>NC_000015.10:52651874-53276874 GCF_000001405.40 Homo sapiens | reverse complement strand
GTTGTATGATTTTGAGTGAATTTCTTAATATTGAGCTCTAATTTGATTGTACTGTGGTCTATGAGACTGTTTGTTATTATTTCATTTCTTTTGCATTTGCTATGGAGTGTTTTATTTCCCATATGTGATCAGTTTTAGAGTATGTGCTATGTGGCAATGAAAATAACGTATATTCTGTTGTTTTGGGTGGAGAGTTCTGTATTCATCTATCAGGTCTGTTTGATCCAGAGCTGAGTTCAGGTCCTGAATATCTTTGTTAATTTTCTGTCTTGATCTGTCTAATATTGTCAGTGGGGTGTTGATGTCTCCCACTATTATTGTGTGGGAGTCTAAGTCTCTTTGTAGGTCTCTAAAGACTTGCTTTATGAATCTGGGTGCTCCTGTATTGGGTGCATATATATTTAGGATAGTTAGCTCTTCTTGTTAAATTGAACACTTTATCATTATGTAATGCCCTTCATCTTTAATATTATTATTATTATTATTATTATTGAGACAGAGTTTCACTCTTGTTGCCCAGGCTGGAGTGTAGTGCGGTGATCTTGACTCATTGCAACCTCCGCCTCCCAGGTTCAAGTGATTCTCCTGCCTCACCCTCCTGAGTAGCTGGGATTACAGGCACCCACCACCATGCCTGGTTAATTTTTTGTATTTTTTTTAATAGAGACAGGGTTTCATCATGTTGGCCAGGCTGGTCTTGAGCTCCTGACCTCAGATGACCCACCCGCCTCGGCCTCCCAAAGTGCTGGGATTACAGGTGAGAGCCACCACACCTGGTCTCTTTATATTTTTTCATCTTTGTTAGTTTAAGTCTGTTTCATCAGAAGCTAGAATTGTGACCTCTGCCTTTTTGCTTTGTTTTGTTTTCCATCTGCTTGGTAAATTTTTTAAAATTTTCTTCCATCCCTTTATTTTGAATCTATCTTACGAAACAGTTTACAAAAGGTCAACCAGAAGGTGGACCTACAGGTAGATGGTTCAAGCCTTGCCCTTTCAAGTTGGCTTATAAAGGGTAATGAAATACATATAATAGTAATAATACTTTAATAATTTTCTAAAAGTTTAATAATCCAAAAGGCTTTACATATTTCTGGAGCATGTACATGCACGCTAAAGCTAAACGGCAAAAGGCACAATTGTTAAGATTTGTCTACTTATTAAATTTATAACCTGAGAGGCCAAAGAGAGAAATGTATTATCATGAACTAGCCAGAAAGGCCCAGGGTGATTTTTGAATAATCAATATTTTCCAATATACAGAGAAAATAACTGACACTGGAATTCATTAGAAATCTGTTTTTTTAAAAAAAAAAAAAAAAAGCTTAATGATTTGCTATTGAAAACTGACTATAATACATAGATATCAAAGAGTGTTTTACCAAGAAAGAATAGCATTCCCATTGTATAGAAAATAAAACTGAAGTGTTTGCATATTAAGAGGTCTCATCATAAATCATTGGATGAAGTCTTTCACTCGTTTATCATTTCTATTTTTTTCTTTACAACGTCAATTTACTTTTCCCTTCTCATATTTGGCTGTTACACCTCTCAATTAACCTTTGCGTTACTGTCTGCTATCCCACATTTCCTTCCTTCTCTACACTATTTCCCCCACTCTGTCCTCATCTGGCCATCTTTATACTCTAGAGAAGCTTTAAAAGAGGAAAGAATGAAGGCAGCCAAAAAAGAAAACAACCAACTTTTAATCATGGTTTGGGCAGCTGATTTAAGGCAAAATATACTATTTTTAAAATACCTATTTTTGAAAGGGAGGAAAGAAGAAAGGAAGCCGGGAGAGGAAGAGAGACAGAGAAGACGAAGGAATGAAAAAAGGAAGGAAGGAGGGAAAGAAGGATGGAAGGAGGGAGGGAGAGAAGGAAGGAAGGAAGGAAGGAAAAGGTCGGAGGGTGGGAAGGAGGGAGGAAGGGAGGGAGGGGATATTAAAAGGGAGGAGGGAATAAATGAATTACCAATGTTTGCTAGCACAGTCCTGCAATGACGAATGTGAACTTCCACATGCCGTTTCTGTGTAATGCTTGAGCATTATTGGGGACAAGCACTGACACACACAAATGTTATTAGAATCTGAGCAGCAATACTGCTGTAAGGGTAAAAATTCAGAAATCCGGCACAGAGCAACTCAGGTCTTAGTGGCATTTCCCACCCATCCTCAGGGGACTCCACCATGGCTGAAGTAATAGAAGTCAAAACTTCAATCAGGCCCTTATTAGTTACTTTCCACACAGGATATGAGGTACCATTGTTGGTGGCAAACAGAGCTATTGCAGCTTAGAATTGACAATGCTTTTTTAAAAGCTATCTTTGACTGCTCAATATAAGGTTAGGAGCAGGTCATGTACCAGGGTTTCTACCAAATTAATGCTATCAGGGGAATTACACTTAAATGGAATTCTTTCTATCTAAACAATTCCATCTAGTTTCATCACTGCTTTTTCTCTCCCCATCCCTTCCTATATAAAATAATTCCGAGGAGTAGACATCTGGAATAATATATAAAGAATCAAGTTATCAAACAAGCCAAGATTTACCACCAGGCCCAGTGACCCCGCTCTAAGTCATCCAGAAAACGAAAGTCTCAAACAGCCAGTAATTCTTTTTGACAGGTTTCAAATAATCTTTGACATTCTGCTTCTTGGTACACAATCTTCATTCAAATGACCAAAACAAAATTTTAAAGAGGCACTTCCATCTGGGAATCATTTTCCTCATCTATTTTTCATTTAAACATCATATTGGTATGTCTAAGAGAAGGCTTCTTAAATCAGCTATAAAATAAATGTAGGAATATAAATCTAAATATAATCAGTACACTTACTGTTCCTCACTGAAAATCAAGATGCTCTTCCTTATGGCATATTTTTTCCAAAACTAACTATTCACTTGTAGAATATTTCTGTGACAAAGAATCATATTGTCATGACTGTGCCAGTCCAATAAAAGGAAACTTCATTATGCCTATATTTAGACACACATAGTAAATTGGATATTTAAAGCTGTTTGTTTTCAGTAGTTGAGAGTGTCAGCAATAATTCTGTAAGTATTTATGCGCCTTCATACATTGTGTGTGTGTGTGAGATGGAGCGTTGAGGTTGGGGAGAATTCAGAAAAGTAGACTCTAAAGTGACTCCAATAGGCAGAGTAAAAAGTGACACTAGGTTAATAGACATGATATTGAGTAGATAGAGGGCCAGAATTTTGAAATGTGAGATTTTGGGATTTTACCCACAAAATGACATTGAGCTATTACGGATTCTTAAACCAAAAAGTGATGAGACAAAGCTATCTTTCAGGAAGCTGTATATGTTGTGGATGCTTAGCAACTGGAGGAAGGGAAGGAAAGGTAAGGAAACAGAAATTGGACGGAAGAAAGAATATAGGCCATGGATACATTTAAGATGCTGTGGCAATAATCTGTAATAAGGCAAAAAGGACCTAAACTACATGGAAGAGAGAAGGGATAAGAAGGCAAGGTCAGAGGGAAATGCCGTTATTTTATTATAAGGATTTGCAGGTATAGATAAGCAGTCAATTATAAAAGATGGGTCCTAAATTGCGATTCCAAAGCACCAGGAGAAGGAGGGTATCCCTAGTACCACTGACAGGAGAATAGGGTTAGCAAATGGCACTGATCTGGAAATTGGGAGGTAGGAAAGGCAGGGGAATTAAGAGGTTAAATATTTGGTTCAGTAGCTGTTAAATCTGAGAGGGTGAAATTACAGCCATCTAGATATATTTAGTTAACACGTGGAAATATCATGTATGGATTAGAAATAAAGATTTAAATGGATGTTTTAGGCAATCAGTATGGAGATGATAACTGAGGTCGTGAGAATGACTAAAATGTCCCACACAGAAAACACAGAGAGGAAGAAGACCAAGGGCTTGACGTTGGAGGAAATTTGATCATGAAATATGAGATGTGAATCAGAGAGAGAAAGAGAGAGAGGAAAAAAACTCAGATGGGAGGAAGGGAAAGATCCTAGGTGTGTTAGAATAATCGCTAGAGCCTTACTAGGAAGCAGAAGACATAGGTTCTAGTTTTAGTTGTGTCACTTTCTAATGGCAACATGATTGAGTTGCATGGTTGTGCTGTGCTTCTGTAAAATAAAGGATATAGAGGAGTTCTGTTACTGCTTAGGATATAGAAAGCTGAAAGGAGTGTCACTCCCACCCTAACAGCAAAGAAACACCAGGTAGACTACAAAACCACCACTTTTCTTGAGCCTTGGAAGAGCTGATGCTGCAGAGTAACCAAGTAGCCTGAATTGCAAAGGCGAGTAGGCACCCCCAAGAAGAGATAGGCTATGCAGACAGGCTCAGCAGGGCAGAAAGATGCACCGACCACTGTCCAAGGAAGTAAAAAGAAATCTGCTGAAATTCTCACAAATGCTAAAGACCAAGTGTGGGCTAGTATGACCACATAAAATTTTTGTGAGCCCCCAAACACAAAGGAATTAACTCTCACAGGCCATTTTCCATAGCCCTCCATTGAGTGCTAATAAGATTGAGTACAGGGTGAGAAACCAAAGAAATCACCCTCAGTTATGCAGGTATGCAGGAAGGGATAAGCTGCCACTGCAGGAATACATAAGATCTGTTCTGTTCTTCTACCCAGAACCTTTTCTCATATGAGGCAAAGCCATAATCCACTGGGAGGGGACACAACCCCTGTCTTTTCAGGACACAGGTAAACATCCATCAGAAGGAAAAAACAAAAAACACCTCTACTCCAGGAGGAAGAGCAGGAAAGGGTCCTGATTCCAGAATGCCATACTGATATCATCAGAGGTCTCTTACTGCTGTCCCACATAAGAACCACTCTATCATATAAAACCTGCTACATATACAAGACAGAGTTTGGCTGCTACAGGAAGGAAAGACATAGATGATGAGAAAGCTAAATCCATGAGGCACAGGCTCTGATTAAAATGCTTGACCAGGAGAGTAGCAAACCTTCTGCCCTCTACCATCAACCTAGCAAACACTGAGCAGCAAGCAACAGCAGCTTACCACTGGAGGAGAGGCAGGAGCATGGAGATCTACCCTCTGTGCTATATAGGTATGCAGGGATGGCTAAAAGTGGAAGATGAAGTACTAGTGCTGAAAAAAACCCTCTGGCTCCCCCGCTTCCAATCTATGTACCAGGCAACAGCAGCCCAATGCTAGTGGGATTGAAGACTGTGGCACACTGAAGGTGGTCATCACAACAACAAAACCCTGCTGAACTTCTCACTACATTGACTCAATATCCCCCCCAACATACACACACACACACACACACACACGTTTTGGAAGAAGAAGAGGTGAGACCATTTCCAGGCATAAATATATTTTCCTGTGCCTCTACTGTTCTACAATGATGTATACCAATTAATAAAAAATGATGAGATACATAAAAAGGCAAGAAAAGCAATTGATTGTCGAATGACAAAGAAATCAACAGAACCAAATTCAGAGATCACCCAAATATTAGATCATAAAAGAAGTTTAAAATTACTGGGATAAATATTTTAAAGAATCTAGTGGAAATATACATGAATATATGGGAGAATTTTAACAGAGTCACCATAAGAAAGAGAAATAGAGATGCTAGAAACAAAAAAAAAGAAGAAGAATTGTATTAACAGGCTTACAGTAGACTGAACATAACTGAGGAAAAACTCAATGAACTTAAAGACAGGTGAGTAGGAAATAGCCCAACTGAAACACAGAGAGAGAACTGAGTGAAAAAGACAGAACAAAGAGTCCAAGAGTTGTGAATAATATTAAACAGTCTAACATATCTATAACTGGAGTCTCAGAAGAGGAAGAGAAAGAGAACAGGGTGGAAGAAATATGTGAAGAGAACTTTTGGCTGATAATTTTCCAAAAATTAAGATATTAAACTAAAGATCCAAGAAGACCAGAGAATCCAAAACAAGATAAAAACAACAAAAAAATGCATATTCAAACTGTTGCAAATTAAAGATAAAGAGAAAATCTTGAAGATGGTCAAAGAGAAAAGAACATTACATACAGAGATGCAATCATAATTACAGCAGACTCATTAGAAGTTATATAACCATAAAGCCAATGACATAACATCTTTAAAGTATTGAAAGAAAAAAAAAACAACTGTCAACCCAGAATACCATCTTTCATGGAAATGCCTTTGAAAAATGAGGGTTTCATAAATAAAAATAAAGACTTTTTATGACAAATAAAATATGAGATAATTCATTGCACGCAGACCTGCACTATAAGAAAAATGTAAGAGAAGTTCTTGAGGAAGAAGGAATGATGCCAGGCAGAAACTTGAATCTATATAAAGAAATAAAAAGCTCTAGATGGTAAAAACTGAAGATAAATATAAAAGATTTTTCTTATTTTAATCATTCTTAAAGTTAATTGATGTTCTAAAGCAAAAATAATAACAATATATTGTGAGGTTTATAACATACATAAGTTAAATATATGACAACAATAACACAAAAGTTGGGAGGGGGTGTTGAAAGTATACTAATTTAAGACTCTTACACTATACAAGAATTGGTATAACATTATTTAAAAGTGGAACTTGATAAATTAAAGTTATCAATTGTATACCTTACGAGGCAATCACTACTTATAAGAAGAAAAACTAATAAATAAATAAATAAATAATGAAGACAAAACAAAATAAAAAATAGTAATCCAAAAGCAGACAGGAACAAAGAAATAATGAAGAGAAAGAAATTATATATTTAAATCCAACTATATTAAAAATTACACTAAACTTAAATGCTCTGAACACCCAATTAAAAGAAAGAGATTGCCAGATTGATTAAGAAAGTAGGAAGTCCGTATAATGTCATATGTTAAATATAATGGCATGTTAAAATATAATGGCATATGTTAAAATAAAGGGGTTGGAAAAGATCCACAGTTCTCATCTTAAAATCTCTGGACCATTAGAAGTTTGTGTTGAGTGAAAAAAAAAGTTTTCCAGCTATTTTCCATAGTTCACAAAGTTAGACTTTTACTAGCTTTTTACTGCCCTGAAGGTGATGCACCATCTCTGGGACATGATATTGAACTCTTTCCAAATTATCCATGGTGTATTTATGTAGTTTCATGTACCTAATTTCACTTTACGCTGCCTCTTTATTTTAAAAAGTGCTTATTCATTTAATTTATTTAACAAGTTTTTAAGTGCCTACAATGACCCAGACACTGTTCAAAGAAATCACTGGAATTGTTGGAGTAGTTGTGGAGCAGAACACAAGCAAATGGTCAGACAATGACCAAGAATAACCTTACTGGCACTATCTTTAACTAGCTAACTAGCTAACCTACTGAAACCTATCTACTCAATTTAAGAATTTTCTATTAAATACCATATGCTAGAGTTAAAAACATGAATAAGATTCAGTGTTTGTCCCCAAGGCACTCATACCTAGCTCATATCTGTGTGACAAATGAAGTTATTAATGATCACCCAAGCAACTTCTTAGAATAAACACATTAATTTCTGTGAAGGCCCTTTGTAAACTGCAAATAACAGCTCACATGTGCTTAATACACACTATGCAATTGTGCTACATGCCTTTTGTGAATTAGCCCCAGATGGGCAAATATACTCTCTATTATAAGCTATTACTGTGCTATTAAAATTTGGTGCCAAAGAACCTCAGCTTGTAGATCTGCAGAAGACTCTTAGTGCTTCCTTCCATGGTCACTGATTGACTAGCAATCTTATAAATGCACATGCCTGTTCAAAGGGCTCCTTGTGTCTGAGTGAGGCTGGATCAGAGTAATTCCATCCCCATAGATGATAAACAACTCTTGTCAGAAGAAAAACCAATCATTGTCTCCAACAACTGAGGTGCTAGAGACACTAAAGTACAAGCACAATCCCCAATTCACCCACAGACTGTCTGCAAAGTTCATTTGCAAAGCAAGGGTTAATTATCAGATAGTTAGAGTCTCATGCCAGATCACAGTACTAGGGGTATTATTAGGGGTTGAATTGTAACCCCTTGTGATGGTTAATTTTGTGTGTCAATTTGCCTGAGCTAAGGGATGCTCAGAGAGCTGGTAAAACAATTATTTCTGGATGTATCTATAAGGGTGTTTCTGGAAGAGATTAGCATTTGCATCAGTAGATTGAATAAAGAAGATCTGCTCTGACCAATATGGGCAACATATTCAATTCATTGAGAACCCAATGCATGTAAAAGTAAAATGTATGGCAACAAAACAAAAAGAACAAAAAGGCAGAGGAATGGCACTGGGGCATCTATCTTCTCTTGACCTTGGACATCAGAGCCCCTGGTTCTCTGGCCTTTGGCCTGCAGGACTAATACCACCACCACCACCACCTCTACTCCAGTTCTCAGGCCTTTGGCTTCAGGCTGGGAGTTATACCAGCAGCTCTCCTAGTTCTCAGGCCTTCAGGCTCAGGCTGAATTATACTCTTGGATTTCCTGCCTCTCCAGCTTCCAGATGGCATATCATTATACTTCTTAGGCCCCATAATTACATCAACTAATTCACATAATAAGTCTCCTCATACATACATATATATGAGGATGTGTGTGTGTGTGTCTGTGTGTATATATCCTATTCGTTCTGTTTCTCTAGAGAATACTGACCTTCAATATTCATATATTAAAGTCCTAACACCCAGTAGTTCAGAATTGACCTTATTTGGAAACAGAGTTGTTGTAGATGTAATTAAGTTAAGAAGAGGTCACACAGGAGTAGAATGGGCCCTAATCCAATATGAGAGGTAACCTCATAAAAATGGGAAATTTGGACAGAGACATGCACACAGGGAGAAAGCCATGTGACCATGAAGGAATAGATAGGGGTGATGCTCTTGCAAGCCAAGAGACACCAAAGATTGCCAGTCAATACCCAGAAGCTGGGAGAACAGCATGGAATAGATTATTTCCTGACATCCCTTGGGAGAAAACAACCCTATTGACACCTTGGTCTTGGACTTCTAGCCTTCAGAATTATGAGACAATAAATTTCTGTCGTTTAAGCCACTCAGTTTGTGGTATTTTGTCACGGCAGCCCTAGAAAACTAATACAGATGCTCCTTGACTTACAATAAGATTACATCCTGATAAACCCTTGAAATATTGTAAGTCAAAATGCATTTAATACACCTTACCTATCGAACATCATAGCTTAGCCTAGCCTACCTTAAATGTGCTCAGAACATTTACATTAGATTACACTTGGGCAAAATCACCTAAGAAAAAACCTATTTAAAAATAAAGTATTGAATATCTCACATAATGTATCAAATACTGAACTGCAAGTGAAAAGCAGAATGGTTGTATGGGTACACAATGCACAATTTCTACTAAATGTGTATCAACTTGGTACCACCATAAAATAAAAAAAAATAAGGTCAACCATCATAAACTGGGGACCATCTGTACAAGCATTGAGGAAATCTTAGAGGTAGAATCATTAATTCATTCATTGAAAACATTTTTTCAAAACCTATTATGTGAAGTGAATATCGTAATAAACAGAACAGATAAAGTCCCTGCCTTCAAAGGGTTTCTATCTTGGTTTAGGAGACAGACAATAAAACAGATGAATAAATTGTATCTCAAGTAGTGGTATGTGCTTGAAAAAAATAAAGCAGGATAAGGGACTAGAGAGTGGCAAGGAGGTTGAGAAACGCTTCTCTGAAGAGGTGTCATTGAGCAGAAACCTAAGGAAGTGAGGACATGAGCCAGGTGAATTCTTGGTGAAACAGGGCTCCAGGCTGAGTGAGCAGAAAAGGTGTTGAGGCAGAAACTTGCTTAGCATGTTTCAAGAAACAGAAAGAAGACCAGAGTATGTAGAGCAGAGTAAGCAAAGAGAGTGGAAATGAGGTCTGAGAGGCAGAGGCAAAATCATGCCCTTTGGCGTGGATTTGTGAGGAATTTGAGTTTTATTGCAAGTGTGATGCAAAGTGTTGGAGAGTAATGAGAAATTATTTAAGTTTGAAAACCTGGCTCTCATGGGAAGGTAAACTTTAGAGGAGGGAAACTGTGAAAGTAGAAAGATCCTTTCTGAGCCTCTGCAGTTGTTTAAGCGAGGTGTTATTATCATGGGCTAAGGTGGAGCACAAGTGGTCATATAAAGGATGCATTTGGACAGAATCTCTGACAGCACATGATAGCTATATAGATGTTAGTAAAGGAGCAAAACTCTGCCTGCATGAGAATAGTTTCCAGCCTGAATTGGAAGATATGACTCTAAGTAGATTTCAAAGACCTGAAAGTAGCTGACTGTATAGTACGGTTAGGCACAAAATGACTGTAAATATTTTTAAATTCTGCAAGACATTGCAAATGTTTTCAAATGGTAGAATCCCAACAGAAAGTGCATTTTAACAGAGAACATATTTGCACCATTCTTCAAAATGTTTTTTTTGTGTTTCCACCCGGGGTGCTCTCCCTAGTGAGAGCCATTGGTTGAATCGTTTTGAAAGTGCTTGCCTTTCATCACAGGCCAAAATAAATCAAAAACTGTGGTCACAGCTTTTGCAAGGATTGGTTCAATTGTGAAAAAGAATATGTTTGATCTGTAGAGGCTCTCCAGGGGAAAATGTTTTGAGCAAAAGGGCAGCATTTTATTTTCTAAAAACAAATGCTTCATATTCCTTCATCCATAAAGGCTAAATCTGCACATGGCAGGGGGTGTTGTGGGGGAATCACAGCATTATTGATATCACAGTGGGATGATTCTTGCCTGAATTATTCAAATTAAATATCTAAACTGAGCAAGTGGCCAAGATTATTGTTCTACTTTCACTTCACCTATTTTTATTTTCCTAGGAAACTACTAGCATTCTTCAGACACTATTAAGATACATTTATCAAGTGTTATATGTTTAAGTCAAAGTTTAGTTAATTTTCATAATTCTGGATATTAAATGAGAACTGCTATAAAAATCAACTATTTTCTAAATGCCAATCCAGCATTTTCCCATGTGGAATGCTGTTTGTTCATGATTAGATTTGTAGCTTTTGTTTACTTCCTTAATCAATGTAGTTTCAATCAAATAATTCTAATCAATTTTGCTTCCTAATTTGATGAATTATACTAATAAACTCCAATTTTCAGTAAGAAAATGTAGATTTACAGTTAATTCCTCTTCATTTGAAAGAGATACTTCCACTATTTCCAAAATTATCTGATCTCATTTTTTTTTTTCAGAGGTTTTGACTAAACTAAATGTTCTATTGGACTATGCCCAAGAAGCTAAGGTTTTATTTCTCTGTAGGTGGTGCCAGATGTTTTTCATTGGTTACTATGAGAGCTATTAAATAAGTCATAGCCTCTTAAATCTCATTAATGTCAGATGGTGGAGGAAGTACATCATTTTGGGTTGTTTGCCTTGAAGAGTAGAAATATTCTGGGACTAGATCCTGTCATACCCTGGGGCATGTGTCTTGAGCTCTCTATTCCATGGGAACGTTTCGATATTCCACCCTAACATCCTAATTTCATATTTGGAGTGATAGTTTTTCCTTTAACTTTCAACAACCTTACCAAGATTTTGATTTCTTTTGTGGTGGACTTTTTTTAATGAGAAAATGAGAGCAAACCACATGTCCAGTAAATATTGCATCAGACATAAATATCCTCTTCATTAAATTGACTACCAAACTCTAAGGATGTCAAGAGTCAGGACCCCCTCTTTTATGTCACCCCTCAGGCTGCTTGTGCTGCCCACACTGTTGGCTTCCCAATAGACATCACCAACTAAATGCTTAATCAAGCAAATCTCCCAATTTAGTTCAATTTAACTTACCCATTATTGTTGCATCCTACTATGTGCAGCACACTGTGCTAAATACTATTGGCAATATTGTGATGAATAAGATACAGTTCTTTATTCATAGGCTCACAACTTGGGGGGATCCTAGATTTGTATTTAACTTGCATGATCCTAGATTGTGTATTTATCTTGAATAGTTACAACACTGTGGAGAAGCTTATTTGCAAGAAGGGAGGGAGCAAGGACCTTCAGAGTCACCTCCCAATCACAGTATCCCTATTGAGGGCATTTTCTTAACCATGTAATTCATCAATCTACTTGTGACATTATCCATACACACACACACGCAAATGAATATATGGCACAGAACTCCTAAAGCTCTCATAATTTCTTGAGAAACAGAAAGGGGGTACTGGACGCATCTTTTGCTCTAATGAGGTGACTCTTGGTGGGCTCCTGGATGGGAGTTGATCACCAGAAGGACCAGACCATAATTGGAAGCCTGGAACTTTCAGCCTCAACCCCCATCCTCCAGAAAGTGGAGAAGAGATTGCATTTATAAGTGATCATACCCATATGATGAAGCCTCCATGAAAATTCTTGAACTATGGGGTTGGGAGAGCTTCTGGGTTGCTGAATACGGACAGGTATTGGCAGGGTGGCATGCTTAGAGAGGACATGGAAGCTCCATGCGCCTTCCCCCATACCTTGTCCTATACATAGCTTCCATCTGGCTGTTTCTTAGCTGTATCCTTTTATAATAAACCAATAATCTAGTAAGCAAACTGCTTTACTGAGTTCTGTAAGCTGGTCTAGTGAATGAGAAAACCTGAGGGGAGGTTGTGAAAGCAGATATTTTGTAGTCACATCCAGCAGAAGTTGTGGGTAACCTGGGAACTCACCACTTTCAATTGGCATCTGAAGTGGGGGCAGCCTTGTAGGACTAACTCCTTAAACAGTGGGCTCTGTGCTAACACTGGGCAGTTAGTGTCAGAATTGAGTTAATTTTTAGGATACCCAGCTGGTGTTGGAGAACTGGTTGGTGCAGGGGGAAAAAAATCCTACCCAATTGCTGGCCAGAAGTTTTGTATGTGAATAAAAAGGAAATGAGAATTTTTCCCTATACACACTCCAAGGAGCACAAACTTACAGGAAAAGCCACATTGCTCAGTGACTTTCTAGTTCTCATCATCTTTAATGAAAAAAAAAAAACAGTTTGACAGTACATGCTATGTATATAATTATAAGTTGGAGCAGGTCTTGAAAGCTACTTAGCTCAACTTTCTTATATTACAGATGAGAGAACTGATGCTCAGACAGGATAAGTGGCTTGTCTTACGTCATCCACCTTACTAGTGGCAGACCAAGAATTAGAACTTGGCTCACTGAGTCTTATTCCCAACTACTCGGCCTTTCTTCCTCTCTGGCTAATTGGATAAAGAGGCAGAACACAATCCACATTTAAACTCCAGGAAAAAAGTGATGGAAATCAGAAAGGAAATATTGGTAAAAGTTACCATCATAATATTAGAATTCAACTTCAGCAAGATGAAAGGTGTGAGGCTTATGCTGAGTTCACCTCACTGACTTCCTTCCTCTTCTGCTGGAAGACTGCTGACTTGCTGCTCCCAATCACAAAGATCCAGATTAATATGAATGTATGAGAGAGGAAGAGCTGTGTGGGAACATTATCAATCTGGGGAAAATGCTCAAGAGCACCAGTACAGCTTAGTGGGGAGGAACATGTACTCTGTTTTTCAGCTGCATGGGGTCAAAACCCAGCTTTATCACTTACCACATTGACTTGGATGAATTATTTAACCTCTCTATATTTTAGCTCCTCATCTATAAAATTAGGAGAGTATTTATCTCATTGTATTATTATTAAGATTAAGTAATTGATATTTATATAGTTCTAGATTTGCCTAGCCCATACCTATCTACACATTTATTAAACACAGTGCAGTGATATAAATGTTCAATCTATCCAAGATACAAACCAGAATACATAGAGACATGCCTTGTCTAAACATTATTTCATTTGTGTTTTTTGTAGGAGCCAAATTTTAAAGTTAGAAGGTTCTGGTGAAGATTTGTAGTGCAATTATTTGTATACTGTTCATTAAGATTTCAACTTTAGCTAAAAGTGGTATCACAACATTCAGATGGAAGGCATTGGACACTTTTTTAAATTAATAATCACTTTAGACTGGTACTTACCACATTGTGTTTTGTGGAACATCCATCTCTTTAAAATCTAAATATGAGTCAAATGTACTAAAAGTCTTCCCTAGTCAATAACATTGGAAAGCACTGGGATAAACAGAATTTAATAGATTTCTTCGCTGCAGGACTGTTAAGAGTCTCTATTATGCTAATGAATTTTGAATTCTATTTATTAAGGTGAGAAGTAAATTCTCATTAAATATAAATTGAAAAGAATAGCAGCTAAATACAACTATGCTTTACAATATTTTAGATTAATAGCCTTTTGAGAGGTCATTTCTGCAGGCACTGTTTCTGGTAGAGATTTCACAGTGCAAATCTGCATGATCATTTGATAGCAGGCCATCTCTGTTTCTACAGCTTGGTCTCCAGTCAATGCCCAGTGAAAAGTCCACAAAAGAAACAAATAGTAACTTTAATTTATTAAAAGGAGAGCCCATATGACATTTTGATAGACTGTTCAGCAAACTAATATGTCTGTTGTTTAAAGTCCATGAGAGACTTTTGGGTAGAACACACTTTCTGATGACCCAAGGTGTTGATTCTTGAAGAGTTCATTGCTATGAGCATTTCAGAAAGATCGGAGTCCAGTAATCATAATAGGATTTAAACCATCGTCTTAGTAAATCATCCTTCCACTAAAGTACACCCTTCCTGCTTGAAAAGGCTCCAGTGAGTTACAACCAGGATTACCAGGCTTGCACTGATGAAAAGACTACAGTCTATGAAATGTGAGATAATTATATCGAAGAGATGTAGGAAACAGTCTTCCTATAGGCCAGTAGAGTGGCTGCCTCATCTCTAATTATTATACCACGAGCAACTGAGCATACTAACCTGCCTGCCTTCAGTCATTGACTGTGTTTAAAACAATTGGAAAGTTACAATAAGGCTGAAATGTCATAAATTCTTGAGTGTTGTCTTCTACAGTTCATCCGCTATACTTTCTAGTTGACCTAGTCAGATGTTTGAATAGTTTATTTTCTGGTAAATTTTTATCAAACTAAAAACTAGAAGAACAAAGCCAGAGTCAAGATGCCGGTGCCTAAATAAGACACAGCATCTACAGAAGGCCTGTTGTCCTTTAAAAGTATGATGCCTAAACCCCATCATGGAATCTACATGTTTATGCCCATTTGCTTTTGACAACTGATCGTTAGTGTTGGCATTTATTTGAAAAAGAGTTTGGAGTTTGAAGAGAGTGCAAGAAAGTTTTCAGTTCAACCTTACAGAAGTTAAAAGAAACACATTTGGGGTTACTAGGGAGAAAATTTCCAAGAAGTCAGTGAAAAACGCTGAGAAATCCATGTTATGAACCCTGATGTGTTTTGGTCTGCTCTGGAATGAAGTTTTCATTGGCAGTTGGAAAAACGTCCACTTGCACATGAAGTATTTTCGTCCTTAACCTCACTGAGCCAAGTAGATGGATGAATGTTTGCAAACATTCCTTTCCATGTTACTCTTTATCTAGGGGTACCCAACATTGGAAGCACAAGGTGTGTATGAATGTATGATTGGAGGAAGATCTTTACTGAGTAGGACCATGGAAAACCCCACTGGCTCCAAGCTTTTTAGACTGAGGTACACATTAGAAGAGTCCTCTCTCCCCAGCTACCACCTATACCAGTCTGCTTCTCCTACTCCAGCCATCATGACCTCTCACCCAGGCACAAACCCTTCAATCCTAGGAGAGTCTCTCCAACCCTGTCCTCTGGAATTACATTGCTAGTACATTCTAGGATAGCAAATATAATCTAGTTACCATAATAATGGTGTTTGTAAAGAGTTAAAGATGTAAACGTACTCTTTCAGGGATATATCTCTTCTATTTATGAAGGGGTGCTTCTCCTTGCAAGTTTCCAATATTATTTTAAGGCATATTAAATTTTATCACTAAATCAACTAGAAATAAAATGTGTAATTGGTAGCAGAATTTCAGGCTGTGATAGAATTCCCAAAGGATTCCAATGTCCTTTCAAAAATTAAATACAGTAATGGAAGATAAACTGTGTAAAATGCCAGCACTTTTCTTCCCCATAACCTGTGTTTATGTACTAAGTCAAGAGGTCCTACTGCCAATCATATCTAGGAAAGAAATAGTACAGAGAGTGCTTTTGATATCACTCATGCATTTATTAGATCCCCTGTTTTTCCGATTTTGAGTTTGATGTGAATTCACTGCACATACATACCTACATAAAATATACCTATCTTCACTCATTATGATGTAAGTAAAGTGTTGGTAAACCAGGAAATACTGGATAGATTAAAACATAAAATTATTAATTTCATGAAATATGAAATAGTACATTTAATAAATAGTACATTTGATGCATTTTGCAACTAGGTCTGAGGTAATATGTGTATCTCACATTTCTTTACTTTGAAAAATGACCAAAAACCTTATTTGATATGAATATTTTATTTTTTTCCTAAAATACATTTCTAATGTGCTCTCATTTCGGTGTTCCAATATGATGGGGGGAATTTTTTACTTCTCTTTTTTTTTCAAAGGACTATAATTTAAACCTCCCCTGCCCAGTTTCAGAGAAATATTTATGGCTGGATTTTAAATGTCTGAACAAAGACCTTTAAAAGGAAATTTCTACTGCAAAAAAAAATCCATTGATACCAGAGCATAAATACCAGTATTATGATAATGAGAAGAGTGTTCGATTTCCAAGAAAGACCAATATAGTAACTACTCTTCCCTCCCATGAAAATGTTGACAGAGGTAAATATGGGATAATTCCAAATCTAAACCTCAAGATAAATTAATTTCTTTATTCATGTAAACAAAATGATTGGGCAAAAAGCAACTGTTTCAGTGCAGGAAATGTTTTCCTCCAGAAATCGGGAAAGCACAGAGAAAATCTAGAATTTTGTTATACACATGAACATTTTCAAAAATATCATAAAGGACAATTCCCTTGGGACACTGGGCCCAGGATTTGACAATCTCCCTGACAGCTACCTGGTAGGAAAATGAGGTTGACCTCCATGATGTCAACTTCCTAAGATATTATTTCTACTCTATGTATCACAAATTTCCTTAAGAACGAGCTTGAAAAAAAAAAAAAGCAGCTCCAATTCTAACCTCTGTGGTTATGCCCATATATCTTGAAAGCTATTTATTAGTTTCACACATATACCATTCTTAAGGTCCATAGATTTGCTACCCACTGAAGAAAGTAGCATGTCTTTTATGTGCCCAACATGACTTTTGTAAGGCTTCACAGGGCTTTCATAGTTTCAGTGACACTTAAACCTAAGCACTCAGCTCAAACGTTTCTTGAAACAGATTATTTTCCTACACAGACTGGAAGCATGTTGTGTTCTTCGTAAATTTAGAGTTCCTCCTCACCCAGTCCCATATTTTCCAGAATTACCTCTCAGACAGTTTTCTCTCCAGTACACACACCCAACACATACAACACTCATATGTGTACTCTGAAAAGTTCCATTCTTCATTGAAATAGGGGCCAGGACAAGGGAAAGAGCTAACATGCGTTGTCCATCTTCTAGGTGCTAAGCATAATGCCAAGTGCATTATGTATCCTATGTCATTTTATGCTCACAACGGTACTATAGAGTGGGAATAGGGATTCTTAGCGCTACTTCCAAGTTATGAAGCAAAGGCTTGAGCACTTCATCCAAATTCCACAGCTATAGGTAAATGAAGCCAGGATAGAAACCTAGGCCTGTTGAATATTCAATTTCTCCACAGGACCACTAACTTTAAGGAGAGGAAAACAGAAAGTCTCCCTCCTTGACCTCTTTTCTACTATGCCTTCTTCTTCCTGCCTCTTCAGAAGCACTGTCATATGCAACCACTTTCTTGAAGAGCCTTAATAACTTTTTATATAAACTTGCTTTTTGTAATGTCAACTTTTCAGCCATGTAATATCAATCCTCTCAAATTTTTTATTTGATAGTGACTCCTGTGAATCCTTTGATCATGTCTTAGTCCAATTCTACTATTATTCAGACCCTTTCTGTTATTAATATATAGTCCAAGAAAGTTCACGCTCAGATCCAATTTAAAGCTCAAATCTACATATACCAGAACTGTGGCTCCAAGAAGATGGAGGAGAGAAATGGGTTGTCTATCAAGGCCCAATCTTCCTCCCTGAGGCTCCAACCCTGTGCTGGAGCAGGCAGAAGAGTGGGAGAGGCAGAAATCTCTGGTTCCCAGGGCCAGGACCAAGGGGGCACAAGTGCAAGCACTTGTCCAGTCCTGGGAGTGAGCCTCTCCTGGAATGTTGTACCCTGGGCCCTCCCTTGCTGCAGTCTCATCCCAGCTCTGCTCAGGTTGTTTCCATTTGAGGCTGGGGGCCTCTGCTGTATGGTGGTCTCCACTGGGAGATGCACATGATTATCTACAGGCAATGTCTGGTTTTCCCTGGGCACTCTTTACTGAGGCTTTCTGGAGGAGCAGCAGCTTCCCCCAGGTCCCCATATTTCAAATACACCCCCTGGTTAGGTGTCCCCTTATTTTGCCTGGAATCCACATGGACCCCTGCCTCCAACTTCATCCTCCTGCACGTGGAGCCTCAGAAACCACAGGGTTTTCTTATATCCTCATGAAGGGCTACACCTAAGAAAGATGGGGTAAGCATTGGCCCCCATCCTCTTCACAGCCACTAAAACACAGTCCCTTTAGAACCTGCTGGTGCAGACTCCTGGAACTGGCTTCCCACCTTCCCAACATTTGCATTGGCTCTAGATTAAAACCAGCAAACTTCGGGGGACATATATTAGACTGTTCCTAAAACCCTGTCCCCATAGTGTTCTGACTTCTGGTTGCTGATTTCAGAGAATGCTCTTTTCTATACTGAATTAGGTTCCTACATCCTACAGCAGGTGTATTTTCAGAAGCCAGGAAATCTGCTTTTTATAAGCCTATAGCAAAGGTCCCAGCTTTAACAGTACCAGCATCACTAAAGCCACCACTGAGCATGCAAAACCTTCCTGACTCTACAGGCCTCCATCCCTGCAGCGAGAAATGCTAGATGCCCACATCCTGACCTTGAGCTACTTGCCTGACTGGGATTTTTTTCCCCACTATCTTTGGAAGCACTAAGCTATTTCTGAACCCTGGTTTCTTTTCTGATTGCTTACTAGGCAATAATTCTCCAGGTTCTCCATTTGCACTAGAAACAGAAAGAATCACTCCAGAAGGTCAAGAGGCACAAGTAGCACCAATGAGAAGCAGCACAAGAGGCTTTCCAGAGCCATAGACAGCATTGCCTACATTGGCTGGGCTCACAGCTATACATTCTCACAACTTCCAATGTGTCCTGTGTGTGTTGTCTTGAGCCCCGGGGTGATGGGGCCCAGAATCAGAGGCCCTTGGGGTCTCCTGGTTCAACCTCCCACCTGATCAGATTGACATCTGACCTGAGAGTCTGGGACCGCATTTGGTGGTAGATGGAGGACTCAGGTCCCTCGGAAGTCTCCCTACAGAAGGCAAAGGTTTGCAAGTCATGCTCCTCAGAGTCCTGAAGGCTAGTTACAGGGCTGAGAGGAAGCAGGAAAATAGATTCTTTTTGATAAGTTTCATGTAATGGATTTGGGTGACAATTTAATATAGAGAAAAGGTTCCAAGCCTTTAAAAATGAAAAGCGGGTAGGGTTTAGTTTCGGGAAAAAAGGGGTTTCAAGTCCTAGCTATGTCCTTCATTAGTGGTTGACTCTGAGAAAATTAATGCCTCTAGACGTAGTTCCTCATTTATAAAATGAGGGAAACAATAGCTGCCCAATTGTCTTCAAAATAGTAATTAACATGAAATATAGGAAAATGTTTATATTAGTTGGAACACAGGAAGGGCCTTTGCGTTACATTCTCTCCTTTAATCGTTATGACCACACTATAATGTAGGTGCCATTGATCTCCACTTTGCATATTGAAAAAAATATGAGTTTGGAGAGGTCAGTAAATTTCTTAGTCACACAGCAATTGATCCAAGATTTGCTCTCAGTTCTGACTCTTGCTCCTCTTCGGAGCAGAGGAATGAGCTATGCTTCACATTTGTTTTATTTATCAAACCTCAAAATAAAATGGTCACTTCAACTGCAGAAGGCATTGTCAAATCAGAGACAGAACGAGGCTGCAGAAAAACCTTGGGCCAGAACTTCAACTTCAGTGCTAAGACTCTAAGCAGAGCCAACGTTTTGAGGTTAACGCTGCCATTGTCATTCTCCACTGCTCCCCACACCACTGTTCTTGCTTCTGTTTACAGAAATGCAAATGCAAATAATGGCTGCTGTTCATTGAGCCCAATGCACTAGGCTCACTGCTTGATATATATTATCTCACTTAATCATCTCAACTCAGTTAATGCTTCGAACACTTTTTAAGTAGGCACTTTTATTATTTCCATTTTATAGATGAGGAAAATTATGCACAATGAATTGGCATAAAGTTCCCCAAGGTCACCTGGCTGGTCATATTGTACATGCCATTGCTGCTGAAACAAGTACATCTCTCTGTTGCCACCACTAATTCAGCCGCCGTCATCATGGTTCCTGACAACGCTGCCATCGCTGCTGCTACAGGGTTGTCAAAGCCCTGCTTCATCTTCTGGCCTCCAAAAGGGAAAATTGTTCTTCTCAGTTTTATGATGTCATCCTTCAAAGAACATGGGGCAAGCCCTAGAGGACGTTTGAGGAAAATACCCACGGACCCTGAATTGTGCCTTGAAGTTATTCAAGTGTTTTGCTGTTCACTGGGTGGCCAGGCAGTGTGGCCAAGCTAAAAAGGCAGTTAATGCCATCCTGGGGAACAGACCAGTGCATGACTGGAAGTCACTGAGAACAGACAACATGATCACCAGGCTCAAATCATATCTCATTTACTTACAGCAAGAGGAGAGTGTGTAGAAGATCCAGCCCTTTGCAATGCATCAGTTCCCTGTGGCCAGCAGAGCCACTCTGCAGCTGTCTCAGGCAGCATGGCTGCATGCACCTCACTGTATGCTACAGTAGAAGGGTCCCAACCCCTCCCCTGTGGAGTCTGAAATACAAATACAGAAATCTGGATGCATGCCTGAAGGCCACTGAGTCTAAAACAGAAAGATATTTTCATACAGGGTGATAAGTTCAGCACAGGCTGTATGACCTTTACCTCTTGGTAAGGAAGTTGTCCAGAACCATGGCCCATTCTTATGTAGCCAAACAAGATTCGAAAGATTGTGTGCACAGGTCTGCCTCTCCCAACACCAGGCATCTCCACCCTCTCCTCTCTATCTACGTCAGGAACACCTCAGTGGCTAAGGTACTTGTTGCTCCTCTTATTTATTTATTTATTTATTTATTTATTTATTTATTTATTTATTGAGAATCATCATCATTATGATGAATATTTATTGAATACTTTCTGCATCTTGGGTACCATATTGAGTGTAAAAACATACATCATCTTATTAATCTGTATGACAACTCTGTGAAGTAGTCACAATGATAATTCCCAATTTACAGATGGAGTGACAGAGGCACAGAGAGGTAAACAACATACCCGTTTATACAGCGAGTAAGTGGGAGAGCCAGGTTTCAAAGCCATGATATCAGACAACAAGGTGAAGATTTTTAACCACGAAATAAGCTACCCAAGGTCTGTCTGTTGGCCCCAAGAGTCCATTCCCTTCCTCTCAAGAACAGAATATGGAACATATTGTGTAAACTCTTGAGAGTAGACAGGAAAAAATCATTTCACCACATTGCCACTTTTTAATGTGGTTTTCCCTGTGCTTTTCTTGCATTCATTTCTTTCTCCTGTGCAAAATATTCAAAGCAAGCACATTCTTTTTGAGCTTACTATATATTCGCAAAACCACATAAAGAATAACAATGCTTTATAATTCCGATGGTGATAGTAATATTAATAAACCAATTTCCATTTTTAAGCTTAGTGTATATTCACAAAACCACATAAAGAAAAACAATGCTTTATAATTCTGATGGTGATAATAATATTAATAAACCAGTTTCCATTTGGTTCTTTGATCAACTAATCAACATATTCATTGAACTCTGCATCAAGCATCAGGATGTATACTTTGGAAATTACAGAGATGATTCAGGAGCAGGCCCTATTCTTAAAAGTAGTCAATTCTATGGGAAAGACAAGGCCCAGAGGACACTGGCTTTAAATATCATTGACCTAGATAGCCAGTTTTCCCTCCTGAAACATCACAAATACCCCTTGTCACTGCCCATCTGAAACATATTTGTGCAATACCAAATGCAGACCATATCAGGTAGGATTGGCTATATAATTTTGAGAGTACAGCACAAAATGAAACTTTGGGGCATCTTCTTGAAAAATTAATACAAATTTCAAGATGGAACAACAGCTCCTTAAACCAAGCAAGGGGCCCTTCTAAGTGCAGGGCCCTGTTGGATTGCATGAGTCATGTACACATGAGGCTGGCCCAGGGATCAGGTCATTGTTTTGTATTAAGTACCAATGTTGGTTCTGTTTCTGTGTTATTTGCTATGACCACCCCCAAGCCAACTCCTCTTCCTGAGCCAGCTGCCTGCCCCAACAGTTCTTACAGGCGACACCTGCTCCTTCTATGTCCTACTGAGTCCCTGTCCCAACCTTTCTAATTAACTATTTTCTGTATTCCATTCTTCTCTTCACAATTGATTGAATAGACAGCACTGGCTGTCTCTTTCTTAGAGCTCAGAGTAATCTACTCCTTAGAGCTCCAGCCCTCAACCCTCCTCCCACCTGCAGGCCACTTGCCCCTTTTCCCCCTTGGCCAGGAGAAGTGGGGTTGAGGGTGAGGGGAAGCAGAAAGAGCTACAGATAATCTAATTATTACTATTACTGCCATGGTAGCCACAACTGACTTTGTGGGTTTTTTTGTTCATTTGTTTTTTGTTTTGTTTTGTTTGTTTGTTTGTTTTACCAGCATACAAGTTATTTTGCATGAAACTTTCCAATAGTTGGCCAAGAAACTATGGATACCAGAAAGCAGCCTCAGTTAAAGGCTTTCTCAATTTTTTAGGAAGTATATTACCAAGCTGAATTCAAGGAATATGGTAATATTCCTTATGACTATGGTTATGGTGGGCACCTCCATTTTCACACTTATCTGGCAGTTGTAAACAATGCATCTTGTTCACCAGAAAGAATCCTCTAGTTATATACAAGGCAGTTAGTGCTGGTGGTCAAATGAACAATGCAACCAGTAGAGCCTACAAGTGTTCAGAGGAAGACTGCACTGTGAATTCAAGAAATCTAAAATTCTTAATGGAGAAGGTATAGATTAAAAGTCTTATTTTCACAAATTAGAATAGAATTATAAGTCTGTCCTGTAACTCAACAGCAGAGAACCTTTAAATCTCAAGGAATATTTTTCTATATGGAACCATATCTTTTTTTAATTGCCTTCCAAAACCCAGATTTTATTATGTGTTTCTATCTTTATAAACTTTTTAAAGGTCATTTAGAATAATTTCCACTATGCCCAATGCTTGTACTTTTATGTCTGTTTGTTTGTTTTTTTAACTCATCGCTCTTTTATTTTTCCTAAATCTTTTAATTGGCTCCCTGGTTTCTTAACAGTTAATTAATTCATTGCAAAATAACAGATATATGCTTTGATACCAGGATGGTTTGGCTACACATATGATCGCCTAGCTGGAAATCTGCTGCCCAGTCTCTGAATCCCTTTGCCTCTTTCTCTGTATTTTGTTTGGCAATTAGTACTTTCCCCCTGGGTTTCAGGGCTATAATTAGTATTCTCATATCTTATCTCTCTTGCTGGTGTATGAATTCCCCAAGGACAAGATTCTGATTTGGTCCATATGTGTGTCCTACAGGTAGAAGTTAGCTTAAAAAGGCAGATGGTTTGGTTTACTATCTGGTTGATTGGTTGCCTGACTGGAAAAAAGGGAAAAGAAAGGAAGATTTTGGTTACATGCCCAGCTCTCACTGGGTTCTTAAAAAAATTGCTGTTCTTTCCAAGACCTTCCTCTCTTCTAATTTCTTAATAGATATAGATTCCCAGAAAATAACACCAAGGAAATCCCACTGCCTTCGATATCCAAATGCCATAAATATGACCAAGGAACTGATGTTGCTTATTCATAAAAGTAACCACACCAGCAACCAGCAACATCTACCTAAGTATGCTAAAGTTGCTTTAAAAAGAATAAAGTGATATGTATCTCAATAAAGCCAACATTTTCTTGTTCAAGTGGAAAAGGATGAACTTGTACCTCTAATACTAATATTGAACTAATTCTGATCTTTAAACTAAGATACAAATAATTTTAGAAAGCAATTTTCTTCTTTGCCTAGGGCAAGGTGTAATAAATACAGACCCCAAATATTTAAGATTCCATTCTTCTATCCATGCTTACACATTCCCCATCAGTGGTTCTTCCCAAAGTCCACATAAAGAACTGAAGCAGTGTGTCTCCTCTGCCAGGGCTGTGCTTTTAAATCACTGATTTATGTTCTAAGGCCCCCCAAGACAGCATTTTACATAGTACCACGCTAGCCAGCAGCCAGGGTCCCGAAGGTGAGTGTATCAGTTGAAAGGGTTTTAATGCAGTGGGGGAGGAAGCACTACCTCCTGGTAATCACATGATCAGCACACCTAAATGGACAAACTCAGCCTGCATATTTTAACCTGCAGCTGGCGATGCAGCTCTGTTTACACAATGCTGTCCCGTGGCAGAATTACACAGCTCGCCATGGCTGCAGCCAGATAATTATTATTGATTCGCTCTCAAACTGTCAATCTGGGGACAGCTCTGAGGCAGTCAGTGATGGACAGAAGGAGGATTGGACAGCCACCATCCAACGAGGAAACTTCATCTTGAAAATGAACTTAGATGAGATGGTGCCGGTGGATAAGGATAATTGATGATTGTTTCAGAGTGGAGGAAGGGGAAGAAGGAAAGATCTAAGAGAAAAAAAAAAAAAGCCTTCTTGGCATTCAGCTTAGTGTCCTTAACGGAATGTACTAAAGGCTATCCACAAACTCCATGAAGTTTTTGTGTGGTTTTGTCCAATAAACCTATAATTTTTAATATGCCATGATAATTAGAATAGAAACCATTTTCCAAATAAAAAAATCTGTACAATTCAGGTGTTTCTTTGATTGCCTTAGAATTTAGACATTTTTGATGATGTAGGCATATTGATTATTTTAAAATGTGTTGAAATATGTATTTGAATAGTTGTTTTAACTTTTCAAAATACTTCCTCCACCTATTTGACCCTTTGACAAATATATATTAAGCTCTTAATATTTACAAGGCAACCTCATCATCTCAACCAAGATAGGAAAACCATCAAATACCAGTTGACAATTTGATAGACGAGTACATTGAAACCCAGAGCAGCTAAGTGACTTGGCTAAACTCACAAAGCTCTTTAGAGGTTGAACTAGACATAGACCCCACACATCCTGCCTCTTAGACCCTTGCTCTTCCCCTAAGAGTCATTCCCATTCATCAAATGGCTATCCTTAACCAAGCACTAGACAAGACACTTTGCTTAGATTATCTCATTTAAATTCACAACGGCAAGGTGGTTCACATGAACCCTTTCTTATAGATGAGAAAATGAAACTCAGTGATTTTGGGATTTGTCTAAAGTCACTCAGCCAGGATTTGAATCCCACACTGCCTGGTGTGGTGGGTAAAGCAAGGGAATTGTGTCGAAGTATCAGGGCTACTTCAGCAGCTACTAAAGAAAATAAGTAACACTGAATTTGAACAATAACATATTAAGCCACAGTCCTGTGTAGAGGGTGCCTCTCCTGCCAGCAGAGAATAATATGGCTTCCACGGCATCCTGCTCCAACCCTTCAAGACCCAGAAGCCGTTAAAAAATTCTCACTAAAAGGCAGTGGTGCTGGACCTTTTATTTGTTCCTGTAGAAGTGCAGTGGGTCAGCAGGCCCAGCCTGTGGAAACCAATGGTCACACTGATCCGGACAGGATTAAACACCGGCCTCCATGGTTATGTTCCACTTGATTCTCCCTTTGTCTGTCCTCATTTGAGACATGACTGATGCTTGTTGATTGTCAGAGACATTGCTTTACACACTCATTTCCAGGCCTAGGGTTGTGTCATGCCAGGGCACCTTCAATTATCTTAAGGAATCATCTCAAAATTCTTTTTAAAAGGAAAGAATTATGAGTTCATTTACATTTTAAAACAGAAAAATACATTCCAGATAATTATTTTAAAAGGAGAACGTAGTCTAAAAATCAGGCCAAAACAAAGACACACAGAATTAGAAAATCATTGACGAAAATAAGTCACACATTATTTGGAAAGGGGGAGGTTGATATTATCCATAGTCCAAGAAGTTTGAATCAAACATCCTAATTTTTGGCTAAAGGGAAAGCAAATTGCATTCTGTTCCCTGCAGTTTAACCTGTCACTTATTAGGTTTGTGGTCACTTCTAGCATTCACATATTCAAGCTTTGGCTTTTTTTTTTTTTTCTTTTGAGATGGAGTCTAGCTGTTGTCACCCAGTCTGGAGTGCAATGGCACGATCTCAGCTCACTGCAACCTCTGCCTCCCAGGTTTCAGCAGTCCTCCTGCCTCAGCCTCCCTTGAGTAGCTGGGATTACAGGCACTCACCACCACGCCCAGCTAGTTTTTGTATTTTTAGTAGAGACAGGGTTTCACCATGTTCGCCAGGCTGGTCTCGAACTCCTGACCTCAGGTGATCCACCTACCTTGGCCTCCCAAAGTGTTGAGATTACAGGTGTGAGCCACTGCACCCAGCTGGCTCTTCTTAAATTAGATGTGTGTGTGTATATATATATATATATATATTTTTTTTTTTTAAATTTAAGACAGAGTCTCATTCTGTCACCCAGGCTGGAGTGCAGTGGTGCCATCTCAGCTCACTGCCACCTCCACCTCCCAGGCTCAAGTGATTCTCCTGCCTCAGCCTCCCGAGTAGCTGAGATTACAGCCGCGTGCCACCATGACAAACGCTAATTTTTATATTTTTTTAAGTAGATATGGGGTTTCACCATATTCACAAGGCTGGTCTTGAACTCCTGACCTCAAGTGATCTGCCCACCTTGGTCTCCTACACTGCTGGGATTACAGACATGAGCCACCATGCCTGGCCAGGAGTGAAAATTCTAATAGCTATGGTATGGTAGATCCAGAAAGTTCCCCATCTGACATATCCCTAATCTTGTGTTCAACATTTTTAACATCTTTTTTCTCATTTGATCCATATAAAACCCTGAAAGATAGGGTAGACACTTATTACTGCTATTTTACAGGTAAGCAAACTGAGGACCAAAGAGCTTCCATGGCCTATCCAATGCCGATTAGCTTGTGGGTAACAAAAGTAGGCCTAGAACACAGATTTCCTAGACTGGAACTAGACTGCTAGTTCCCGGATATGCCACTACATCTCACTGAGCCTGTGGTTGTGTTTTCTTTTGAACATACCAGATTGACTTCGCATGCATATAAGTTAAACACAGGACACTAGTAATAGTATGGAAAACATAAACTTCTGTAATTATTATGGCAGTCTCCTGGTATACGCCATTAAAGTATCTACCCAAATTAGTTTATTAGGACAATATTGTAAAGCATAGTTTTCTAAAAAATGTTATCTTTTAAAATATATTTTATATATATATATATCTTTGGCCCTAAATCTATGATCTAGGGTCTGAGTCCCAGGAAGAGATAGCTAGAAGAAAGAAGGGAGCAAAAATAATCCAAAAGAGATATTTGCTTACACCCTCAATTATTGGAAGCATAGGTCATTTTCTAGCTTGTCTTGCAGCATACAGTATCAGCAGAAGATTACTAGACGCTGTCTAGTAATTATTAGATGCCTCTCCAAGCTCTCTGGCCTCCTGAGAAGGCCCAACAGCATGGACATCTAGTGGGATTATCCTTGTTTGGACTGAAGAAGATTTTGTCTCCATCAAGTGATGGTGGTATGGATGCACCAGGACAGTATGGATTTGTGGCGCCCTCACAATGGGCAGGTGTTATCCAAAGGCCTGGGAAAAAGACGTTACCACTCCAGTGTAAGAATGGAAAATGTAGGCTGGGCACGGTGGCTCACACCTGTAATCCCAGCACTTTGGGAGGCTGAGGCAGGTGGATCACGAGGTCGGGAGATCAAGACCATCCTGGCTAATACGGTGAAACCCCGTCTCAACTAAAAATACAAGAAAAAAATTAGCCGGGCGTGGTGGCGGGTGCCTGTAGTCCCAGCTACTCCGGAGGCTGAGGCAGGAGAATGGTGTGAACCTGGGAGGTGGAGCTTGCAGTGAGCCAAGATCGCGCCACTGCACTCCAGCCTGTGCGACAGAGCGAGACTCCGTCCCAAGAAAAAAAAAAAAAAAAGGAAAATGTAGATTCTAATAGGAACCAAGAAGATGATGTTTGTGATTGCAAGTAAAATACTTCCTGAGGATGCCTAGAAATAATTAGAGGAAGAGGAGAAGGGGCACTTTGAATGGATCCTGGGTCAAGGTTTAGCCAGAGTAATAATGTATATATTGTATTGTGTATTATAGCTCTAGGCTGATGTGGGCTAAAGATACGGGTGAGTCACATTAATAGTTTTAGATTTTTATTGAAAACATCTGTTCCACTTTGTTTTAAGGAAAGGTACATTGATTTGGGGGTCTGACAGAGTTGGCTTTCAATGCTACCCTCACCCTGTTTACTAGTTCTGGATACTTGGGCAAGGAATAAAACCTGCCTAGATCTATTTTAAGTAAAATTGAGATGATGCTGAAGTCATGAGGTTGTTGGGAACCGTCCGATATTAAAGGGAACTGACTCTTTACAAAAGAAGTAAGTCTCATCTGAGAAGGCAAAGGCGGAGTATTTCACAGTTCTGAAAGCCCATGTCTGTCTCAGGGGTTAGCACAGCCCACGCGGGCAGACCGGGCATTCTGCCTGGTGCCCCTGTATTGTCACTCACCCAGCTGTTTCCTGGGGCCAGGTTCCTTCAGTAGGCACTGTGATCCAGGCCACTGGGACAGCTTAAGTCACATCCTCTTCCCCTGTCCCCATCTGGTTTGATGATCTACATCCCTGCATGTGCCTTTCCAGAAATGTGTTCAGAAGTAAGCCCTATATCCTTCCTTCAGAGGGAGAAGGCCAGGGGTCGGGTCTCTGTGAGGGGTGCTCTGAACACTGCTGGGGAAGATACAGGTGTCCTCCCTTTTCCTCACTCCCCCAACAGGCAAAGGACAGGAATCAAGCCTGTATCAAAGGCAGCAGTGGCAGAGGAGAAGGTCTGCTTCTGAGGAGGAATGAGCAAAGCTGTGGAGAATGCTTAAGTAGAATTGGCAGCAGGAATCTTTGATGCCCTCAGCAACAAACACTTGAGTGGCAGGACTGTAGTGTTGATTTTTCTTTTAATCTTCTCTCACCTTCATGATAACATAGTTCTCTGCTGGAAAAGTCATTCTTTACCCTTTTATGGCACTGAGGCCAAGAATCACAGAACTCTTGCTTCATTTCTAATTTTGAAATAAGTCCTCATTCCCTATAGTTACCAAAAAAAACAAAAACAAAAAAGTCAGTGTGTCCGTATATGACATCACTTTTTGTGGTCATGATGTTTCCCTCCATGCTTTGTTAAGAGCTGCTTAAAAGAGCTAGAGCCAACCCAACAAGCTGATTGATAGAGGCTGCATCAGAGGTGACTGAAAAGAAAGGACAGAGGGGAAGGGAGAAAAAAGGAATTTAGATCATGAAAGAAGCCCTTGAGTTTATCAGTTACTGGGGGTTGGATGACTCGCTGTTTGAAAAGCCAGAGAAACTTAGACAAGTGTTTCTCAGTCTGGCACAGGGGAAAGTGCTGGAAAACCAAGAATTGGTTGGTTTATAGAGGGAAGCTTTGGGATCTCTTTTTCTGAAAACCATCAAGAAAATCAGATGCTTTGGTTTGATTGGCAGCAACACTCTACTTAGAAGCCAGGAGGAAAACAGGCTGCTCTCAGAGCTCCATCAAGTGCAGCATGAGTCTGTAGGTCAGGACTTGTGTCTACGTTACCTGAACCATGGAGCCCAAAAGCAGAATAGGGTTCCTTCCTTTCCTTCCAGGAAAGTGGAACATCTCAGGTGCCCCATTGTTTTTATGTGAATGCATTGGTTTTATATTTTTCTCCTAGGCAAGAGATGCACCTGTCAGAGGAGCCCTGCAGGGAGAGTGAAAAAGGATAAAACCTGATGGAGAGGCATTGTGCTACAGACCAAGGACTCTCCACTCTGGCTGAGCATCAGAACCGCCTGCAGAGCTTAGTCAAATATTGAGCCTTCAGCCCACCCACAATGATGAGATTCAGTAAGTCTGTAGGGAGCCAGATCAGCTCTTGTTGTTGTTATTTTGAAGCTCTACAAGTGTTTGTGGTTGCACAACCAGAGTTCAGACCCACTGTAGATGTTTCCAGTGCATTATTTCACATAATCCACACAACAACCTGGTGAGGCAGATGGCTTATTCCCAGTTGTAACAATGAGAAAACGAACCCAGAAGGCTGCAACTTATTACTAAATGTTAATATATAGCAAGTGGTATAACTGAGATTGTTACCCAAATCTCCTTAGTCCACTGATGCCAAAGGGTGGTGTGTGTGTGTGTGTGTGTGTGTGTGTGTGTGTGTGAGAGAGAGGTCTGTGTTTGGTGTGCGTTAGTATTGAAGGGGGATGACACTGTTAAGTTTCCTCTTTTGATATATAACTCAGAGGGTAATGTTTTCCTCCCTTCCTAAAATAAATGACACAGAGAGAAACAAGGTACATGTATTAGTCCATTTTCACACTGCTGATAAAGACATACCCTAGACTAGGCAATTTACAAAGGAAAGAGTCTTAATGGACTGACAGTTCCATGTGGCTGGGGAGGCCTCACAATCATGGCGGAATGTGAAAGGCACATTTCACATGGTGGCAGACAAGAGAAGAGTGAGAGCCAAGGGAAAGGGGTTTCCCCTTATAAAACCATCAGATCTTGTGAGACTTATTCACCACCATGAGAACAGTATGGGGAAATCCACCCCCCATGATTCAATCATCTCCCACTGGGTCCCTCCCACAACACGAGGGAATTATGGAAGCTACAATTCAAGATGAGATTTGTGTCAGGACACAGCCAAACCGTATCAGTACATTTCTCCCTTTCAAACCAACTCCCTCTTGAATGAGGATGGGAACAGTGTTCATTTTATTTATCATAAGACAAGCATATGTTTATGCTTTTAAATATTTTGGAATAGCACATTTTCTTCTTTTTTATTGACACTTAGGTGGAAGCCATTGAAGGAACCTAAGAAGAAAAGGAAAACTAAAAATTGACGTAAATCAGAAGTTCACAACTCGGATTATGAAAGGAGTTAATAACATAAGTAAAGATCAATAAATTCTTTTATTATAGTTCTCAACTATATTAATTCTAGCTTACTTAATCACCAAAGTGAATAACTCTTTTAAACAAATACAGAAATTTATTTTTAATATCTCACTAAGAGCCAATTTTAAAAACAACAAAATACCACTACACACTTATCAGAACGGCCAAAACCCAGAACACTGACAACACCAAATGCTGGCAAGGATGTAGAGCTACAAGAACTCTCCTTCGTTGCTGATGGGAATGCAAAATGGCACAGCCACCTTGGAGGACAGTTTGGTGGTTTCTTACAAAACTAAACATACTCTTAACCATATGATCTAACAATCACAATTTTTAGTATTTACCCAAAGGAGTTGAAAACTTATGTTCGTTCAACATGTACACAGATGTTTATAGCACCTTTATTTATCATTGCCAAAAACTAGAAGCAACTAAGAAGTCCTTCAGTAGGTGAATGGGGAAATACTGTGGTACGTACAGACAATGGAATATTATTCAGTGCTAAAAACATCAAAGAGCTGTCAAGCCATGAAAAGACATGGTGGAAAATTAAATGCACATCGCTAAGTGAAGGAAGCCAATCTGAAAAGCCTACAAACTGTATGATTTTAATAACAGAACATTATTTAAAAGGCAAAACTATGGAGACAGTAAAAAGATGAGTGGTTGCCAGAGGTTGAGGGATAAAAGGAGAAATAAATAGGTATTTATTTATTATAATAAATAATAATAAATAGCTATGATATTTAACACAGATAATTTTTAAGGCAGTGAAAGCAGCCTATATGAAACTACAATGGTGGATACATGACATTATACATTTGTCCAGACTCATAGAATGTAAAACACCAATAGTGAACTCTAATGTAACCTATGGATTCTGGGTGGTGATAATGTGTCAATGTAGGTCCATCAGTTGTAAAAAATGAACCATTCTGGCAAGGGATGTTGATAGTTGGGGAGGCTGGGCATGTGTTGGGGCAAGGGGTATATGGGAAATTTTTGTAACTTTCACTCAATTTTTCTGTGAACCTAATACAGCTCTTTAAAAATTCTTTTTAAAAAACTTATTAATGGGTGAGATCACTAATTTATATCAGATAGGATAAACTCCTTTTAATTTATCTGCAAGGAAATGGCTGCCTTGATTTTCCCCAAGGACCCATGAGGACCAAAGGGATATGCAAGCACCTGGGAAACTATAAATTGCCACATAAAATGCATCACTGTCATCACTACTAATTTTAAATTGAAATATAAAATGTATGGAGCATCTGCAGAGCACCATATGGCCCACTATTCCTCACATTCTCCCCTCTCTCTTCCCTTTCTGCCTGCCCTTCCTCCTTTTCCTGGTTTCCTTCACCACACACTCCAACACTCTGTACTCTTCTTCCTAGGTGGCCTAACCTCAGAAGACACGGTGCCATCTTTTGCATTTAAAAACTCAGGACTAAAACAAAGAAATAAACATTGATGATGTACAGCTAACTGAGAAAAGCCTAATTCCAAGTGTTGCTCTGCCCCTAGTAAACAGATGAACATCATGTACACATGAAAAAGCAGTAGAAAAATAATGACAAGAAATGCAATAATGTAGCATCACATGGACATGAGATTCTCCTTTTCTTTTTCTTTTCTTTTTTTTTTTGAGACGGAGTCTCACTCTGTAGCCCAGGCTGGAGTGCAGTGGTGTGATCTCGGCTCACTGCAAGCTCTGCCTCCCCGGTTCACGCCATTCTCCTGCCTCAACCTCCCAAGTAACTGGGACTACAGGTGCCCGCCACCACACCCCGCTAATTTTTTGTATGTTTTAGTAGAGGCGGGGTTTCACTGTGATAGTCAGGATGATCTCAATCTCCTGACCTCGTGATCTGCCTGCCTCAGCCTCCCAAAGTGATGGGATTACAGGCGTGAGCCACCGCGCCTGGCCGAGATTCTCCTTTTCTTTTATTGCCGTTCCAATGTTCTTAAAGCAACTTTAAATATTAAATCTAATTTTTCACGTATTGTATCGCCAAGGCCCTCACCACATCCTTAAAACACCTTTCCCATCACTGAAAAAACAAACAAACAAAACAAAACTTTAAGATCAAATTCATGTGGTCAGAGTCTAGATCTTCTGTCAGACAAATGAATACCTGATAGTCTCCCTTTCTAGACAAGTCAGAAAGCATAAGTGGGCTGTTTTTCCTCATGTGTTTCCTCTTGTTTGCTCCTGCTCTCTGGGTGCCTACATCTATCCACACTTCATCAGAAGAGCTATCAGCTGAGCAGCTGGTCTCCTAGAATCCTGTGACTGACAGTGGCATCCTCCTATGTGGACCGTGGAACTGTCCAGTCCCCATGGCTAACACATCCCACTGTCGGGGCAGCCAGGATTGTTCCTATCAACCATCCTCATCCATTGCCCCACCTCCAGAAACCTGCTTTGGGGTCTCCAGAGGCATCTTCCCTTCCCCATTAATGAAGCAATCATACAATCATATTTTCAGCAATGGCCCCACCGTGCACTGTTGCTGAGATGTTCCCATTTTCAAAAAAAAAAATACATATATATTTTAACACATGTGTACATACATTTTACATAGATATGTAAATATATGTAAAAATACTATACATGCATGTATCTCAATCATCAGAGGTACATGGGGATGTGCAGAGGACTTTGCCAAGGCACCAAATAGACATTTTTCTGGAGCATCAGTTTGACTCAAAAGTAACCAACTTAAGACATACCTTTATATGAAAACAAGTATAACATGAAGTAGAATAAAAATTTTACAAACACTTTTAAGATAAAAGTGGAAACTTGAAAGACATTCCCTGGGAAGCTTTGGTCAGATCCCTGAGGTTCAAATGCACTCTCCTATGCCTGATGTCAGTGGGAAATGTGACACGCTGAGCACCTAGAGGCACAAGGAGCGGTGATTACACTTGGCAGGGACTTTATAAAAACCCTCTGGTGCGTTCTAATTTACTTCCTGGAGAGTAAATGACCCAGCTTACTGATGCCAATGTGGAACCTTGAGAATCACCTTCATTTGGTAACTGCAGGTAGAGCAAGCAACAGTGGGACTTGCCTTTCATGTCCCGCCTATGCCCAGCCCCTGTTGGGCTGCTTCCTGCAAGGAATTGGGCCAACTGCCACCAGTACCAAGGGAGAAATCTGGTGCTGCTCTGTTTTAGTAAATCTAGCACATTCAGTCGCCCTTATTTTAATAGCAGGCTTGCCTTGCTATATTCATAAACCAAAAAGCTGAGGCCAAGCATGACCATAAAAGTGTTTTCTGACTTATTAATTTTACCATGTGAGTCCTGAGTTTCTCCAGACAGGAAAATGTTTCTCCAGCTCTTGCTTCTTTTCATTCAAGTGAGACTTTAGCTTCCTGTAAAAACTCACCCTAGTATGTCTAAAGTCACCAGAGGTGCCTCAGGTGTGTGCAATAATTAATCAGAACATCTACCAACATCTCTTTCTGCTCTGATTCACCATCAGTGTCCCTGGTAAGAAGTTCACTAAGTGGGTCCCATTGCTGTCACTGCAAACTGTACCCAGATGCTTCATGTTGCAGACACTGTCTTCTGTGCTTTCAGAGGCAGCAACCCTTGAGATTCCAGGTGTATTTTGTGTGGAAGTGGAGAGGTTGACTTTTTCACCCACTCTGAGTCCTCTGTTAGCATTCAGTACCAAAGCAACATTCCTGATGCCTCTGCACCTCACCCTGTTGCCTGTGGAAGCAGCTGCTCAATTTCTGCCTGTAGTTTTCCTTATTACAAGGCCAGAGACCTAAGACCAGACTGTAGATCAATATTAAAGAGAGACACCATGTAGTCTTACCCTCTTACCCCTTTTCATTTTCTTTCATCTCCCTCACTGTATAAAACCCCCTTCCTCCTTTGCATATCAGTTTACTCTAATTGAATACCTGGATTCCTCCTTCCACCAGCTCATCCTATATTCATGGACATGCCTGAATCCTCAAGGCAGGTGCCTGTTAAGGTCAAGACAGAACCCCAGGCATACAGATGAGAAGCCTTTCAAAGGTTTGAAAATTAACCTCCATATACTGATACATTCTTTGGGTTATTTTTATTAGGTAATACTGGATCTGACCCAGAAAGTGCAAGAGAATTCATCCTGTTAAGTCCAGGCAAATCTGGGCTTTCCTACCTTCTTCGCACAATCATTTGGTTTTTAGAGGTTAAAAGACTATTTTATTTATTGTCCTGCCGATCGTCTTCCAAGCCCTCAATCCTGTTGTGATGTTTAATTTTATATGTCAACTTGATTGGGCCATGGGATGCCTATCTGGTTAAACATTATTTCTGGCTGTGTCTATGAGGACATTTCCAGAAGAGATTAGCATTTGAATTTGTGTATCGAATAAAACTGATTGCTCTCTTCTATGTGGTGGGTATCACCCAATCTATTGAGGGCCTAATTCGAACAAAACTGCAGAGGAAGGTTGAATTTGCTCTCTGCCTGACTGCTTGAGCTGATCATCAGCCTTCTCCTTCCCTGAGCGCTGCTGGTTCTCAGGCCTACAGACACAGATAGGAATCCATCCCATGAGGTCTTAGGCTCTCAGGCCCTCAAGATACACCTCAGCTTTCCTGGGTCTCCAGCTTGCAGACAGCCACTGTGGGACTCTCAGCCCCCATAATCACATGAGCCAGTTCCTTATAGTAAATTTCCTTATACGTATGGTGTGTGTGTGTGTGTGTGTGTGTGTGTGTGTGTGTGTGTGTCTGTGTGTCTGTGTGTATTCTATTGGTTCTGTTTCTCTGGAAAACCCTGACTGATGCAACGCCCAACCCGGTAGCTCTAATGGCCATTATGTGACGGATCATCATATGAGCATAATGAACCTCCTATTCTACAGGAACCAAGGTAAAAAGCACTCACATTTGTTAAAATCCCTTCTAGATCTTCAGTTGAAATGTGATACAACAGAACAAAATGCTATTACATTAACCTAATTAGGAAGTTACTTGCTAAGAGCAAGTTTTAGAGTATTTACGTTTGTTTAAAAGCCAAAAAGATTATCAGCTGTACTTCTACAGACTTTGAGGCTCCTGTGTTTGTTTGATTTACCAATTTCTAAATTTAGGCGGAGGATTCTGCTATGCACTTGAACTGCTGGTCAATTCTGCATGAGCAGGCAGGGGACAATATCAGAAAGGATACCAGAATTGTGGTCAAGAAATATTAATACACAAAAGACATTTTTGCATAATAGAAAATATATGAAATGGCAAGCAGAACATTTGAAAAAATAAATGGTTTCGTTTAGTTATTTGGAACTGCATAAGGTTCCACGTATAGAAGCCTCTGCAATGAACTCATGGTGATTCCTTATTCAGAATGGAAAAACAGGGGACTTAAGGTAGTTTAAATGTTTCTATATTTCTTTCTCATTTCAGCTTTGCACAAGACTCTACAATCTTAAATTTTTACAGCTGGAAGAACCACAGTCTAGAGATAAATACCCCTACTTTGAAGAAGTGAATAAGTAGAAGATTGGAGATTAGAATTCAGATATTGTAATTCAACGGGATAGGGCCAGGTCTTAGAAGTACAGTGCCTCTCAGACAGCATCTCCTCTTGTCAAAGAAAATCTTCTAATTAGCTGATACTGAACAGTTCAGTCACCCACCTCACTGATCAGGAGCCTGCTTGTTGAAGACTACAGCCATACAGAACACTAGAAGCAAGAATAAGAAAAAGCTTGGAGAAACACAGACGGGTGATACCAGCTTGTCCCACTGTGAGTTTCTCACATCCTAGCACTACAGTCATGCTGCCTTGGTTCTTAGCCCAGTCACAGATGTGAGATATTGAGCAAGTTAGGTAACCATTCCGAGTCTCAGTGTTCTTATCTGTAAAATAGGGATAGTAATTTTTTTTCCCCTCATGAGATTGTAGACAGGATTCATGAAGTAATATGTAAAGTCATTGGAACATTACCTGTTATTTATAAAGTACTTGTAAATGGTGTTTTTGTTTTTATTTTTTTATTATTACTCTAAATACAACGCTGCAAGTATGATTGTCAGGTTGTTTATCCACGGCAGATCAGAAGCCAAAAATCAGTCAAGGAGGAAAATATTCTACTAGAAAAGCATTGGCATTAACAGCACAACAAGGCCATGGCCAACAAGTTGAACATGACAAAAAGACAGAAAGACAACGAGAATAGGATATAGAAACTCAAAACATATCATTCTGGGTCTTTTTTCATTTCAGGGAAAACAATAGAAAACCTTTCAATAGTTCTTAATGATATTTTATTAATAAATAGTAAAATACAGTATCATTCAAACTAGTAAATGCAGTATCATTCAAACTAATAAACTTAATGGATAAGATTTAAATCATGTTCAAAATATCCCCATGAGAAATTTCTTGTAGCATGAGTGCCTGGGAATTTTTGCTTTTCTTAAAGATGTGGTATAATTTTTCCTTTCTGACAAAAATGATAGACCTGACCTTTTTTTCTGTCACTTTGACTACCAGTAAGCTTAGAACCAAATTTCAGCCTTCCTACAAAAGCCACAAAGGGCCTTAGGGGCCTTTTCATTCTAGTTTTTTTGGGGGGATCATGATTTTCTACTCCAGATTTACAGTGTTTTTGTTCTGAATTTTACATTTCTCTTTTTTATTTTGATTATTTTATTGTATAGCACAATCTGGCTCAAATTCTTTGTGAAAGATGTCCTATTCTAAATAAATGTAAATGCTCAAAAACTTATTTTTGAAGTCTGATATATGCACAAAATGGTCTTGGAAAATTTCATTCCAAATATTTTATTAAATTAAATTCAGGAACTATGGGGATAAGCTATTTAGAAGAATATCCCTTCTAGGAAATTGCTTATTCTGTAACTCTCCCGAACAAGACAGCATTACTAAATGTCCTTCTCTTCTAAATGAAGCCGCAGGTTTATCCCAAGTCCAATTGCCTCCAAAGTACTAAAGCTGCCACCTTTCTCCAACGGGGAAAAATGAGCAACATTGAGTCTAAGTACCAATCAAGGGATAGAAAGCCTGGTTCTTAGACTTCATGTCTCAGAGCTCAGAGGCATAAGCCCTGGTAAGAATGCTCTCAGCCGGCTGGCTAATAGAAAATAGGAAACTTTAGAATCCCAGCCCTAATTTCATTCAGCTCCCAGATAAATATCACCCCAGGAGAGAGCCGCCATTGACCACCTACATAAAGCAGTCTCCCCACTCACAACCCAGCCTATTCTGCTTACACTGATCTATTTCTCCATGGCACAAATATTTAGTTATTTATTCTACTAGCTCTTGATTATCTGGGTCTTCCAATTAGTGTAAGTTCCATGAAGTCAGTGACTATCTGTTTCATTTTGTTGCTTTATCTCAAGTTCCTAAAATAGTATCTGACAAGCAGTGAACACACAGCCAATATTTGTTGGTTGAATGGACAAGAGGATGAATACGCGGAAGTGATTGACCAAGAAGGATATTTTTTCTTTCTGCCACTTTGGAATGAAATGAGATATTTTGAAACTTATAACTTTAAGCCCTTTCAGGTCTTTGAATAAAAATCAATTTGTAAAAATTAAGTGCATTATATCAATCAAACCATGAGACAAAACCTGTCCTATCCAAAATCTCGTGGGTTGCCATATAGTACTCCCTTTCACCCTCTGGAGTCACACAGTCAGACTAATCTCTCTTGTACTAAATCACTCAAAAATTCACATCCCCTGGGCAGGCTTCTTTCCTGGTCATCATTCTATATTTGACTGAGGGTCAAATCCATATAGAAATCCTACATATACCAACTTGTCTAAAATTAAACTTTGCTTTTCCCCCAGGCCAATTCTCTGAATATTCTATTACCCAGGATAGTAGCCCATTGGCTCTTTTTCTCTATGGTCATGGGTTTTGCTTTTAGGGCTATGAAGCATGGAGCAGGCCCCAAGAGTGTGAGATACCAGCCAGGCCACATTTAAGAAGGATGGGATGAGAAATGAAAGAACAGAGATGACATGGAAGTCAGAGTGTCTTTATGTGGCAGGCTAAGCTAGCCCCACAATGCAGCCAAGCTCCCACATGCGTAAGATATACGTCCATTGAGGGAGGTTACAGGCAGGAAGGCAAAACCGAGACCACTCACTTCTCAGTTTGCCTGGAGCAGCACAGCATTGAAGGAACGAAGTCCCAGTTAGTAAGAGCAATGATCATTAGGGCAATTTGGGATACTGTATGTTGGCAGCTGTTTTGTGCAAATACTGTTGCTTCTCATGTGGCCAGCTTCATCTTGATCTCCAGTTGTGGCTCAGAATATAGGTAAATTCATGACTTGGGAGTTTGGTGTATGATTATTTCGTCACCTGGATATTTGGCATAGCACCCAACAATTTGTTTTTTCTGATCCTCCCCTCCTTCCACTCTCCTCCTTCAAGTAGGTCCCAGTGTCTGTTGTTACCTACTTTCTGTCCATGTGTTCTCATTATTTAGGTCCCACTTATAAATGAGAACATGTAGTATTTGGTTTTTGGTTCCTGAGTTAGTTTGCTTAGAATAATGCCTCTAGCTCCATCCATGTTCCTGCAAAGAACATGATCTCATTCTTTTTTATGACTGCATAGTATTCTATGGTGTATAGGTACCAAATTTTGTTTATCCAGTCTACTGTTGACGGACATTTAAGTTGATTCCATGTCTTTGTTATTGTGAATAGTGCTACAGTGAACATATGCATGCATGTATCTTTGCAATAGAATGATTTATATTACCTTGAGTATATACCCAGTAGTGAGATTGCTGGGTTGAATGGTAGTTGTTTTTAGTTCTTTGAGGAATCACCATACTGCTTTCCACAACAGTTGGTTGCAGAGAAAAGGGAATGCTTTTACACTGTTGGTGAGAGTGTAATGCTTTCTACTAATATATACCACAGCCTACCTAAAGAGAATCTTCATGCTTGCCAAGATTTCTCCACCCCACCCTAAGAACAGAGTGACAAAACCTGAGCCAAAGCATAGCAGAAACTATTAGCAGGACACTCTGGCCTGGTTCAGTTCCTCTTCTCCCTATTAGGCAGGTATTAAATCCCAATGCCTGCCATTTTTGACTCAGCTTTCTCTGTCATAGGGTTGAGTTATAAAACCATTTTGTCCTGATATCTATTTATTTCCCTTTTCAATTCCCAGTATTCATTCTTCTAACATTTTCATGATGTTTCGATAACTTGCAAAACAGGAAAGGTTTAAGATACTTCATAGAAAACCTGCCTTAAATGCTGAGTTCCTTTTACATAATCCTACAGATTAATAAGTAACGCCTATGCCAGATTTTAGAGTTTGCAAAACACTTTCTTATTGCTATCATTTAACAGTGGCAACAACCCCAAGAGACAGGTATTCATGCCCTCACTGGTGAGGAATGGAAAGCTCAGAGAAGGCAAACAGCTTGCCCAGTCACACGTGGGACCTGGGACACTTTCTACCTTGTGAGGCCCCACAGATGTGCATCCCACCTTTGCAACCCATCTAATTGTATAAAGGGAAACACAAGCCAAAATAATCATCTTTCATCCACAGTATCTCCCTCATGGCCCCTTTTTCCAGAGCCAAGAATAGATCATATTTCTTCCCACTCACTTGGCCATGCTGTACTCATCTGCATGCACTGTGAATTTTTTCTATAAATCCAAGTAAGCATTATTCTTTTGTTCATTTTAGCTCTGTTTACTCAGTGCCTACTATGTGCAAGGCATCAATAGTGTGGCTATGAGGGGGTAGGAATTATTTATCAAATAATTACAGATGAGAGCTTTTTTAAAAAAAAAAAAATTCACTTAAATCATGCAGGATGCAATGATCTATATTGTGCTCAAAGCAAAGTAAATCACAGAGCAGCTGGCTCCAATTCTTTTTTAAAGTAGGCAGGGTATAAATAATAAATAGAATAAAAGCGTCACTGTGAAAATTTTATCAGAGGCAGTAAGTGTAAAGGAGTTAAGAGGCTGGGCGTCAGTCCAGGCCCCACCACCAGCAGTGTGTGACCTTGGGTGAGTCACCTCACCTCAATGGGCCTCCATTTTCTCCTCTGTAAAATATGTGAATTAAATGGAGTGATTTTTAAAGTGCCCTTTCTGATGAGCAGTCTCCTCATTCTGAAGCTGAACATCATGCAGTGCATCTATCCGACCTTTATCCCAACATGTGGCCCAGCAGCTGAGAGAAACACGAGGACATGGTAGCACTTGGGATCCCAAATGATACAGTGCCATCAAGAGCAAATGGGTGATCAACTTGAAAGGCAATAAGCTGGTGTGTAAAATATAATGGATTTGGAAAAATAAATATAATAAATGAATACTGGAGCAATTCCTAGGATTGGAGTAGTATCTTACAAATAATAAATACTCAGGTGAAATTAAAAATCAATAGGTAGTAACATACCAATACTGGTTCCCTAGTTGTGACAAATGCACCGTGATAATGTAAGATGTTAACAATAGGGTATCATGGTGCAGGGAATATGAGGACTCTCTGTACTATCTTTGCAGCTTTTCTGTACATATAAAACTATTCTAAAATATAAAATTTACTTAAAAAACAAATCAACAGGTTATCCTCATCTACCTAACTGAGAACCATCTGCAAGCTGAAGTTCATCATCTCCCTTTACCTGCACAAAACAGGCTCGGGGTAGATTTAGGATTATCATTTTGCTGTCAAGGAATCATCTTCATTTTTATGAATATATTCTAATCCTTTCGATTTTGTGTGAACATCCTTATAGTACTAATCAGGAAGTTTAAGTGGGCTGGTCGAATTATTTTATATGAATATCAGGACAGCGAGAAATGTGAGCTCTTCTCGTCAGTTGGAAACCCTGTTCATAGAATTGGAAATAAATTGTCCAAGCCAGGTTGACCAGTGCTGACATTTCCACACTCACCTAGTCTCTTTAACCTCCTGTTTAAAAAGTGAAAGTTAAGAAGTCCAACCTGAAACTATAAGGCAATAATAATCATAGTAAGTTTACAAACTCATCTTTAAGGGCTCACTGCTGAAGACAAAGGACCTAAAGAAAGCTTGCATCTAACTTCACCTGGTATTTGGCTACCATTTAGAAACAAAGCAAACACACGCACACACACACACACACACACACACACACACCAGATTCAAGAAGAAAAAGTCCATAGTATTAATAAATCCACAGTGTGAAAAGCTGCATGGATAAAAGGAAAATGTCTTACAAGTTTTCTTCAGTAACATTAGCAAATTCTTACATAACCTATATAGCATTAAAGTCTGCAAATCTGGCCTAAGTTTATCTTCAAGGCATAGACTTCTGAAATGTGCTCTCTTTGGTCTACACATTGCCTTTTGACATAGTCTATTAACTGGAGGCTCCAGCATCCTTTAATATGATTCCAGCAGCCTTAGCTCTCTGCTCACAAATAATTGATGTTCCCGTTGCACCAAGCATCATTTGCAACCGATAAGCAGCAGAGTAATTGGCACCTTCACAGGATATTAGGCAGGAGGAGGGGGGGAAAGGACCACCCTTTGCAGACAGGAAGCAGACAGCAGAAGGTAACCAAATAATCATGTGCCTGCTAAGAAAGCTAAATTCTTCTTGACAAATTATATACCTTGCATTTCCTATAGTAAATATCCAGTTTTGTATTTATCAACACACATTGTAAGATAAAAATGTCAGGTTAGGGTGCTTTCTGCGTTTATTAAAGATAAGGTGTTGATGTCACAATTTACTCTCAGTAGCAAGCAAGATTTGATATAACTTCTAGTAATACCTAGCATTAACAGCTTATATGTTTTCCATACTCATTTCAACATAATTTATGATGCTGTCATAATGAATACATGGACATGAATTATTATGAAATTAGAATAGAATTCCTATACAATTCTGTATAATTCAGTGTCACCACAGATACAATATAAGTAAAGAATCTAGATTAACCTGTGCTTAATATTTTTAAATATAACCATTGATTTAAAAAAAACACATTAAAAAGCTCAAGCTTTCCCAAATTTGGAGAAAAGTATATTATATTTTCAGGATAAAAGGATGTCAATGTGATTTTGACACTGACATTGAGCATATGTTTTTAAAAATTATCTGTTTCAGAATAAATTAGTTACCTCAGGATTATAACTGAACAATAAGTGTACATGTGAGAGCAAGTCAGGAGCTGGGACACAGATCAGCTAATTTGTGCTAAGACACTATGTTCAGTATCACACCGTCTCCACCCCAACAAAACTCCTGGCCTCTGGTGAAGATTAGAGGCTGTGAAATTCATGCTATAGACTCAGGCTAAAGGTAAAGCGAGAAGGGAAATGCAAAGACCAAAGTCCTAGTTCAATATTCTACAACACCTGACCAAACTGCCCACTCCCTCCCCCACTATCACCACCACAAACCTGTGTTTTCCCCCTTCCTACTTTCACTGAAATCCCACTCCAATTCTGCCATTGTAGGACTTGATCTGGGGCCATCTCAACCCTAGAAGAAACCTCCATTTGACCCAGATCAAATCCAGATCTTTCTCAGCCAAGTCACCCTTGTTCTCTCCCCATACAAATTCTGTCCATCCTTTCCTATGGACTTCCTGAACCTGGCCACCTCTGCCACAGACCCTGTGCTCTGATCCTCTGCTAGCATTTGATATTTCTGCATATATCTGATGAATTTGCTTAGACTCTCAACCCAACCAACAGCTCCAATCCTAGCTCACCCTCAGTCTCTTCCAGATCAATTATGTCAGCAGATAGACCAACCTGGGTGTCTCTCTGAGCCAGGATGCTGGGCCCTTCATAAAACCATCTATTCATTTCAGAAACTTCATTCTCTTGAATTGATTAGCCTGACTACATTGGCTTATGGCCTGACTTTCATTTATCCCTTAACTATGTATTGAGACCTTACTATAAGCCAAGGAATCAGATATGCAATTGGCTCCCTAACTCCTTCCCTACCCAGCTGTTCTTATTCTCCAAGGGCACCTGCCAATCCACCTAGGCCAGTGGTTCTCAACGTTGGGTCTCAGGGACTTTTGCACTCTGAAAAATTATTGAGAACACAAAGAGCTTTTGTTTATGTGAATTACACCTTCAAATATTTTCTGTATTTGGGAAGAAATTGAGAAAACATGGAAGTATTTATTGACTTACTTAAAATAGCATGATGAGCCCATCACATATTAACACAAATGACACGTCTATGAAAATATTTTCCAAAACAAAAATAATTAACAAGAAGTATGATATTGTTTTGCAATTTTGCTAATCTCTCTAATGTATAAAACAGTTCAATTTTCATATTTGCTTCTGCATCCATTCTGTTCTAATGTGTTATTTTGTCTGAATTATATGAAGAAAACCTGGCCTCACACAGATATGTATACAGTTGAAAAGTATTCGAAAAGGCTTTTCAGATAATTGTGAACAATCTTCTCTGATACTACACTCACACTCAACAAGTAGTAATGCAGTAGGATCTGAAAACTTATTGATAAACTTTTCATACTCAATACCTTAATGGCTATTGACTTATCTTGCATTGTGAGGGGATCTTTTACCCCTTTTGTAACATAGGTGATTGAGCATTTAGAAAATATTGGTTCTCAGAGCTATGCAGATTAAATGTTGACACATTTTATTATATAATATCAGCAGATCACATTTCCCTCAAAAACATGCTAAGTGAAAGAAGGCAGACACAGACAGCTATGTATTGTGTGATTCCATATACTATGATATTCTGGAAAGAGCAAAAATATGAGAACAATAGTCTGATCAGTGGTTTGCAGGGACTGGGAGGAGGAGGAGATTATTGATTCTAAAGAAACACCTGCAAGTTCATCCATGTTGTCAAAAATGACAGGATTTCCCCTCTTTTTAAGGTTGAATAGTGTTCCATCGCATATATACCGTATTTTCTTTATCCATTTATTCATTGATGGACTCTTACGTTGTTTCGGTATCTTGGCTATTGAGAATAATGCTGCAAAGAGCACAGGAGTGCAGATACCTCTACAGCATCCTGGTTTCATTTCTTTTGGATATGTACTTATAAGTGGGATTACTGGATTGTATGATAATTCTGCTTTTCATTTTTTGAGGAACTCTTATACTGGTTTCCATAGTGACTGTATCAATATGACTTTCTCCAAAAGTATACAAGTTTCTCTTTTCTCCACATCCTCACCAACACTTGTTATCTTTCATCTGTTTGATGACAGCCATTCTAACTTTGTAACTAAAAATAAATTTATTTAAAAATATTTCTGGAAACGTTATGGATTGATGGAAATATTCTATGTCCTATTTGTGTAGGAGAATACATGACTATATATATATATATATATATACCCAATCTCATTGGACTGCATACCTTAAGAAGTAAATTTTACAATATGTATAATAACCTGGATTTTCAAATAAGTCACGTTTCTTAAAATCACCATCTATCTTATCAGAAATATTGGGAGGCTCTCAGGTTCATGGTGTTGGATACAAATTTCCCAAAATTCTAATCTTTGCTTGAAAACTTGAATTTCATTTCATGGATAAAAAATACTTTCAGCTTATCACATCTACACTTAAAGTATTCAATTCCTTTTTTCTTTAAGCTCCAAAAGATTGATTTCAAAATGACACCACATCTGGCACTGTAATGCTATTCAAAAATGCTCTGTCACACATTACACAATAAGTTACATTAACATCACAGAAGCCAAAGGAAAGATAGCATTCGTCATACCTTTTATTGATGTGACAGGCTCACTTCATTTATTTTGCAGAAAATGTATGTCAAGTACTGAAGCCTGAATACTCATAGTTTGTCTGCTCTGTCATTCTTTCAAGTAAAAATGATGTTCCATAAAAAAGGTGGCTAGCTATTCCCAACTCAAATAATCAAACAAATGCCTTTCCTTGAGACAGCTATAGTACTTCAGAATGCAGCAAAAGTGCTTTATGCATTCTTCCAATTTTATCAAACAGAATGTTAAAAAGATATGTACTCAAAGGTTAAGATTTAATAAAATTAACCATTTTTACAGCTTTGGCAAAGACTTTTTTTTTTTTTTTTTTTTTTTTTTTTTTGAGACAGAGTCTCGCTCTGTCGCCCTGGCTGGAGTGCAGTGGCGAGATCTCGGCTTACTGCAAGCTCTGCCTCCCGGGTTCACGCCATTCTCCTGCCTCAGCATCCTGAGTAGCTGGGACTACAGGTGCCTGCCACCACACTCGGCTAATTTTTTTGTATTTTTAGTAGAGTCAGGGTTTCACCGTGTTAGCCAGGATAGTCTTCATCTCCTGACCTCGTGATCTACCCACCTCGGCCTCCCAAAGTGCTGGGATTACAGGCGTGTGCCACCACTCCCAGCCTCATGCTCATATTTTGAGTCCAGTTGGACCAAACAAAAGCCTACCAATCAAGAAGATTGTCTACTTGACTGACACAAGGTTCTGAAAAGAATTATTCTGCTTCTGCAATACACTGAGTTTAAATTATTTTCCCCTAAACATGTAATTCTCCGGAAATGGCGAAGAAATTGCTGCTTTTAAATCAAGTTTCATGATCAAATACTAGGTTTTGGATCTGACATTCATGAGACATCTGTAACAAGTGAGGTTACTTAAGGGATTTATAATAATTTGCTTTAAGATTTAAAAAGAAAAATATAAAAATACAGAACGACATGACAACTTTACATGGATGGACCACGTGCATCTAAAATTTACCTCTAAAGAACGAGTTAACCAAAAATCTTGCCATAAAAGCTGAAGCTCACATGCACAAAACAAAATGATTGCAAGAAAGCTCTAGATTTCGAGCCTAATTACATGTTTCTTGAAATAATACGTGGTGCTGGCATGAATTTGCCATATTGATAACAGAGATGCCATATTGCTTTATTTTTTAAATCAAATCTCGAATATAGCTCATGCCCCTAATCTCTATGGTGTAAAGGAAAAAAATCAGCCTCTATTATTATTGGAGCACTTTCTTCAATCTCTCTAAGGAATTAGAAAAGAATATGGGGTGTTTGTGGCATCAGAAGACAGAGGCAGAGTTTCAACCCTGGCCCATTATCATCATCTCTGAAATGTGATGGCCCAAAACCAGCAAAGACATTTTTAAGTGAATCTGGCTTCTTAAAATTTGCAAATATGCAGTAGGGAATACCATGACTGTCAAGACACTTTGGTGGCTCTCCTTTCATTGTTGCTAAGACATAAAAATGTTTGCACCATTTTTGCACCATTGTCGTATATGTCAACATTGTTTTTCCAAGATAAATCATGAGAGCAAAAAAGGTTACTCAATACTTTTGATTATTTCAGCACCCACCTGTGTTGGTTGCCACGTAGTCACATAAATGATCATCTTTGATGATTCATTGATGCTGAAACTGAATGGATACAAGCAAACCTAGATTCATCCATTTGAAAGGCAAAAGTAATTCAATATTCAAATCAAATTAATTCAGATTGAACACACATAGCTCAATTAGTCTCTTAGCTATTATATGCACTTTTCAAGCCAATGCAAGGGAATAATTAATTTACCTAAAGATGCCTCATTTGAAAATGTTTTGCTTTTAAAGACCTTATCATCTTTACTTTAATATATTCAATTCCTTTTCTTTAAACTGTTAAATACTGGTCTTAAAATGGTGTCACAAGTGGCACCATAGTTTTATTTCAAATGTTCTGTTGCCCATAACAAAATAGGGTTAGTTATTAATATCACTAAAGCCAAGGGAAAGACAGCTGTCATCATACTTTTGTTTCCCATTTACAGTTTCACTCATATTCCTCCCTTCCAGAGTCACAGAATTCTCTATAGTCAGTTTCATGTTTTTCATTTTCTTTATATACAGACGGTTTGGCTGTGGGTTGAAAAAGCTATTCTTCTAATCTCCCCTTATTTTTGGCCTGTAATATATTTTTAAATATTAGATAAAACACAATTTGTTTTATTATGGAATAAAATATTAAATTCTAAAATAAGTTTCAGAAAAAATTTAAAGTTTAAAAGTGTATTTTATGTATATTGCAAATATTATTACATACATTTAAAATATTACAAATGAAGACAATAAAGTGTACTTCTTATTGTGTTTCCACTTAGGTGGAAGGAAAACCTCAATTAATGATTTAGTGGATGACAATAAAATTACACATAATATATAAGACATAATCTGCTATTAAGGGTACAGTACAAGTATTGAAAACATACTGAGTTAATCTCTAAAAATGCTCATATATTTACCCTAAATCTACTACCTTAGAAAATTCTGGAAAACACAAAAATGCCCAAGACATATTCCACTAGCCATCAGAGTAATGATGTCACCACATAGCTAAACACCTAGAAGAGAATGAGAGTGAAGGTAGCAAATTACATCCTAGTAGCGTCATGAAAATAGTATTCGGTTGGCAGACCCTCCAAAAGGGTCTTAGGAATGCTCAGGGATCCACAGACCTCGCTCAAAAAGAATAGCTAGCTAGGCAACCATGGCACCCACCTAGAGAATGACAAGAGTCATGCCACCATCATCCTTTTCTTTTGATGACACTTGAAGGAGCCTGAACAATGATTATATCCTTGGACTGCTTGAGTTATTTAGGAAACAGGAGACGTGCTCAAGTTGGTAGCAAGACCTCAAAACCTGGGAGTATTGGTAGCTGGCCAGCCAAGATAAACAAGTGACAACATTGTCATCCCATAGCTCAAGCTAGAAATCTCAGCTTCACCTTTGGATCCTCTCTCCTTCACTCTCTATAGCAAATGCTACCGGCCTCTGCCTTGCTCTGAGCCCTCATTTTCTCTTGCTTGACTATTCCTGAAAGCCGTGTAAGTAAGCTTCCAGCCTCTCCCGCCACCACTGCCACAGAGTTTTCCCACACACTGTCTACTAGATGGGGCAAAGGGAGCCCTTTATAATCAGGCCCCAGAGATTCTCCACCACTTTCTGTTTCAGCCACTCTAAAAAAGTTCCCAAACACAGAATGCTCCATTGCGTCTCCTAGCTTCTGCACATGCCCTAAAATTCTGCTTCAAGCCCAATTCAAATGTCAACTCCTTCATGAAGCTTTCCTCAGTGCTAAGACAGAGTCTGTGCTCCCAACACATAACAACTTGGTGACCACACTTATTACACAAGAATGTCTTTACTTACTCACATAAATGTCTCCCAATCTTTCTGGAGAGAAGACACAGTATGTCTTAGCCACATCTAGAGCCCCCACTCTAACTGAGCTCATGTCTGGTGTACTGGCGCATATTAGGTGCCTAATCCACATTTGCTAGAGAAATTGGATGCCCTAGAAAGCACTGAGTGCTCCAGTCACCCATTGATTTAGTTGTTAAGATGAATTTTCCCATTCAACAATCTTTCTAAGGGCTCATGCGATACTTTGCTGTGAAACTGATGCACAATAAAAGATTGTTAAAACACAAAAGATGCAGCGTGTCAGCAGACAAGCTGCCCTGGTGGCAAGAACAAAGCCAGTATTTCTTTCAATTGTGTGGGATCCAGGTACCCTATATAGGTAGTTCTCAAATAACTATGTTTTGATGGTAATATATAGTCAGGCACTTGTCATGGGATAGCTCAACTGATAATCTCAACAAGCCTATGAAGGATGCCTTATTTGGTCACATTTCATAGATGAGGAAGCTGCAGTGCAGAGAGTAACTTGGCCAGGAAAAAGCTTCCTTCCAACATCAAAGCCCAAGCACTTCCACTCTGCTGCTTACGAAGACGGCTGGTGCTAAAATCCTTCCCAAGTGAGACTTCTCTTACTACTACAGGATTTTTTCCTTTTAGTAATTTTTCACCATGGATTAATGAGGAGTTTTGTTTTTTGTTTGTTTGTTTGTTTTTGTTTTTGCTGAACACTAAGAACAGTGTGGAAAGAATCTCCAGCCAAAAGTCAGTTCTACCCTAAAAGGGAAAATCCAGAATTCAGGCCTCAAATCTCAAGCTTTTCTTGTTGCTTCTGGTTAGTTCATGAATGAAACAGATTAGCACACAATAATGGTAATGTGCAGGACCTACTTCCCAGACCCGGCATCATTTTTCACACTTAATTGTTGATATAACATTCATGGGATGGCAGTGTGTCCACTTTAATTATTTCGATGAGTTACAAAAGTTGTAGCATTGTACTTTATTAGATAAGAATGAGGAGTGTCAATGGAAAAAAAGTCTATAACATTATAAAACACCCCCTTCCCAAGACAAGCACTCGTGTCTGTTCTGAAATAGTTGTATTTTTTCCAATTACATCTTGAATGAACTCGATACGAGGCATGATGGGGGAAATCTACTTTCTGGCATCTATGTTTCATGTCCTGCTTAGAGATGGTGAACATTTTCATTGTCCATTTTATCCAGTCTTTCAAAGTGCAGTATAGAAATCTGAAGACTCAGAAAAACACTTTTCATTTAAAGTCTGCTTTCCCAGGATGGAATTCTTCTGTGACGAATTGTTGATGTCTATGAGTAACAAACACTATGAATAGTGTCACAGAATCCAACAAATATCCTGAATACTAAACCATAAATCATATGACAAGTTCTTATGCTAATTCTGAAAGATATTTTCTTTAAATTAAGCAATGAAACCAAATATGGTATGTCTATTAAAGTAATCCACTGTGGAGGGGGAACATTCTTTCTAATAATTGCAATTTGGTTCATTATGATGAGGTTTTTGTTTCGCAGGAAACAATGAGGATTTTTAAAAGATCTTCACTGAAAATTCAGTCAAAACAATGTCAGTCTTGATGTTACCTCACATAAACTATTTTTAAAGAGATTTCTATCTCAATGGAAATGTCAGCAAAATAGGGAAAGTGTTCTCATGTCATTTGGAATATAAAGGTGGAAGGTATATGTAAAAATTTCAAGTGTTAAACTAATACTATAACCAACTAATTTTGACTTAATAAATGTTTTTCATGCAAAAAAATTTACCCAATTCATGTATTTAAACCATTCACATCTCATCTGAAACTTTTTTTTTTTTTTTTTTTTTTTTTTTTTTTTTTTTTTTTTTGAGACGGAGTCTCGCTCTGTCGCCCAGGCTGGAGTGCAGTGGCGCGATCTCGGCTCACTGCAAGCTCCGCCTCCCGGGTTCACGCCATTCACCTGCCTCAGCCTCCCGAGTAGCTGGGACTACAGGCGCCCGCCACCACGCCCGGCTAATTTTTTGTATTTTTAGTAGAGACGGGGTTTCACCGTGTTAGCCAGGATGGTCTCGATCTCCTGACCTCGTGATCCGCCCGCCTCGGCCTCCCAAAGTGCTGGGATTACAGGCGTGAGCCACCGCGCCCGGCCCTGAAACTTTTTTAAAGATAGACTAGCCATGTTGTTTTCAGAATATATTGTTGATTTTGTGCTTAAAACAAATATGAGTGATCCTAAACTCTTTCTGTTCCATTTTATGCAAATCATTCCCATACCAGCTAGGCACCACATATTTTAAAATCCTTTATGTACTGTTTTGTTTTCTCCTTATAGTACTTTTCAGCTTTTAGGTAACAATCTATGGATTGTTTATTCCTTCTCAGAGTATGCTATTTTTAAAAACTTAGGGTGAATTTGAAATAAATGTTTAACTTATTATAAATATATCTGTACATGTATGCACGTACACATGTTATATAGTATATACATACACACATATATATTTGCAATTGCCTTCTTTGTCTACCATCTTTAAATGTCTATTTCTTTGTTGGACTGAAAAGAAGTGCATTGTTCTCAGCTGAAGTGGAGAAGCAGACAGATGAAAAATGAGCAATCCAGATCTGAGCAGAGGAAATCTGCATTTTAAAAATGCTTTGAAAGAAGTCTGCATTCCCCTAGGACACAAGACTCTCACTATTCACTCTACTCAGTAATATAGTACATCAGGACATGATTTTCCTAGATTAATTACATAGGCCTATTCAATAATAATGACTCATTATTATACCAACTACATCCTTACACCAGCAAGCCTAGAACTTACCAGCTTCATCAAATGCTACTTAAAGGAAATAGCCTACCTGCTGATACACACACACACACACACACACACAGCAATGCTTGGGTCTGTACAAGGATTTTATGGGTGAATGCCCCAGGGGAGAGCACCCAGCACCCACCTCTCAGGATAAAGGCAAGGGAACTCTGGTAATTGGTTTAATTATATTCTGTGCACCAGTAAGGTTGATGTTTTCAAAAATTGTCCACCAGTGGGGACCAGGATGATCTCTTTCTCACACTCGCTTACCTCTGAGTCTTCATTCATGATGTTCCACCATCTCCCTCTCAGTTGTTCATTTAAGCCCTACCCAGTCTTAGAGCCCAGCAGCAGCCTGATTGCCTCCATGAGGCCTCCCCAGCCCTCCAGAACACACTCAATTCTCTCTCTCAACACTCTCATCAGTTATGACCAGGACATTCCCTCAATTGTTCTTGACCCTTTACTCTCTTGTATTGAATAGTCTAATTCAGCAAATAGTTGTGGAGAACTACCATGTGACTGATACTATGCTTGACATCATGGAAGACACAGAGGAAGACAGATAGTATTTGGAATGTTTCCTATGCACCAGGCACTTTATATAGACCTCACTCATCATTTTAAAGGGGTGCTATTACCCCCAGGACAGCAGTGAAGAAACAGCAGGAAAGGAGTTCAATAACCTGCCAAAATTTGCACATCAGTAAGGAATACAACCAGAATTTAAGTCCATGTCAATCTGATTTTATACTCCTTATTCCAGAAGTTACAGAAACATGGCCCGGGGACTCTGTGAGTAACTTTAGATAGGCATATACCTTGCAGTTCTCCACAGGCCCCATCCCACCCTATTGTCCTCTACTCACACACTAGGACTCTCCTTCATGTTACCTGCGTCACTCCCAAAGATGGTTGAGTTTCCTCCCCTGCTACTTCCTCCAGTTGTCTATTTCAACTCATGGTTACACTTTAGCAGGGAAGAAATTACAACATAAAATAAAAGAAAAGCATAGATTCTCAAGGGAATGGGGAAGTTATCCTGGAATATAGAATGGCATGAGTCTTGAAGGTTAGGATTTGGGAAGAAGGAGCATGGGAGAAGAGTGTTCTAAGGAGAGGGAATGGGAGAAGGAAAAAATTTACATAGGTAAGATGAGAAAGCACCGTCAGACTTGATGAGCAGGAATTTGGTTTGACTGGGGAATGGGGTCTGTTAAAGGCAACAGCAACAGAGAGAAAGATGAAAAGAGTAGTGTGGGCCGGCACCTGAAAGACTTTGAATGCCACGCTCCACAGTCTAGACTTCATTTGTAAAGATTAAGATCTCATGCAGATTTTTTTTTTTTTTTCTGAGATGGAGTCTGGCTCTATCACCCAGGCTGGAGTGCAGTGGCGAGATCTTGGCTCCGCCTCCAGGGTTCAAGCGATTCTCCCGCCTCTGCCTCCCAATTAGGTGGGATTACAGACGGCCACCACCACGCCCAGCTAATTTTTGTATTTTTAGTAGAGATGGGGTTTCACCGTGTTGGCCAGGATGGCCTCAAACTCCTGACTTCAGGTGATCTGCCTGCCTCTGCCTCCCAAAGTGCTGGGATTACAGGTGTGAGCCACCACGCCTGGCCTCATGCAGAGTTTTGGAGAGGCATGTATTTGCAACCAGATTCCGGAAGAACAATCCAGCAGGAACGGGCAGTAGCTACATGTAAGGGGGAACAACTGGGTGAGAGAGCAGGGGAACAAAGGACTCCTAGATAAATGTGCTTATCTAGAAGTGAGTTGCTAAGCCTGCACCAGGGAGTAGCAGGAAGAACGGCAATAGCGGGTAGAGGTAGAAGGGGAACTAATGCAAGAGAATTCTGGCCTGCCTTGCTCTTGCTGAATGGAAAGCACTCCACACTTTTGCTCACATGCCGTCTTGTCTAAGATGCTTCCCTGCCCACCTGATATAAAATAGCCCTCCCATCCCATCTCCAGCCTCCCCATTCCCCTGATGCTGCCTTATCTTTCTCCATAGACTTTATCACTATTTGACATACTACACACTTACTTGTTTATTTGTTTACTGCCTGGCTGCTCTGACAGCAAGTTAAGCTTCAGACATACAGGAATCCTTGCCTGTTTTATTCCCTGCAGTATCTCCAAAAGTGCCTGTCACATAGAGGGTACTTAATAAATACTTGTTAAATGAATGAATAAATGAAGTCTTCCTGAGGGTGTGGTGTTTTCTTTCACCATCCAGAGAACAAGCCCGAGAATCCTGTTTTATAGTCCTGCACACCCCACAGTGCCACATTTATGTAGGCCCTGTCACCTCAAGTGCTACAGCCAGACCCTTACCTAACCTAGCCTTCCAAATGGATGCCACACTCTTTCCTCACCTGCACCCTTTGCAAGGACAAGGAGCTCCTCTTGACAAGGTTCCAGTTATGTGGCACAGCAGCTGATGAAGGACTTACCGAAATCGCTATTTCAGGGTGCATGTCATGAATCTATATAGAACTGCAAGCTCATGTCACTCTGTGCTTTCCTTGGATAGCACTCATCACAATGTAATTGATTAGTTGTGGTATAATTATTTATTCATGGGACCTGTGATTCTCAAACCTACCAGGTCCAAATCTCCTTTTTATGACAAATATTTTCCAGTACCTTTTTTTTACTAACCTGAAATGAAATGAATGGATAATATAACCTGCCTACACACATATTTTTTTAAAAATCAATATAATGCCCTAACTGTAATATAAAAAAGAAATAAAAGGAAAGTAAGTTATAATAAAACAGTACATATTTCAATATCTGAATTCCCTGGGTTAACTATGCTAGGAAACCTAATGAGGAAGTAGGCAGATGTTTTACCTGTAGGTAGAGTCACCAGGAATGTGATGTTACCAATATAGACTGATACAGGCATTTCGATTTGCACACCCAGACACCATGAATAGCCATCGAGGTATGATTTTCCAAAACGGTGAACGCTTCTTCTTTAAGTCCAATGGTTATTTACCTATTAAGAAAGGAATCCCAAAAAGTGCTGATGATTAATTTTTATTTAACATAAAACTGAGGCAGACCCATCATTTTCGTCCAGTCAAAGAAGTTTCAGAAACTGAAGACAGTTGGAAAAGGAGCCTACCTCACGCAGGCAAACACATGCCCCACTTTTTTTTTTTTTTTTTTTTGAGACGGAGTCTGGCTCTGTGGCCCAGGCTGGAGTGCAGTGGCACAATCTCGGCTCACTGCAAGCTCCGCCTCCCAGGTTCACACCATTCTCCTGCCTCAGCCTCCCGAGTAGCTGGGACTACAGGTGCCCGCCGCCACGCCTGGCTAATTTTTTGTATTTTTAGTAGAGACAGGGTTTCACTGTGTTAGCCAGGATGGTCTCGATCTCATGACCTTGTGATCCACCCACCTCGGCCTCCCAAAGTGCTGGGATTACAGGCGTGAGCCGCCGCGCCTGGCCTCGTGACCCACTTTTTAGATGTAGACAGAAATATCTGTCTGCCTCCAGCCATCCCGATCTACAAAACTAGAGCAGTTTTGAAGATTTTGCTGTGAATATGTATCACAGTTTAAGTTCTTTCTCATTAGAATGTGGTTCATGTTAAAAATCTAGAACATTTAAGCCAATCAAAACTAATGTTTCCTTTTTAAAATAACATTTTATAGCTCCCTTTTACCATCCTGAAAACAAAGTTCATAGATTACATAACCTACCATACATTTATTTTCAAAAAGTCAATATAATGCTAACAATAAGGGAACAATAAAAAGAAAATAATTTGTGAAAAAAATTATACATATCCACATTATTACATAAATGCTTGGGCACAAACATGCAAAAAGATACAACCAGCTAGTCTGAACTTCATGTTACGTATAGAATTGCTGTGAATGTCCTAGCTACAAATGCAAACTCATCTAAATGCATTGAACTGGTGACTCCAATACCATGAGTGACATTCCCATTGGCAACGTGATTTTTTGCAAAGGGTGAACAATTCTTGATAAAGTTGGGGAAATAAAACACAATCTTTCCTTGATTTACAATTGTATTTTTTAGATAAAAAATAAGTATAAAGTTAAAAATAAAATTACCATATGATCCAGCAAATCTGCTGCTGGGTATATATCCAAAAAAGTTGGAAGAGACTCTCAAAGAGATATGGGCACACCATTGCTCACAGCAGCATCATTCACAACAGCCAAGAGGTGGAAGCAATTCAAGTTCCATTACGGATGGATGGATAAACCAAATGTAGTAGAAGCACACAACAGAATATTATTGAGCCTTAAAGAGGAAAGAAATTCTGACATATGCTCTGACAAGGATAAACCTTGAGGACATTATGCTAAGTGAAATGAGGCAGTCACATAAAGATGAATACTATATGACTTCACTTAAATAAGATATTTAAAATAGTCCAATTCATGGAAACCAAAAGTAGAATGGTAGTCATCAGGGGGTGGAAAAAAGAAAAAGGAAATGTTGTTTAATGCGTACAGAGTTTCAGATTTACAAGAGGAAGTTCTAAAGATCTGTTGTACAGCAAATGTGAACGTACTTAACACTACTGAACTGTGCACTGTTTATATGGTTAAGATTTGTTAGGCTATGTTAAGTGGTTAAGACACTAAATTCTACATTAGGTGATTTTTTCACAGCAGAAAAAAAATCAGCACAAAATAAAATCATACAAAAGCCACTTCGTGTTTATATATTAACCGGTTTGATTGTAGATTAATTGCAAAGAGCTTTTGTCACCTACACGCCTGTTCCCCAAGATGTTTGAAAGATCATGCAGGATAAAGAAAAATTCTTCATTGCATGGGCCTGTCCTGCACATTGTAGAACACCTAGTCTCTCTCTTCTCTGCCATCCCAATGCCAACAGCATCCTCCAATAGTGTGACAACCCAAAACGTCCCCACAAATTTCCAAATGCTCCCTATGGGGTGGAACCATGCCCAATGAGAAACATGATGCTAGATGGTAAGTTGCATGACGACAAGGATCTGTGTCCCTTGTAACTGTATCCTCAGCACCTAACAAAGGTTTAGTACGCACTACTAAATTGTGTTCAATGAATAGCCATTGAGTAAATAAAGGAATGTACCCTTGAGCCTGGAGACTGTCTAGTTCATCTTTAGCCTTCCCTTCCCACCCCCACCCCAACCTCTGGCATGCCTAGGGCTCAGAAACATTTTTTATTCACTTACCAAATATATTATGCTGAATATGCAAATAATTGGATAAAACACACAACTCCTACCCTGTGGAAGTTACAGGCTGTTTAGAGAGACAGATAATAAACACATAAACAGTGTAACACAGCTAGGCCTTTAGTTTGGTCCCAACTTAATAATAATAGTTGTAAGGGAGTAGTAATAGTAGAGGTAGTGGTCATAGTAATACTGCTAATGACACTACTTCTCCCACCAGCTGTTATTTCCACCATTAGATATTATTTGTAGAGTATTAGTGGGACGCCAAGCCTATAACTTTCAATGCCTCTTCTAATTCTGACTCAGCTCTTACAAGCTCTGCGCTGTCAGAATCCTGCTGGCTGCCACAGCATCATTTCTCAACGCTTCCTCTTTCCCCACCCTCCACTGTACACTCCAGTCAACACTGTATTTCCTTCAGCTCCTCAAATATGCCATACTCCCTGTTCTGAACCATACACAGGCAGTCCTTCTTCCTGGAAGACCCTTCATTCCCACTCTGCCGGGGTAAGTCCTACTCATCAACTACACATCACTTCCTTTGGGCAGACTTCCTTGATCCTTTCCCAGTGCTTCTTCCTTGCGCTTCCATAGTACCCTGACCTTCCTCCACAGCAGCCCTTACAGCACTGCATTGCCCGTTTACTTATCTGTTTCCCCCATTAAGAGTGTAAAATCTATGAGGTTAGAGACCATGTTTATCTTTTGACTATTATATCTCTTAGTAGGAAACATTTGGATTTCCTGGAATCCCCTTTACCATCCCTGGTTTCTCTTCTCTGCCTTCCATATGCTTCTGTTTCTAACAGACTGTGTCTGCAACCCTCTTTGGAGGGCTTGAGTTTATGTTCACCCTTCACCCATGGGACAGCCCTTAGCCAATGACTGATTGGTACTGGAGTACGAAAGTCCAGATCCCTTTTCCATAGGTGGGAACAAATACTGCAGCATAACTTATTTTCCAGCGATCCCCTTCAAGATCAGCTTCAAGCCACCCTCTATGGGTCTTTGCCTGAAATGGCACCCTTGCTTGTCTTCTTCTCCCTTGCTGTTTCCACTGTTCTGTTACAGGTTTCTCCTGGAGGCATTCCTTTACAAATCACTCTCACACAAATCCTTGTCTCAGGGTCTACTTCTGGCAATCTCAACCTAAGCTATGCCCTGAAAAACTAATATAGTATCTGATACAGAGTAGAATCCAGTAACTGTCTGTAAATTAATCAATCACTTATGATAGAATCCAACAAAGTAGCAAGTATATTTATTCCCATCTTATGTATGAGGAAACTGAAGCTAAGGGTAAGTAGAGTAAGCTCTAACCCACACAGCTGGCACTTGGAGATCCAGGAACCAATTCCAGGCACATATATGGCTCCAAACTAAACTTTTCAACAGCACTATGTTCCACCCAGCACTAGTTCGATGTTTTCGGAAATGGCAGAAGGCACCATAACCCTTGGGTATCTACTAGTTCTAAATTCCCTTCTAGTGGTAGCTTCTCCTAGAACCAACATTCACTCAAAAACAGAACCTTCACAGCCCTGGGAAGATATACTGCTTCAATGTGATTTACCAGATGACATTTCTGGAGTTCAATCTTGTTATCAACTATCAGGAAATCTTCAAAGTGTCAAAGCCAAATAAAGATCTATTCCCTAACACAGGCAAGAGGAGGAAAATTTGCAGAAGTGTCCCATGCTATCAGGCATTGCCAAGGAGAAGGAGATAAAAAGTAATAGCCTAATTTTCGTTAAGTGATTGCTCTCATAAAGTAAAAGAGAACTTGTCCTTACCAGGACATTAACCCTGCGTTGCTCAGACAATTAAGGGAAGTCATAAATTAATCCATAATCATGATCCGAAAAGAAAATTTATCTTAGCACAGAGGGTAAGAAAAGAAGAAAATTGTCTTGGAGAGGATACTTCATCTGTTCTATTTTGCAAGACAAGCCATAACCCTCATGCTTTTATGCTTACAACTCTCTTTCTTTTATCCACACCATCCCATCTTATCTTCATCCCTCTTTTTCTCTCTCTGCTTCCCTCTCATCTTTACCTTAATAGCCCCTACCTCAAATCCTTGATCTCAAGATTTAAAAATGAAAACAGTGAATATTCTTTCACAGAAGCTGAAAGAGTATTTTTTTTGGTTTTTAGATTGCTTTAATCTGAAACGTTATTCAAAAAGCTTATCTTTTCACTAAAGACTATAGAGATCCTTCAGAACTGGATGTAAATGAAACTTAGGGAATGAAAACATCAAGATGGTTAAGGGATTGTGACTTGTTATCTTTGACTTTATTGTTGTTTCTCTTATTATTATTAATGATCATATTTAAGCAATAGATATGTGTTTGGAGAGAGAACAAAAGGAGGGAAGGAGGCAGAGGTGAGAATGTACTGACCACCTATGCTGTTCTATACACTGTAAATATATCTTATTGAGTCTTAATCAGAAATTTCTCAGATAGGTATTTTTATCCCCATTTTACAGATGTTGAAACTGAGCATGAAATCTTATTTCTCTTGCAAAGCCAGGATTTAGTTCCACCTCTATTTGTCTCCAAAGACCAGGCTTTGGGCTTTGAGATGAGGAATGACCAAGGAGAAGAGATGGATGATGGACGTAAGAGGCTTAAAAAACACTTACATAAAGCTCCTGTTGTTTTATAGTCCTCTAGTAAATAATAAGTTTGAAAGTGAGATCACTTTTGATTCTCCTTTGGCAGATGATTTTTTTTAACTGAGTTTGGAAGGGAAGAAGATGAGGATAATGGGACAAGGAGTCAGGGCCTTGGAGCAAGAAGAGATGTCTAATATTTTCGGATATGATTCTTCTTTATCATTCTTCCCATCAATCACACAGTCTGCATGCATTGCCTTGAGGGAAGGATGACATAGCGTAAGGAAGATTGTTTTTGGTATTTGAGATTCAAAAGCCAAGCCCTAAGGGAACAATAAGAATTCATGTGAGCATAGATAAGAAATTTAGAAGAATATGAGATAGTAAGTAAGCTTTTGTTCCTAGACGGAATCCTATAGAATAGCAGGAGGAGAGTGGACAGGGTAAGTTACAGAAGTTTGAGAAACTGCCAAGACAGGAGTGGAGCCCACACCCAGAGCCTGCTGTGTGTGTGGGCAGCACTGTCTTCCAACTTACTGCCCAGAGCCTCTAATATCTCCACTCCCAGATCCTCCACAGGGCAAGAGCAGGCAGAATCCTGGAGAGTGAATGATGCAGAAGACTAGCAGTGAGAAAGGGCAAGATGAGAAATAGGGTTAGAATCAGAGGAGGCTCGGTGGCCTGCATTCCTTCTTGTCATCAGTTTATCTGCTCTCTTTAGGGTCACTACAAAACAGACATATACAGAGCGCCAGCAAAATTTTCCAAAGCCAAACTCAATTTTTCAAAAATAAATGAAATTCATGTTGAATTTGTTGCTTCTGGTGTTTTTAAACCAACCTAAACCAACCACTTACAAAGTAGGATAGCTTTACAAAGAGGGCAAGGTGACTTTATAAAGTGTTTCTAGCTTCCTGGCTTCCCATAAAACTGCAGAAAATACAAAGCGTCTCTACAGAGCTTTAGAGAAATTCTCAGTGGAAGATTTGATATTAAATTTCTTCACCGAGTCAACCTACTTGGATTTCTCTTTCATAAGATCCTAATGTTTGAGTTTATTTGGGTTGTGTGTTATTCTTAAATAGTAGCCATCACTTGTTTATAAGCATATAAAAGGCATGTCTCCCCACTTTTTGACAAATATCAAACGAATAGAAAAACTGAAAGAAGAAGAGGGCATGGTATGCCCTTTACTTGTGCTTGTGTGGCCTAATAAAATAACACACCCATAATATTTTAGCAGAGATATTATAATGATCTTAGCATATTGCCTGACATGTTAGTGACTGATTATTACTTCTGGCATTTAGGTAGACTGGTTACCAACAGTATCTGGAGTATATAAAAATATCATGAAATACACAAATGGCATCTTGATGAAAGCATTATCAATATGCCTCAAAAATTGATAGTTCACCCTAAAAATCTACTTCTATAACAACATATGCATAAAGTTATTTATTACAGCATTATGGTAACTTCAAAATATTGGAATTAACCTGTAAACCTCTCACTAGATTTTGGTTGAATAAACCATGGTGCATCTACACAATAGCATATTATATAACCATCCAAAAGGATGAGAATGATCTCTATAAATTGATATGAATATATTATTTGTTAAAAAAGCAAAGCACAGAAGAGTGCATGTATAGTATACTATAACTTTCTATATATAAAAAGACAAACTATGGAAATATCTATATCTATCAATTACCTATCTATCTACTCTTATAGATACACAGGGAGAAATAAATCATAAAATATAAAATTGTACCTACAGAAATAAGTAAAAATATAGTAAAGGAACAGGAATGGGAAGGAGAGCTCTCTGATACCAGCTTGGTTTTTGTGAGACACTCTATAAGGAAATTAGCCTTGGCTATTTAAAAATGTCAAAAAAAATTTAAAAGGCTGAGAAATTATTCCTAGATTAAAGGAGACTAAATAGATATGACAACTAAATGTGTAATATAGTATTTTATAGGCTCTTGTATTATATATACACACATATATATTTATATATCTATACAGATTTTATTTATACATCTATATAGCTTTCTAACAAGCTTACATAACACAATGTTAACAACTGGTAAACATAACAGTTGTAACATTTGCAAAACTCAATTAATTTGCAATTTTCTTTTTATTAATTAGATTTGGCATGTTATAAGCCATTTGTCTTTCTTTTTTGATGAATTGTCTATTCATATTTTTCGTCCGTTTTTATTTTGAGTTGTTGGTCTTTATCTTACTGATTTATAGGGATCTTCATGTAATAAGAGAATAAGTTTTTTGTGTTGTAAGTTGCAGATATTTTCCCGAGTTTTTCTTTTATCATTTTATGGCATTTTGTTTCTCAGATAGATTTTTAAAGAATTTACTGTAGCCAATAGTTATCAAACCTTTCCTTTTGTTATAGTGTTTGGATTATGTTTACAAAGGCCATCCGAACTCCAACATGGTGCTCATGTTTTCCTCTACTACATTTATGGTTTACTTATATGTGTGTTTGTGTGTATGTGTGTGTGTGTGTGTGTGTGATTAAATATTTAAACCATGTGAAATGTAGATAAGTTTAAGTGAAGTAGGGATAAAATTTAATTTTTCTTCAGATGGCTATCCTATGGTTTAAACACCATGTATTGAATAATTTATTTTTCCCCATTACTAAATTCCTGTATGTATTTAGGCCAATTTCCTATATATTATCTCCTTTAATTTTTAAAGTAATCTTGTAAGCTAGGTATTATTACTATATACCTAGACGAACCTACTTGGGGAGGGGAAAGCTTTTATTCCAGAGCTCAGAAAATATGACGGCAATAGAATGTGAATACGAAGACTTGAAGAAAATTTAGGACCATGGCAAATGCATTTGTGTTAGATAAAAGCTTCATAAATTAATAAATTTCACTGTATTTATTATAGCTCTAGCCAAAGGAAATAAATGCAATAAATGCCTTGTTAAAAAAAATACCATGTTATTGGCTAAATTATTAGTGAGCAGTGACCCTAATTAACAAGGTAATAACTTGCCTACTTGCTGATGGGGCAGTTTTTCAAAATTCATCTGTGCCAGGTAAGCCTTCCCTACAGGATAAGAAAATGTATTATATTTAGACAAATGTAAAAAACAAACAAAAAAACAGGATTCTGACAACTGATCAGGACTCAAAAAGACATGTGTCTTATTCCCTAGGCCTCCTTCCAGCCCTGCCCTCTCCCATTCCCTATTTGAGGAGATAGTAGAACACCTGCCCTCATGAGAAAGAATGATCTATCTTATTTCTCAAGAATAGGTCTTGGGATCCTCTGCTGCTTTTCCTCTTAAACCTCTTCTTTGCTACAAGCTGTAGTTCTCAGGTACCCAGTAGACTGGACTCTAAGATGCTGATTATCCAAATTTGTTTGCTCCCTAAGAATTCAGTGTTTATGACAGTGTGACCCACAGCATATTGAAGTCTAATATCCTCAAGCAGTGAGCAGAAAGAGGCTTTAGCTTTGCATGATTACTGAAAGCTGAACAGCCTGCCCAGTGTTCCTCTGATTTTCATTTTCCGAGCTTTATGCCAGGGAAAAGAGGTCAGGGAAGGTCAATTCTATCCACACTGCTGATCCCACACTGAACATTGATCTGAACAGGCGAGGCCAGAAGAGTTAGCCCTAATGTAAACGTGAATAAAAAGGCAACCGCCATGGTCTTTGAGATTAGTAATAAAAACCAAATACACTGGGACCCATTTACTTATGTTTTTAATAGAGCAGTGGTGTGGGGAAGGTAATATTTAAATTCACATCTGAATCCACAGAAAACCAAAATAGCCCTGCTTCCAAGAATCTTGTTTTCTGACAATCAATTATTAATATTAATTCAAAAAGAATCTCCTCTGCTTCCCTAAAAGTTTAATTAAGAAGTGTAAGAAGTGTGTTCTAACAAGTCTGATACAGGCTCAGATTCAAATCCGTCCATCAATCCATGAATCAATACTTATCAGACTCCAACAAAATAAAATATCTACTCAGATGAGGTTCCCTTCAGAGAATAATTTGACGTTCTCATCTTCTCCTGATTCAGTAATTTAGGAAAACGTGAAGTGTGACTACAAAGTAATGATACTGATTCCACTTGTCACACATGAAAATCAACCTTGTCATTTATATAATTCCAGTCACTTATATAATTTGGAATCTCATCACTTATATAAATTGGAACACTTTGGGGAAACAAAGAAAATTCTTGTTATGGGTTATATATTAGGATAAATTGATATTGTGGCTGATTTAATTCACTGTTCCTATAAATTAATAGATTGGGTTTAATTTCAGTTTTAGAGTTTTATGGGTTCAAGTATCTGAAATATACCAAGGATCACCCAGGGGCAAGGCTGTGTAGTGTGGTGTGTGCATATGCATGTGTGTATGTGTGTACATGCATGGGCATGTTGAAAGTGGGACTGCAGGGTAATAGTAAAAGCAGAAAACATAACTTTAAGAGTTTGAAATCTAACTGAATGGACAACAACTAACAGCCCCGTCGCTAACAGCTGTGTGACCTCCAGCAAGTTACTGAGCTTCTCTCTGCCTGTTTCCTTGTCTGTAAAATGCAGGTAGTAATAGTAACTACTTCCTAAGCCTCAGGTGAGGATTAAGTGAGCTCATATATGTAAAGTGCTAAGCACAGTCAACACTGGACTTGGTGATGATAATAATGACTATGGTACTGCAATAACAGTGCAGAGAGATATTATTGCATTTATTGCAGCAACATTGTCATCAGCGTTCAAGATTTAATTTTGGAACTGGAAGAAATCTTAACTTTCAAAGTTGCTTGGTTCAAATACACTGTTTCACAGGGAATAAATTGTGGCAACATAGAGGTGATATGACTGCCAATGTTAGTGATAGGTGGAGGCCTAGAAAGAACCCAGTCTCCTGACTCCTTTGCCTTGTTTGTGTAATTATGAGGAAGGAGAGATATTTTGTGTGTTAGAGAGGGTTACTCAAAAACTCAGTGAATGAATACTGTCAAAGCAGTTTGAGGCACGAAAAGGGTAGACATTAAGTAAAGTCAGACACCAGTCAACAGCATTTATTGATTTATTTCTGTGTGAAGAGCATTGTATTATGTGCTGAATGGGAATGCTGTATTCTTATTCTTCAAGGCATAGAAGTTGACCTGGTATAGGTTGACCTGAATTTTTCTGTAAAAGCTTTCTCTAGATGGCTGCTTAAGCAGCTGTTAATCGAAAGAGAAAACTCCATTCCCCGCACCTTTCACTCTTCAACTTCACCAGTGCTCCCAGTGTGCCTTGGGATGCAGTAGACTCCTTTACCAGCACTCACCAAGTAGCTTGCCCCAGACCTTGGAAAGACTCTTGGTCCCGAAGTATAGGCTAAGAAATTAGGCTCGACAGTATTTTATTTTTTAAAAACCTGTGTATTGTGCAATAAAGATAAAGCCATCATTATTCTTACATAAAATCTTTTCAAGTTTATTAACCCTAAAGCTTGAATATTTAGTTGAATCCAATGTTCTTAGATCGTATTCTATTTCTCCCTGCAAATTATAGAGAAATCACCAATAAACATCCTGGTTCATAATACGAGAGCTGCAACGATTTTTGCCCTTGCCTCTGTCTCTGCAACAGAAAGGGAGAGAGAGGAGAGAATGGATTTGGCATTCTAGCTGAGCTCCAGGCACCCATGCATCCATGCAGCATATGCACTTCAAAGGGTACTGGGCAGCCACCAAGAGAGGCCCCAAACTGCACCCTCACCAGGTACTGTGGTTTAGTTGGTCTTCACTCCCTGCCCCCACTGCACCTCCACTTAATATTCACTTTTATTGCAACCACATTCTTCACAATTGATCAGCAGTTTCTTTTGGAAATTCAGGATAAAAAAAAAACAGTCATTTCCAGCAGGTACATTCTTCATGTCTTGATTTTTTATTTACTCTATATTTTTGATAAAGGTGTATTGGAGGTATATTTGTTCTCTGCACATGTGTGTTTGTGTGTGGAGTGAGGGGTGGTAGTCACCAAAGGAGATGCCAGGAATCTTGAGCTGTAAAAGAGATAATAATTAAAAGAGAATTTCAAGGTGGGATTTTTCTGTGAACTGACTAAACTCTGTGAATGATCAGGCACATCAAAACATAAAGACAAGCAAACAACCTTCTCTCGGTTCTATACTTTTCAGGCTCAAATAAAGCTGAAACTTACAGAACTTGAATATTTAATTGCATCCAGTGTTCTTAGACTTTTTATTTAGAGCTGGATGCTTTTGCTTATAAGGCCCTAGGATTGTGCTTATAATATGGCTGGGAGAGAAAAGACCTCAGTGCCAGACTTCTCAGTGGGGCTGGAACTAGAAATAGATAGGTGATAGATAGATAGATAGATAGATAGATAGATAGATAGATAGATAGATAGATAGATAGATAGATAGATTAGATAGATAGATAGTAGATAGATGGATAGATAGAGGATAGAGAGATGGTAGGTAGATAAATAAATAGATTGGTAGACAGATGGCAAATAGTAGATAGATAGACACATATATACATAGAGGGATAGACAAAACAGAAAAGAGTGAAATAAGTGGATTAGTATAAAGGGAGAAAAAGTTCCACTTTTAAAGAAAAGTGGAAAACAAAGCTCTCATTATTACCAAATGCATTTGCCCTAACAACGTGTTTTGTGGTTTCGTTGCCGCAGTTTTTCTCTCTCAAAAGAATTACTATTCATGAGTTATAAACAGGAGAGTGACGCATACTTATAGGAAGCAGCCAGTAAATATACGTAAGTAAAGAAGTTCTGTATTATTTTCCTTTTAAATTTTACATTGTTTATTGTTTATTATTCAATTTTTTCTGTTAGATTCATCCCTGTTGCCTGAAAACAATTGGTTTTTATGCCTAAAGAGGAGGAAATCCTTCCCTTAACTCCAATGGATCAAAGAAGTCTTCTTGGAAGAGGAGCATTTTCTCACTGCTCAGAGGAAAGAAAGACAGGGACTTTGTTTGAACTAATCTGGAAAAAATGATGACGCTTCACTCAGTTATTTTAAAATCTGGCCACGAGGATATTTTTGAAACCTCGTCATAAGAATATCATTTGTCCTATGACACAGTTGCTGTTTATCCGATTATCTAAGTTAATGATAATAAGATATACACAAATTAATGTTACTCCTTGGACTCAAAATTTGAGCCTGAAATGAAGCGAGTGACTTCATTTCTCCATTTTACAGAAGTTGGAAGCTCATTTTAAAAATCTGCCACACTGTACATTAATGAAATGGGGTGTGTCTGGGATTCTCTGACTCTACTTCATTCAATTAGTTGTCTCTAACACACTTATCTTAGAAATCTTAAGATGGTGAGAAATAGCCCACGTTCCTCATTCTTAGCATTTACAAAGCTTCACACATATGTTCTCTCCCTCCACCACTGCCTCCCATGATTCAGTCACTTCATATTGTAATACTTTGGTGATTATTGATTTTTGGTTAAGGTTGGAGCCCAGTACAACTGTGTGAGCATTCACTGCCTTCAATTTGATGGCACGCTGCTGCCTGCCCACTCCATATTGACAGACATCCTCTTACTTTCAGATTGTTGTTCGTTGGCTGATGAACACGCAGGAGGGAGATCATGACCTTTTCTCTTATCTGGACAGCTCTTAGCTTCACAAACATTTTTTTTTGCTGCAGGGTGCTATTAACAACAGGATGATAGAACAAAGAAATGAAGAGATGAGAAGCACATCAATGTATAAAATTTTCTTTATTAGGACACCCTCGAGGCCCAAGAAGGGGGGTGTCTAATTATCAAAGTGTTGACTTTCTCCTCCTTAGAAAAACAAATTTTACACACGCGTGCACACACACATACACACATGCTCTAATGAGGTCACGATTTGAAAATTAAGGGTTACTCATTCCCTTCATTCATGGGAGTTTGCAACTCTCCTTTCACTGGAGATCAGTTTATGTGAATAGAAAAGAAAACCAAAGTAATTGAATTTATTATACAGCAGTCATGAGTTAAGACAAGACACATTATAATTAGTTGCAGCATATTGATGATTAAAATTTAATGAGCTCATTTTTCCTATATTTGAAGGAGTGTAAGTTTAGCTCTGTGGGATTACTTAGGGCAAAGGTGTTAGAAGCATAGGCAAATTATTACTAGTCTGGGTTTGCATGCCTTTTTGCCTCACAAGCCTTGTATTTGAATTTAAGGGCCCTCAAAGTATAGAGAATAGAGACATTTTCAGATGAAACCCTGTCTTCAATTCTAACAGATCTATTACTTATTTTCTGTGCAGCTCTGAAGGAAAATTTTGAACCTATAGGTGTGGAGACTATCCTAAGAGAATATCCTGCCTTTCCTTTGCGGTGTGTTAAATTCAACCCAAAATTTCTCAGATCACTGGATTTATGCTGGGGCTGTTTAGCTTAAGCCAATATTCTTGATAATAAAAAGCTAAAATTTAAAAAGAAAAGATAAAAATAGCTGTAAGGAAAGCTATAGAGCAAGCACCTATGTAACAAAATGATGTTGATACTAGGAATGAACACAGATGTTTGCAGCCTTGTCTCTGTGACAACATTAATTATTCCAAACTGGTCATCTCTATAGACTTTGTTTCCCACTATGAATGACTAATCACTTCCTTGTTTTAGGTCCCAAATCCTAATACAAATATCTGATAATGTGTAAATCAACAATATTATATTTTTTAAAATCTCATGTTAAGTTATAGAGGTACAAAATACTATCTGAAAACACTAACTTCTTTAATTTTAATTGTGGCTAGTTTTTTCCCTCACATTTTGTTTAAGGTAAAATCCCCTCTGGCTTGAAAACATACTCCCTATGTCAAAAATACGTGAAAATAGAGGTGTAAAAAGGAAACACTATACAATCAAAGGTCTAATGGCCCCAGCAGGACATAACCAATAAATATAAAGTAGTTTAAAAGGGTGCAGGGGAGATGATTTGAAATTCCAATGAGCACTGTTTTGTATTTTTGTATAGTATTTTATCTAAGCATCCCAACCCATCCAAACTGCATGAGCATTAAAGCAATACATCTTATATCTCTGTAGAGGTGATAATATCCTTTTCTCCAGAATGAGTGCATCATTTTTGGAGATGCATGGAGAATGAGAAAAAAATTCCCAGGGCAATGTTGGCCCTGAAGTTGTGCCACCAGGAAAATCCTCTCGTGGTCTCTGATACAGCATCCTCAACCCTACCCAGAGACTACAATCATGTACAGAAATATTGGCGTATAAAGCAAAAAGGGTGAGCTTAATTGCCATCCCAATTCACTTATTTATTAACTTTTAAGTGAAGGGAAAAAGAGCTAGTCCCTTCCAGTCTAGCTGTTGGTTAATGGAGATTTTCTATTAGCCATCATCCACATATTTCTACTGCAGTTAAGACTGTTGCTCAAAATTATGGCCTTAAAGCATAACCTTGATGTGCTTCTGAATCATTAAAGCAGGACCATATTACATTCATCAGTGTGTCCATGTTTCATGAATTTTACAGTACTGAAAATTCTTCCTGAGCTAGCTACAAGTGGGGGATTCATGGATACTCTCACCAACAAGAGACTTTGGCCAAAACCCTCTATTTCTCTGATGGTGCTGAATAAAGATATGGCATCTCATACTGAGATGAGCGAGGATAAGACTAAACCATAAACTGGGTGAGGCAGAAAAACAGGATTTTTCTCATGAATTATCCAGTTTTCTAGGGCCCTACAGACCTACCCAAAGATTGAAAAAAACTTGAAAACTGGAATTTGTCAACAAAATACATCCCTTGGAAAGGTTCCATAGCTACTCCAGATAAAACCTACATTGGTCATGACCAATCTAATTAGAATCTTTCATCAGACAGGTATGTTTAGAATTTTATTTTTATGCCTATATTCTTATTTTGTTTTTTATGACTATGTAGCAGTGTCCCCCAAAATTCCTCTCTACTGAGAACCTCAAAATGTGACCTTATGTGGAAATAGGGTCTTTGAAGATGTAATTAAGATGAGGATACTGGATTAGAGTGGGCCCTAAATCCAATAACTGGTGACCTTACAAGACAATAGCAACAGAGTGATACACAAAGAGGAGACTGCCGTGGGAAGATGGAGGCAGGGATTAGAGAGATGCACCCACAAGCCAAGGACGCCAAGGATTGCTGGCAACTATCAGAAGCTAGGAGAGAGGTCTGGGTTGGTTTCTTGCTCAGAGACTTCAAAAGAAACTAACCTTGCTGACAATTTGATTTCAGACTTCTGGCCTCTGGTACTGTGAAAGAATACATTTCTGTGGCCTTAAGCCACCTGGTCTGTGGCAATTTGTTACAGCAACCGTGTAAAGCTAATACAGACTATATCCTCATCATCACCATTATTATCATAACTAATATTTATGTAGACTCTATTCCCAAATAAGGTCACATTTTGAGGTTCCGAGTACAGAGCAATTTGGAGGTATACTATTCAACCTGTTACATGATCATAAAAACAAAATAAAAATATAGTCATAAAAATAAAAACCCAAAGAAATATAAATCATTCTACTATAGAGACACATGCATATGTATGTTTATTGCAGCACTATTTACAGTAGCAAAGTCATGGAACTAACCCAAATGCCCATCAATGATAGACTGGATAAAGAAAATGTAGTACATATACACCATGGAATACTATGCAGCCATAAAAAGGAATGAGATTATGTCCTTTGCAGGGACATGGATGAAGCTAGAAGCCATCATCCTCAGCAAACTAACACAGGAAGAGAAAATCAAACACCGTATATTCTCACTCAAGTGGGAGTTGAACAATGAGAACACATGGACACGGGGAGGGGAACACCACACACCGGGGCCTGATGGGGGTGGCGGGGAAGGGGAAGGAGAGCATTAGACAAATAGCTAATGCACATAGGGCTGAAAACCTAGATAACGGGTTGATAGGTGCAGCAAACCACCATGGCACACGTATACCTATGTGTACATGGCACAGAACGTGTATGTAACAAACCTACACTTTCTGCACTTGTATGCCAAACTCAAAGTAAAATAAAAATATATTAAAAATAGAATAAAATCCCAAATGTATCTGTCTGATGAAAGATTGTCATTAGATGGGTCACAGACAATGTAGGTTTTACTTGGAGTAGCTATAGAACCTTTCCAAGGGCTACATTTTATTGACGAGGTCTGGCTCTCAAGTTTTTTAATCTTTGGATAGGTCTGTAGAGCTCCAGATAACTGGATAACTCAGGCTATGCAATGTGCTTTTTGTATAGTATCTTATTGAATCCATCTGACAACCCATGGAGGAAAATGTGGTTATTATTGTTTCCATTTACATATGAGAAAACTGACTCTTGAAGACATTCAAGGCCCCACAGAAAGAGAAGAGCTGAGACACGAATCCAGTTATCGCTAACACCCATTATTCTTCTAGAAAATCACACTTACATAAAATAAGATGCTCTCAAAGATTCTCTTTTTTAAAAATCTAACAACATTTAGCCTGGGCTCAATATAAATGCGACGCGATTTCTTATACCTTTTATACCTATGCCCATAATACAGCACACTCATAATTAATGTTTAAAATGATGAGCCAAATGTATTGAAAGTCTTTAGTTACCATCATAGCCCCTCTAATGTATTTCATAAACCACAGAAGTGGACATTTTGGCAAACTGTCCAAAAAGAAATAATACAAAAAGGGATTTTTTTTTTTGCTTAAATATTTACCAGAAGACCATATTTTTCTGCTTGGTTAATTGGATTGTTATTATATTTGTAAACCTAGATCTTTTCTCCAGAGAAGATGGGCAAACCGTTTTACATATGGAAGAAGGAAAGTCCATCCCACTCTCTTCCCTTCTCTGGCACCACGACACAACACACACTACTATTTTTGTGCATAGGACTGGCAGCATAGCCCCAAAGGGCTGTAACACTTTCATTTCCAAGACTTTTGTTTTGCTAACCTTGAAATGACCCACTATGTCTTTTTCAGGCAGCCACTCACCCTCATTTTAGCTGAAAGCAGCTTTTAGAGAAATAAAAGATAGAAACATGTGTTCGACATTTAACAAATATTTATTGAGTACCTATTACATAGAAACCTGCTTATAGTTTTGGATTTATTGACATATACATAAATATGTGACAAATGTAGAAATAAAAGTCATGTGAATCAAAACATGATAGATGTCCAGAGGAAGGTGTCGAGTGGGGGTGACCATGAGAAGCTTCATGGACGAAGGGCAATGAAGGGCTTAGTTCAGGAGGCTGTCTGTGATCTGGCTGTGTGAGAGATGGGGGAGCTTGGAGTGAGGGGATACAAGCCAAGAATAGGAAAAGAGGTTCCATGATATAGTTCCTCCCTGCAGTGAAAGGAACAATGAGTCCTATAATGCACTGGACAATGAGCTCCTGGAATGCAGGAAATTTGCCTTGGTAAAACTTCGTGTCTTCAGACCCTGGCATAAAGTAGCTGCTGAAAAATCTATACATGTGAATGTTCAATACATGAACCAATGAGTAAATAAATGGGCATTATGTTGCAAACAGAAAAGTAAATGAAAGATCCATCTCTCTTTCAAAAGCTAAAGGTAGAAGCAGTGGCCTTTGGAACTCAAGAAGAACCAGCCCCTAGCATTGTTTAAGAGGCTATGAAGCAGTAGTGGAGAGCTCTACGCCCTCTTCCTCACCAGTTTATCCTCAGTACCTTGCTATCCAAATGGGAGCTTCCCCCGAAACAATCTGGAGGTCAGAGGCCAGAGGGGAGTGCAGAAAGAAAGGAGCTATCTGGATAGCAAGGCCACAGAGAACACAGGGTGAGGAGAAGAGTGAGGGCTGCCTTGTCTGGCAAACTGCCTGGCTGTGGAAATCTGACCTGTGCAAAAAGAAAGCCTGACAGAACTTCTAAGTCAGTTTCCAAGAACAAATCTATTTTTAGATAACCGTTTCTTTCAGCAACAGACCTCCAGGTGCAGAGAAGTACTTAGAATTTGTCGCAACAAAACAAATATGGGGTTCTAAGGTTTATATTGTTTTATAATATTTTCTCTTTCACAAATGGAACTCTTAATATGGACACAAACCCCCTAAATCCATTGTCCGATGCATTAATTGGGGGTGAGGGAGAATGATTAATAAGAATAAATAAGAGCCTTATCTACTGAAGAAAACACCAGTGACTTGTTCTACACGCAGTGAAGTCAGTGATCCAGTTCATTCATTCACTTGGGATAGCCTCAGCTCACATCAGGCTCTGTAAATGCCCACACTACAGTTCTCAAAATACAGGTACTTCCAGGGAATTTCTGGGCTGTCAGCTCCTGAACCACCTGGCAATCAGGTGAGAAATCTCATGCAAGTCTGATGCCATTTCAAACTCAGTAAAAGCATGATAATAGATCATCACACAGTAAAGACAGCGGTGCTTTAGCTAGGATCAGGGACCCTGCATTCCACAAATAACTTGGGCCAGGGTAGGCAAAGGGCCTAGAGAGGGTTTGAGCACCCACTCCCAGCCCCAGACCACAAGGAGAGATTTCTGTCTGAAGATCTTTCATTCAAAAAAGTGTTCTTCCAACCCAAAGTTAAGATATTGGGAAAGGCAGCTGTGAGGTGAACAGAGCATAGACCAGCAGCCAGTGGACTCAGGGACTAATTCCAGCTTCACCGTTTCTCAGTAGAATGATGAGGAAGGAAATCAGCATCTGCTGGGAGCTACGCAACTTGCTAGGGGCTTTCCCATGCTTTATGTTCTCTAAGCATCAATTTTCCCATGCATAAAATGCAGATAGCAATGTTTCCTCTGCTTATTTCTCCGGGAGCTCTGTGAATTCTAAAGCAGCTTTGTACATCTAAAAAGATTATCTATGTGGTCTTTGAGGGATGTCTTTGTATATCTGGTCTGATACAAGCTGTGATGAAAGTGGATATGTCCTCCCAGCAAATATTAAATCATACTCGAGTAAGTACAGCCACGGAATCATTTCCACCATCATCTTTCCTAATGGGGAACACAATGACTTAAAGCATCAGCTGATGTAAAGACAGATTGAACTCACCATTATATACATGTATATATACTAAAAAGGTGAAGGCAGGATTAGAGAAGAGCTTGTGGCTGTTTTCTTTCTTCTTTACTTCCTTCCTTTGTCCTTTCGTTCTTTCTTTTTTTGTTCTCTGTAATCACCAATATCATAACCTAAGGGTGACTTAAACTTGTCCTTTCTCCTAGTCTCAATTCCAGTCCCACAGTAAATCTGAACTCTCATGGTGATGATGGTGGTGCTACCCTTTGGTGAACACTTACATGTCAAACCCATTGCCAAGTACTTTCCATACATCCTCCCATTTCCCCTCTCAACAACTCTCTGATGTAGTCACTATTATCCCCATTTTACAGAGGAGGAAAGTGAGAAAAAAAAAAAAAGATTTAGAAACTTGCCTAAGATCACAGAGCTACTATGTGCCAGAATGCAGGCCTATGTGACCAAAAACAACTGTGCCCTCACTCACCACACCATATGACCTCCAGAATTTCTGTTCTACCACTGAGTAGCTAAACTTCTGTTTCTGTTGATAAAACTACAACCCAAAGTGCCAGGTGACACACCAAGAACAGCTGTGACCATATTCAGCTGCATTTGCTGATGAATATGAGTCCTAGTTCTTCCTTCACAGACACCAGGGCTGGTAACTGCATGTTGACTTCTAATGCTGCACTTGTGTCCATTTTGACACAAACAGCATGTGTAGAAGGAGCACAAGGGAGGAGCAGGTAGCCACTCCATGTGCACTTCTAGCAGCACCCCAGCCCCAGCCATGCACTCTAACGAGGCCAAGTTTCTTCCCTGTGTCTTTCACATCGGACAGGGATTGCACATAGACTGTTCCTTCCTTGCCTAGAATCCCCTCTGTGGAGAATCTGAGGAAATGGCTGGAGCCCATGAGAAAATGTAGAAACACACAAGCAACAGAGATGAGCATTCACTGGAAGCAACAGAACCTGTGTGGAAATGAGTATGGCTCACTTCATCACATGTATGCTGGGCCAATTCAAGTGTTCTGAGCACCATTCAGCTAGTGTTTGAAATGAGTTCTAGGTCTTGCATCCCCCACATTTCTGCCTTCCTGAGCCCATGCCCGGAAAATGTGCTCAATGGCTTGCATGGACCTTACATTGACCACAATTTGTCACTTCCCCTTCTGCCAGCCCAATATGATCCCTGGCTTCTATATACACTGTTCAGTATAGTGACACTACACCAGAAGAAGAATAGGGAGCCCAGTTTTGTCCCAGCCTCCCTCCTCTCATTAACCTTGTGCCATTATCCAAAAGCAATTAACCTACCTGAATATAAGTTTCCATATCTGAGAAATGGGTATAAAGTTAACCGCCATGATTATTCCTATGCGCTCTGACATATAGTATTATTAATTTAAGTAAAGTTTTTGTTGTCCCAAATTTATCACCTTATTTTCTAGATATTGTCAATTCCAAATACCATTCTGAGAACATGATACTTAAAGCCATACATGCTTCCCCAAATATCCATGACCCACGCTTTTTTTTTTTTCCTTTTGACAGAGTCTCACTCTGTCACCCAGGATGGAGTGCAGTGTTGTGATCTCAGCTCACTCCAACCTTCCCCTCCCTCTCCTGCCTCAGCCTCCCAAGTAACAGGGATTATAGACACCTACCACCACGCCTGGATAATTTTTGTAGTTTTAGTAGAGACGGGGTTTCCCCATGTTGGCCAGGCTGGTCTGGAACCCCTGACCTCAAGTGATCTGCCCACCTCGGCCTCCCAAAGTGCTGGGATTACAGGCGTGAGCCACCACGCCCAGCCTCATGCTCATATTTTGAGTCCAATTGGACCAAACAAAAGCCAACCAACCAAGAGGATTGTCTACTCGACTGACACAAGGTTCTGAAAAGAATTATTTTGCTTCTGTAATACACTGAGTTTAAATTGTTTTCCCCTAAACATGTAATTCTCTGGAAATGGCGAAGAAATTGCTGCTTTTAAATCAAGTTTCATGATCAGATACTAGGTTTTGGATGTGATATTCATGAGACATCTGTAACAAGTGAGGTTACTTAAGGGATTTATAATAATTTGCTTTAAGATTTAAAAAGAAAAATATAAAAATACAGAACGACATGACAACTTTACATGCATGGACCATGTGCACCTAAAATTTACCTCTAAAGAACTAGTTAACCAAAAATCTTGCCATAAAAGCTGAAGCCCACATGCACAAAACAAAATGATTGCAAGAAAGCTCTAGATTTCGAGCCTAATTACATGTTTCTTGAAATAATACATGGTGCTGGCATGAATTTGCTATATTGATAAAAGAGATGTCATATTGCTTTATTTTTTAAATCAAATCTTGAATATAGCTCTAAGCCCCTAATCTCTATGGTGGAAAGGAAAAAAAAATCAGCCTCTATTATTCTTGGAGCACTTTCTTCAATCTCTCTAAGGAATTAGAAAAGAATATGGGGTGTTTGTGGCATCAGAAAACAGAAGCAGAGCTTCAACCCTGGCCCATCATCATCACCTCTGAATGTCATTGCCCAAAACCATGTAAGACAGTTAAAGGCAGTAGGATTTCCTTCCTCTGTACAAAGTGAGGACACCCAGATTGCTCACCACAAAAGCCATAGTGCTTAGAGTCTAATCATCATCACCATCCACCCACCTTCTAACATCAAGGTAGTACTCATTGGAAAGCCTGCCCCACTTGGATGTTGCATGCCAGTAGGGCATGACCATTTGCTACTCACCCCCCAACGCATACCCCTAATCACCCACACACATGGTCAAACTATTTCTTTCCCTTCACCTTTTGGAGCGCCTCTTCTTCTAGGACAATTCAACTTTACTTTCTGCAACGTAAGATTTGGTTACTGGACAGGAAATTATATCCTTCCTTGAATCTTCTCCAACAATGAGAATGAAATGGAGAATAATACTACTGCTGACTTCCTGTCATGTATGCAAATCCCCTAGCCTGGAATCTGGTACAGAAAAGAATGCTCAAAAAGTCCATTCCATCAACCATCATAGTTCCAGACACTATATATTTTTGGCACTGGGAATAAGACTCACATTCTATAGTGGAAGCAATTAAGAGAATAATTATAATTAAAAGGCTGTAAGATTCAGGCACCAACCAGTCAACAGAGGCTGGACACAACATTGAGTCCCAGAGGTCCCGTCTCTGATGGGCAAGTCTTAACTGCTGAGTTGCTGAAATTTGGGAAGACTAGGAGAGGGCTGGAGGAGGGAAATGGGAGGCATTCTTTGGGCCTGGGCTGTAGCTGTTTACTAGCCAGAACATAAACACTTTGATATTTTAACAACTGTGGGGCCACACCAGTGTATACCAGCTAACTATCAGTGCTGATCACATAACAAAAATATTGCAATATCAGAGGATGCTTCAGGAGCTCGGAGTACCTGGTTGGCACAGAAGCTTTTAATCTGGGATATTGCCAACTGGACAAATTCAAAGAGGGTTTTCAGGTAAGTGAACTACTTGGTCAAATGCACAGAGGCTAAAGAGAGCAGAGTTTTAACTGAGAAAGAAAAAGTAATCAGTAGTACCATCATTATTATTGATAGACACAAATTACCACCCTTGAGTGGGTAAGTGTCTATGTGGCTTTTCCAAAAGCCCAGAGTGCTCATCTTGTTGAGGCATTGGGCTCTGCCCTTACATTGGCACCTGCGTCCCAATATCTATGGTCTGCATCCTCAGCCCCTATCACAGGCCTTACCCCTGTGTAACTTTCCTGTTATCCCTACTCAGGCAGGAACATAGGTCCATCTCCTTCAACTGCTCACATCAGAGCAGCTTTCACACAAAAACAAGTCTTTCCCTGGCACCTTTATAAACAAGCACCTGCAGATGAGCTGGTCTCAAGGAAAAGTGATTCCAGGGGCTGCCAACCCAGGGAAGCGCCCACAGGTGATCCTGTGAATGCAGAAACACTTATCCATCAGTGATTGGGTGGCCAGCCAGTGGGGATGATCAAGACGATGAGAACACCACCATTTGGATCAATGTGGCCAGAAAGCGACGGTCAGAATGAGGGGAACATTGCTCAGTTTGGACAACTGGCTCACCTTTGAAGAGTAACTAACATCAAATAGGAATTCAGGTTGGTTATGAAGATGCCACAGAGTCCATTGAATTGACATTTTGCTGGCTGCAGCCAATACACATCGCCCCCCAAAACAAATGCACTCTGTTCTTTTTAACCAATTTAGATCTTTCGAGACTTCTATGAAGTGTTGTGTTGGCTTGATGGACACACTTTAAAGCAAACGTGTTCAGTGTTAAAGTTAAGACATGCTTTATAACTGGGCATAAACACTGAAAATGTCTGATCAAATCCCTTCCTTTTATGGAGCAACCACTCTGAAGCTCAGAGAAGTGGAGTGATTTGTCCAAAGTCACACAGCATTTAAGCAAGAGAGCCAGGGTGAAAATTGGAGTCTTTGGTCTCTAAATTCAGTGTCTTTTTTTTATTCTCAGGTGGCTTCCTTCAGTGTCAGATTAGAAGTCTAAAGAGGCATTCATCCTTTTTGCAGAGTAGAGACAACCTTGCCCCCACCAAGATATCCAGAGTGGACGCTCCCACCTAAATGAGGCAGGGCCAGTCAAATCCCAGAGCACCGGAGGCACAGAATCTGTGCCCTAAGCCTTAATGGGGACACCAATCTGGACTGCTACACGTTTAACTTTAATTTCACCATCACTCTCCAAAGCATTTTTGTCATAAGTACACACAAAAAGAGTACCCAGTGCTGCCTCGATGGGAAATTTCTGAAACAAGTGGAGACATTTCCGAGTCCCTCCTCAGACAGGGGGCGGAGAGAGGCCGCGTCGCCGCCTGTGCCAGGGCTTTGTGTGTGGGTTTGGGCGCCTGACAAACGCAGGGATGATCGACCGGTGGCTTCCTCCTGCAGAGCCACGTGCCAGCGCCTAGGGGGCGCTCTCGATGTGCTCAGCAGCCCCGGAGCCTCGCCGCTCCCAACAAAACCGAAATGACGCAGCGGAGCTTTTTTCTTTTTAATTCGCTTCAACATTTTAGGGGAAAGGAGAGACACAATTCTAAAGGGGGCTTTTTAAAAATTCGCCCTGCTTACTGAGACAGATAAATATTTTTAAATATATTATTGGGTTGCTTCTTCCCTGCCTCCCCGTAAAATCAAACTTTTTTTTAATCTGCCCTAAAAGTCAAGTGTATGTTTCACCCCTTTCTATGGCATATGGCAAGCTTTAATGATGCCAGAGTAACACTGTTTCCTGATTAAAATGGCTGGTTGAAAGGACCCGCTTTTATTCCTGCTACAACTTGCCATGTATCATAATGACCAGCTTTAAATCCATCAAAGTGGAGTACAGAGTGCGATCGCAAAGGTTCAGACATGGAAATCCAGTAAATTTTATCTGCTATTCAGCCAAGAGACGCTCCCGAGTAGAGCGCAGCCCTGCCGAGTTTAGATGATCAATTCTTCCTCAATTCCAATCATCCATCCAGGCCACGGACACGCATCTACCTCCGTCTCACATTCATTCCCAATATGCTTTCCTGAGGCTTGGGCAGGATATGCAGGGGCTTCCAGCCGCTTAAGGTGAAGAAGAACTTAGACATTATCATGTCTAAGAAGAAAAGAATCACAAAATTTTTAAAAGGCATAAAGAAACCCAAATAATTAATATTAAAAGATATTACTGAGAGACTTGCAAATATCTCGGCTACCAGATTTTTAAAGTAATTCTCTAGGTGTAAGGCAGGACTGATAAGAGATCGTTATTGCTAACACAAAAATGTTTCTGTGCATGTATTAATATGTGTGTACCTATATATAGATATATATCCTCCCACATCCAAAGAGGTCATTTTTTTAACGTGTATGTGTGCATACGTGAAAAATTCTGTGGAAGATTATCTTGCACACAAAGCAAATGGCCCTGCCCCCATTGTGCAAGAAGCAGATCCCCTGAGATTAGGGAAGAAGGAATTGCTTATGGTCAGCAGAGGCCGGGAGAACAATGGAGACCCCAGCTAAAGGCACAGCAGCAGCCTGCTAGGATGGGTGGGGGACTGACCACATGGCCATTGCAAACTAGATGGCATTGTCATTGTCACCAGAAGTGACTAAAAAGGGCTCAAATTAGCAATTGTTATGATTAGCAGGTGGTTTAAGAGATATGAGGCCCACGAAGTGACTCGGGCTGTGGGGGAGGGTGGGGTGGACACTAGAATGCATTTCAGTTTTTCCTATAGTGCAAAATAGAGAGGCTTAGAAGTGTTTCTTACTTGAATAAAAGAACTGCAAATTCTTTTAAGGAAAAAATTACGGAGATCCCTAAAATGCAAAGTATCCTCCAAGCCAAGAAAATGAAAATGTCCGGGTTCTTTAAAATAATTTTAAGTTATGATCCTATACAATCATTATAGATGAATTTTGATAAAAGTAGAAATTTAAATGCCATTAAATTACAATAGACAAGAAAAGTTGACAACTCTAGATTTTTTTAAAGGCAGCCTTACTCAGTGTGCGTTATTATAGTGCCTAAGAGATGTTTTAGACAAATGTAATAAAACACCTTTCTAACTGAAGAGTTTTTCACTTCTCAGTTCCTCAAAGAGTTCCTCACAAAACTGGTTACTTCTTATATAGATACAAAATACGTTTTTCATGTCTTGCCTCTCTATCTCATGAATCTCAGTACACAAGCAAACACTTCACAGCCTGCTTTTTTATTCTTTCTGTTTAAAAATCTTTGATAACAAATATTCACTGGTGAGCAATTTCCCCAGCAAGATGTCCCTAGGAATCTGTAGACAGAATTGTCAGGAATGGATAGTCTGGCTGCCTTTCTTCCTGTCACTGCCCACAGAGGTAGGCCCTACAGTGGATTCATGTTCAGGTAAATTTTTTACCAAATGGGCAGGATTTCTCTTTTGCAGTTGCCAGTAGCTGTAAGGCATGTGTAATAGAGACTGAAGACTGGATCAAACCATGAACTCATTTTCTCTAGGCCATGTTTCTGTTGGTCTGCAGCTCAAAGATGGCACCTACTTAGTGGAGTTAGCCAAAGATTCCCCACTGTATCAAAACTCATTCTGATCCATGCCTGGGAAGGAAGTGAAGGACTGATTTGTGCAAGGATGCTTTGGTGCGTAAGTCCAAAAAAACTTCATGGAACCAAAACCAAAACAAAAACCTGTTCAAGCAAAGGGATCTAGGGTGTAGAATCAACTCAGACTGAAGTCTGTCAAGATTAATAGATCTTATTGCACTGAAAATGTTAAGTGGGTTCCCAAGACAGGTAAAGTGGAGAATGAGGCAGTTACTTGGCAGTCCTGGTAATTTGTACCCCAAAAAAATCATACCTTTTAGAGTGTTACTAAATTACATTTGTTTTTCGTCGTTGTTGTTGTTGTTGTTTGCAAAACATAAATATATAAGTAAAATTATCATGGCTCTCTTTTTGTTCAAAGAAAACTTGAGCAATTTAATCCTATCTTTGGACTCAAATGATTCAGACATATGCCTTGCCAAGTGAAATTCCAGTAATTCAACATCTGTGATTTGGGACTCTTTCTTAGGTGTCAAAAGAAAGATTTCTTTTGTGTGTGTGTGTGTGTGTGTGTGTGTGTGTGTGTGTGTGTGTGTATGTGTGTACCATAATTTTACACAAATGTTCCCAAGACTAAAAAACTCATTATAAGTAAATGTACAAATACATGGGCTAGAAGTTATCTTCTCAAACCACAATGGAATATCTGCCTCATTCATTCATAACTCCACCTCACCTACACAACCTAAGTATCTGTCACATTTCTGACTAATTTCAGCAGATTTTGGAGGCAATCTACATCACTTACATACAACACATGTAGCAGCTTGCCTTTTCCATACAGCTATTCTGGTGGGCCCATATTTACTAAAGAATGGTTTGATTTCCTCCTGATTCATCTCAATCATGGCTTAAGAAAATTAGGTAGTCAAAGGACTCCAAGCTCGGTTCCTACTCTAAGTCATCTTATCTCTAATGAAATGAGGCCTGCCATAGCAAAATAGACCATCTAGCTCTTTGTGCCACCAGACCAAAAGGGGTTTTGTCCCCTGGATTATTGGAGAAATTATGGGCACTTGGACCTGCCCTTGATGATGTGCTTGGTGTGACCTCTGATATTTGTCCCCATCCTCTGTTGTATTGATTCCCATACAAATGGTCAAATTTGAACAAGCCTTTTAAAACACTAAATAATAGGCTGCTTGTATCCTGCAGGAAACTAGACCATTTAGCCACAATTGGAACTATTTTCCAGCAAAGTTGATGCATTTGTACCTCACCTGACTGAACAGAAATTAACCCCCATTCACGCCACTGACCCTACAAAACCCACTCACCCTGCTGCACTTGAACATATTTATTTTTATATGTTATTCACATATTGTTGCTATGCACTTATGTATTTAAGCAGTTGCATGCAGGCCACCAAGAGAGACTCAGTTATTTGTCCTTTTCATTAGTACTGTATTGGTGAGATGAATGTAACACAGGTTTCAGATAAGTGTAGTCTCTCTCATTACTGAAATCAAGAGGAATATTGTCTTTGATTGGATTACTCACGCTGTCAAGGTAAATCAGAAACATTATAGCAGGGAAAGCTCAAATGCCTGGTGACTTTTGTTGCTGACTTAAATGCACAGATGTTGGAAACAGATGCAAGCATGAGTGCTTCTTTCCCAAGATGTGTCTACAAATGTTTGCAGGATATAGTTACAGATGTGAAATCACTTATGTCCAAGGCATCTCTCAGTCCATTCTGCTTTTAGCATCAAAGATCTGTAAATAAAAGTATTCTTGTGTAAATAAAGGGCAAACTATTTCTATATTTAAAGTATATATTCTTATAATCATAGTATTTAAATAAAATTAACATGTGGTTCAAAAATTAAACAAAGAAATACATTGAAAAGAATAATATTGCTGTTTTGTTGCCAGTCACCTAACACACAGAAGTGTAACCATAATTATCCTGGCTTCGCTTTGTTGCAATATTCGATTACTGCTGCCAGAACCATTCAGTACCATGGACAGAGAAGGCACAAACTAAATAGCTAAGCAATGACTATGATACTTCAACTGGACACATCAAAGGAGAAAGAGGTAGTTCATGGCTAAAAAACACAATGAAAAAAATCTTTAACTTCCCAGGGTTAATAAATTGTTCATTTCACTAAGGACTTATGCTTACATTAAAATTATAAGTCTGTGGAAGATTTGCTGTATTGTGTTCTGCTATGGTTTGAATGTGTCCCCCCAAAATTCATGCGTTAGAAATTTAATCCCCAATGTAACACTGTTGAGAAGTGAGTCCTTTAAGAAGTGATTAGGTCATGAGGGCTGAGTCCTCATTGTCACAGGAGTGGGTGAGTTATAAAAGTGGCCGGGCACGGTGGCTCATGCCTGTAATCCCAGCACTTTGGGAGGCGGAGGCGGGCGGATCACGAGGTCAGGAGATCGAGACCATCCTGGCTGACAGGGTGAAACCCCGTCTCTACTAAAAATACAAAAATTAGCTGGGCGTGGTGGCGGGCGCCTGTAGTCCCAGCTACTCAGGAGGCTGAGGCAGGAAAATGCCGTGAACCCGGGAGGTGGAGGTTGCAGTGAGCCGAGATCGTGCCACTGCACTCCAGCCTGGGTGACAGAGCAAGATGTCGTCTCAAAAAAAAAAAAAAAAAGTGGCCATCTCTTGCTGTCTGTCTTGAGCACTTGGATCCATCTTCCATCTTCCACTCTTCTACCTTCTACCCTTCCACAGTGGAATGACCCTTGCCTCATACTGGTGCCATGCTCTTGGACCTCCCATCCCCCAAAGCCATGAGCCAAATAAACTTCTGTTCTTTATAAATCACCCAGTTTCAGGTATTCTGTTATAGCAACAGAAAATTAACTTTAAAATATGTCCCTAATTTTAAAATGTAAAATATTGTACATTTTAAATACCTGTTATGTTAATCACACCAAAATGTTCATTTTAACATGTAGCCTTGACAATAGCTCTAGAAGCAATAAAAGAATTTATGAACTTGCTAAGGAGTCTTTTCTGCTATTAATCTTCATTGCTACTTGGTCTTCATACATGTATAATACACATATAATACAGCCATATATACGCTAATAAGATACTTCTTTTTTTTTTTTTTTTTTTTTTTTGACACGTGGTCTCATTCTGTTGCCCAGACTGGAGTGTGGTGGTGCGATCTCAGCTCACTGCAACCTCCACCTCCTGGGTTCAAGCAATTGTCCTACCTCAGCCTCCTGAGTAGCTGGGACTACAGGTGTGCACCACCACGCCCCGCTAATTTTTGTATTTTTAGTAGAGACAGGGTTTCACCATGTTGGCCAGGCTGGTCTTGAACTCCTGACCTCAAGTGATCCTCCCGCCTTGGCCTCCCAAAGTGCTGGGATTACAGACATGAGCCACCATGTCCAGCCTGCTAAGAATATTCTTAAGGATAAATTTGTGTACTCAAGGAAAACCGCATGCCTAATTACTGATATTTACACATGAAAACATCAACCCAGCTTTTATTCTTTCTATGAAATGAACAGTAAAATAATTTTAACCAATTTGTGGAAATTTGAAAATAACTATTTTAGATATAAAACTTTAAAAAATCAAATTCAGACTTTAATTGAGCAAAATATTAAGGGAATTTATTAAATACTATAGTGTCAAGCATGACTTAAATATTGCTACAACTTTGAAGGAACTCAGAATCTAATGAAAAATAGATATGGGAAGGAAAAGGGAAAGAAACAAGCGTATGTTGAGTGCATGATATTTGCCAAACACTCAGTTATGAATTTTACATATATTATATTATTTTCATAGATATTGTTATGGCTATTTAAAAATACAAAGAAAGTGAAGTTCAGCAAGGCTAACTACTTTTTCCAGATAGCTCGGCTAAGAAGTTGTAGAAACAGAATTCAGGCCCAGATCTTCCTGATTCCAAAGCACATGATTTTGTTTCACTACTCAAGGCTTCCCCAGAAGAAGACTTGAACAATTATGAATGGCAAATGCAGGGAGACCTCATAAATCAGGTAGCATTTCAGCCCAAATTATTTTGCCAGTCATTTACAGAGAGCACCAGGCAAAGCTATTTCTTGAGATACTTTATATTTACAACAGGTTGATGAGCCCACGCTTGTAATTGCTATCTTGATTTTTCTTGCTGAGGGAAGGAATCTTGCTAATTTGAAAGGGTTATCCAAAACAAAACACAATGTCAAAGTCTTTTACACTTACATTTTTGGCAACAACCCCAATAGTATATTCCCACCCATCATATTAGAAAAGGCTATCAAAATGAGTTTGCATTTCCGGCTGCACAGAGAAGTTATGATAGAAATTGGCCTAGGGCTACTGAGTCACCTAATGACAGCAGCTTTAATTTAAAATATGTTGTGGGTAATAGAGCAAGTGGATAATCCACTTGTGGATAATTGAGGGTATATTTGTGCCCACATTTTAAGATCTAGGTATTTCATAGAGGTCCTCTAATATAAGATGTCATAAAATAACCTGTTCCCAATGCACTAGTATCCATTAAAATCAATAGAGTTTTGCAAGCCATGCATATGATACATAGTATGAAATGTAATTAGTATTGGAAAATTGCTGTAAAATCTCAAGCTCTTTGTACTTAAATGACCAAGATGTTTTCCACTGGGGCTCCTTTTTTAGAGCAACCTAGTGAATAGAGTCTGAAGGATTAAATAATAGGCGTCATGCCGGTTTTTAAGCAAATGAAGCTGTTGTTTCTGTACATAGGAACACAAAATTTTATCTCTACAGCAAAACACTACAGTAGATGGCACTTTCTGGAAATGAGGTGAAAAGCAGAATTTAACAGCCCTTCGGCTGAAAGTTTTGCATCCTATATTAGACCTGCTGGGAATAAATTATCTAAGGCTGATATCCCTTAGGCTAAGGGTTTATAATGGAAAACTCCCTCCCACCAAAAGCTTTAAATATGAAGTAATACCAAGAGCCACCATGATTTCAATTCTCTGTTCTAAGTAGAGATACTCACAATGAGGCATACTAACACACATATGCGAGATCCAAAAGATGCTTAGAGAGAGAGAAAGAATAAAATGCACTTTTTCTTTCTTTCTTTTTAACCTTATCTGTGCATTCCTGGGTCACACAAGCATTGTGCTGACTCTAGATGAAAACACCCCCTTGATGGAGGATACATGCTGAAAGGGAAAATTCTGAATTATGTTCTCTAAATTATCCAAGGCTTGGAGAGCAAGTATTGATTTTAAAAATGACTGAGCCAGACCTCGTACAGCAGAGCCCCCTCCTTCCCTCTTTTCCTCCCTCCCTCCCTTCCAGCCCGCACCCCGAAGCACAACAAGAGGTCTCATGCACTGTACAGCCACCACAAGGCCCTGGGCTGGCATTGTTTCAAAAAATCAGAAAGTCATCCATCAACCAAAGAGTCATTGGAATAAGTACATAGTAGCTAAAGATACATTTTATCTCCTAACAGGCTCAAATTCAATGAACTACGAGGAGAATTAGAATGATATTGGACCGAGTAACTAATGCACTCTGGGAACCATGAAGTGTTAAGGTGTTTATTTTGCTGCCTCATATAAAAGAATGAGAAGTTCATCTGCACAGTTAGGCCTTCTGTTTGCTCCAGCTCTAAATAACTGAGGAGCACCTCTAATCCAGACCTCTTTTATGGAGGCAGAGTGAGAACCAGAATTTGTTCTGCAGTTGCTTCTCTTAGTCTGCAAACAATCTAGGTACAGCAGGAGCTGCACTGTTCTTATGGGTGATTGTTTGTGCGTGTGTATGCGAGCACACGTTCACCTGCTTGTGTGTGGCTCCCTAGGAACTATTACTCAATATTAATTTTATGGGGGAACTGAAGACTAAAATTATTAGTGTCCATGCATTGGGAACATCACTTAGTTTTATTTAGTGAGTAGTAGTGAGCAACATAATGAGCACATCACAAATTCAGTCAGACAACACTAGGCTTTTACTTTATATCCTTAGGAGAGCATATTTTACCTGTGTGAAAAACTAACAGGGTGCCACAAAGTAATAATTATGCTCATTTACATGGCTACATTTACAGCACAACTTGAGACATATACAATTTCAACTTCCTTCTCTTTATACATTTCAAATGAAATGCAGTTGTTTTATATATATATATATATATATATATATATTTATTATACTTTAAGTTCTAGGGTACATGTGCACAACCTGCAGGTTTGTTACATATGTATACATGTGTGCTGCACCCATTAACTCGTCATTTACATTAGGTATATCTCCTAATGCTATCCCTCCTCCCTCCCCCCACCCCACAAAAGGCCCTGGTGTGTGCTGTTCCCCTTCTTGTGTCCAAGTGTTCTCATTGTTCAATTCCCACCTATGAGTGAGAACATGCAGTGTTTGGTTTTTTGTCCTTGCAACAGTTTGCTGAGAATGATGGTTTCCAGCTTCATCCATGTCCCTACAAGGTACATGAACTCATCATTTTTTATGGCTGCATAGTATTCCATGGTGTATATGTGCCACATTTGCTTAATCCAGTCTATCATTGATGGACATTTGGCTTGGTTCCAAGTCTTTGTTATTGTGAATAGTGCCGCAATAAACATACGTGTGCATGTGTCTTTATAGCAGCATGATTTATAATCCTTTGGGTATATACCCAGTAATGGGATTGCTGGGTCAAATGGTATTTCTAGTTCTACATCCCTGAGGAATCGCCACAGTGTCTTCCACAATGGTTGAACTAGTTTACAGTCCTACCAACAATGTAAAAGTGTTCCTATTTCTCCACATCCTCTCCAGCACCTGTTGTTTCCAGACTATTTAATGATCACCATTCTAACTGGTGTGAGATGGTATCTCATTGTGGTTTTGATTTGCATTTCTTTGATGGCCAGTGATGATGAGCATTTTTTCATGTGTCTGTTGGCTGCATAAATGTCTTCTCTTGAGAAGTGTCTGTTCATATCCTTCGCCCACTTTTTGATGGGGTTGTTTGTTTTTTTCTTGTAAATTTGTTTGAGTTCTTTGTAGATTCTGGATATTAGCCCTTTGTCAGATGAGTAGATTGCAAAAATTTTCTCCCATTCTGTAGGTTGCCTGTTCACTCTGATGGTAGTTTCTTTTGCTGTGCAGAAGCTCTTTGTTTAATTAGATCCCATTTCTCAGTTTTCGCTTTTGTTGCCATTGCTTTTGGTGTTTTAGACATGAAGTCCTTGCCTATGCCTATGTCCTGAATGGTATTGCCTAGGTTTTCTTCTAGGGTTTTTATAGTTTTAGGTCTAACATTTAAGTCTGTAATCCATCTTGAATTAATTTTTGTATAAGGTGTAAGGAAGGGATCCAGTTTCAGCTTTCTGCATATGGCTAGCCAGTTTTCCCCGCACCATTTATTAAATAGGGAATCCTTTCCCCATTTCTTGTTTTTGTCAGGTTTTGTCAAAGATCAGATGGTTGTAGATGTGTGGTATTATTTCTGAGGGCTCTGTTCTGTTCCATTGGTCTATATCTCTGTTTTGGTACCAGTACCACGCTGTTTTGGTTACTGTAGCCTTGTAGTATAGTTTGAAGTCAGGTAGCATGATGCCTCCAGCTTTGTTCTTTTGGCTTAGGATTGACTTGGCAATGTGGGCTCTTTTTTGGTTCCATATGAACTTTAAAGTAGTTTTTTCCAATTCTGTGAAGAAAGTCATTTGTTGCTTGAAGGGGATGGCATTGAATCTATAAATTACCTTGGGCAGTATGGCCATTTTCATGATATTGATTCTTCCTATCCGTGAGCATGGAATGTTCTTCCATTTGCTTGTGTCCTCTTTTATTTCGTGGAGCAGCAGTTTGTAGTTCTCCTTGAAGAGGTCCTTCACATCCCTTGTAAGTTTGATTCCTAGGTATTTTATTCTCTTTGAAGCAATTGTGAATGGGAGTTCACTCATGATTTGGCTCTCTGTCTGTCATTGGTTTATAAGAATGCTTGTGATTTTTGCAGGCTGATTTTGTATCCTGAGACTTTGCTGAAGTTGCCTATCAGCTTAAGGAGATTTTGGGCTGAGACAGTGGGGTTTTCTAGATATACAATCATGTCATCTGCAAACAGAGACAATTTGACTTCCTCTTTTCCTAATTGAATACCCTTTCTTTCTTTCTCCTGCCTGATTGCCCTGGCCAGAACTTCCAACACTATGTTGAATAGGAGTGGTGAGAGAGGGCATCCCTGTCTTGTGCCAGCTTTCAAAGGGAATGCTTCCAGTTTTTGCCCGTTCAGTATGATGTTGGCTGTGGGTCTGTCATGAATAGCTCTTATTATTTTAAGATACGGCCCATCAATACCTAATTTATTGAGAGTTCTTAGCATGAAGAGCTGTTGAATTTTGTCAAAGGCCTTTTCTGCATCTATTGAGATAATCATGTGGTTTTTGTCATTGGTTCTGTTTATATGCCAGATTGCATTTATTGATTTGCGTATGTTGAACAAGGCTTGCATCTCAGGGATGAAGCCCACTTGATCATGGTGGATAAGCTTTTTGATGTGCTGCTGGATTTGGTTTGCCAGTATTTTATTGAGGATTTTTGCATTGATGTTCATCAGGGATATTGGTCTAAAATTATCTTTTTTTGTTGTGTCTCTGCCAGGCTTTGGTATCAGGATGATGCTGGCCTCTTAAAATGAGTTAGGGAAGATTCCTTCTTTTTCTATTGCTTGGAATAGTTTTAGAAGGAATGGTACCACCTCCTCCTTGTACCTCTGGTGAAATGCGGCTGTGAATCCGTCTGGTCCTGGACTGTTTTTGGTTGGTAAGCTATTAATTATTGCCTCAATTTCAGAACCTGTTATTGGTCTATTCAGAGATTCAACTTCTTCCTAGTTTAGTCTTGGGAGGGTGTATGTGTCGAGGAATTTATCCATTTCTTCTAGATTTTCTAATTTATTTGTGTAGAGGTGTTTATAGTATTCTCTGATGGTAGTTTGTATTTCTGTGGGATCGGTGGTGATATCCCCTTTATCATTTTTAATGGCGTCCATTTGATTCTTCTCTCTTTTCTTCTTTATTAGTCTTGATAGCAGTCTATCAATTCTGTTGATCTTTTCAAAAAACCAGCTCTTGGATTCATTGATTTTTTGAAGGGTTTTTTGTGTCTCTCCATCTCCTTCAGTTCTGCTCTGCTCTTAGTTATTTCTTGCCTTCTGCTAGCTTTTGAATGTGTTTGCTCTTGCTTCTCTAGTTCTTTTAATTGTGATGTTAGGGTGTCAATTTTAGATCTTTCCTGCTTTCTCTTCTGGGCATTTAGTGCTATAAATTTCCCTCTACACACTGCTTTGAATGTGTCCCAGAGATTCTGGTATGTTGTGTCTTTGTTCTCGTTGGTTTCAAAGAACATCTTTATTTCTGCCTTCATTTCGTTATGTACCCAGTAGTCATTCAGGAGCAGGTTGTTCAGTTTCCATGTAGTTGAGCAGTTTTGAGTGAGTTTGTTAATCCTGAGTTCTAGTTTGATTGCACTGTGGTCTGAGAGACAGTTTGTTATAATTTCTGTTCTTTTACATTTGCTGAGGAGTGCTTTACTTCCAACTATGTGGTCAATTTTGGAATAAGTGCGATGTGGTACTGAGAAGAATGTATATTCTGTTGATTTGGGGTGGAGAGTTCTGTAGATGTCTATTAGGTCTGCTTGGTGCAGAGCTGAGTTCAATTCCTGGATATCCTTGTTAACTTTCTGTCTCATTGATCTGTCTAATGTTGACAGTGGGGTGTTAAAGTCTCCCATTATTATTGTGTGGGAGTCTAAGTCCCTTTGTAGGTCTCTAAGGACTTGCTTTATGAATCTGGGTGCTCCTGTATTGGGTGCATATATATTTAGGATAGTTAGCTCTTCTTGTTGAATTGATCCCTTTACCATTATGTAATGGCCTTCTTTGTCTCTTTTGATCTTTGTTGGTTTAAAGTCTGTTTTGTCAGAGACTAGGATTGCAACCCCTGCCTTTTTTTGCTTTCCATTTGCTTAGTAGATCTTCCTCCATCCCTTTATTTTGAGCCTATGTGTGTCTCTGCACGTGAGATGGGTCTTCTGAATACAGCACACTGATGAGTCTTGACTCTTTATCAAATTTGCCAGTCTGTGTCTTTTAATTGGAGAATTTAGCCCATTTACATTTAAGGTTAATATTCTTATGTGTGAATTTGATCCTCTCATTATGATGTTAGCTGGTTATTTTGCTCGTTAGTTGATGCAGTTTCTTCCTAGCATCGATGGTCTTTACAATTTGGCATGTTTGGGTTGAAAATTATTTCCTTTAAGAATGTTGAATATTGGCCCCCATTCTCTTCTGGCTTGTAGAGTTTCTGCTGAGAGATCTGCTGTTAGTCTGATGGGCTTCCCTTTGTGGGTAACCTGACCTTTCTCTCTGGCTGCCCTTAACATTTTTTCCTTCATTTCAACTTTGGTGAATCTGACAATTATGTGTCTTGGAGTTGCTCTTCTCGAGGAGTATCTTTGTGGTGTTCTCTGTATTTCCTGAATTTGAATATTGGCCTGCCTTGCTAGGTTGGGGAAGTTCTCCTGGATAATACCCTGCAGAGTGTTTTCCAACTTGATTCCATTCTCCCCGTCACTTTCAGGTACAACAATCAGATGTAGATTTGGTCTTTTCACATAGTCCCATATTTCTTGGAGGCTTTGTTCATTTCTTTTTATTCTTTTTTCTCTAAACTTCTGTTCTTGCTTCATTTCATTCATTTGATCTTCAATCACTGATACCCTTTCTTCGAGTTGATCGAATCAGCTACTGAAGCTTGTGCCTTCATCATGTAGTTCTCGTGCCATGGTTTTCAGCTCCACCAGGTCATTTAAGGACTTCTCTACATTGGTTATTCTAGTTAGCCATTCGACTAATCATTTTTCAAGGTTTTTAGCTTCTTTGCAATGGGTTCGAACTTCCTCCTTTAGCTCGGAGAAGTTTGATCATCTGAAGCCTTCTTCTCTCAACTCATCAAAGTCATTCTCCATCAGGCTTTGTTCCATTGCTGGTGAGGAGCTGTGTTCCTTTGGAGGAGGAGAGGCACTCTGATTTTTAGAATTTTCAGTTTTTCTGCCCTGTTTTTTCCCCATCTTTGTGGTTTTATCTATCTTTGGTCTTTGATGATGGTGACATACAGATGGGGTTTTGGTGTGGATGTCCTTTCTGTTTGTTAGTTTTCCTTCTAACAGTCAGGACCCTCAGCTGCAGGTCTGTTGGAGTTTGCTGGAGGTCCACTCCAGACCCTGTTTGCCTGGGTATCAGCAGCGGAGGCAGCAGAACAGTGAATATTGCTGAACAGCAAATGTTGCTGCCTGATCGTTCCTCTGGAAGCTTCGTCTCAGAGGGGTACCCAGCCATGTGAGGTGTCAGTCTGATCCTACTGGAGGGTGCCTCCCAGTTAGGCTACTTGGGGGTCAGGGACCCACTTGAGGAGTCAGTCTGTCACTTCTCAGATCTCAAACTCCATGCTGGGAGAACCACTACTCTCTTCAAAGCTGTCAGACAGGGACATTTAAGTCTGCAGAGGTTTCTGCTGCCTTTTGTTTGGCTATGCCCTGCCCTCAGAGGTGGAGTCTACAGAGGCAGGCAGGCCTCCTTGAGCTGCAGTGGGCTCCACCCAGTTCAAGCTTCCTGGCTGCTTTGTTTACCTACTCAAGCCCCAGCAAAGGCGGGTGCCCCTCCCCCAGGCTTGCTGCTGCCTTGCAGTTCGATCTCCGACTGCTGTGCTAGCAATGAGCGAGGCTCCGTGGGCGTGGGACTCTCTGAGCCATGTGCGGGATATAATCTCCTGGTGTGCCGTTTGCTAAGACCATTGGAAAAGCACAGTATTAGGGTGGGAGTGACCCGATTTTCCAGATGCCATCTGACACAGTTTTGCTTGGCTAGGAAAGGGAATTCCCTGACCCCTTGCACTTCCTGGGTGAGGCAATGCCTCGCCCTGCTTCAGCTCACGCATGGTGTGCTGCACCCACTGTCCTGCATCCACTGTCCGACAAACCCTAGTGAGATGAACCTGGTACCTCAGTTGGAAATGCAGAAATCATCCGTCTTCTGCATCGCTCACACTGGGAGCTGTAGACTGGAGCTGTTCCTATTCTTCCATCTTGGAACCACCAGCATGCAGTTGTTTTAATTAGCAAGTAAGTTTTCAGGCCTAGCACGTTTTAAGAGTTACCAATTTGAGCAATACACCATCTAGAATAGGGCTTCTGGATCTTAGCAGTATTGGCATTTGGAGCTGGATAATTCTTGGCTGTGGTGCTGTCTTGTGCATTGTGGGGTGTTTAGCCTTAGATGCTGTATTAGTCTGTTCCTATGCTGCTGATAAAGACACACCTGAGACTGGGTAGCATGTTAGGCAGAACAACCATGATGGCTCTGAGAAAGGCCCAGGAGCTATTAGGCTTTTTTCACAAAACGTGCTCTAATTCCATGATAATCTTATAAATCTCAAATTGGAATTTCTGAAGTTATTTACAGTTTTGTTGTTGAAATTTGAAGAAAAGTTCCATGGACTCTTTCAGTTCATCTTTTCTATGGTGATTTTTGTTTAAAAATGGTTCAATTCCTTGGCTTGCTGTGGCTAAAATATTACACTGAAATTTCTCTCATAGGAACACTCCTACTTATTTTTTTCCCTGGCCTTTTGAAGGATATGCAATTGAGTGATGGCACTGATTTCATTACCAATTCCTTCTGAAAAGGGCAATTTTACTAGGTCAATGGTGAAACGTCAAGTCAAGGATAAAAAGAAACCTAGTCTACCTCTAAAACATTCTGCAACTTAGAAGTTATTATGTTGGAAACAGGTCTACATAGAACCAAATTCAAGTCTCGAGTTGGCCGTTATCCAATACATTTGGGAAGTATTAAATAATTCACTACTGCCAAATAGATAATTCACTACTGCCTGTGTCTTGCCAAAGTGGCAGGGGGTAGTTTGAAAGATCTAGGCCAGATGACATTTTAGGATGTAATAAATTCATGGTGCTTAGAAGGAAAAGTCAAACTTGTATGATATTTTATACATAATTTTATTTATATTCAATATTCATGTTCTATTCCAGTACTTCCTAAGGTATGAACACAGCGAAAGGGTTCTAGTGAAAAGAAGTTTAAAAAGAAGTAGGTTAAACATAATAAAATAAGCTGAGTAGCTGCAGATTTTCTGAGTGTCTAATAAATATGCCAATGTGCATTGTGATCTTCAGAAACACTTTCACTCTGGGAATATTTTAAGGAACTCAGTTTTCTTTATGGTACTTTTTGGGAAATAATAGTCGCTGGTAATAATGAGACTTGGCATTACTTTATAAGGATAAAATCTAGTGCTCCTTTTCTCTGGTCCACCTTAGGCCTTGGGCTTCAATTCTATCATTTCTGGGAGTGATGGAAATGTGATCTTCAGATTTATGGCTTGTAGACGGTGACTGACTCAGACACAGCTGTGGTGAACATGTGCATAAGAGCAGGAGGTGCAGTCATGCCCTGAGACCTCAGGATTATCATCAGATGACCTGGGTTTCTGTATCTGCCCTACTAGATGCTAATTCTGTGCTCTTAAATAGTTCACTAGATCTCTTTGTACCTCAGTTTCCTCATCAGCAAAGTAGGCACAAATATCCCTAATTGACACTGTTCAGATTAGTGCAAGTCTCAGGTGGGAGCATGGATGTAAGAGAGCCTTAATAAAATGCAGTGTTATAAAAAGCTGGGGCCAGGTGCAGTGGCTCATGCCGGTAATCCCAGCACTTTGGGAGGCCAAGGTGAGTGAATCACCTGAAGTCAGGAGTTTGAGACCAGTCTGGCCAACATGGTGAAACCCCGTCTCTACTAAAAATACAAAAATTAGCCAGGCGCAGTGATGGGCACCTATAATCCTAGCTACTCAGGAGGCTGAGGCACGAGAATTGCTTGAACCCAGGAGGCGGAGGTTGCAGTGAGCCGAGATCACGCCACAGCACTGCAGCCTGGGTGACAGAATGAGAATTTGTCTCAAAAAAACAAACAAACAAAAAAACTGGTTAAAGTGTATTCTGTACTTGAAAACTGCTAAGAGAGTAGATTTTAAATGTTCTCAGTACAAAAAACAAGATAAATATGTGAGGTAATAGATATGTTAATTAGCTTGATTTATTCATTCCACAACAAACATATATATCAAAATATCATGTTGTATATCACAAATATATACAATTTTTATTTTTCAAATAAAATGAATAAATAAAAATATAAAATAATTTAAAAAATTTTAAAAAGCTAGTTAGCTTTTATTATTGTTGTAGCTACAAAGAAGGCAGCATTGTAATCTCTAACGCAGCATACTTTTGGTTACAAGGAATGAAAATCCTACTTAAAGTAACTTAAGCAAAAAAAAAATTTTTTTTAAAAGGACAATGGAAGTATGTCTCTTAGAAGTCATGATCAATGTATCAGTCCAGATCCCAATAGGAAACAGGTGGCACACTCAATTAGGAGAATTCAAGGAGAGGCTATTTACAAAGGGACTAACAACAAAGGTGTTGGCAGGATAGGCAGAACTACAGGGACAGGGCAGGGCTGTAACCCAGCAGCAGCAGAACTGTCACCACAGGGGATGAGAGGAGGCAACAGAGGCTATAGGAGAGAAAGTCATGCATATCTGGGTTTCTTTTTTTTTAAAACTTTTATTTTAATTTCAGGGCTACACGTGCAGGTTTGTTAGGTAGACTTGTGTCATGGGGATTTGCTTATAAGTGAGAACATGCAGTATTTGATATTCTGTTTCTGCCTTAGTTTGCTAAGGGCCTCCAGCTCCATCTATGTTCCTGAAAAGGATAGGATCTCATTCTTATTTATGGCTGCATAGTATTCCATGGTGTATATTATATGTACGACATTTTCTTTATCCAGTCTATCATTGATGGGCCTTTAGGTTGATTTCCATATCTTTGATATTGTGAATAGTGGTGCAACGAACACACACATGCATGTGTCTTTTTTTTTTCTTCTTTGAAACAGCCTTGCTCTGTTGCCCAGGCTGGAATGCCGTGGCATGATTTCAGCTCACTGCAACCTCCACCTCCTGAGTTCAAGCAATTCTCCTCCCTCAGCCTCCTGAGTAGCTGGGACTACAGGCGTGCACCACCATGCCCAGCTAATTTTTTTATTTTTAGTAGAGATGGGGTTTCACCATGTTGGCCAGGCTAGTCTCGAACTCCTGTCCTCAGGTAATCTGCCCACCTCAGCCTCCCAATGTGCTGGAATTACAGGTGTGAGCCACCATGCCCAGCCAGATGTGTTTTTATGGTAGAATGATTTATATTCCTTTAGGTATATACCCAGGAATGGGATTTTTTAATTGAATGGGATTTCTGTTTTTAGGTCTGTAGGTAATTGTCATACTGTCTTCCACAATGGTTGAACTAATTTACACTCCCACCAACTGTGTATAAGCATTTCTTTTTCTCTGCAGCCTCATCAGCATCTTATATTTTCACTTTTTAATAATAGCAATTCTGACCATTGCTATTATTAAAAAGCATCTCATTGTGGTTTTGATTTACATTTATCTAATGATCAGTGATATTGAGCATTCTTTTCATATGCTTCTTGTGTACATATATGTCTTCTTTTGAAAAGTGTCTGTTCATGTCCTTTGTCCACTTTTTAATGGGATTGTTTTTTTTCTTGTAAATTTGTTTAAGTTGCTTATAGATTCTGGATATTAGGCCTTTGTCACATGCATAGCTTGCAAAAATTTTCTTCCATTCAATAGGTTGTCTGTTTACTCTGTTGATAGTTTGATAGTTTTCTTTGCTGTGCAGAAGTGCTTTAGTTTAACTAGATCCCATTTCTCAAGTTTTGCTTTTGTTACAATTGCTTTTGGCATCTTTGTCATGAAATCTTTGCTCGTGCTTATGTCCTGAATGGTATTGCCTAGATTTTCTTCTGGGGTTTTTATAGTTCTGGGTTTAACATTTAAGTCTTTAATTCATCTTGAGTTAATTTTTGTATATGGTGTAAGGAAGGAGTCCAGTTTCAATCTTCTGCATATAGCTAGCCTGTTATCCCAGCACCATTTGCTGAATAGGGAGTCCTTTTCCCCATTAAAAGAGTTGCTTTCTTTCAGGAACACAAAACACCTGAGCTGACTCCTCACAGAGGGAACAGAAAAAAAAATGGCCTGACCCTGTTCTCCTCCTTCTCTTGCACCTCCCCACAGGCTTCCCCAACCAGAAGCCAGAGGGCACAGTGCTGTTGATGCCATACGGGAAAGTCTTCTGAGGAAAAGATGAGGGTGGAGAAGGGTGAAGAGTAAACCTGGAGAGTGAACAGAAGATGCCCAGCACAGAGAAGATGGCAGTCAGGCTTTAGGAAGGAATGAAAACTCGACGCTCAGGAGCCATCAGGAGAAGATATGTACATAGGCTCAAAGTAACTCTTCCCAAATATGTATTAATTACTGTGGTGGCTTGAACATATGTTTGCAACATTTTTGATATGCCTCACTCCAAGATCTAAAGCTTAATTCCCCTCCCTTGAGAGTAGGCTGGACTTAGTGACTTGCTCTTAATGAATAGAGTATGGAAAAGAAAATTTCATAGCTTAGCAGTAGTGAGACCTCGCAGATACTACTTAACCAGGTGATCCAGATCATCACGGTCAGTGAAGAGTCATATTTTCATACATCACCTCTACCCGCTGAGGATGCAATGACAAGGGCACTTTATTTCTGTGTAATTCTTCTCCTAAATCTACAAGCCCAATCAAGTCAGGAGAAAAACATCACACAAACCTGAATGCTGAAGCATTCTACAAAATACCTGACCAGTACTCTTTAAAAGTATCAGGATTATGAAAGAAGGAGCAAAAAATTGTCACAGATTGAAGAAGACTAAGGAGAAATGATGATGGAATGCAATATGGTATCCTAGATTGATTGGATCTTGACACGGAAAAAGAACATTATTGGATAAGTTGGCAAAATCTGAATATCTGTAGTTTAATTAATATCTAAATTTCTTAGTTTTGAACAAATGTACTACAGTTATGTTAAGATGTTAACATTAGAGGAAGCTGGGTGAAGGGTATATGTGAATTCTACGTACTGACTTTGAAACTTTTGTGTAAATCCAAAAATACTTCAAAATTTTAAAAAGTTAAAGAAGCATCAGGTTATTATATTTCTTATTGATGTTCCTTCCAAAAAGTCTGGCTTGTTTTTCTCTATCTCTCTCTCTGTCTCTTTCTTTCAAAATGACTCCCAAAATTTCTAAGCAGATACTTCCTCAGAACCAACTAACTACTGTCACCAGGTGGTGGAGTCTACTGCACCAACAAGGTATCACCTCCTCAAATAAGTAGATGAGGAAGAAGGACATTTCCTAGAGAAAGTGGTCTTCAATAGGCAATTCAATAGATGCCCATTACACAAACTGAGACACATGCAGGAGATCATTTCTTCACTTTCCTTCAACTCAGTCCAGTGGCTACACTCCTAAAAAGCCAAGTAATCCACATAGCAAGGGATTTAGAATTGTTACAGTCTCTCAACGATGTTTTATAGGGACAATACCAATTGAGTATAGACATACACATGGATGTAGAAACTTAAACTATTTAAGTTGTTTTCTTACATCTTAGTGGTGGAGTAATTATTTGCAATAAATATTCTCTTTCATAGATTCTGTTAATAAGAGATTATTGTTATAATCTAGAGGCAAGAACAGCAGTTAAATTACCCTATCTATAGGATAATATTGAATTTCATTGCTATAATAGGCACCTCCTTAAACTGTGATAAAGTAGTAGGATTGTTGTAATTACACCTAGCAGAGTAAAGGCATTACAACTACAAGGAGTGAAAAGTCCTGCTCAAATTGAAATAAACAATGAAGGGATTTACAACTCCATATAGCAAGAACAGCAGATGAAGGCTGGGCTCCAGGGCTACTTCCCTGCAATTTTACCAGCTCTGGCTTCTTTCCTGTGGAAGCTTGTCTCACGGTCTCAAGAGAGCTACCTGCAGCAACCTGCTTCATTATGTCTATGCGAGGAAAAGATATGAATCTCTCCTTCCACTCCTGGAATATAAACGTCTTCTAATACTCTCATTGGACTACCTAGATTGTGTGCCCACCTCCAGACCAATAAGAGTTACCAAGTGAAATGTCATGAATGAATTGAGTTTATCTTGGATTCTAAACCAATCACTAGGACAAAGAATGGGAACACCAGGTTTGATCTACAATAGTCAGGATCCACTCATGGAGCTGGAACAAGATGGACACCCGAACACAACTGAAGTTCTATTAGAAAGGTAAAAATGGGGAACCAACAAAGTCTGCTGCTGTAGAAATCGGTTAGAGGTGTAGGCATTTGAGTCAAACTATTTGTGTTCAAAGCCTTGTTCTACTCTCAGAGTGCTGAATTAGTCGCTTGACTTCTCCATGCCCCAGTTTTCTCGTCTGTGTGATGGCGACATATAATCTTTTTATCGTAGCATTTTTATGAGGATTTAATAAATTAATTGTATTAAAGGTACTTACAGAAGTGTCTAATACACAATAGATATTTAAGAAATGCTCACAAATATTATTTTTAAAGATACCTACACTTGTAAGCAGAAAAATAATTTTAATCTCAGATCTTACATTTAATAGAGTTTAATTTTTTCTCTATCTTCTATGACTGAGAAAATTACTTAATGCCTCTGCTCCTTCATTTCAGTATTTCTAAAATGAAGATAATAATACATGCGTTCCAAAGGGTTGTTCAAGTGAAATAGCATAAGCAAAATAACTAAAAATAGGAAATTGATTTAACAAATATACCCCATGAGTATGAATATCAAGCCATAAATTTCGGCTCAGAGAAAATATAACTTCTCTATTCTCTATAACTAAACTTAACTTCTACCAGGAGCTCCATGCTGCTAGTGGTGGGGTTTGTTCTTAGTCTATTCAGGGTAAGCAGGTCAAATCAGGACATCCAGTCTCTTATGTCCCTATGGATGTATCTGAGCACTGGTGGGATGGGAGGGAACAATCACCTGCCTGACCATCAGTTGCCCTATGCCCACAGTGGCATTCACTGAGATACCATTGATTCTATCTAGGGTCCAGATCTGGGTCACACAGATGCTACTGTGTTCACTTTAATCCCATCCACAATGCCTATTCTGGTCCACTAACTTTATAAGTTACATCTGTGCCTCATGGGAAAACATTATGCTGCTCCCCCAGCCACACTAGAGGGCACAGAACCTCTTGAAGTTATCCTGGCCCCATCTTCCCAGACATTTCTATTCTTCCATCACCACACCATGCTGGCCACACAGGGAGGTCTGCAAAGCAAAACCTACTCTTTGATCCCTTACCCCTTACCCCTTACCCCTTGGATCCCCTTGGAGGAGGGAAAGAGGAGCCTTCCCTCCAGCCAAGTCATGGGGAGAATGGAAGAATACAAGCCCTTCCCAAGGATCTGTCAGCATCCAAACTCCACTCTGTCTCCTCTCCTTCCCCCCAACTCAAAAAAACCTTTATTTTTTTTCTAGGCTGGAACAAATGGGCACTGAATGATCATTTAGCCTCCTAAATAGATTATTTATGCAAGGACTGAAACATTTCAAACTCAAAGAGAATAATTTGGCTTTTGTTCAACTGTATCTCCCCTTCCCTGAAGCAGTAAGTTCAGGAATGCTTTGGCTATTGCTTGGTGGGAGTGGGAGGGGAGAGATACAGAATAATTATTGAGAATAAAAAACATGCTTAATATAGTATATCAAGTATTATTCTACTGTATCTCTGTTACCAAGACTATTTTACATTGACTGATTTGTATCTCGACTGCTTCCAGAAAAAGAATTTGAGATAACTTAACATAAAAACATAGATACAATGACAAAACAATCTGAGATCAAAGGAGAAACCAAGGACCAAGTTTCATTATCTAATATTTCAGAAGAATACATTTAATATCACCATTATCATCATCATTATTTTTGAGTACCTACCATGTGACAGACCCTGTACCAAGTACTTTGTACTTTAAATGTATTCCTGATCAAGGATTAATTACATTCTTACAATAACCCTAGCATAATAGGTAGTATCCCCATTTTACCTAAAAACACACTGAATTTCAGGAAAGTTTTGTAGCTTAAAGATTCTTCCAACAGAAAAATGATGATGTGGTTAATATTTGATATATTCCCCTTCTGCTGATGGCAGATAGCCTCAGATGTGAGCTACCTAGCTCAGGTCACAGCCCTTCTCAGGACAGTGCCTCCCACGATGGACCAATGTGTTGTGGGCCATCTTGACAACTCCAGACCACTATGAAGGGTCATATTAGCTGCAGAAACCTCCTCACAGCTTAGCCAAGGTTGGCCACAATGCAACTTCTCTCTGCCCACTCTTACTCTCTCCTCTTTACTCCATGATATTGATCTCAAAGCCACTCCTTTATAAATATCTTCCCTGCTAAATTCTGTCTCAGTGTTTCCTGAGGGACTCAACCTGCAGGAAACAGAATGAGGATTAAGACACAAATTGGTTTTACTTCAAAGCTTATCTTCTTAATCATTGTGCTGTGTACAGTGAATATGGTATAGTAAGATGCATTTAATGGACGGAGGTGGAGTCATAATAACAGAGCAGTGAATTGGTGGTGCTCACAGCTAATGTACTGAGTTGTATCTCTGTTTCAGAGGTTCATTCCCTTCTGACTCCAACATCTATCTGTTATCCCTGTGCCAAACTGCTTCTTGATAACTCCTCAAGAAGAATAAAATTTTCCTCTACCATAATAATGATAACAATGACAACTTACTGTTCCCAAGTAACAGGTCAATATTTAAAGACATTGGTTTTGGATGGAGGCTTGATTGACTGATGAAGAAAAGCCAAGCAATTCACCCAAGTATCAGATTCAAAGAGTTCCTCTACTAAGATTCTTTCCATCTACCTGACATGAGAGGGCCCAGGAGCATTGGATCCCAGGTCCACTCAGTTGCCAAGGGTCAGAGATACCATACCCAAGGAGGGTGGATCTCACAACAGTGCTGTGGCACCAGGTAAGGTAATCAGAGCACCTGATCTCTCCTAAGCCAGCGTGGCTGTCTTCCACAGAAAAGGCATGCAGCTTAAGTTTGTCTCGTTTCAAGTCCCATGTTAGGAGATAAAGCAGGATTCCAGTGAATGAGTTGTGAATTACTTTGTGAATTTGGGCTGTGAAAGCAGCCAAAGCAGATAATTCTTGCCTATTAAGTGTATTTATCTCATGTTCAATTGTGTAATTACTTTTTTTTAAAAAAATCCATTTTCCCCATTTTATTGTCATGAAGATACAAAGGGGACATTTGAGATAAAGAAATAATTATCTAGGCGAGGACATAACAACTGCTCCTCCTGTAAAGTTGAACTTTTATATTCACTAAGTGGTTCAAAGAAAGGATCAGTAAGTGGAGGCTGCTAAGTCCTTGCCTCTTCACTTGGAGCAAAATTGTGCTGATCTTATGAGAAGGTAGCTAAATAGATGACATTATAGGAGGGACGGTAAGAAAGCCCCACGGATCCAGAAAGGTTTATCAAGTACTTGTCTGAAATTCTACCACTATTAGCAAAGCTCTCCTTTGGGTTGGGTTTTGAATATTTCCTGAAACATGGCCAATTAAAATGTCATTAATAGAAGGGGTGGGATTAACACCTTAATCCACTTGCATTTAGTAGAACTAGGACATTTGAAGGAACAAGGACATGGCAAGAGAAAAGAACATTGAATGGGCATGTAGAAAGTGATACAGAATAGCTAAAAGGGGTAATATACAATTCATATAGTCTGCCTGTCATAGGTGAGACAATGCAGTTTGTAAAGCAGCACTTCCTAAAGTTTGTTCCCAACAATTGTTGCCCAGGATCGAACACGCTGTCCTTAGTTATAGCATTCCAAGGTCAAATAAATTTGGGAAACCCTAGATTAAACAAATTCAATAAATTTCTATCCTTTAGGGCTCATTAGTGCTCATATGCATTGTGAATTATGAGCCGAGGAAAAGGAGGAATATATACAGAACACAGATCCTTATCTGTGTAGTACCTTCCGAGATTAATTGCTGTAGAAAATCTCTAGAGAGATGCAATGGCTCACCCACGGCAGATGTGAAACTAGCACCCAGCTTTTCTGACTCCCAGTCTAATTATTTTTCTGCTCTACAGTGCTCTAATCCCATTACTTTGTTTTGGGCAAGTCCAGGACATTTAAAAAAAAAAAAAAAAAAGAGCTCAGAAGTTCAGAGACTGTAAAAAGTACTCTGCACAAAGCAAAACAACAAAAACTACACCTGCATGAGCTCAAATGCACTCGCTGAACTGTAGTGATCCTGCTCACTCTCTCTTTTTCTTTGATGATAAAGTGAATGTGGCAGCCTGAGGAGCAGTATAGTTTCCTCTCCCCACTTTCCCACCTCATCCCTTCACATTGGTCTACTGGAAGACAAGAGCAATCCCTGGAGGAAAAACAAGAAGTGGATGAATCCAGATGGCAGCAATCAAGGTTCTCCTCCCGAAAGCACACCCATGACCCCCTAAACTCACTCAAAGGAACCCAGACTAAGACCCAGGTTCTGGTGCTCCTCACAGGAGAACGTCACCAATCAAGTGAGGTGATATCCCAAGAGGATAAAAATGAGCTAAAATTGAAACATTACAAAAATCCAAGAAGCGTGAGAAACATGAAAGAGTGATAACCTAAGGATGGATTAACTTGTACTAGGAGAAGCAAAACTAATGGGACAGAGTAAGAAGTTAAAATATACATTATAGATAATCTCAGAGAGGTTAAGAAGACTATAAAAAATGTGAAGCAAGAAAAAAACATAATCAATTTTAATTTTGATATAAACACTTATTGCTAAGATAGAGAGCTTAATGTATGGGTCTACAGAATAATTCAAACAAGCAAAATAAAATTCAACCGCTCCTCTACATGATTTAAAAAAAGGGTATGTAGGGAGAAATTAAAAATAAAACAAAATAAAGCATTGTAAACAGAAAACATAAAACCATTTGTCCAAAGACATAATGATTATTATAAATGTAAATGACTCTGACTCAGCAATCAAAAGACTCCTAGGTTGAATTTTAAAGAGATATATCATCTATAAAAAGCATTTTAAAACATAAATGACAAAGAAAGTTGAAAATAGAGTTAAAAATACACTAAGCAAATATAAACCAAAAGAAAGCCAGAATGCTAATTTTTGATATCAGCCAAAATAAATAATATGAAAAAACATCATAACGAAAAAAGAATAAATTAATCATGGTAAAGGAATAATATAACAAGAATACTTAGCAATCATAATAAATATGTACTTGTCTCACTCAATCCCAGCTACTATAACAAAATAAAATAGACTGGGTGGCTTATAAACAACATAAACTTATTTCTCACATTTCTGGAGGATGAGAAGTTCAAAATCAAGCTGATGGCAGATTCAGTGTCTGGTGAGAGCCCACTTCCTGGTTCATACATGGCAGTCTTTTTGTTAAGTCCACACAAGGTGCGAAGGGCAAGGGACCTCTCTCAGGCCTCTTTGATAAGGTCATTAATCCCATTTGTGAGGGCTTTACCCTGATGACCTCATCACTTCCCAAAGGCCCCACCTTCTAATATCATCACCTTGGAGGTTAGGATTTCAACATATGAATTTTTGCAGGGATGAGGAGGGACAAAAATATTCAGTCTATAGCAGGGCTCAATAATATAGCCTCCACTAGATAAAGCAACTGATAAAATTACAGGGAGAAATCTATAAATAGCCCCTGTCAGGAACTGATAGATCAAAGATTAAGTTTGATCTAAATATATGAACTTTATAGCCATAAGCATAAAAATAAACTTCCATTAAGAGGATATGTGGCCAGGAGCAGTGGCTCACGCTTGTAATCCCAGCATTTTAGGAGGCCGAGGCGAGTGGATCACCTGAGGTCAGGAGTTCAAAACCAGCCTCGCCAACATGGTGAAACCCCGTCTCTACTAAAAATGCAAAAAAGTAGCCGGGCATGGAGATGGGCGCCTGTAATCCCAGCTACTCAGGAGGCTGAGGCAGGAGAATCACTTTAACCCAGGAGGCGGAGGTTGCAGTGAGCCAAGATGGTGCCGTTGCACTCCAGCCTAGGCAACAAGAGTGAAACTCCATCTCAAAAAAAAAAAAAAAAAAAAAAAAAAAAGATACGTAAAAATTCACAGAAATTGGTCATACGGTAAGTCACAAAGAATATTTCAATGAATTCTGAAGATGGGCATCATATACAATGTGTTCTTTGTCTATAGTGCCATAAAACAAAACATTTATAACAAAATCATAGCAAAAATATTACATGTCTGAAAGCCCAAATATATATTTTTAAGTAATCCATAGGATAAAGAGGGTATTACAGGAGAAATTATGAGGTATATAAAAGCATTAAATGCCAAAATGAAAATAAAATAAAAGTCAAAACGTATTGCTTGGAGTTAAAGCAATAGTATGAGAGATTTAGTCTTGATTATGTTTATATAGAAAACTAGAAGAAATGAAAATAAATGAGAAGATTTAACGTAAAAATCTAGAAAATGCCGCAACAAAATAAACTCAGAAAAACAAGAAAAAAATGAAATATTAAAGATAAGGCTAAAATTAATTAAACCAAGAAAAAAAAACAACAAAATACTAAAGATAATTAGCAAATCCCCAAAAGTAGTTATCTTAAAAATACTAATAAGACAAAATGCTGGCAAGATTGACATAGTAAAGAAAAGAAGGGGAGAGGGAAGACAGAGGCAGGAAAATTCAGAAATGAAAAAAGGAAACAGAATAATATTTTTAGCAAATGCAGGCTAGAAAATTTGAAAACCTGGATGAAATGGATAAAATTCTATAAAATTATAAAATGCCAACATTAGAACAGGAAGACATAAAACATATGGAATTGCCAATAAAAAGCCTGAAGTCAGCCATCATAATCTTCCCTGTACCACCTCTCCCCTACTTAAAAGATCTGACAAATTATTTCACAGGCATGTGGTAGCAAAGCAAATATCTTTATCTTATACAAGTTTTTACAGAAAATAGAAAAAGAAAGTTACATAAGTCATTTATGAAACTAATAATGCCTTTATGTTATAATCAGGAAAGAACCACCTTAAAAAGAAAAAATTATAGAACAGTTTTTCTTATAAAAACAGATGCCAAAACTTAAATAAAACTTAGTTAACTAAAACCAACACTGTGTTTTCTGTAATATGTCATGGTTAAATATAATGTATTACTTCTGAGTTTAATATTTTAAAAATCTATCAGTTTACGTTAATGAATCAGAAAAGAAAAATCATACAAACATAAGAGTAGAAAATTATTTGACATTGTTCAACTATTCATGATTTAAAATAAAAACCAAACCAAGGAGAGAAGAGACCATTTTTAATTTTAAACGCTATTTAAAACCTCACAACAACAACAATAAGCCATACAAAACTGAGAAACATTACATGCCTGCCTTTTAAGTCCAGAGAGAACACAGCAATGTCAGCTATTATAGTTACAGCTCAGTTGAATACTACTGTTTCCTGGTCAACTTAATAATAGGAGAAAGAAATAAGTGATACAAAATTTTGGAGGAAATAAGCAAAAATTTTATTTGTAGATGTTATGGTTATTTACATAGAAAACCCAAGAGAATACACAAACTATTACAACTAATCAGAAAACTTACCCAGGTTGCTGGATACAAGATTAATATATAAAAATAAAAAAGCTTCCTTCTACGTAAGCAGTAACTAACTAGAAAATGCAAAAGAAAATAGCTGTCAAACCAATCATTACAGTAATGAATCAAGGAATTAACCAAGAATTCACAAACCTTTATGATAAAATAACTAAATAAAGTGAGATATACCATATTAATAGATGGGCCACTTCTTATAAAGATGTCAATTTAATCTAAATTCATTTAAAAACGTAATATAATTCTACTCAAAATACCAAAAAGATACAGGGGGAATGGACAGAAATGGAACAATGTCTGAAATTTACATGGAAAAATAAAGACCCTCAACTAGCTAAGAAATTTTTGAAAAAGGAGAGCAAAGGATAGAACATCATTCTGTCAGATATTTGAGTAACTACACAATATTAGTATTAGATTAGTATGTTGCAAGAAGACAAAAAATTATCTTTAAAAAATGGAGAGCTCAGAAATAGAGCCATATCTTTATGGAAACTTGTAATGTGATAGAAATGGCAACAAAGATCAGTGGAAGAACAGGTGAATGATTTAGTAAACAGAATTGAAATATTTGCCTAACCTTAGAGACAAACGTGAAGTTAGCTAACTGCTTTAGAGTACATACAAAAATAAACTCTGTATGAGTAAAGATCTAAATGATAAATGCAAAATAGTGAATATAGAAGAAAATATAGGAGAATACCCAGCAAAACAAAAAACACAGGCATCAAGGAAAGAATTGCTAGACCGACTACACCAATATTGTGGATTTTTGTCCACACTATAGACATATTTTAACAGGTGGCTGTTAAAAGAATCTTACAGTGTCTATCACCAATGCAGAATTAATATCTGGAGTAAGTAGAAAATGAGAACAAATAAGACTCCTCCTCAAAAAAAAGGAACTCTAGAAAAATGGGTAAAGCGCATGTTTGTTATATGAAAAGATGCACTGCTTTACTAATAGTCACAGAAATACAAATTAAGACAAAAATGCCACTTTATACCCATTAGACTGAAAAAACTAGAAGGTAAGAAATGGAAAGCCTCATATACTTCTGCTGGAAGTATTATTCATAACTAACGCAGACACAATTGGGAGAGACATTCATTTATTCAGTAAAAGATTTTATTGAGTGACTATTAGGAAAACAGGCTTCCTCTCAGCATTAAAAAGGTAGCACTTTTTAATAGAAAAGTGCTATCCTCCACTTTAGCAAGCAAGATCAAATAAATGACTGGTCCAAGATATTACTGTTAGTCCAGCTGAAAATACAAATGTTCTAACACCTTTTCTAACCAATGGATTCTGCACAATCCACATAACAGGAACTGTCTCAGTTCACAAATGTGCTGAAAAAAAGTGAATAGAATGAGATAATGCGATTTCCAAAAGTACTGTACTTAATCCCAGGGCAGAGTGTGTGCACTGGAAGAGTCTGGTTTGCTAAGACATAAGGATATTCAGTGATTTGCATTTTGAGGTATGGTCCAGATCTTTACAAAAGCAAGGGAAGCAAAGCAAGGGGAATATATAGTCCTTAGCAAGGCATTCAAGGTCATCCATAACCTGTCCCTGATTTACCTTTTAAAGACCTCTCCCCATTCTGTTTCATGACCAGACTTCAACCAAACCAATTTTTTTTTTTATCATCTCCGTGCATTTTTATACTCGGCACGTTTTCTACCCTAGGCCTTCGGTAGTGCTCTTCCTGCATTTGAAATATCTTCAGCCCCATCTCCACCTGATAAAATTCAGTCTACATCAGAACCATGTGTAAATTCTATTCCTTCCATAAAAACATTATGTGAGGCCTAGGTAGAAGGAATGCTCCCTTTGCTGAGCTCTCAAAACACTGAATTATTCTATCATTCTGTGATTACATTGGCCTATAGGAATCCTACTGTTAGAATGAATTAAATTTATGCCTAGTGTTCCATTATTGGAACACTAAGCATGTGGGAGTTATTTATATCTTACTGCTCAAGGTCATCGCCAAGGACTGATTGTAAAAACTCAAAAAAAAATTGCAACCTCAGGCATAAATGGGTTAAGACCAACACTGTCTGACTAGAAAAAATATAATTGTTCTTACTAGTAGTAAGCAAATTAACTCATACACTGAGTCCCCTTGGCCAAAATGAATCTGATACAAATGACCCCTTGCATTGTTCCATAGATTTACAAACCCACATTCTCCCAAGTATTTTCATGTTTGTATATTTTCCTCCAGTATTTGTCCATATACATGCACGTCCTACTTTACATGCATCTCATCAGAGAACACACACAATTTTGTCCTGCTTTTTTCACTGTATGCACATATCATATACACCCTTGGTATATTTTCATATAACTATTTCAGTATAGTTTCATTGTTATTTTAATGTCTCTGTAATTCTTCATTGTGTTGACATGTCATCATCACATTAACAAGATCCCTATTTGTGGTCACTTAGTTAAGAAAAAATGCATTTTTTTTCTTTTCCTCCTCTCCCTGACCCCAGGCCCTATGACAAAATATCCACATTAACTCTATATAGACTGAAATAAGCAAGTCTTAAATGGTCATGCTAGTCCTCCACTAGCACTCATTGGTCTGTGTCATCATTACTAGGACAAGGAATCAGAGTAATATATTCTTTGCCATTTGATAAATTGCCCCATTTCTCTCTTACCAAGATGGTCAAATAAATAAATGACAAAGTCCCTTCACAGAAACTCAGTAACTCGTCTAGAAATCTGGAAATGACTAGCCCTATATGTTTTCACGCATCTGTATTTTCAGCAAGGATACCCTTGGAAGACAAACTCCCTATCCTTGGCTCTCTGCAGGGCCTCCCACAGACAAATACAGTTTATTTGGACAAAATTCTACTTCTTAATTCTCCAAATGGAGAAGATAGACCATTAGCCCCTTTACACTGGCTAAATTACCAATTACCAGCAGGTAAACAGCCTATTATTGCAACACTGCTCTGAGCTTATTATGAGTGTCATTTGCAAAGGTGGAGCCCTTCCTAGAGAAATCTCTGTTTTATTAGCATAAAGAGGTCTAAAGAGCACTGGCCAGGGCCAGGAGGCCCTCCATGGTCCCCCGGGATCACGATTGATTTATGAGCTCCCTCACATTCACCTACGACAACACAATTCATTCCCATGTAAAATACTCTATTATTCCCCCACCCAAGAGTAAGGTCAGAAAATATCAAATGGAATACATTTTCTTAAGCAAAATAGGGAGAATAACTAGTTTTATAAAAAATTCCAAGACCAAAACCAATTAAACTGAAAAACTAATCTGGAGAGGAAAAGTAACCCAATGAACAAAAAGCAAGTGGGAAAAGCAAGCACACATTTCCACAGCGTCATTTCCTAAGTCCCTGGAGGCCATGCCACCCGCATGGACAGAGACATCCAGCAGCTCAGTGAGGGGGAAAGAGCATGATCTCTGGGAGCAGAAGACCAAGATGCTAAATGCTGGCCCTCCATTTTGAAGCCATGTGACCTCATGGAAGCTCCTTAACCACTTAGTATCTCATCTAAAATCTCTGCGTGGCTTCACGTGGTTGTTGTGAGGATTTAATTAAAACATCTACCTCCTGGCACAGAGTAGGCATTTATAGTTCTGGTTTGATGATCCACCCCACATCCACCTCATCAACACATTTGCCCTTTATGTTGCTTACTCTCCTCAATAAGCACTGGGAAAACCCTGCTAACTTGCAGTCTTCTGGTCTGGGAGCCTTCGTCCTTAACATGTCTAAGTACATACCTACTTCTATCCATTTTATGTAAACTCTGAAGTCTAGCTTTCTGTCTGAGTTTTTGCAGGGACATAAAATCAGTCCTTTGCACTACCTATGTCTTTATGTTTTGGTATTAACAAAGACTTTGAATCAACCTCAGGATTATTGTGTGGATTTAACTTTTTTTCTTTATTCTTTTTTTCTCGTCTTTTCTTTTTTGTATGTAAGTGGTAAAATTACCTGCACTATATTATATGTATTTTTAAAAATTTTTATTTATTGTCACACTTAAGTAGAAGTTCTGTTTTGTGGGAAGCAAATAACTTTCTCTTTTTTGAAAAGGAATTATTGTTCAAGAGCTTGAAAAGTGTTTCCAATTAGGATTTCCTTTCCTTTCAAGTTGCCATTTCAGAATGTAAGCGCCTTTGGTTTAAGCTGTTGCCAGGAAGGCCACTCTTATTTGCATAGTGTTAGAGGGAAATTGGAGCAAGTGCAAGTCTGGGTGTTCCCCATGCCATTCCATCTTCCTGTGCAGGAGAAAAGCAGAGGGAAACAACTAATATTTTGAGGAAGAGGCGAAACTTCCGCTTCTTGATATAAAATCTCTAATATTCCTCCTCTCTACTTCAGAATAACTTCTGTCTGGATCCTATCCTTTCACCCACCACTCTTTCAGAGAAACAGCTGTTCTTTTCTCTAGATCAGAATGAATGCTGCTCCCTGTTCCCTCAACTCATTTCTTCCCAGCCCTTGTATGACTATTTATCTAAAATATTTAAAGGTGTTTGTGCACAAGATAGAAGATCCTTTCCACCTGCGACATACTGTGACTCTGTGGTCTTGCATCTTCAATAATCCTCTCTCCAGCCAGTATCTTAAATTTCTTCTACTTCACCTACACCTTCCTCTCTGATGTCGCCAAATCTGTGCCCTTAAACTGACCAAACTACTATATTGGTAAGGGGCACCCAGGGCCTGAGGCTCCCCAGCAGATGCCACTCTTAAACAGGGATTTCTTTGCTTTGAATCCCTGCTGTTCATTCCCCTTTGCAACGCTCACCCCCTCAGGCTTAAAGCTAAAATTTACCTCTGCACTTTGACCTTCGGCTTTGGTCTCCTGTTTTTTGTCATTCCTAGCTGCCCTATAGGAGCACCTTGACCACCCTTGCTTCACCCCCTGCCACTGGAGATCATCTTAGAACCAGCAGTTCTGGCCTCAGTTTCTGGCTCATTAATTATTCAGTTAGTCAATAATTATTTATTGAGCACCTACCCTGCTCTAGGCACTACTCTGGGTGCTAGGAATGCAGAGATGAATTTAAAAAGTCAGGCCCCTACCCTTAAATTCCATGTCAGTCTCATCGGTAGGAGGAAGAGGTGGAAAGTGACTATCTACTAAGTCCCTCCTCAGATGGAGTTGGGCTGAGGGAGGAATCAAATGCTCTCTATTGAAATGGACTTGTATCCTCCTGGCCAGAAAACCGTTATACATGCTCTCTCCCTCCTTCTTCATCATCCAGTCCCTCCTAATCCCCTCTAAACTGGTTTCTATCCCCATTGAATTCATACTTCTTAGGGCTGGGCAAAAGACCAATCACCACACTCAACATCTTTTGTAGTTCATCTACCCAGTCACATATGACTCCTGTATTTCAGTTAGTGCAGACCCCAATGCACAGGGATCTTTTATTTTCCCCCTATGATTATCAGCCACTGAAACTTATTATTCTTTGTAATTTTCCTCACACCTGTGCCTTTTTTCCCAACTCCCATTGCTACCAGGCTTGCATCCACTTGTGACTGGACTGTTGCAATATCATCCTAACCAACATCTCTAACTCCATGGTAATTTCTTTCCAAATTATCCTCCACACATCGTAAAACACACCTTCCATCATGCCACGCCTTAGTCTAGATCCTTCAATGGTTCTCTGTTGCCTACAGTAAGAGTCTCTAATGTGTGGCTTATTAAACATATAAAGAAACACCTTCAGAAGCAATAAACTAACTTTTTTAATAATTTCTGAGGGTCAGGTACACTTGGTAGGTCAGGAAGTCCAAAAGAAATATGGAAATTATTACATAGAAGTTAAGATTATAGGCTCAAGTCTAGTCACCACTACTATGTGAATCCAAGAAAGTTAATTTACCTGAATGTGCCTCAGTTTTCTCATAGGTACGTTGAAGATAATGATACCTTCTTACAATACAATTATAATACGTAATAATTGAATATTTACATTTATATTGCAAAGACAGTGTTTTAAAGTGCTTTGCATAGAGCCTAGTACAAAAACCAACATTGAAAAACATGGTAATTAAAAATATCAGCAGGTGTTCTGATAATCTTAGGACTAGGTGGGTAGTGGTGACAGGTATAGGATAGAGGTGGCAACACTGTCCAGTTCTCTGAGGAGATCTCTTAAGAATCTGGCAAGGGACCAGAGCCCCCAAGCCTGATCACTCAGCTGAGAAGTTGCCCTAGCTCTAATTAGAGCCCCCAAGCCTGATCGCTCAGCTGAGAAGATGACCTAGTTCTAATTGGCTTGTTCCTCTGTACTGATGGTCACCAGCCCCTCCCCCGGGAAGGCAGGACCCCATCCTCCAATCCCCCAACTCACTCTTTCTCTTCTCCTTTCTAAGGAAACAAAGTTCCCTCTCCTTCCAACCATGTCTTCTTTCGTTTTCCCAATTTCTTCCCCTTCTTCTGAAAAATCCATATTTACCGCATTCTTCCTCTAACTATTCCTAAAAATCTAAATGAGACTGCAAGTTAGCCTGTGATAGATCACACCAGCCTTCTGCATAAAGATAAGTTCCATTTCCATTAAACATAGTGTAACCCATGTAGGTAATCAGAAAGGTTCTGGGCAGTTAGAAGCAGTTCCTCATTAGGAGAAAAGGAAGAGAAACACAAGGTGCAATAATGAGAAGGGCCAGGCCAAGCCACTCTAATAAATATTGATTTAGCAGCCAAATGTGCCAGTCATGCTAGATTGTGCCCTTTCTATCTAGCTTTGTCCTCACATTGTCTCAGGCATTGCTATGGTTATGTAGTTTATGTCTCTGCCTCTATAACATTGTACTTTTCTCGAGAGTCCTGGCCATGTCTTGCTCATGTAAATATCTCCACCTCAGTGTACAGTGCCGGGCATATTGCAAGGAGATAAGTGAAAGAAGCGAGGAAAAAGAAAGGGATGGGGAGAGGGGAAAAGAAGAAAGGAGAGAGCAAGAAGGGAGATGGAGCAAAAGAAACCAATTTGCAGAGTAGCAAAATCAGATAAGGGTTCTAATCCTTAGCTGTGTAAACACGGACAAATGACTTAACCTCTCTGGCCTTCAGTTGACTCATCTGTAAAATGGGGATAAATTAATAATACCTACCTCAAAGAACTACCATGAGATTTTAAGAAAATTAATATAGCTAAAGTAATAGATGCAAAGCCTGAGATATAATAGGTGATTGATAAATAATAGCAATTACTATTACAAATAAATAAATTTTTTTGAAAAAAAAGGAATGAAGTCACTGCCTATATCATAATGGAGGTGAGAAGGTCTTGGCCTAGCCCTCTCAAGTCTGCTCCCTGGTTTGGCTAGCCCTTTCTGGATCTTTGTGGTTGGAGAGCCACTTTGCCTACATAGCTTTCACTTAAATGGGGCTCTAAATCAAACTGTCCTCTGCCACCATTCTTCCTGGGCTTCTGATTATAATCATGCTGCCTGCTATTAGTACAGGAATGTTTAAAACTCCTATAAAACAAGAACTAATTGCTGATCTGCTTAATTAAAGTGAGCCTTTTGTTGTCACATTTACAAAGATAAATGAAATAATCAGCTCTGAACTAATGAGAGATAATTAGATTATGCAGCCCCAATAAATAAAGACCAAAATGCTCCTGATTGTCCCTGTATGTCACGGAGAAGGACCATAGTGAGCTTTAAAGAAGTGCATGTTAGTGATGTTTTATTTTAACAACAGTGAGTAATTATAGAATCTACTTCACCAACTCAACTTTATTATTCGAATTTGCAACAATCAACAGAGAACTGATTAGTGCCTTCCTGACTGGAACCCTACAGATTCTTAGCAATTATTCCTAAGCCATTTCTTAACATAAAAATGTACGTAACTTAGAAATAAATATAATTGAATTTAACTCAACATATCTGATCTAATTTATTAATGAGGGGTATTTATTAAGGTAGCACTGTTAACTATTGTTGCTTTGTAAAATGTAGTACAGACCCCAAACCTTGCTTTTTTATCTCATAGTAATTTATTAATTACTTTACTAAAAATGTTGCATTAGGTATAAAAGTAAAATTAATCCAATATTAACATGGCTGACAGTAAGCAAATTTATTTATTCCTGCGTGTCAAGAAACCAAAATGGCCATGAGTCAGTTCCTGTAGCCTAGCCTTAAGAGGCCAGCTCTTTTCCTCTAAAACACACACACATGCAGAGAAAGAAAGAGAAAGAGATCTTAAGTCCCTAGTCCCTATAGCCAAAAGAGATCAAAGCTTTTCCATACATGAATTGATTGATATGAAGGTAAAGATAAAATTTTAATTTTGCTCAGATAAAGACAGATTACCCAAGACTGATAACATACCAAAAGAAAACCCCCTTCCCCAAATGACAGAGATTACTATGTCTGGAAAAATATCCGCTAAAGTTGTAGTTTCCAAATTTGTCATCACATGGGCCAGTACTATAATGTATAGAAAGAGAGAGAGAGCCATGCATAACTTAACGACAGGAATACATTCTGAGAAACACATTGTTATGTGATTTTGTCATTGTGTGAACATCATAGAGTGTATTTCCACAAACCTACATGGTATAAGCTACTACACATCTAGACTATAGGGTATAGCCTATTGATTCTAGGCTATTAACCTGTACAGCACATTACTATACTGAAAGCTGTAGGCAAGTATAAGACAATGGTAAGTATTTGTATATCTAAACATATCTAAACATAGAAAAAGCATAGTAAAAATATGGTAGTATAATCTTATGGGACCATTGTCATATATGTGGTCCATATTATGTGGCACATGACTGTATTTATATAATACTCTATATTATTTCTTAAATACATAAAGATTGAGTTTCTTTTTATTTTACCAGTTAAGAATTTAAAAAGAATAACATATCCTCAATATCATTTTACCATCAAAAAATAGAAAAGTATGATTCTGGAATAAAGGGCAGGACTTTAAATTGAATACAAACATCTTTAACAAGAATACTCACTATTGCCCTTTTTTTTTTTTTCTCATTTACTCTCCACCAATTGAAAATCCATCTTGGGCAGGCAACTTCCAAAGATCAGAGTTCAGCAACCACAGAGCTAGCTATTCTATTCCCGATATCATAACAGCTCCCTAAAGCCCAGGAGCTGCTGATTTTTAAAGTCAATATTCTAAGTCATTTTGCAGAATTAAAGGTTGATTTGGAAACAGAATAAAGAAACCAAAGCCTTCAAGGCCCACGGATCCACAGCAGCCCCTTCTGGTCTGGCACGTAGCTGACCAGGGCTGTGACCTTGGATGAGCAGGGCTGGCATCTGGCAAGAAGCCACCTGAGCAGCATGGGCTTGCAGACACTCCTGGCAATGATCCCAGGCTGATTTTCTAAGAAACTCAGAAATTTCAGGTCCAGTCTGCTTTTCAAAGCATTTCTAATTTATACCCTACATAAATGCTATGTTTTTTAGAAATAATCTGTTACAAAAGGGGGAAGCTTGCCTGGTGCAGGGGAAAGAGCCAGAATGCCTGGCTCCATCTTCAGTTCTACCCCCATCATGGTCAATCATTCTCTGAGTCTTGGTTCCTCATAACATGGAGAAAATGCCTACCTCACAGGAGGATGAAAAAACGGAGAGTTAGAGAACAGCACAGTGTGGATCTTTACTTCCAATTCTAGCCTTAAGTTCCTGAATCTACAATCTGAATAATGTGTTTGGTGCTATGTTGAACCCTAAGTCTTAAATGCAATGTCAGTCTATGCAAAATTCTACACAGTAATTTTCTCACAGATCCTAAATAAGTTGGCCCTGTCCTCATTCTTGAAATAATATATTCTTGCTGTCCCTGGAAACCAAGGCATGGATACAGGGGGGAGGGAATGAAAGGCAGTCATAGATCAAGTGTCTCAAATGTCAATAAATGGCAAAGGAGAGTTATGGAGCACATAAGGGAAGGAGGAGGCTCAGAATATGGGGCTTGGGATGCCCTTTGACCCCACTCAGAGAGGCCCAGTAATAAATCCAGAGGTGAGAGACATCTTTAGATGTTGGAGCCATCCAGGGAAGCCATAGAGAATTTTCCAGCATCATAAACAGTTTGGAAAGAAAAAGATCTAATATGGGAAGACAAGGGCAGAATGGTGAACAAGGGAAAAAGCCTTAAATAAGTTTTTTTGCTGTTTTGTTGCTGCTCTTGTTTTATCTGAAAAATTTTATGCCATTAGCTTGGAAAATCTTCCACTGGGCCTCTTCTCTAGGTCAGGATCTGAGATAGTAAGACAGGCACCCCTTGCGGGACCATATTTAGTGATTGTCACCTCAAGAATGCTGATACTCAGCCACCCTGGCCACACTTGCGATCTGGGAGGATTCATTCAAAACTAAAGGTCTGTGTGAGAGACTGTGTGGAATCAATGCCTGGATTCCACATCAAGTGAATTATTAATCAGAACAAGTAATGGTAGTGCCTGTAATAACCCTGAAGTCTCAATTTCTTTACATAATAAAAGATTATCTATCTTTTATGCCTAGTCCAGCGCAGGTTGGTTGAAAGGGTTGGAAAGGGGGCATCTGCTTCATGCAGTTAGTCAGAGACCCAGGCTTCTTCAGTCTAGACTGCAGGATTCTGTGCTGGATGTTTTATATTCAGGAAGACAGAGAATGAGGTTTGGGTGGGGGAGGAATCTAGTGGAGTTTTAGAGGCCTGGCCTAGGACATCCTTCCATATTCCGCAGGCAGAATGTATCATGTGACCTCACTCAAAGCAGGAGATATGACACATAGTCTTCCTGTATGAACCTGTGGCGTTGTCTCTGCCACACCAGGAAAGTCCATTGAGAAAGATTAGAAGAAAGAAAATGGAAAACAACCCCTCCACTTAAGTGTAGTAGGTATAGTGCTTGTTAGTTAGTTGGTAAATTATCTCAGTTCCACTCAATTAGAAAATGTTCATAGAGAACCTACTAGATTCAAGGCACTGTGAGAAGCACTGAGGAGAACTTAAGGTAAAGATGACCCAGTTCCTGTAGTCAGAGAGGACCATCTCCTGAGTGGCATAGGACATGGACAAACTCATGACCTCTCTAGCCTCAATGTTCTCATCTGTAAAATGTGACAGCATTGCGTCATTCCATAAGGTGTTGGTGAAGAAGAAATGAGATAATACATGTGAAGTGCATGGCATGTCATGGTCTCCTCCTCCTCCTCCTCTTCCTCTTCCTCCTTCTCCTTTTCCTCCTTCTTCTTTGTCTGCATCTTTTTCTCTTTATCCCCCTCCTTCTCATTCTCCTCCTTTTCCACATCCTCCTCCTCCTTGTCATCATTAGTACCATTACTATAAGGTGTTGTATGTGGACAAAGCACCATAATGACTCAAAGAAAAGGGAAATTTCACCCAATTAGAGAACCAGGAAAACTTTAGAACACATTGATATTTTCGGAGGGTCCTAAAGAATAGGTACGATTTTCATAGATGTGGAGAGAAAGGAAAGGCTTTCCAGGTGAGGGGCAGTGAGAGTAAGGACATCTGCTGAGAAGCACAAGGCAAGGCCCTCACCTGAACACAGAGATGATGGAGCTAATGATGGGGCAATGGGGTGGGGGAAAGAAGGAGGGGTTTGACAGGGGAAAGAGAAGTCAAAACAATCAAAACAAACCAGATGGTTGGGTAGAAGATGCTTCCTTACCTGGTCAAAGATATCCCCAGGAGCTGCTCAAGCTCATTTTCAAGCCTACCAATCCAGGGCTAAAACAGAGAGATTTAAAGATCAGGAATACCTGTGAGGGGAGAGTATATAAGACATATAGAGAGGAGCTGGGACAGGCACTGTGGGGGATGGTGAAGAGTAGAATGAAGACCCTGTTGTGTATCTGAGGCATAGGAAATGTAGAGAAAGTTAGAGAAAATTAAAAATTGATTGGGGACCTACCAGGAGCGTTGGTACTGAGAAAAGAAAACAAGAGCTTGTATTTCGAGTCAGGCCTACATGGATGAATGTGTGTATGAACCTGGACACATCACATCACCTCTCAGAGCCTCAGCTGTCTTATCTGTAAAAGGGAGGTAATAACAAAATCTCAGAGGGTCGCTATGGGGATTAAACTAAGCTGTATAATTTGTGTTGAACACTGAGCCCAGGGTGAGTCACCACAAGAACTCAATGGATGTTAGTTATTATTACTGTTATTATCACTAATTCTGCTAAGCTCCAGATCCTGTTCATTTATCAATAGGCATGTGATAAATACGTGAAGAGTGAATATTCAAAATATAGTGAAATGCAGATGATTAAGGTGATGGTTCTGGAAATAAAATGTAAGAGCCAAAGCCTTTTAAACTGTGGAAAATGGAATACATTTCACCAAATCTATATCTTAATTAAGAAAAATAGAACTCTCGGAACAGAACAGAGCCCTCAGAAATAATGCCGCATATCTACAACTATCTGATCTTTGACAAACCTGAGAAAAACAAGCAATGGGGAAAGGATTCCCTATTTAATAAATGGTGCTGGGAAAACTGGCTAGCCATATGTAGAAAGCTGAAACTGGATCCCTTCCTTACACCTTATACAAAAATTAATTCAAGATGGATTAAAGATTTAAACGTTAGATCTAAAACCATAAAAACCCTAGAAGAAAACCTAGGCATTACCATTCAGGACATAGGCGTGGGCAAGGACTTCATGTCCAAAACACCAAAAGCAATGGCAACAAAAGCCAAAATTGACAAATGGGATCTAATTAAACTAAAGAGCTTCTGCACAGCAAAAGAAACTACCATCAGAGTGAACAGGCAACCTACAACATGGGAGAAAATTTTCGCAACCTACTCATCTGACAAAGGGCTAATATCCAGAATCTACAATGAACTCAAACAAATTTACAAGAAAAAAACAAACAACCCCATCAAAAAGTGGGCGAAGGACATGAACAGACACTTCTCAAAAGAAGACATTTATGCAGCCAAAAAACACATGAAGAAATGCTCATCATCACTGGCCATCAGAGAAATGCAAATCAAAACCACTATGAGATATCATCTCACACCAGTTAGAATGGCAATCATTAAAAAGTCAGGAAACAACAGGTGCTGGAGAGGATGTGGAGAAATAGGAACACTTTTACACTGTTGGTGGGACTGTAAACTAGTTCAACCATTGTGGAAGTCAGTGTGGCGATTCCTCAGGGATCTAGAACTAGAAATACCATTTGACCCAGCCATCCCATTACTGGGTATATACCCAAAGGACTATAAATCATGCTGCTATAAAGACACATGCACACGTATGTTTATTGCGGCACTATTCACAATAGCAAAGACTTGGAACCAACCCAAATGTCCAACAATGATAGACTGGATTAAGCAAATGTGGCACATATACACCATGGAATACTATGCAGCCATAAAAAATGATGAGTTCATATCCTTTGTAGGGACATGGATGAAATTGGAAACCATCATTCTCAGTAAACTATCGCAAGAACAAAAAACCAAACACCGCATATTCTCACTCATAGGTGGGAATTGAACAATGAGATCACATGGACACAGGAAGGGGAATATCACACTCTGGGGACTGTGGTGGGGTCGGGGGAGGGGGGAGGGATAGCATTGGGAGATATACCTAATGCTAGATGACACATTAGTGGGTGCAGCGCACCAGCATGGCACACGTATACATATGTAACTAACCTGCACAATGTGCACATGTACCCTAAAACTTAGAGTATAATAAAAAAAAAAAAAAAAAGAAAAATAGAACTCTCAGTTTGTAAGTTAAAATGTAAGCTCTTGAACTGCAGAGAGAAGGTACCAGAATTTGAGATGTAAGCTACAATCTCTAGAATTCAGTTCATTTGTTGATTATGTGAAAGGTACACATTGAAAAGAAATGGCACTAGGGCCATCATTCAAATGCAAATTGAGTCAAAGATAAACTGTCTCAGCATAAATAGCAAAACTAAAATGCAAAGGACTAGAACCTGCCAAGGCCCATCCACTAGAAGCACCACAGTGAAGACGGAGGGGGTTGTGGACATGCACCAAAATGGGAAGATGTTACCATTTGTGGTCCCTAGAACCCTTTCTGGATTAAGCAATTCTTCCCATAGAGCTCCTTGAAGTTAAATAACTACAAGGAAGAACATCAACTGTGGGATTGAAATGACCAAAGTGGAGGTGAAAACTATCTCATTGGGTCTTGAGAATTATACAAGTAATGCATAAAAAGTGTTTAGCAAAGTTCCTGGTACAAAGTATGCAACTGCTAAATGTTGGCTGTTAGTGTGTTATGAGACCACTTTTATGTATGAGGAAACTGAGGTTTTCAAAAATAAAGTGACTTTCCCAAGCTCATGAAGGTATCATACCATGCAAACGTCCACACTACTAATCTTTACCCTATGGCTTTGGTCCAACAATCTGTATTGAGAATAGCACAAAAGAATCTCTCAGTAAATATTATGACAATGGGAGAACATGGTCTTCCTCTTTGTCCTTTAAAAGAAGGTAGTATCATCTTCCATAAATCCCTTGTTTGTTCAAATTGACTCCAGTGCAACTTCCGGAGACAGCTTCCAGAAGTAGATTCTTTCTCCATGGAATTACCAATTCCCTAGTCTCCCACATGGACCAAATTAACACTGCTTAGTGCTAGGGAGATCATATTCCCTTTTGATATTGAAACCTACAATTTTTGATCAATTAGAGGCTGGTTACAAAAATGATCAATTGATATTTAACTCACTGAGCCAGGAATCATTACAATTTCACTTTGGAGTCTCCCACAGAAAATGATTTGCTGTATTTTGAAATTCACAACAGGCCTTCAGAAAAGCAAAACAACTGATAGGCTTTTTTCTCTCTTGCTTTATCAGGGAATGTGGTATTTGCCTCCATTTTTAGCATTTGAAGTTTGAAATTATTGGACACAAACACAAGAAAGTATAGCAATTACTATATCAAGTTCAGTTACAAAGAAAGATGTTCCAGAAAACACTGTGGTTTTATTCTGAAACTCTGGTATTGTCTGGAACATGGGTGAGGTAGACACCTTAACAGTAATACAATGAAAATCTGCCTGTAAAATAAGAGCATCACTACCATTAAGGAAACTTTCACTATGCACATGGTGCTAAGGCTCATTAACCTATACAAAATTACCTTATGATGTAGATATTTTGTTCCCATTTTAAAAAGGAGTTCCCAGAGGCCCAGGGAGGTTAAAGTGCTCGAGGTCGGGTCTGTATGAAGGAGTAATTCAAGGACTCATGCCCACATCAGTCTGCTTTTAAAGACTCCGTCTTTCACACCCAGCCACTAATCTTTGTAGACTGGGCTGTCTGCAAGCTGGTTCCTCCAAAATCAGTTCTCCTGCTGGCAGCAGCCACTGGCATAGAAAGCCCATCACAGGCTTTAGAACCAGACTGATACTGGCTCAAACATCGACTCTGTCTCCTTACCTGCTGTGTGACCTCAGATGAGGGGCATTAAACCTCAGGTTTCTCTTTTCACAAAAAAAGATTTAAAAAATTATAGACCAGCCTCAGAGATATTGCAGGTTTGGTTTCAGACCATAGCAATAAAGTAAGTGCCAAAATAAAGTGAGTCACATGAGTTTTCCGGTTTCTCAGTGCATATAAAAGTATGTTTATAAGATACTATAGTCTGTTAAGTGTGCAATAGCATTATGTCTAGATAAGAAATCTACATGCCTTAATTAAAAATATTTTATTGCTAAAATACGCTAATGATAATATAAGACTTCTTCAGCGAGTTGTAATCTTTTTTGCTGGTAGAATATCTTGTCTCAATGTTGATGGCTGCTGACTGCTCAGGGTGGTGGGCGCTGAAGGCTGGGATGGCTGTGGAAATTTCTTAATATAATACAATATGAAATATTTATCTGTACCATGCCATGCTATTTGATAGCATGTTACCTATGGTAGAGCATCTTTCAAAATCAGAGTAAATCCTGCCAAACCCTGCTGTTGCTTTATCAATTAAGTGTATGTAATATTCTTTTTTTAAATTTTATTATTATACTTTAAGTTTTAGGGTACATGTGCACAACATGCAGATTTGTTACATATGTATACATGTGCCATGTTGGTGTGCTGCACCCATTAACTCATCATTTAGCATTAGGTATATCTCCTAATGCTATCCCTCCCCCCTTCCCCCACCCCACAACAGTCCCTGATGTGTGATGTTCCCCTTCCTGTGTCTATGTGTTCTCATTGTTCAATTCCCACCTATGAGTGAGAACATGCGGTGTTTGGTTTTTTGTCCTTGTGATAGTTTGCTGAGAATGATGGTTTCCAGCTTCATCCATATCCCTACAAAGGACATGAACTCATCATTTTTTATGGCTGCATAGTATTCCATGCTGTATATTTGCCACCTTTGCTTAATCCAGTCTATCATTGATGGACATTTGGCTTGGTTCCAAGTCTTTGCTATTGTGAATAGTGCCGCAATAAACATATGTGTGCATATGTCTTTACAGCAGCATGATTTATAATCCTTTGGGTATATACCCAGGAATGGGATGGCTGGGTCAAATGGTATTTCTAGTTCTAGATCCCTGAGGAATCACCACACTGACTTCCACAATGGTTGAACTAGTTTACAGTCCCACCAACAGTGTAAAAGTGTTCCTATTTCTCCACATCTTCTCTAGCACCTGTTGTTTCCTGACTTGTTAATGATCGCCATTCTAACTGGTGTGAGATGGTATCTCATTGTGGTTTTGATTTGCATTTCTCTGATGGCCAGTGATGATGAGCATTTTTTCATGTGTTTTTTGGCTGCATAAATGTCTTCTTTTGAGAAGTGTCTGTTCATATCCTTCACTCACTTTTTGATGGGGTTGTTTTTTTCTTGTAAATTTGTTTGAGTTCATTGTAGATTCTGGATTTTAGCCCTTTGTCAGATGAGTAGGTTGCAAAAATTTTCTCCCATTCTGTAGGTTGCCTGTTCACTCTGATGGTAGTTTCTTTTGCTGTGCAATTTTGTTGTCACTTCAACAAGGTTCTCAGCATCTTCACCAGGAGTAGATTCCATCTCAAGAAACCAGTTTCTTTGCTCATCCATGAAAACCAACTCCTTATTCATTCAAGTTTTATCGTGATATTGCAGCAATTCAGCTACATCTTTAGGCTCTACTTTTCATTCTGTTAATAGTTCTCTCACTGTTTCTACCACATCTGCTATTACTTCCTCCATTTAAGTCTTGAATCCATCAAAGTGGTCTATGAGGGCTGGAATCAACTTAATCAAAAATCCTATTAATATTGATATATTGACCTCCTACTTTGAATCACAAATGTTCTTAATAGCACCTAGAATGATGAATTCTCTCCAGGTTTTCAACTTACTTTGCCCAGATTCATCAGAGGAATCACTATCTATAGCCTTATAAAATGTGTTTCTTAAGTAATAAGGCAAACGTTGAAATTACTCTGATCCATGAGCCACAGAATGGATGCTGTGTTAGCAGACATGAAAACATTAATTTCCTTGGTACATCTCCATCAAAATTCATGGGTGACCAAGTGCATTGTCAGTGGGCAGTGATATTTTGAAAGGAATCTTTTTGAGCAGTAGGTCTCAAAAGTGGGCTTAAAATATTCAGTAAACCATGCTGTAAACAGATGTAAACAGTGCTGTCACCCAGGCTTTGTTGTTTTATTTATAGAGGACAAGCAGAGTAGATTTGGCACAAAGGCCCTAGAATTTTTGTAATGAGAAATTAGCATTGGCTTCAACTTAAAGTCAGCAGCTGCAGTAGCCTCTAATGAGAGACTCTGCCAGTCCTTTGAAACTTTGAAGCCTGTCATTGACTTCTCTAGCTCTGAAAGTCCTAGATGGCATCCTCTTTAAGTAGAAGGCAGTTTTGCCTACATTAAAAATTCATTATTTAGTGTAGCCACCTTCATCTGTGATCTTAGCTAGAGCTTCTAGATAACTCGTTAAAGCTTCTCCATCAGCACTTGCTGCTTCACTTTGCACGTTTTTGTTATGGAAATGACTTATTTCCTTAAACTTCATGAACCAACTTCTGCTAGCTTTAAACTTTTCATCTGCAACTTTTTCATCTCTCTCAGCCTTCATAGAACTGAAGAGAGTTAAGCACTTGCTATGGATTAGGCTTTGGCTTTAGGGAGTATTGGAGCTGGTTTGATCTTTATCTAGATCACTAAAACTTTCCCCATATCGGCAATAAGGCTGTTTTGCTTTCATATCATTCATGTGCTCACTGGAGTAGCACTTTTCATTTCCTTCAAGAACTTTTCCTTTGCATTCACAACTTGGCTAACTATTTAAAACAAGAGGTCTAGCTTTTGGCCTATCTCTGCTTTGACATATCTTGCTCCATAAGCTTAATCCTTTCTAGCTTTGATGAACACTTAGAGGCCATTGTAGGGTTATTAATTGGCCTAATTTCTTTTTTTATGAAAAAAGTTATTATTCATTTGATGTTGGGCTAGGGAAGATTTTTACAAGCAAAAAGTTTTTAAAAAAGATTAACACATTTGAATGACATAACAATTTTATATCAAATGTTAGCAAGAGCTCAGGGAAGCACATGCTGTCATGACTGCTGGTGGGAACAAATGGGCATAATTTTTCTGAAGAGCAGTCTGGCTGAATACATTGAAAGACTTTAAAATGTTCATGCTCCAACTCAATAAGTCAACATATAGGAATTGTTCCTAAAGAACTAATAAGAGAGATATAAAAAAAAGTATTTATAATATTGAAACACTGGAAAGAATATAAATGTTCAATAATAGATATATGTTCAACAACAGGGACAAGTAAATATGAAATATTTATATGACAAAATACATCTGGAACTCGCCAAATTTCAATGTTGTTGAAGTGGTATCATTGTCTGTGGTAAATATCCAAGGTTTGTTGTCTCAAGCCAGGGAAATCAAGGACACAGACACACAAGAAGTGAGTTTAAGAGCAGAGGTTTAATAGGTGAAAGAAAGAGAAAAGAGAATGTCTCTCTCCTGCAGAGAGAGAGGGGCACACAAGTGAATTTTCTGGTTTTGTGGTGAAATGTCTGGGGTTTTACAGATGAGCTTAAGGAGATGGTGTCTGATTTATATAGGGCCAAGAGATTGGTCAGACCAGGTATGACATTTGTACAGTGTGTGAAGAAGCTGGCCATACCACTCTCATCTTTTATTATGCAGATGAGTTCTCTACCTGGCTACCACCATGTTGTCTGTTCCTTAGTGTACACATGGTTGACAAAGAAAAGGGAAGATGGAGCCGCCATGTTGAAAATGCTTGGCCCCAAGTACCCTTTTCATATTGGCACAGCTGCGAGCATTCACCCATGCCAGCTTCCAGCTTGCTTATCTATGTCTGTAACTTTCACAGGCTGCTCTTTGTTAGAAAAGAAATTATTTGGGGGCTGCTTTTCATTAAAGGGAAAATCTTACCGAGGACTTCCTTACCCTCACTATCTGCATAAGTAATTTCTTTTCAACTCCTATATCATTGTTGTGTCTCAGGGAAAAGAGAAGCCTGGGAATAGGGAGAAAGATAGGGGAACAGTCAGTTGGTGAAATCATAACACTCACAATATTTATTGGTTAAGCTCACTCATCGTCTTACATGAACATGATTTGTGGTGCCGCAAAATAATTGCAATAGTAATATCAAAGATCACTGATCACAGATCACTGTAACAGAAAATAATAATAATGAAAAAGTCTGAAATATTGCAAAAATTACCAAAATGTGACAGAGAGATATGAAGTGTGTACATGCTGTTGTGAAAATTGTGTCGATAGGCTTTCTTGTCATAGGGTTGCCACAAACCTTCAAAATGTAAAAAATGCAATATCTGCAAAGTGCAAGAAAGCAAAACACAATAAAACAAGATAAGCCTGTATTAAAAAGATATGTTAGAATATTTAAATAATGTTGTGATAATGTTTTGTTGGTTGTACTCAAAACACAATCAGTTTCTTAGGAGAAAGTATGGTATGGTGGTAACACTACAGATTATATAAAAACATATCATCTAGGTTTGAGTTTTGACTCTACTACTTAATAGTTTCGTGACCTTGGACAAGTCATCTGATCTCCTAGTTTCTCCATCTGAAAATTGGGATATTTATGATACCTACTTCATAGGATTAATGTCATAAATATTAAATGCATTAAAAGAATGAAATAGTACAGTGCCTGTTACATAGTAAGTGCTTCATGTGCTACTATAATCACTTCAGCTTTCCAGAAATATTTGCCTTTGCCTAATACCAGAGCTTCCCAACATGGCCTCAAATGCCTGCCTGAACTTCCTCTTAGGAAGTTCTCCTGCTGGGAAACTACATGGGTACCTGCCCTCCATTGTGAGTAGGCCACACTTCTCTGTCCCTAGTTTTTGTGTTTCCACTCTTCTCAATCACTGCCCTACCCCTAAGCATAACACATGGTCTTCACCACACCAAGAAAACAGAATCAGACTGGTTGTGACTAACACAAACAAGATCTCCATGAGGCCAAATCTTTTATTAAGTTTGTCCATTCACTACTCAAATATATTTCCTTGGAGTAAAAAGTGCATAACAAAAATATGGGAAAACATATCTTCAGACTTCCTCATCTTCCTAAGTGCATTGCTCTGCACACCTGGGAGAGCTACAGCTGGGTTCTTTGCTTCTCCAGACTGGTAAGATTTCACATTCTTGTAGCTTTCTATTTTCAGTTAAGTCATGCCTCCCCACCTAGTTTCCATTGTATGTCTATTATGAGACACAACTTGTGAACCCCCTCAGCAGTGCTTCTCAGAATGTTAAACACACAGTAGATGGTCAATAAATACTTGTTCATTGTATTGCTAAGCATATTTTCCATAAGAAATATAGCAATTCAGTGCTGTGGTGCATATGCATTAAGGCTTAAATAGTGTTGCCTGGCCCTATTCCCATTATGCACTATTTTCTCCCCATAATTCTGTTAAAGTCCCGAATGACTTCCATGTTGACTAATCCAATTATCATTTGACCTATCACTGCTACTTAACACAGTTGATTACCCTCTTCTTGGTTTCTAGAATACTACATTCTTGGTTTTCCTTTAGCATAACGGTGGCTCCTTCTCAGTTCTCCCTCCATTTTCAATGTTGAAGTGACCTTGGTCTTTTCTATCCTCTATCCACCCTTACTTTCTTGAGGATAACATTAAATCCCATATCTTTTGATGCTCTCTATTGCCAACAACTTTTAGACTGCCTCTGAATTTCTGACTTAATGATCAACTGCCTACTTGACCTAACAGATATTTTTTAATTAAAATGTCTTAAGATAAACTCCTGAAAGTCTCTCCTAAGCATCATCCCTGACTTTTTTTTCTTACACCCAGGTCCAGTTCATTGGGAAATTCTGTTGGTTTCATCCAGCATCTGGCTACTTCTAGCATCTCATGCTGGGGCCACCATTATCTCTCCTGAATTACTGTAACAACCCCCCTAACTGCTTCTATCCTTGTCCCCAACAGTCTCTTCCCAAAATAGCAGCCAGAAAGAGATTATGTCACTTATCTGCTCAAAATCCTTTAAGGGCTCCTCATTTCACTCAGAGTAAAAATTGTCCATCAAATGGCATACAGGACCCTGAGTGATCTGAGCCCAATTCTCTCTGACTTCATTTCCCACCACTTCCCCTTTCATTTACACTGCTACAACCACCCTGTGTTCCTTAGTGTTTCTCAAACACACCAAGCATGCTTCCACCTCAGGGCCTCTGCACTGGCTATTCCCTCTGCCTGGCATGCCCCTTACTCTTTCTCTTTCCTCAAGTCTTCACTCACCTGTAATGTTCTCAGTAAAGCCCACACTGACCACCTCAGCATTCCTGTCATCTACCATCTTCTAATGTACTCTATAATATTTTATTTGTTATGTGTAATATTTATTGCTTGTCTCTTTGCAATCTAAGCTCCATACAAGCAGAGTTATTTGTTGGTTTTGTTCCCTGTTGGGTCCTTGATGCCCAGAACATTGCTTGGCATGTAGAAAGTTCTCAATATTTGCTGAGCAAATTAAATTAATGTGGGAAATGCATTCTCATGCTTTGACTTATGAACAGATTTTAGAATGTAGCCCATAACTATTGTAGACAGTAGCTAGCCAATTTACTCATTTTTCTGCAAAAGCAAGCATTTCACTTATGATATAGATACCCTAAATATGTCCCTAGGGAACATTTTACAAGATTGGTACGTGATTAACAACATCAGGTACACAGAATGAGGGGTGGAAATCATAGCGCTTTTTAAAAAAACTTTTGCTCAAGTACACGTCACATACAAGACTGCTTTCTGCAGTTCTTATTCCATCTTATTAATACTTTGGATCTTTCTTTTTAATTACCTGGAAAAGCAGCACAGCACAGCAGTTAAGAAAAATAATAATGGAGCCACCCAGTCTGGGTTTGAATCTCAGCTACACTACTTACTACAAACCTCTCTGAACCTTTTCTTGATGACATTCAAGTATAAAGTCTATTACAAAAAACTTTTGGCAGTGGTCCTCCAATCCAGTTTCCTCATTACTTGGAATAGTTTGCTTCTTTGCTAAACAGCACCATGTATTAGAAAGTTCTGTATACAGTAACGAGTTAAAAATTTAGCTTCCTGTCACTTTCAAGCAGTGGTTCTAAAACTGGTCCTTTCAGCACTGGAGAACATAAACATCTTCTTCTACAGAAGCTCCTAAACAAAAATTCGAAAATTTTTTAAATTTCTATTTTTGACTGCTGATTTTGAGCATAATTGTTATGCCTTCCTTGCCTCACAAATGCCACGGAATTCAGAAGAAATATATTGTATATTAGTGTGTCCCAGATATTGTACTCATGTTGCTCAAAGTGGGTTCTTTCCAACCTTACCTGTGCCCCTCACTGTATGCACTGAAGCATGAACCAGTTCAGTCCTCTTATTTAGTGGGCCATCAATACATTCTATTTCACCTTCACTGTCTGCTTACAAGTAAACTATTTAGACATCCAGCTCATCTTTCGTTCACATACTCCCGTTCCACGTTGTGTCTTTCTTAATCACATGGTAATGTTGCCTATAATAATTAGGGCTTTTCCGATCTTAAAATCTCATTATTCTAATAAACACACAAATAAACTTTATCCTAGGCCTGCATAACTGCTCATTCAGAAATTACTTTTTATGTCTCCATTTATACTTTCAAAATAAATTATATATTTCCCCACTTCTGAGGCTTTTGCTCTTTTATCCTTCGCATCTGATTTACTACAAAAATGTCTTTGGCAGCATTCACAAAAATTTGTCATTGAGGTACAATCAACAGAATTCCAGGGAGGCCCCCAACAGACTTCACAACGTGTTAGTTCACTGGTTCTGGGGGTCAGAGGTAGTTCAGCTACTTGCTGGGAAAATTGCAAGGAAAATCGGAAGACTGCCTGGCTTCAAATCCTAGCTTCAGCATGTAAGACCTCAGGCAAACCATTTAACTTCTCTGACTTCAATTTCTTCAGTTAAAATGGGGGTAACAATAGCACCTACCTCAAAGATCTATTGGAAACACTAAATGAATTATTACATATATAACACTTAGAACAGCGCTATGCACATACTATGGGCTCAATAAATGTTAGCTAACATTATATAGCAGCCACTGCCCTGCCTGTTTCAGGGAGAGAGAAGAGAAGTTTAAGACCTGATCTTCATCCACAAGAAGTGTGACGACTATTGAGGGAAAGAGAAAAAAGAAAAATGCAAATTATGTACAAGGGATATGTCCATAAGAGCAAACTACTTTTGGAATCATTTTCATTTTATAGTCTGTCTTCTAAATATCTCTGCTAGGTACCTAGAAGACACCATAAACTTGGCCGGTCTTAAACTGTCTCTTCCTAGTGAATGATGTCAATCTCACGTATTTATTCAACAAGCATTTATTGACTGCTTATTATGGGCCAACCACCTTCAAGGTATATGGGAAACTCGAAGTTATCTTCAATCTTCTCCTCATCTTCTATACACCATACTTATCCTAATCATTGATTTGAATCCCTCCCCTTCTTTCCATCCCCATTGCCATAGCATCATTTCTTACCAGGCCTATCCCATCTACTGCCTGCCACTATCTTCTCCCCACTCCAACCTCTGCTCTTCATTGCTGTCTGAATACTTCCCTCCAAAATTAATGTACATTTTAAAAATTTCTAATGACTCCTAACAGATACATTCGTTAGCTTGGCTTATCAGTTACTGGACTCTCTGACTCCAAACCTTTGCTTCAGTGTCATCTCTTGCCAGTCACCTTAATGCAAACCATGCACAACTACACTAAACCTCCCCCTGTTCCCTAAGCAGACCAGATCTTGGAGTGATTCCATGCCTTTGTTCATGTCATCCCTGTTTCTATACATGACAAACACATACTCATCCTTTAGGACTCCATCCAAATAACTTCTTTGCAATGAAGGCTTTTCCAGCCATCCTGTGTAGCTAGTAGCATTCCCCCTATCTTCTCACCATACTTTGGTCTCACTTGTTTACATAATTAATGAAATATTGTTAATTTCATACTTAGTTTTAGGTTTATCACAAAGTAGATGCAAAATAGAAGTTAACAATTATGATTATAATAGGTGAATGCAAAAGTAGTTGTAGTTTTTGCATTGTTGGAATTTGCCATTTGATATTGGAATACAGTCTTAAATAAATGTGGTTGTGTTATACGTCATTTTAATGAGCACTTCTTGCTTTTTTTTGCTAATGACTTATTACTTACTGCTTATTTTGTGTTTATTTTAGACTATGGAAATGATGCTAGACAAAAAGCAAATTCAAGCAATTTTCTTATTCAGGTTCAAAATGGGACATAAAGCAGTGGAGACAATTCACAACATCAACAACGTATTTGGCCCAGGAACTACTAATGAATATATAGTGCAGTGGTGATTCAAGAAGTGTTTATTTGTTTGTTTTGAGATAGAGTCTCACTCTGTTGGCCAGAGCTGGAGTGCAGAGGCACGATCTTGACTCACTGCAACCTCCACCTCTGCGGTTCAAGTGATTCTCGTGCCTCAGCCTCCCAAGTAGCTGGGACTACAGGCACGCACCACCACACCTGGCTAATTTTTGTATTTGTAATAGAGACAGGGTTTTGCCATATTGGCCAGGCTGGTCTCAAGCTCCTGACCTCAAGTGATCCGCCAGCCTTGGCCTCCCAAATGCTTGGATTACAGGGGTGAGCCACCGTGCCCAGCCAGTTCAAGAAGTTTTGCAAAGGAGACGAGAGTCTTGAAGATGAGGAGTGTAGTGGCCGGCCATCGGAAGTTGACAATGAACAATTAAGAGCAGTCATCGAAGCTGATCTTACAACTACACAAGAAGTTGCCAAAAAACTCAACGTCAATCATTCTACAGTTGTTAGGCATTTGAAGCAAATTGGAAAGGTGAAAAAGAAGGATAAGTGAGTGCCCCATGAGCTGACTGAAAATTTTAAAAAATCATCATTTTGAAGTGTCATCTTCTCTTATTCTACAGAACCATGAACCATTTCTTGATCAGATTGTAATGTGTGATGAAAAGTGAACTTTCTACAACAATCAGCAATGACCAGCTCAGTGGCTGGACTGAGAAGAAGCTCGAAAACACCTCCCAAAACCAAACTTGCACCAAAAAAAGGTCATGGTCACTGTTTGCTGGTCTGCTGATAGTCTGATCCATGACAGCTTTCTGAATCCCGGCAAAACCACTGCATCTGAGAAGTATGCTCAGCAAATCGATGAGATGCACCTGAAACTGCAACACCTAAAGCCAGCATTGGTCAACAGAAAGGACCCAATTCTTCTACAGGACAATGCCCGACCACAGATTGCACAACCAACACTTCAGAAGTTGAACTAATTGGGCTACTAAGTTTTGCTTCATCCACGATATTCACTTGACCTCCCGCCAACAGACTACCACTTCTTCATGCATATCAACAACATTTTGCAGGGAAAACGCTTCCACAACCAGCAGGATATGGAAGCTTCCACAACCAGCAGGATGCAGAAAATGCTTTCCAAGTGTACATCAGATCCTGAAGCATGAATTTGCATGCTGCAGAAATAAACAAACTTATTTCTTGCTGGCAAAAATGTATTGATTGTAATATTCCTGTTTTGATTAATAAAGATGTGTATGAACCTAGTTATGATGATTTAAAATTCACAGTTCAAAACTGCAATTACTTTAGCAGCTTTTTTCCTGTTGTGCAGAAATTAAGTGGAGAGCCCCACCTTAGATCTACCATAGGACCTGAACATAGAGATAGTATAATAAATATTTGTTGAATGAATTAATGACTGAAACAACCTGAGGCATGACACTATAAAAAGTGTAAAATGGGAATATTAAATTTTTTAATGCATTGTATAGGGATAGGGAGGGAATATTTATATCAAAGACTTTGGGGAATATAGTTACTGAAGTTAAACATCAAAGTTAGGTCTGAGCTTCCAGAAGGAAACTAAAGGGTAAAGGATAAACAGTCTCATTGTCTGATAAAAGAAAGTATACAACTTAAGAGAGACAAACATTTTCCTGAAAAGCTTTTCCTGAAGGAGTTTTCTGTGTGAATTACATAAGTAACATTGAATAAATAATACAGCTACTTCTTTTTGCAGTGTAAAGAAAACAAATAAATGTTTTTTCTTTTGGATATCTTAAATCAATTCTCAATAAAATGAAATCCAAGAGCAGTGCCCATTCTGAGCAGAAGCAGTGTAAGAAGGGAGCCTCCCATGGGGTTGGAAGGATGGAAGAGAAAGGGATGCCACAAAGGAAGGATGATCAATATCCTGAGTGAGAGCTGGCAGTGGATGCTGAAAGCATGGCTTCAGGGACTCGAGGGCTGCCCCATCGAGGTCCTCCCCAAGCTGGAATAATGCTAACAGCTGGATAATGCAAAGTAGGGACCAAGGGGTAATTTCAACAAAGGATCTTGAAACAATAATGGGAAGCATATGTAATTCAAAAGTTTCTTTGCAGTGACATTATTTGATGTTGCAAAAATGGGCATAGAAATTGGTTGAGTGTATTTTTGTGAGTGTTCAGTGATAACAGTATCCAGTTCTGTCAAGAGAGTGTCTGGGAAAATGGGTAGATATTATCCAGCCAGGAATCACTAGGTGAGGGTTACCTGGCCTGCCTCAGTTCTGAACACTCCCTGCCTTGCTTCCCACTCTAGCAATACAATTGCTTTTCTCTTCTCTATGCTTTACAGCAACACTTCCCTCTTTTTAAAATGACCCTCCTAGTCAACTCTTCACCACCATCTCCAGGTATCATCTTTTGCCTCCCTCACCCCAAGCTCCAAGTGCCCCTCTAGCAGCCTCCTATCACCTCCGATCACAGTAGCCATGTGCACCTTCTGCATTGTTTCCATCTCTTCTGTGAGCTCCTCCAGGGAAAGTACCAAGATTTATTTGACTTTGTTTCCCCAACACAGTCCTTGATGCACAATAGTCAACCACTAAATGTCAAAAGCAGGAATAAAGGGAGTTTGGAAATTTGTTTTTAAAGAGTATTTGAGCATAGAAATGCCACTGAAGATAACAGGATCATGAAGGAGTGGTTACTGGGGAAAATAACATGTTGGTATTTGACTCACAAAATAGGTGTATAAGTCCATTCTCACATCGCTATAAAGATACTACCCGAGACTGGGTAGTTTATCAAGAAAATAGGTTTAATTGACTCACAGTTCCACATGGCTGGGGAGACCTCAGGAAACTTACAATCATGGTGGAATGGGAAGCACACACATCTTACATGGTGGCAGGCGAGAGTGAGAGAGAGAGTGTGTGAGCACAGGAAAAACTACCTCTTATAAAACCATCAGCTCTCATGAGAATTTACTCGCTACAGCATGAGGGAAACTGCCCCCATAATTCAATCACTTCCCACAAGGTCTCTCCCTCAACACCTGGGGATTGCAATTCAAGATGAGATTTGGGTGGGGACACAAAGCCAAACCATATAAGTAGGTATGATTGAAATAGTTAGTTGGCGATGTTTGGGAGGGAAATGTGGCATCCACAATACAGATTTGAAAATTGTTGGGGGAGGAGCCAAGATGGCCGAATAGGAACAGCTCCGGTCTACAGCTCCCAGCGTGAGCGACGCAGAAGACGGGTGATTTCTGCATTTCCATCTGAGGTACCGGGTTCATCTCACTAGGGAGTGCCAGACAGTGGGCACAGGTCAGTGGGTGCGTGCACCTTGCGCGAGCCGAAGCAGGGCGAGGCATTGCCTCACTTGGGAAGCGCAAGGGGTCAGGGAGTTCCCCTTCTGAGTCAAAGAAAGGGATGACAGACAGCACCTGGAAAATCGGGTCACTCCCACCCGAATACTGTGCTTTTCCGACGGGCTTAAAAAATGGCGAACCACGAGATTATATCCCGCACCTGGCTTGGAGGGTCCTACTCCCACGGAGTCTCGCTGATTGCTAGCACAGCAGTCTGAGATCAAACTGCAAGGTGGCAGTGAGGCTGGGGGAGGGGCGCCCGCCATTGCCCAGGCTTGATTAGGTAAACAAAGCAGCCAGGAAGCCCCAACTGGGTGGAGCCCACCACAGCTCAAGGAGGCCTGCCTGCCTCTGTAGGCTCCACCTCTGGGGGCAGGGCACAGACAAACAAAAAGACAACAGTAACCTCTGCAGACTTAAATGTCCCTGTCTGACAGCTTTGAAGAGAGCAGTGGTTCTCCCAGTACACAGGTGGAGAACTGAGAACGGACAGACTGCCGCCTCAAGTGGGTCCCTGACCCCTGACCCCCGGGCAGCCTAACTGGGAGGCAACCCCCAGCAGAGGCACACTGACACCTCACACGGCAGGGTACTCCAACAGACCTGCAGCTGAGGGTCCTCTCTGTTAGAAAGAAAACTAACAAACAGAAAGGACATCCACACCAAAAACCCATCTGTACATCACCATCATCAAAGACCAAAAGTAGATAAAACCACAAAGATGGGGAAAAAACAGAACAGAAAAACTGGAAACTCTAAAAAGCAGAGTGCCTCTCCTCCTCCAAAGGAACGCAGTTCCTCACCAGCAACGGAACAAACCTGGATGGAGAATGACTTTGACGAGCTGAGAGAAGAAAGCTTCAGACGATCAAATTACTCTGAGCTATGGGAGGACATTCAAACCAAAGGCAAAGAAGTTTAAAACTATGAAAAAAATTTAGAAGAATGTATAACTAGAATAACCAATACAGAGAAGTGCTTAAAGGAGCTGATGGAGCTGAAAACCAAGGCTGGAGAACTACGTGAAAAATGCAGAAGCCTCAGGAGCTGATGCGATCAACTGGAAGAAAGGGTATCAGTGATGGAAGATGAAATGAATGAAATGAAGCGAGAAGGGAAGTTTAGAGAAAAAAGAATAAAAAGAAATGAGCAAAGCCTCCAAGAAATACGGGACTATGTGAAAAGACCAAATCTACGTCTGATCGGTGTACCTGAAAGTGATGGGGAGAATGCAACCAAGTTGGAAAACACGCTGCAGGATATTATCCAGGAGAACTTCCCCAATCTAGCAAGGCAGGCCAACGTTCAGATTCCGGAAATACAGAGAATGCCACAAAGATACTCCTCGAGAAGAGCAACTCCAAGACACATAATTGTCAGATTCACCAAAGTTGAAATGAAGGAAAAAATGTTAAGGGCAGCCAGAGAGAAAGGTCGGGTTACCCTCAAAGGAAAGCCCATCAGACTAACAGCGGATCTCTCGGCAGAAACCCTACAAGCCAGAAGAGAGTGGGGGCCAATATTCAACATTCTTAAAGGAAAGAATTTTCAACCCAGAATTTCATATCCAGCCAAACTAAGTTTCATAAGTGAAGGAGAAATAAAATCCTTTACAGACAAGCAAATGCTGAGAGATTTTGTCACCACCAGGCCGGCCTTACAAGAGCTCCCGAAGGAAGCACTAAACATGGAAAGGAACAACCAGTACCAGCCACTGCAAAATCATGCCAAAATGTAAAGACCATCGAGACTAGGAAGAAACTGCATCAACTAACGAGCAGAATAACCAGCTAACATCATAATGACAGGATCAAATTCATACATAACAATATTAACTTTAAATGTAAAGGGACTAAACGCTCCAACTAAAAGACACAGACTGGCAAATTGGATAAAGAGTCAAGACCCATCAGTGTGCTGTATTCAGGAAACCCATCTCACGTGCAGAGACACACATAGGCTCAAAATAAAAGTATGGAGGAAGATCTACCAAGCCAATGAAAAACAAAAAAAGGCAGGGGTTGCAATCCTAGTCTCTGATAAAACAGACTTTAAACCAACAAAGATCAAAAGAGACAAAGAAGGCCATTACATAATGGTAAAGGGATCAATTCAACAAGAAGAGCTAACTATCCTAAATATATATGCACCCAATACAGGAGCACCCAGATTCATAAAGCAAGTCCTGAGTGACCTACAAAGAGACTTAGACTCCCACACATTAATAATCGGAGACTTTAACACCCCACTGTCAACATTAGACAGATCAACGAGACAGAAAGTCAACAAGGATACCCAGGAATTGAACTCAGCTCTGCACCAAGTGGACCTAATAGACATCTACAGAACTCTCCACCCCAAATCAACAGAATATACATTTTTTTCAGCACCACACCACACCTATTCCAAAATTGACCACATACTTGGAAGTAAAGCTCTCCTCAGCAAATGTAAAAGAACAGAAATTATAACAAACTATCTCTCAGACCACAGTGCAATCAAACTAGAACTCAGGATTAAGAATCTCACTCAAAACTGCTCAACTACATGGAAACTGAACAACCTGCTCCTGAATGACTACTGGGTACATAACGAAATGAAGGCAGAAATAAAGATGTTCTTTGAAACCAACGAGAACAAAGACACAACATACCAGAATCTCTGGGACGCATTCAAAGCACTGTGTAGAGGGAAATTTATAGCACTAAATGCCCACAAGAGAGAGCAGGAAAGATCCAAAATTGACACCCTAACATCACAATTAAAAGAACTAGAAAAGCAAGAGCAAACACATTCCAAAGCTAGCAGAAGGCAAGAAATAACTAAAATCAGAGCAGAACTGAAGGAAATAGAGACACAAAAAACCCTTCAAAAAATTAATGAATCCAGGAGCTGGTTTTTTGAAAGGATCAACAAAATTGATAGACCACTAGCAAGACTAATCAAGAAAAAAAGAGAGAAGAATCAAATAGACGCAATAAAAAATGATAAAGGGGATATCACCACCAATCCCACAGAAATACAAACTACCATCAGAGAATACTACAAACACCTCTATGCAAATAAAATAGAAAATCTAGAAGAAATGGATAAATTCCTGGACACATACACTCTCCCAAGACTAAACCAGGAAGAAGTTGAATCTCTGAATAGACCAATAACAGGAGCTGAAATTGTGGCAATAATCAATAGCTTACCAACCAAAAAGAGTCCAGGACCAGATGGATTCACAGCCGAATTCTACCAGAGGTACAAGGAGGAACTGGTACCATTCCTTCTGAAACTATTCCAATCAACAGAAAAAGAGGGAATCCTCCCTAACTCATTTTATGAGGCCAGCATCATTCTGATACCAAAGCCAGGCAGAGACACAACAAAAAAAGAGAATTTTAGACCAATATCCTTGATGAACATTGATGCAAAAATCCTCAATAAAATACTGGCAAAACGAATCCAGCAGCACATCAAAAAGCTTATCCACCATGATCAAGTGGGCTTCATCCCTGGGATGCAAGGCTGGTTCAATATACACAAACCAATAAATGTAATCCAGCATATAAACAGAGCCAAAGACAAAAACTACATGATTATCTCAATAGATGCAGAAAAAGCCTTTGACAAAATTCAACAACGCTTCATGCTAAAAACTCTCAATAAATTAGGTATTGATGGGACGTATTTCAAAATAATAGGAGCAATCTATGACAAACCCACAGCCGATATCATACTGAATGGGCAAAAACTGGAAGCATTCCCTTTGAAAACTGGCACAAGACAGGGATGCCCTCTCTCACCACTCCTATTCAACATAGTGTTGGAAGTTCTGGCCAGGGCAATTAGGCAGGAGAAGGAAATAAAGGGTATTCAATTAGGAAAAGAGGAAGTCAAATTGTCCCTGTTTGCAGATGACATGATTGTATATCTAGAAAACCCCATTGTCTCAGCCCAAAATCTCCTTAAGCTGATAAGCAACTTCAGCAAAGTCTCAGGATACAAAATCAATGTACAAAAATCACAAGCATTCTTATACACCAGCAACAGACAAACAGAGAGCCAAATCATGAGTGAACTCCCATTCACAATTGCTTCAAAGAGAATAAAATACCTAGGAATCCAACTTACAAGGGATGTGAAGGACCTCTTCAAGGAGAACTACAAACCACTGCTCAAGGAAATAAAAGAGGATACAAACAAATGGAAGAACATTCCATGCTCATGGGTAGGAAGAATCAATATCGTGAAAATGGCCATACTGCCCAAGGTAATTTACAGATTCAATGCCATCCCCATCAAGCTACCAATGACTTTCTTCACAGAATTGGAAAAAACTACTTTAAAGTTCATATGGAACCAAAAAAGAGCCCACATCGCCAAGTCAATCCTAAGCCAAAAGAACAAAGCTGGAGGCATCACGCCACCTGACTTCAAACTATACTACAAGGCTACAGTAACCAAAACAGCATGGTACTGGTACCGAAACAGAGATATAGATCAATGGAACAGAGCAGAGCCCTCAGAAATAACGCCGCATATCTACAACTATCTGATCTTTGAAAAACCTGAGAAAAACAAGCAATGGGGAAAGGATTCCCTATTTAATAAATGGTGCTGGGAAAACTGGCTAGCCATATGTAGAAAGCTGAAACTGGATCCCTTCCTTATACTTTATACAAAAATCAATTCAAGATAGATTAAAGACTTAAACGTTAGACCTAAAACCATAAAAACCCTAGAAGAAAACCTAGGCATTACCATTCAGGACATAGGCATGGGCAAGGACTTCATGTCCAAAACACCAAAAGCAATGGCAACAAAAGACAAGATTGACAAATGGGATCTAATTAAACTAAAGAGCTTCTGCACGGCAAAAGAAACTACCATCAGAGTGAACAGGCAACCTACAAAATGGGAGAAAATTTTTGCAACCTACTCATCTGACAAAGGGCTAATATCCAGAATCTACAATGAACTCAAACAAATTTACAAGAAAAAAACAAACAACCCCATCAAAAAGTGGGCGAAGGACATGAACAGACACTTCTCAAAAGAAGACACTTATGCAGCCAAAAAACACATGAAAAAATGCTCATCATCACTGGCCATCAGAGAAATGCAAATCAAAACCACAATGAGATACCATCTCACACCAGTTAGAATGGCAATCATTAAAAAGTCAGGAAACAACAGGTGCTGGAGAGGATGTGGAGAAATAGGAACACTTTTACACTGTTGGTGGGACTGTAAACTACTTCAACCATTGTGGAAGTCCGTGTGGCGATTCCTCAGGGATCTAGAACTGGAAATACCATTTGACCCAGCCATCCCATTACTGGGTATATACCCAAAGGACTATAAATCATGCTGCTATATAGACACATGCACACGTGTGTTTATTGCGGCATTATTCACAATAACAAAGACTTGGAACCAACCCAAATGTCCAACAATGATAGACTGGATTAAGAAAATGTGGCACATATACACCATGGAATACTATGCAGCCATAAAAAATGATGAGTTCATGTCCTTTGTAGGGACATGGATGAAATTGGAAATCATCATTCTCAGTAAACTATCGCAAGAACAAAAAACCAAACACCGCATATTCTCACTCACAGGTGGGAATTGAACAATGAGATCACATGGACACAGGAAGGGGAATATCACACTCTGGGGACTGTTGTGGGGTGGGGGGAGGGGGGAGGGATAGCATCGGGAGATATACCTAATGCTAGATGACGAGTTAGTGGGTGCAGCGCACCAGCATGGCACATGTATACATATGTAACTAACCTGCACAATGTGCACATGTACCCTAAAACTTAAAGTATAATAAAAAAAAAAAAAAAGAAAATTGTCTACTACAAAGTAGTAGCGAAAACAGAGAGAAAATGAACTTTCCTTCAAATTGTACCCTGATGCCTAAGATCTTTTCATCTTTTTTCCTCATTTGGAGACCATTGCCACAGAATTGGGGTTTGATTCAAGATGTTCAGCTTCATTTGAGTAGAGTTCAAAACCCTCCATATATTATATCATGCACCAACTCAGTCCGTTCTATTCCAGGGAAACTCACCGACCACCACCTGAGCATATCTTGCTGATTGTCCCCTCAGTGGTATTGCTCGAATCATTTCCCTGGAATAGAATCCTTGAGGATCCTTCCCTTCAGTGCCCATCTGCCTCATCCTCGTCAATCTCTGTCAAAGTCCAAGCTCAAAAGTGCAAAAGTCTCCTCTAAACTTAAGACCCTTGTAACCTTCCTTTGTTGCATGAATGTCTGCCTTGTCTAACAAATCAGAAGGCAGAACCCTTGAAGACAGAAGCGATATTCTTTGCTTTTTTATCCCCCATTGACTGTAAGCATTATAGTTCTGCACACTCAGCCAATTAATGTTTAGGATATTAATGGACAGGAGACAGCTTTTTATTAAACTCCTAAGGGAGCTTCCAAATCATTGTTTCTTTGCCAAATGTCAACAGTATTTTTTCTACAGCCAGCACTATCCCCTTCTCCCTATCCTGCAAGCTTCAGCATGGTGATTGCACCTTCTCCCTTATGATTCTAACTATGGTCTCAGAATGCAGTGCATCTTTCTTGATGGCTTCAGCATCCAGAGAGATGACCTGGATTACAGCTACTTGACCATCCCAAACTGAACAATCTTCAATTCTGTGTCACTTAAGCTGCCAATGGGCAAGTCCAAATATCATCACTTAGCCCTAGTAACTAACCTGTACATTGTGAAAACCTGAAATGCTACACAGTCTCCCTCTCTAACAGTGAACCTGCTTATCTCGGATCAATCAGGTGAACTAAGCCTCCACCCCTGACTGCAGCTCTTAGAGAGTCTTTCCCTTCTGTATACAATGAGAGCAATAGTATGGAGTTTACAATGGTGTTGAGAAGATGAAAAGAAATAACCTATGAAAGATTCCGCACACAGTATATGCTCACTAAAGCAAGTCTCTCTCTCTCTTTCTCTCTCTCTCTCTGCCCACCCTCTTCCCTCTAAGAATGAAGAGCTAATGCCTTCTGAAGTAGCCATTCTAATTCTGAGCCTCTTTGACTATTCCAGAAATTCCATTTTCTTTCTGAACCAAAATCTGTCTCCCAGGGTCCCACTCAGGAGTCTCTGCACAGCTCTTTGTAGCTGTAAGAATAAGGGTGACCTTTCTTCCTCCAGCTCAGCCTGCCAGCAGTCTTTGGACAATTCACACAGCCCCTTGAGTCTTTTTCTTCTCCAGGAGGATCACCCTCCCAACCTTGCCTCTACCTGCCCCTTTGAGCCCATGATGTCATGGCAATGTTAGTCTCCTTCCACCTAGCATATTCCAGTAATTTCTGCCAGAACACCAGTCCCATTTAAAAGTCCCAGGAAAACATGAACAACTAAGATCAACAATTTTCTCTGATCCAAAATGGCTGAAAAATAAGTCCTTTCCACTGCTTTACTGACAAATCGAACCCTACAAGGGAGAGGAAGGACTGCAAGAAATGGTAATGCCAAGTGAATGAGGATTTTTTTAAAGAGTCTTGAATCCTAAGGGCTTGTCTTGTTCTTTTAACTAGAAAGTTTGAGTCTTGATCCATTAATCCAGAGCTAATAAATGTCTGGTGGCAATTTGCCAGTTTGAACTCACAAGTGCGAGCTTATTCATTATGAGGAAGTAGCGATCTCTGTGGGGAAATGCTTGCAAACAGGATTAGCGAAGCAAAGGGAGGGCAAAGCCTTTGGTGAAAAATGTGCCCATTGCTAATCAATGGCCAACAGCTTCTTGCTGCAACGAGTTGCAAAAAGCAATCGTAGCTCAGTGATTTTTTGTGTGTGTTCATTTGCCAAAGCAAGAAGTGAACTTTGTGGACTGGCTGAGTCAGGATTTCCAAAACTCTTTCATGGGAGTGTTCCTGACACCAATAGCCAGTAAGCTTGAGTCTCTGGAGGTTCAGAAACAAAATTTAAAAGCTCAAAATGTAGTCAAAGCCTCCTGTTTATTCTTTAATATTCATGTAAATTTAGCATCTTATTCCACAATATCCATTTGCTTTCATATAAAAAGCATAGGTTTCCCCCTATTTCCATGCAATTCCTTGAGCCCCAGCCCACAGACCAGTTCCCTCCAGAGCTTCATGTGCTCCACTTTGAGAGAAAGGGACTGGCTTCACTCTAAGTGGTGTCTCAATGATCACATCAGTGGTGGTTTCTTACTCAGATCTATAGGCTTATTGATTCCAGAAGGAATTACACCAGCAGGTACTGCACTGTAAAGTCTCAGTATCAAAGACAGACAGTTTGGATCCTGGATTACATTCATGTATCTTGGGACCTGAGGCTGTTTAATTTCTCCAAGGCTCAGTTTCCTCATCTGCATGGAGCTATCTACTTCATAGGCTGTGATGAGGATTAGGTCAGGTCAGGTGTGTAAAGTGATCAGCACCATAGGTGCAACATAAATGTTTCTTATCATTATACTGGTGGTATTGCCAGACACCTGGAAGGTTCCTGCCTTTGTGTGGTAAAGAGAATCATGGAAATGGAGTCTGAAGTCCTGTGTCTTCATTCTTGATTCTGCCATTAGTTAGCAATATAGTCTGAAATGAATGCTTTTAAGCTAAAATCTACCTTCTTCTTCTTCTAAAATACACAGTTTTCCAATGGTTAACTATTTAAGGGACTTTAGTGCATAGAAGAAACAAGGAAACAGTATGAATAAACCTACAGTCTGAGCTTTTTCTCCCTCTACAGCAACATAGAACAATAATAATAAATGACATTATTGAGCCCACCACACGCCAGGCATTAGCTACATGCTTTACCTGCAATCCTCTGTCTAACTCTCATAAACTATATAGTAAGAGAATAAGAAACTTGCCCAGATTGATAAAGCTGAGAGTTGAACCAAGTCTGACTAACTCCAGGACCTGAGCACTTAACCATTATGCCCTGCTAACCTACCCTCCAAATGAGCCAAAGACCTGCCTATCTACTAATTCAGAGGGAAAGGAACCTATTTGGGAATTCTCTCTAGAGGCCCTTTAAGATTCCTGGCTGCTCCTAGCTACAGTTGACCAAGCACAGGCTGAGGCTGATTGCAGATTTAGTAACTAGTGATGTCAGAGAAGGGGTAGCACTGAAGTTCTAGGCCCACCCTTCCTTCTGAGGGGCCAACAGGTCTAAGATGCTGTGGGGTTAGAGTTACAATGACTAGGATTTGAATTCCAGCTTAACTGACAATCAGCTCTATGATCCTCTGCAAGTTACTTAATCTCTCTGAGAGGACACATAAAGTTTTATCATAAATAAAATAAAATTATAATCTCTACATTGCAAAGATTGCTGGGAAGAATAACAGAGATTGTATAAAGTGTCTAACAGAGAATGTGGCTAATAATTAGAGCTATTATAATTCATTATCATTTTTATAAAGGCAAAAATCTTTCAAAAAGGAAACCAAAATACATTTTCAGAAGTCACATTATATAAAATGTAAAATCTCAAATACCCTGTTATGTCTCTCTAGAACATTAAGCAAATACGAGCAATTGTCAAATAATTCACAAGTGATCTCTCTCTAAAAGATTTTACCTCTTTCTAAACAAAAGCTTCCTTGAAGTGGCTAAATTCTGACAGAGAGCAGAAATCTATGTGAGTTAGCAGACCAATCTCCTGGGAGCATTAAAATGATTCTTGAATAATTTTCAAGCCTAATTCTATTTGCACTTTCCACTTTTCTAAAACCAAATCAAAATTCATTGGCAAACAAAGAGCATCTTGCGAGGATCTCATGATTTCTCATGTGAAATTTCATCATGCATAGCAAGCAGCAAAGGAAGGTGGGTTTAAAAGACACATGTTCAAATTCCTGATGATTTGTCTGTTCCTGCTGAGAAAGATGGACCAAGGAGAGTCAATCATCAGGCCTCATGGATTTGAGCCCATAAGCTCCTAATTGACCGGCATGTATTTAATCGGGAAGAATCGCTATAGAATTCCTGAAGACAAAAGGAAGGGGGTATGAACCCCACTTGGAGTACAGGACAATGTGCTGGTTCCTGCTCCCTCAGGGGGCAGTATTCATGGCTGAATCCTGAAAGTCAGGAAGAAGGACTAATTCAAGGACAACCCCATGGGGTTCCTAGTCTGTGCTCTCCTCCTCCCATGCAGCCTGACAGTGTTGCACCATAGTTTCCTGGCAGAGCCAGAAGAGTGGGGAAGAAGTTGGGAGGGAGGTGGAGGTGGCACTCAGGTGGCTATACTGATCCTGACAGCAGCTACCATGCCTAGTGGTCCTACCTGATTGAAGCTTTGGGTATCCCATGCTAGAGAAGGCCTCTACTGTTATTAGTCAATTAGCCAATTTAACCAAAACAAGGACTAGACTGGTACTTCTCAAGGACTTGTATCCACTTACCAATACACATTGCTCCTAGAAAGCTGATGTAGAAGGTGCTATAGGTATACAGAAATTAAGAGCTCAGACTCCAGAGCCAGGCCACTTCTCTGCTGGGCCACCTAAGACAAGTTACTTAACCATTCTGCCTTACTTTCTCCATCATGAAAGGTGGAACAAACAATCATAGTATCCATCTCATGGGGTTGTGATGACAACTAAGTGAGTGACTACATGTAAGGTAGACCAATGCCTCACACATAGTAAGTGCTCAATACACATTATTATTCTAAACCACGCACCCGTTTGTCATATAGTTACACAGCTTGCTTAGAGCTCCCTAATTGCTTTCAGGTTCTCATTCAAATTTCATGACAACCCAGAGAGGCCTGGCAGGAACCATTATCCCCACTTTACAGATGGAAAACCTATGGCTCAAAGAACTTATATGATTTATCCAAGGCCAAGATTATGAACCTCATAATTATAAGAGGGGGCAACTGAAACCAGGGGTTTGGGTTTCAAGTTTACATATAACACAGCTTACGTAGAATTTTGGCTAAAATGTTTAATTAAATTGAAACAAATACTTCCATTTTAACCCTGCATCCCCCTATGTATCCAGCTGGAGATCATTCACCCGACGTGTAGGCTCACAGGGCAGCACGGGGTTTTTAGCACTCAGCTGATCAGGGCACCTTGTCAGGTAGCAGGCCATTCCCAGGAGCCAGATCCTGTTCCTTTCCCATTTGCTGTCTTGAGTTTGAGGCACTCCACAGTCACGTGGAATAGGACCAAAGCCAGCAGGCAAAAGACAGCTTTGGGGAAACTAGAGTTAGCATCTTGAAAACATACGACCATTCTGGCCAGAATCGCCACACAGAGACTCCACAGAAGTTTCCTGAGTTTCCACGTGTCATGACAAGCAGCTCTGTAATAAGCTCTCTCTGGTGAATAAAAGTTTATCTGCACCACCAATTATATTTCACATGCCCAAAAAGCAGACTAATCACAAATTTTAAAGCAGCCAATGATAGGATCATCTCAGAGCTGAAGAACCACTTATGTACTCTCAGTCAGTTGGGGAATGTTACCCCTGCAGGTTTGGATTGCTCAGATTTGCAAAGAGAACAGGTGAAAAGAGAACCGGTGACAGCTGGCCGGTGATTATTCACAGAAACTCCTGATTCAGACAAGAGTAAGTCACATGAAAGGGAAGGATAGAAAAGGAGACGCCGAAAAAGCATTTGGCCCTTGAATTCTCTGACGAGGAGCAGATGGATGTAATCAATTACTTTAATAATTCACAAGGGAGAAAGCCTGCTTTCACCTGAATTATCTAGATAATTTTTAAAGATATAGTTTGGGTGAGGATTTCCTTTTAATCCACACAAACTGCTTATATTTCCCCAGCTCATCAAATAATTTACTTCCACGTGAGCAGGCCAGGCTTACAGAGCTACGATTGCCATAGACGTAACTGCTCCTGGTGATGTCTTTTCTCTTACATTTGTACTTCAGGGAAGAATTGGTTTCAAGCCGAGTCTTTTTTCCTCCTTTGTGTCCTGGTAAGCTTTTCCTCTGGAAATAAACTGGGCTGGCTGTCCCTTTGATCCCATTGTGCGATTCTATCTCGTTCATCAAGCTGTGGCACCTGACCTGTTACAAGGGTATAGAAAATAGTACAATTTGAGCATTTCAAAGTGCAGGTTTTCTATTTTAAAAAGGGATATCTGACAGCCACCTTTAGATCCACTTGCTTATCAGGGTTGCGTTTTAACAAATTTTCGTGAAAGCATACCATTTATTCTCCAAAATTGGAAAAAAAATGAACAATGGTGAGTTCATATCCTGTTGAATATGGCTTGAAACATCAAAATCTCCAGCAAAGACTGATAGAAAGAAAGTATCATCATATCAGTGGCATCAGAAAATGGCCCAGGCCTGAGCTTCTGCGGTCTGCAATAAAGATAACCACCGCAGCTGGGGTGAGAGCTCAGGGTTGTTTTCCAACACCGGGGGAACATAGCTTCTTCCCTGACCTATCCGTTGTGTGGGCTGATTAGAAGCAACACAAACAGAAACCTCTTGATTCCATCTTCATCAGGAGCTTTTACTGATTACAGGAAATGGCTGTTAACTGGGTGAATGCATAACATATCTGGAGACAGAGGGCCTAAGATGATTCAGAACCCCTCCCCTCAAACTCTCTCCGTGGCATGAGTGCCTTCTCTCCACATGAGACTCCAATCACCTACCCTTATCATTTCATTAGAAAGAGACAGCCTCGTAATTTGGGGCAACATAAATTATCAAACATCAAATATGGTAATATATTGTAATAAATATGATTAAATGATAACACCAAAGCACAATCAACAAAGCCAGATGTTTCTCCCCTCTTGCTTTGGAATGAGATAAAATTCCACTCCTAGCTAAATATTTGTCTATTTCTAATCAAACATAATTTTAACCGTACCGATGCTACTCATTTAAGAACACTCTAATACTTTTCCTTCATCATTTTTGTTTAATGTTTTTGAACCCACCCTAGTAGAGTCTAACCCTGAGAACAGTCGTTTTAGATGACATTGCTGTGGCTGTTCAAACTTGCACAAAGCACTTGGTGAGCAGTCCAGGCCTTTGCTATCCTGAGAATTCACGCTGCAACTCACTGTTGACTGTCACACTTTTGCTTCCATTTGCTTGTGCTTCTCATTATAAGTCAACATGTTTTCATTCGGTTTGTAGAGTGCCCCTTTTTAGCCTCTAGCTGCTGGATGACACCATCTGTGATTGCCAAGGAAATTAAATTAAATTAAGTTAAAATTCAATCAACAGAAGATTGTTGCCTCTATGACTTTACTAGGAACCTTGAGAGCATAAGTGTCTAAATTCCTTTCTCTTAATACAGAAGCAGACCAGCTCTGCTATACCAACATTGGCCCATGGATTAAAACTCCCTTGGAGCCAGGGGCCAGTCACTTAGCCTTTCTGTCCCACCTCAGATGGCCTGCAGCCAACGAGAGACAAATTTCTTTGCTTCTGTAGCCTTTGCTTGGCTTAGGGAAATCTTTGTTTCTTACCAAAAGAAGAAGAACATCTTTAGACTTATGCAAAAAGAAAAGATGATTAATTGGCACAATATTATGTATACTACACCCAAATAAATTCTAGATGGATTAAAGGCTTTTATTTTACAAATAAAAATAAGCCATAAAATTGATCTTTTTTATAAAATAAAGTAATACATTGATTTTAGGAATTTATAAGCATTAAAAACACCAAGAACAGTATTGATGAGTTGAACATAATAAATTTGAAAAAGTCAAATCAAAATAATACCATCAACAAGACGCAAATGCAAATAAAAAACTACAGGGAAATGTTTGTAATATGTATGACAGGCAATATACCTTAAACGGACATATACACACAAACACTCATATACAAGTGTATATAATATATAAACTTTTATATGAAAATAAGTAAAAACATCTCATTTATGGTCATAGGGCATAATAGAAATAAATAAATTAAAGAAATACAAAAGACCAAAAATCCTTTCACATTCACCTATTTAAAACAAAAAACAACACGGGTACACACATACACCTTCCAAAAATAATGTTCAACTATTTTTTAATGTAGCAAACTAACAAAGATTCAAAACCATGATTGTTAATCTCATGATAATGAAGTAAAGTACGAACTCGCATACATTGCTAGCAAACTGTAACATGCTACCATCTTCCCAGAAGTTACTTTGGCCTCACGTAGGGAACTTTAATGTATTTGAGGAGAAATTTATCCCAAATAAATAACCACAGATATTCATAGCAATTTTTGAGAAAGAATTCTCATTGCAGCTTCATTTATAACATCAAAATATTATAATAATGTAAATGTCAATCTGGTTACAAAAATCATATGACAACCATAAAATGAAATATCATGTACTTTCTAGAAATATGTAATTATGTGAGGAAATGTTTACCACACAATGCCATTAAAACAGGGTGAAAAATTATGTATGTATACACATATTTATATTTATATGTGTATATATTTATACAGATTTTATTTAATAGTATATAAAATATTTCAACATTATACATCATTTATAATAATATATGCATAAATACATATGCGATCACAAAAAAAGATTAAGAAAAGAAAAAAATGACAAAATGTGAACAGTAATTATTACTGAGAGTTGGGAAGAGTTGTCATTTTAATAGTCCTTATGTTTCTGTGTTTTTCAAAAATGTCTAAAATAAGACAGAATTCTTTATAATTTAATAAGTAATAAATGTTATTTAAAAATAATAACTTTCTTTTACTGTCCTCCCAAATGGCAGAGGTCTTAATCTCTCTTGCTGTATAGTGAGGTATATTTCATTACTGTTTCCCATAACCACGTTATAATTATCTTCTTAACCAGTTCATAACAGGAAGTGCAAAGACTCGCAGTAAGGCAAAATACCAGTAAAAATTTCCCAAGGGAAAGAACTAAGTGGTGGAGCCAGGAAATGTGGTTTGCATTATCATATGTGGCTTCAAGTTTTGCCTCCCCATCCTCAGTTCTCCTCCGGGCCTGCCCCCAACCCCTGCCAGCACTTCATCTAAGCAAATGTGCTCAAATTTGGAAAGGGGGTATTGCCATCCCACAACCTGCTCATACTTAATAACTTGAACTTTCACTGCCCCAAACCCAAGGCACTCATGGGTGTACCCCAAACATAACATTCGGACAGGCATGTGTTCAGAAAGGCCAAGAAGAGTTAATTATTTTAAATTCTAGAACCGCGCCCCCAAAACCAAAAAAAAAAAAAAAACCAGAGGTATCATATAAGGGACCATTTGTTCAGGATTTAAGATGTGCCGTCACTCTGCTAAGTGCTTCACACATATTATCTTGTTTATATTCTTAAACCAACCCTGCAAAGTAGGCATAAATATCACCACTTTAAAGATAAGACAGTTGAGGCCAAAGGAAGATAAGTAATCTGATTTACTTAGGTAAGTTTTCCATAGTCAAAAATCTAAATTTAACTCAACGCCAGTGCCTATACTCTAAAACCACTGCACCATATTATCTCCAAATAAGATGGGAAATCATGCTTTTAAAACCAACCTGGATACAAGCCCTGCCGTTGGATTTTGATATTTAGAAAGGAGATTCATTTATGTTTCATCATTTTCTCCTCTCTTTTTCAGTAGATTGTTACTTGTTAGGATTTACGGCTTCATTCTCCAAACCTCCCATCAACTCTTAACCAAAACTTAGTATCAGAAACCTACATATTAGATACCTAAAAGAAACTGAAAACCATATAATTTAGGTGGATGAATTGTGTTATTCATATTTCACAGATGCATTCACTAAGTCTCAAAACATTTCAGGGAACCTCCTTAATTTACATAGCTAACAAGTAACAGAGAAGAGCCTGGAACCCAGGCATCCTGCCCTTCCTTGTTCCTGAGACCCATCAGTACAGGCAACATTTAAAGTTTTCACTCCAAACAAGAAAGTTCTTGTTCCATAGCTGGTGATCCTTAAACCATTTATATATAACTTGCCTTCTGTATGAATAAAACTAGCTATTTTAGAAAGCTAATATTCTTTCTGCATTTTTTTCCATGACTTTCCCTCCATGATAATAGCTCTGTACCAGGCACTGTTGTGAGTTATTTATGCAACTTGATTTGTTTAATCCTCTTAAAAACTCTAGGAGGCAAAGTACTGTTATTATACGTATTTCACAGATGAGGAAACTGAAGCCCAGGGATTAAATAACCTGCAAAGTTGGCAGAATTGGGATTTGAACCCAAGCAGCCTGATGCCAGAGTCCATGTGCCATCCCCTACACTGTGCTGTCTCTCCATACAAACAAAGTGCATGGAAACTGCACCCTGCAACCACCAGAGCTATTATTTTAGTACTATTTACAACATCACTGCTTAAAGATGTGGAAAATTTGGAGTGAGTCCAAGGATACATAATGAAAATTATTAATGTTTGAAAAATGAAACATATGAGGAAAGGTTACAAGAAGTGAAATTTTTTAGCCTTAAAAAGAGAAGTCTGAAGGGGAAGTTAATAACTCTTCAAAAGAATAAAGGATTGTTATGGAGGGGATGGTAATCAGAGTTTATTCCCACTCCACAGAGGATAAAGTAAGAGAAAACCAGCTTAAATTGCAGCAGGAAGACATTAAACCAGCTATAAGGAAGAACTTCCATTAGGTAGCATTCTATCAATTGTGAATTTCAATTTAACCAGCCCTCCTTATTTTTCCAGTTCAAGCATTATTCCTAATGAGGTCAAGAATTCCCTTTTGAATCACGAATGATTAAATTACACTCAGGACAATATTAGTTTCAAATATGTTTTATTTCTCAATTATTTGATAATCAGACACTCATACAAGGCTAATATGAAAATTATCAAATGAGAATATATGATTCCTCAGACTATGTCATTCCCAGAACTATCTGCTTAGGAAGAGTTTACATGACCAACAACTCCAGGTAGATGTGGCATCACTTTCTTGAGCCCTCTGTGAATAGAAGCAGACACCAATTTGTCTGTGCGCTTTTGATGGAGTCCGTCCCAGAAGCAAGGAGGTGAACTGTGTTGACCTCTTGTGGTTCTTTCCGGCTTGATGATTCTATAAGCCCCTACATTTGGTCATTCATCCCAATAAAATTTCATTGCTAAAATCCATGGTTTCTTCACAACTGGGAAGAATAAAGTACAGCAATGGTACAGGTAACAATTGTTGATGGATAAGACAAATCAGGCCCCAAGCTAACGTGCAAAGATCTTAACTGTGTCTTTAGTTCAGAGTTCCTCACTGTGGCCCTTTGAACACTTTGTATTAGAATTATCTCTAGTACTGTACTTGTTAAAAATCAATCAGACTCTTTAAAGAGGGGCCCAAAAAACTGCATTTTAAGCACTCTTCCAACCCATTTTTTTCAAATGTACACTAAGCTTTAAGAACCAATGAGATTTGTGTCTAAGGATTTTATTCCACTACTAAGGAAAGGGATATCTAGAGAAATCAATATTTGTCCATCTGGTTACTAGAAAAAATCAGGAACAGAATCAGATGTCCAGAATTCCCATGCCAATAAATCCCTTATCTACTTGGAAGCATTACAAATAGATTTTTAGAAAATGTCCTGTGGAATATATACTTGGCATCAAAGCAGTAATCAAAGTAGTTTGTTTCTCTGCATAATTACTGTGGAGAAAAATATCAATGACCTATGTGTTAGTCAGCTTACTTGGCACCACAAATAACTGAATCTCACCTACAAGAGAGTCAAACTATAAAGAAATAGATTAGTTCATTCTAGGGGGAGTCTAGAGGTGAGGCAGGCTCCTGGGTCAGTTGATCCAATGACTCAACCCTGCCATTTGAAACCCTATTTTATCATCTCTCCACTTCACCATCCAGATCATTAGGCTAATATGTCACTTCTCTCTCTGAAGGCCAGAATGTCATTCCAAGAAGGCCCCAGAAAGATTTTTTTTCTTTCATTGGCTCAAATAAGTGGAAGTTTATCCATTCCTCAACCAATTACTGGAAATAAGACTAAAAATACTACAAGACTATAGTACAATAAGACTGAAAAATAGTGGGCTGTAATAACCAGCTGGTGTGGAACAGAGGTGGAGAGTCAACCACAATGTGCTTTACAGCCCGACAGGGAAATGGCTAGAGAAGCTCCCATAACCTCCCCAGCCAGAGTCAATCCCCAGAGAAAAGCCACTCAGGGGCCTGGCCTCCACCAGGCACTTTCCCCACCCTTAGTGGACACAGGACTATTTTCCATTTTCAGGGTGTGTTAGCCAATGTTATCTTGGGGCAAGGCCTTCCTGACTCATACACTTAACCCACATTCATGACCATTAACCCAATGCTTTCAGGAGAGAGAGGCATGTCTCCTTCTCTGTGTATAAGAGAGTGCCACACACACTCAAAATATACTTATATGTGCAAAGAAAAATATCATTTCTTTGTTTTCGTGTTTGAACTAATCTTCCTCCCAAGCCCATAACATTTGGGCAGAAGAGTTAAGAGTGGTTCATTTTGGTCCAATCTAGTAAACTCAGAAGGGCCATTGTAAACAAAATTGCTATAGGCGATTCAGTCATCTTATTTGGTTTAAAGACTCAGTATTTCAGATTTCCTCCTACTTCAAAATGGTGTTTGGGTATAGAGGAAGCCTTAACCATAGAGAAGAGACAGGAGGTTTAGGTCTACACAGCATCATCCCATTGCCAATCATAAGTGTTCCTCACTGAAGGGGGCCCCTTCAGAACATGCTGACTTCTCCACTCTGCCTCTGACCCACTCATTCTCCCTACATTTCCCTAGATCCAGGAGCAGTGGGCTTTCTCTCCACTCTTCCAGTTAGGATAGAACATCCCTATGTCCTACCCTCCTCCATTCATAGGTTGCATTTAAATTACATACTCCTGCCCCAACCATAATGGTGATGTAGTGTATGGATGAAGGCATCTGATAAAAGAGCATTAAAAGGAGCTATTTCAAAAGTATTATACCTAGTACACATGATAACGTGCAAAATACTCAGGGTATCCTTCAAAGCCACTGGATAAACCTATTCCACTAACACATGAGGATATAGGGAGGAAAGAGTAGGACCAAATGTAGTTAACTATAAAAACATAAACAAAACCCATCATCCCTGTGAAATATCAAAGCTGGAAAGATTTGTCTGTCCCCTTAGAGACTAAGGTTTAAGTGCAAAAGGATAAAGTATCCATGAAATTAAAAAAAGAGACAAGTTTCCAGTAATCCTGACTGTGTCTAGACAGGCAACATCTAAAAGCCATATTGGCCAGAATCGTTTTTGCCATCAATCTCCATGGTGATGGGGCACAGAAGTATCAGTGACACCAGTGCCATTAACACATAAGCTACAGAAAAGACATGAGTCAGTCCAGAGCCCTGGCAAAAGAGATCTTTCTAACTGTAGAGAAGACTTCAGTGTCATCATAGTTCATCTACTTAGCTAATACTTTTTTCAGAAAAATTACAAATTAAAACCAAACATAAAGTGTTTGATGAAATGTCATTCAGTGGTGTTGAATATTAATTCATATTTGAGTCTATTGTTGACCTTCAAAAAAAGAATATTGTTCTCTTTTTTTCCCTAGTATAATTACATGCTTATATTTGAACTAAACCCACATCCTGTGCTTCTCCTACAAAGCATAGGCATGTACCATGCTACAAGGAAAACCATGTATTTTAAAAGTCATTGTATTTGTTAAGGAAAGAACCAGTGACCTTCTTATAACTCAGATTGAAAAAAATATAAAATTCAGTTTGTGTTTTAAACATTGTAAATATTTTTATATCAGGCCAGCCTCCATGCTAGAAGTAAATGCTAATTAGCCAGTCAATGCCAATCAAAAAATGCATTAAAATTGGGGAAAAAGATAAGGTTAGAGCAGGTAGAAAGAGAAATGACTAGCTAGACTATGTTGACACTGCCAGTGCATGCCAATAGAAAAATATGTGTAATGTTTTCCTTATTAGCAATAAAGAAGATCCAAGATTTCCTCTATTTTTTCTGTTTCTGATTTAAAACAGATGACTCCATAACTCAGAGGCTGTTTTGGAAGTCCACGTTGAAGAAAGAGATCTTCAGTTAAGGAGGCTATCTTAGTAACAAGAGGTTCATACAGAGAAATTCAGTCTGCCAAGAGGAGGTGACATCTAAGCCAGAATTTGAAGAATAAATGAGAATTCATCTAGGCAGAAAAGACAGAAGGCAATGGTGAGGAAAGCATTCCAAGAAGAGTGAATGGCATGTGCAAGGCAGAGACGTGGGCCACTTCTTGGCCTATTCAAATCATCTCATCACACTGCTGGTGTAAAGAAGGGGATGTGGGAGCCTTAAAAATAGGAGTGGGCTCCCAAGTGTCAGGTACTGCAGAGAAGCTGACATAAGACAAACACAGACTATTCCCACAGTGATCTTAGCGAGAACGGTGTCAGTGGCTGAGGCTAGGTTGCAGTGGGGTTTAGTAAACAGGATGTTAAAAGAATGGGCTATGATAGGGAAAAGAGAGATTGTCTAAATACTTGAAAGCATTGTAGAATACAAGGAAGGTTTTGTTCTGGTTTTGCTAGAATGGAGGAACTTGATCACATGTTAAGCTAAGGGAAGGAAGAGAGGAAGCTGAAAACACAGTAGAAAAAGTAGATCGTTGATACAGCAAGGCTCCAGGTGACTCAGGAAGAACAGAGCAGGGAGGGTAATGCCTCCTATGGGTCCAGAGAATGATACAGATGTAAATAAGTTTGTAGACAAGGAGACAAGAAATTAAGAAGTTCCTGATTAATAATCTGTAATTTCTAATAAGTAGAAACTAAGGATATTTATTTATAAGTAAACACCACTGTGTTCTGTACATGCTTTAAAGTAGCTAAATGGGATGATCCATCCACCAAGAGAAATTAGGATGGGCATCACAGAGAAGACAAAGCTGTTAAAGGAAATAGAAGCACTCACCAGAAAGGAAGGAAGATAAGTGGTAAGGGATCTTGAGGCCCAAAGGATATTAGAAGTTATGAACTTGTACTGACACAAATATGCAGTTTGTGACTTTCTCCAACAGTATTCAACAGACTGTGCCACTAGAAGTGTGTAGGAGATGCATGCCAAAAACATAAGCAGTAGAGAGATATGATGGTATTGGTGAGAGAGAAGTTATGACGAACAGTAGCAATTTTAGGCTGGTGCAGAAAGAAGTCAGAAAACTGAGTAATCGAGAAGCATGAGAGGCAGGCACTGTTGGGGTGACAGAGAAGGCAGTACACATGGGAGGCGCCATCCTAGAAAAGGGCTGTGGGGCTTGAGATTTCAGGTATGGAACAGTCCCATGATGGCAACATGTTGCTGTAGATAAGAATCATTGATGTGGATTAGAGATGAAGGCCATTGGCACTGAGATCAAGGAATTGGAAATAGGGTGCTAAATATATTGTCTACGTGATATAAGAAATCACTCAGGTGATGATGGAAGTTGGAGAGGAGAAAAGTCCCCATGTCACTCACATGGGACAGATCAGAGGGGAAGGAGTTAATGGCAACAGGGCGTGCAGAGGAATATAAAAAGCTTGGTGTGATCTTCAAAGCAGGGAGAATATTTTGGGAATGAAGAGAAATAGTATCAAAGAAGCTGTAGAAAGTGAGAAAAGACACAGAGGGGGAGAAGTCTATACTTATTTATAGACTTTACTATTTAGATACTTTATTTTATTTATAAAATACTTTATTTATATACTTTATTTATCTACTTTACTATTTAGAGGGATACAGATAAGTGACATCTTCAGATGAGACATAGATCATATCTTCTGACCTATGAAAGATAGGTGATGGTTAGGGCCAGAATGGGGAAGGAGTGCTGCAAGAAGAGGCTGAGGTGCCAGAAACACTGTGTAAAAAATAGACAGGAGGATCTCCATTTGGAAAATGGGTGGACACCCAGGAGAAATATAAAGGCAAAAAATTGAATGAAGATTGACAGAATCAGCACGTCTGTGGTGTCCAAGACCTTGGATTCAATTGAATTAACTGGACTCAATTTTCCATTGCCTGGGTAATGCTGCTAGGGTCTTGAAAAGGCCAAGGACCAGAGGAGTATGGGGCCCACTCCTGCAGCTACTCCCTACTTTAGCCCTGTGTGGAAACTGCCCAAGTGCTCATGGTAATATCTAGCCCAGTGGCCTGGGCATCTCAACTGCCACGTCCAATTTTATTAAGGTTAGCTGTTGCTAGTAGGAATCATGCAAGTTCTTTTTCTTATTTAACTCTGGCATGTTGGTAAATTTTCTGCTGAGTTGTAGTGTCTTTCCCAGCTTTAGTGTAGACTCTATAAAACTGTGATTGGTTTTACTGACCAATTTAGTTAGGTTACAACCTGGCTAGTAGTTCTGTTTTGTAACCCAGGAAGGAAATAAATTTTAGATGCCAATTTTCCCTTTTCCACTGTCTGCTCATGGTCATGTGACCCAGATAAATTGGGCCACTAATATTCACAGCTCATGTGTGATGGCATCTAGGTTTTTGGTTTACAATTAAACAGAGTTATTAGAACTGGCACTAAAAATATTTATCATCTTAAGTTCCTTGCCTGTACTGTTGTAAGTTTTAACTATTCTTTCTACTTGTGAACTAAATGTTTTCTATGGGTTTCCCTTCATTGCTTTATGGTTAACCATCTCAATTACAATAAGACCAGATATTTATAGACTTCCTTGTTCTCTTCACGAATTTGATCTTTAATTCTTTAAACCTATCTGTCACAACTATCACAGTAACCCAGAGAATATGTAAACTCACCCACTCTGTAAAATGCCTAGACAAAAATTTCCACCATAATTTTATTTATTCACATCTATTTTTCCTAGCACATAGTCTACCATTTATACATTTTGAAAAAATAAATCAAAAGAAAGCTTTGTCTTTCACATTTCCCACATATACAGCTTTAATGGGTTCTTCTGTCTGTTATTTGAAACTATAATCATTGCTGTCAAAAGAGACAAGTCTATATACATAAAACTTGTACTTACTATGGTAGATGAAGAGTTAAATCAAAGGGCCAGCTAGCGATCTAGTCCTGGGTAGGAAGAGAGGAGAGAAGCAGGACATCATGAGGTCTCTCTACACTCCTAAGCTCTGCTCACTTTATGTTCACTTACAGTGCTAACACCTAGAAAGCCCCAGGGAAACCAGGAGGAATTGGTCACCCTACTACAAGAGACCCTCTCCACTGTTCTCAATCTCTGCCTCCTCTTGATTTTGTCTGGACAAGAAGCTACTAGGTGTGTTTACCCTCAACCTAATTTCCCAGGTTCCCAAATCTGAAATTTTAAGGAAAGAAATATATCTTAAACATATATAACACATCTCAGTTTCTTAGGAATTACTACTATGTTCTTCACAGAATAGAATCAGCTTCATTTAAAGAACGATTTCTCAACCCTGACACTCGATATTTAGAATTGGATCATTTTTGTTGTGGGGAGGTGTCTTGTACATTGCAGAATGTTTAGCACCATCACTGGCCTCAACCCAGTATCCTCTACAGGGGGGAGCCAGTAGCATCCCCCCTCCCCCATTGTAATAACCACAAATATCTCCAAATATTGCCAAATGTCCTCTGGGAGGCAAAATCATCCCAGTTGAAAAAATCGCTGATTTAAAAGACTATCCTCCCCACCGTACCTTCACCCCAAGAAGGACTGCTAGGAAAGAAGGAAAGAAAGAAAGAAAGAAAGAAAGAAAGAAAGAAAGAAAGAAAGAAAGAAAGAAAGAAAGAAAGAAAGAAAGAAGGAAGGAAGGAAGGAAGGAAGGAAGGAAGGAAGGAAGGAAGGGAAGGAAGGAAGGAAAGGAAGGAAGGAAGGAAGGAAGGAAGGAAGGAAGGAAGGAAGGAAGGAAGGAAGGAAGGAAGGAAGGAAGGAAGGAAAGGAAGGAAGGAAGGAAGGAAGGAAGGAAGGAAGGAAGAAAGAAAGAAAGAAAGAAAGAAAGAAAGAAAGAAAGAAAGAAAGCAGGCAGGCAGGCAGGCAGGCAGGCAAGAAAGAGAAAGAAAGAAATAAATAAAGAAAGAAAGAAAGAGAGAGAGAGAGAAAGAAAGGAAGAGTGAAGGAGAGAAAGACAGAAAGAGAGAAAGGGAGAAAGGGAGGAAGGGAGGGAAAGAAAGAAAGAGAAAGAAAGAAAGAAAAAAAGAAAGAAAGAGAGAGAGAAAGAAAGAAAGAAGGAAAGAAAGAGGAAGGAAGGGAGGGAGAGAAAAAGAAAAAGAGAAAGAAAGAAAGAAAAAAGAAAAGAAAGAAAGAAAAGAAAGAAAGAAAGAAAAAGAAAGGAGGGAGGGAGGGAAGGAAGAAGGGAAGGGAAGAAAGAAAGAGCAAGGAAATGGAGAGGACAAAAAGAAAGTGAGTAAGAAAGGAAGGGAGAAAGAGAGGAAAAAAAGAAAATATGGTAAAGATACTTATATTGTAAAAAAAAAAAAAACACGAAAAAACAAAAGGGGAGATGGTTAGAAAGAAAATTAGATCTTGATTCCAAGAAAAAAATGCATTAATCCACTTTCCTCTAGACCTAATCCTAATTTCAAAGATGAGAAATTTATGGCAAAATTTTTAATCCTGCTTCCTCTAAAAATAGACTTAAGTTGATTAATTTATGTAAATAGAGATTTTGACAGAGAAAATATGAATCAGACTCTGACAGGTGTATAGATCAAAAGTCAGCCAATCCCACTGAAAAATATTTATTCTGAGCAGCTGACAGGCACACTGTTGGGAGAAGACTGGAGGCACAGAGGGCTTTGCTCATCTGAATCAACTGTTTACTATAAAGAAAATAAATTTATTTTCTCACAGCTCTGGGGGCTGGGAAGTCCAAGATCAAGGCACTGGCATCTGGTGAGGGTTTTCTTGCTGCATCCTCACAGGGCAGAAGAGCAGAAGAGAGCAAAGCCACTCCTGCAGGCTGTTTTTATAGCAGCATTAATCCTTTCATGAGGGCAGAGTCCTCATGACCTAGGCATGTCCCATTCTGCCCCAGCCCCCAACACTGTTACATTCAGGATTATGTTTCCAACACATAAATTTAAGGGAACACATTCAGAACATTACACCTGGTAAAATGTTGAAATGGTATACTCTACCAGGCCCCTCTGTGCATATCATTAAATGTTTTTTAAAACCTGTGCTCAAACTTTCTAAGGGCAAATAGTCTAAGTGATGATACAATAGATAAAATAGACCTGTCATTTGTGGCTCCCAATGATTCTGTTAACCTCATTTTGGTAGTTTTACGCATGATTCATTAAGCTTTTCCCAAGAAGAATCTGAAAACCTCCATTTCAAACATCCCTTGCACATGACTAGCTTCAACCAAGCAAATGCACCCTGTGAGTCTTTGGATTAAAAAATTAAAATTGATAAGGCCACAGCCTTTTCTGGCAAGCACTGGTCATAAAAGTGTTGAGTTAATCTGCAGCAGCTGTAGCAGAGGTTCTGGTGTTCAGGTAGTAGTTTTATGAATGTAGAGTGACAGGTGGCAGCAGCTGTGGACTTTCCACTGGAACAGCCTCAGGGAGTAACTGAGCATTCTTCCTCGCTGCTCACTTCTGCTGTCTGGCATTCATGTTTGGTTCTCTCACCTGTCCCTAGAAATCTGTAAGTTCCTAATACCCTGTAATAAATATCTTTCTGCTTAATCAAACTTGAATGGGCTCTGTGGACTGCAATTGAACCCTGGCTGATAGGAAGGGGTGAAAAGAAAGCCTCTTGCACATCAGCAAAGGAAGTTGCTCTAGCAGGGTTGAGCTGGACAAGAGATACAGAGAAAAAGAAAATGTATTGGTGATGGCCAACGGAGTCCCAAGCAGGTGGTTTATGAGTGAAAATAGAGAAAAACATTTCCAGTGAAACGGATACAAGGGGAGCTGGCAGGATCTCATTTTTCCCTCGCCTCTTCCCAAAGCACTTATTTTGCCATTTTCACGTTCACTGGTTATTTGTGTCTGTCCCTCCCCCAGACTCTGAGCTCCTGAAGAGTAGAAACTAAGCTTTTCTTTTTGTCACCCATGTCAGTATCTGAACATAGGACTTTGGACTTAGTAGATGTTTAGCAGGTGCTCTAGCAATACTTACTGGGTGTGGTGTGATATGGTTGTTTGTTGCATGACGTTCCCAGCTCCTCCTGAAGAGGGATGGAAGTTTCCATTTATAAACAATGGAGTAGACAGAAAAAAGTCTCCCTTGATTCTTTTTACTTCAGAATATGGCCTCAGAAAGTCTGTGTATGGGGTGAGGCTGAGTGGATCCCGCCAGCCAGGAGTCTTATAGACAGCTAGCAGTGGCCCTGGTGGTTCTCCAATTTGTATTTATATCTGTACACGCCTCCTCCATCAAAATATGCCATATGCAACTAAAAGATATTGAATCAAATATTAATGCCCAAGGTGCCCACGCATTTTTGTAATGTCTTCAACCTTCTTTACAAAGGATTTTAATGCACTCTTGTAATTTTACTTCAGCACAATGCAGTCAGCAAATATCAATTTCTCTCTGGGACCATGAAGACTTGTTAACTGCAGTTCTGCTATTCATGCCCTAGTAAGGGAAAGAGCTGCTGTGTCAGACTCTTGGAAATTATCTCAACTCTGTAGACCTTAGCATGAGGAAACTATAGAGCATGAGAAGTAAGATCATTTACCAGGCTCCTGCTGGATTGTTTTTAAGAGGGGATTTCAAATCATTCTGTCTTAAGTTCCTATCCCTTTTTCTCTGCCTGTTAGATCCTTACCCATTCTGTGACGCTAACTTAAATGCCACCTCCAAGAAGGCTTTCTCCACCCTACCAGAATGCTTCCAGGGTACTTTATTTCCCGTTCATGTATCAGCAACTGCCTTTTCTGGTAATTATTTGTTCAAATCTTATATAGTCTACCAGATAAGCAACTTGAGAGTTAGGACCAGGTATTTTCCGTATTTACACCTCAGGCCATTGCAAGCCATTAAATATTTGTTGACTAGATACATGGTGAAAATCATCACTTTTATTATCAGGTTTAGGATAGCAGGGTCCTGAAAGTTCAGGGAAAATTTAGTTGAAATGGGTTTTTGTGGTCTAGCTTAGGCATGAACTACCTTTTAAAAGCCTATTTTCCTGGGAAAAAAATCTAATTTACAAGACACCTTGTGTATGAATTGGGTGAAGATAAAAGCACACTGAGTCAGAATTAGCTCAATATAGAGTCAATCCCTAAAATAAAAGTAAGGCCTTTTCTGCCTTTTTCAATGACAAAATAATCATATTCCTTGTGCTTCATAAGCACTTCTTACATCCAGGCAGAGAGAAAACCTAGGAGGTTGGGTGGAGCTGTTTCTCTCTTCCTCTCACAGGAGTCCACTCTTCATTGCCTTTTAATTTTTACTTACAGAATCGTAATTAACTCTCAGCAAAATGAGTCACCAATATTTAGCAAGTAGTTTTATGGCACTGTCAAATTGGTTTTATGGCACTGTCAAATTTTGACTTTGTGTACCCTGAAGTGTTTGTCAAGCATGAACATTTAATAAATATGTAGGTACTCACTAAATGGTGCCTGATAGGCATTGCTCACTTTTGCCCAACGCAGACAACTGGCATGGCATTCCTTCAGGGTTATTAGCAAAGATTTCTATGGCAACTTAAGGTTGGGGCTTTTAGTTCCACATCTACAAAACTTAATATTTTCTCCTGGATTCTATCCCGACAATTCTTTTTGTTTTGTTTTGTTTTGTTTTTGAGGTAGGGTGCAGTGGTTTTGTTTTGTTTTGTTTTTGTTTTTGAGGTATTTTTGTTTTGTTTTGGAGTGTTTTGTTTTGTTTTTGAGGTAGATCGTGCAGTGGCACGATCACAGCTCACTATAACCTCTACCTATCTAGGCTCAATGATCCTCCCTCCTCAGCCTCCAGAGTAGCTGGAACTACAGGAGCACACCACCACGTGTGGCTAATTTTTGTGTTTTTTGTAGTGATGGGGTTTTGCCATGCTTCTCAGGCTGGTCTCAAACTCCTGGGCTCAAGCAATTCGCTCACCTCAGCCTCCCAAAGTGCTGAAATTACAAGCATGAGCCACTGTGCCTGGCCCTATCCCTACAATTCTAGCAGATTATCTCCAGGAGAAAAGTGTTGCCTTAGATCAGCTTTCCTCAAAGTGTTTCAGTGATGTTAACAGTTAATACATAGAAAATGAGCCAAATGAGTTTGAAAAATACAGTACTGAATTTAGCAAAATTAAGCAGATTAACTTACTTGGGGACATCACAGAGCCTTTAACACAATAGTGTTCAGTGTGAATCTCACAAACATTTCTCAAGAAACTTGTGTTCTGAACGTATATTTTAGAAAATGCTGCCTTATAATATGGCTTGCCCTGGTCTTTCCCCCAACTGCCAAAGACTAGTGTAAAAAGCAAGGGTGAGTGATGCCAATGTTATTTTAATACTTTTTCTATAAATTATGTCATAAAATGTGATGACTTTCTCATTACAAAAATTTGCAGAACACTCATCAATACTTTAAAAAGAATCAAACTCCTCAGCACCACAAATATTTTCTGACCACCATCAACTTTTGTTCATCATGCTTAACCTAACTTTCTCCCTAAATCTTTTCTTAAGAGTTTATTATTATTATTGTAACTGTCCTTTACGGAGTTTTTAATATGTTCTAGGGACTGGGCTAAATGCAGTTCTTAATCCTCAAACCCTATGAGGTGGAAACTTTTACTAAGAAAACTGAGACTCAGACAACTCACCAAAGTAAATGACAAGGCCAAGATTCCAGGCCAGGTCTCCAGAACTCTAGGGTCCATGCCATAGTCACTGGGAGGCACAGCCTCATCACTATGACTCTGTAGATATATATGTGCTGTTCTCATGGGCTCCCATGCCCAGCTGCCCTTGTGTCCACGTAAACACATGCCAACCAAAGCCCTCCAGGAGGCTGGATGTCAGTTCCTTCTTTGAATATCTCCTTATAGCTAATCAAAGGGATAGGTGTTAGTTAACTAATTAATTTCCCACTTCGTTCTGAGTTGCTGTATTCTCATGGACTCCCTCTAGCACACTGGAGTAAAAGAGAGGTGGCTTTCATGCTCTTGCCAAGAGAGGCAGAATAGAGTTTAGTCACCAAAGATTTAACTTCGCATCTACTGCATTCTCTCTCGTAGACAGAAAAAACATCACAGAGAAAAAGCAGTGCATTCCTGATGTCAGATTCCCCACGACATTTTCCCCATTTGGATTTCTCTCCCTCTCCGTCCCTATAGATAATCCTTGGTAACTAGGACAGGGTTCATGTTTAATAGTTGACCAAGTGCTGTGGCCTCAGCATTTTACCACCTGCTTTCACTAGCATCCTGATCGTCTTCTTCCCTGAACTTTTAAAATAACATTTGAACAAAAAGGACAATGTTTCTTTTTTCTTGCCAGACACCTAGGCATTTCCTCCTACTGCTTTGTTTGCATGTTATTCTTTAATCAACAGGTCATGCTACAATTGCATTATCCAATTTTACATGTGAAGAAATGAGGCACATGGGAACCCACAAGGATCGTAATAGTGATAACTTTTCAGGCTGTTCAAGCAGGAAAAGGAGGAAAGAAATATCCACAGTGATGTTAGGTCTGCCTTTTCTGTGTTCTCATGTTAGATCCTCTTCCTCAGCTCCTAGGAAGATTGTTGCAACTCCCTGCACCCAATTACAAAATTATAGTCAAGACTTAGACACAAACTCTTTGATGAAATATTCTCCAAAAACAAAGTAAATTTAACTTGCTGTCGAATAAGAGCTTTACTCCACGAGTTAATAGTACTAACTTTTAAAAGTGAGTTTGTTTACATGTCGTTGGGATTAAACCACCACCTTGACCTCTGTTTATTCATGTCTTCTGATTCCAGTGTTACTCAGACATTGTGGCCCTTTATGTGCCAGAGAGTAATAACATTGGGCTTCAACTCACACGTCCTCACATCTCTATCTGGCCAATTCTCTTGGGGTCAAATATCTTGAGAGCTGAGTGTATGTGAGGCAGTGGGGAGACAAATACCTCTGAGAGATAAGACAAAGACCCTGCATGTGGAGGTTATTTGCTCTTTCCGAGAGGCGTTATTGTCAAGTGAAAACAGAATGCAATCCAGGGACAAAGCACACCTGGTTACTTGCAACCCAGTTCTACCACCTACCAGCTTCATGACCTCGGGCAAATTATTTAACCTTTCTGAGTCTCCAATTCCTCACCTGTGTAATTATAGTTCCTCTATATACCTTATTAAACAAAGGTTTTAAGAATAAAATTTAATAACACGTATGAAAATTTCTATCACACTGCCTGCCACATAAGAGGTAGTTAATAAATATTACCTCCCTTCATGTCCCTCATCTTCTTGAGTGTAAAGTAACTAGGTAATAACAATATTTTGTCTCAAAAGAACTTGTGAGAAAATATTGTGAGAATACTTACAACATAGTAAATATTCAACAGTGATAAAAATAATAATAAGACCAGCAGCTACCATACCATCATTACCTACTGTGTTAGTCCGTTCTCACACTGCTGAAAAGAACTACCTGAGGCTGGGTAATTTACAAAGGAAAGAGGTTTAATTGACTTACAGTTCTGCATGGCTGGGGAGGCCTCAGGAAACTTACAACCATGGTGGAAGGCAAGGGGGAAGCAAAGCACCTTCTTCACAAGGCGGCAGGAGAAAGAGCGAAGGAAAGTGCCACACTTTTTAACCATCAGATCAGATAGTGAGAACTCCCTCAATACCACGAGTACAGCATGGGGGAAATGACCCCCATGATCCAATCGCCTCCCATCAAGTGCCTGCCTTACCATGTAGGGATTACAATTCGAGATGAGATTTGGGTGGGAACACAGAGCCAAACCATATCACCTATTATCATTTTTTAAATTGAAATGTTTTCAGGGCACACCAGCCTGATGGCCTGAGTGGATCATGCCTCATGTGTGTCCTCATATGCCTTTATTCCTGGTGGAGGGGATGGGAAGCAGGTGAGGGACACGTTTATTTTAACATCACTTAAGTCTCAGGAGACTTTCCTTCCTAGGGTCTCTTCTACTCCAACCTAGTTTTCAATCAGGTTAACTAGAAAACCAGGATAAGGGATTTTAAAATCTGATATCTGACATGTGGCTCATGTCACCCACCCACATTTCCTTAGGATAGTTTGGCCTTCTGAGGTTTGCACAACCAAAGGCCCTGTGGTCACATGGCTTCTCTTTGGTCCCAAGTCACTGTGCTTGGTTTGATTCATCTACTACAGACAAATAAGCTCATCTAGTCTCTGTCTCACTTCATGTTTACATGTAGTAATAGACAAAAATTCATGTACGTTGTTAATTTTTAAATTAGTATAATCTTCCCGTGGTATTTCATTTGAAGTTAGCACAAAAATGCTTTCGTGTCGCCCAGTAGTACTATTTTTTTATATACATTTAGGCTAAACTGTCACAAAAGAGTAAAATATTATTTGAAGGTAACTTCACTTGAAAAATGTACCATCTTATTCGTGAATTCTATCATCATTAGACCATTATTGTCCATGCTAATGTCATCCTGTGTCTTTCTATACCCTCTTTCTGAGACAGACTACATGCAGGACTCCTCTTCTGGAGCCGAGATGAAAACATAGCACTATTTTATCCAAGATTTTAAATGCCTGGAAATATTGATCCAGCCTGCTAGCCTACTCAGAAGGATGCTGCACTTGCTGCCTTGTGCTTAGAGACAATCTAATAAAAGCTTGCTGAATAATAAACAATGGGAGCCCACCAATTCTAAAAATTTAGATTGACAGGAATAATCCCCTCCCTGGAAAAGACAGACCAGCGGGCGCTTCCCATAAACCCATTACTGCCCACTCACTCATAAGCCAATAGAAGATGTTGGGTTATTGGAACTCCTAGCTTTAAGAGAAATTGCTTTCCTAAATTTGACTTCCCACACTAAATATAAAATATGGACCATCTGTAATGAAGGGATTGCAGCCCAAACAGCCATCATCTCCTGAGGCAGAGGTTAGAAGGTTGATGCACATTGGTTCCAAAGGGATGGGGATGGGGATGACCTTTTACCTTGAAAATGGTCACTTGGAGCTGTAATGTGAGAGAGGGAGGTCAGGTATTAGCCAGTAAAGTGTCTCCAAAGCTTCTGCCTTGTTAGATTCTTACACGAGGTGGGGTGGGAGAAGCCACAAAAGCAATATGAGAAAACAGCATCAATTCTCATAAACATGAGAATGTAATACAGAGGAAATGGGAAACTGGATATACCTCAGACAAGGAATACATTTCAAAGCCTTTCAAAATAAACAAGTAACTGTAGGTAAAAGACAAAGGATTTGGAAAGGAAACAATTTTATATTTACTTGTGACACACTTTTGACCATTTGATTGGCGTGTCAGTGCTGCCACTTGTCTCCAACCTGCAGGCAAAGCATAATTTCTTCTAGGCTGATTCTTTTACAGAAAAACACCTTATAAAAACAATTTCTGGAGTTCAGCAAAATTCCCATTGTCCATGTCTGAGATTTGTTTAATTCTAACAAAAAAACTATGACAGCAATGGAAGAGTAGCTCCAAAATACTGAATGCTTTGTAAGCAGTAGCTTTTAGAACAAAAGGGAGGAGACTGCAGATCAAAGATTTCCTTTGAGAACGGAGTGCCTCATTCAAGACAGGGTGACATTATACAGGAATCTGAACTGAATATGCAGGAGGGGGACACCACAGGCTGATGGGAAGTTCCAAGGTGGAGTGCATTAATGCAGGATCAGATCAGGAGGATGGTTTTAATAAACACACAGGAACTTACACATCCGTCAGCCTCCTGGAGGCTAGCAGCAGAGTTCTGGAGTTCTCATTTCAAAATATAAGTGAGGAAAAATGGAGGCTGCCTGACTTTAGGTTTTGTCATAATTGACATTTTGGGAAGACAAGATTGACCTGATTAATCATGAATAAAAATTGAATGTGATACTTCTCTCTTTTATCTCAAAAAGAAGTCTTTCCCACTCAGCTCTCTTAGGCCGTCTCTCCTAGGCCACTCAGTTTTTAGCAAAACGATTCTCAATGCACAGCATACATGGAAATTAAAGTTCAAAGAAAGAAGAAACAATTAATAGCTGTTCCAGTTAGTAGAACCTTCATCGGCTTGGTATGAGAAAGAAAAATGACACAGTAATATTGCCACTAGCAATTCCTAAGTCATGTGATTTTTTTTTTTTTTTGGAACAGATCAATGTTGGTTGCCAAGCAACACACACACAAAAAGAAAAAAGAAAAAGAGAAGGAAACATTGTTATGTTTTGATAAATTTCCTTTATTAGAAAATTCATGGATTTCATACTGATATTATCATTATAATTCTTTTCAAGCTTTGTGTTACCTTAAAGGGGGATCAGCTTCATTAATTGAGAATGACTTTGGTGAACAATGGACAATGTGCAAAATATACTTGGCAAATAAATAGTGAACTTTAGAAACAAGAGCTGAAAATTCATAGTTGCCACCTTGGAGTGCTTTATTAATGATATATGTATGTTTATTAATGAGTTCATTGCCTTTGTGTCACACTTATGTCACCATCAAATATTAATGTTTTCTATATTATAATAATATCTATTGATATAACTGAAATTTGCTTTCCAGTAGATGTCACCATGAATAATACTTCTGAAATACTAAAATCAATAAGAAGAATATTAGGGGGGCATTATAGTATGTCAATGAAAAGAATTCCTCTTAAACGCTGCATGTAACATAAACCAGCTAAATATACCAAGTTACAATTTTAAATACATAAATATAGAAATTACAGATATAGATCTTATAATATGCAACATTACATTGCCTGAAATAATAGAATAAAGCTACCAAATGAATGAAAAGAGGCTCTGTGGATTCTCTAATTTAAAGTCAAGCTCCTTCTCATTGTTGGAATTAATAAGCATCCGTTTCTTTCAGCATGACAGAAGATCATGTAGACATGAGGTAGACTAAGTGGTTCAAATAAATCCTAAATTCATTTACCCTTGGATAAGATGGCCGCTGTTCCTCCCTCCACTCACTCCTCCCACAATTGCAAGCTCTTGTTCAGAAGCCATTTTTTATTCACTCCATGTTGCGCAGGATTGGACAGTGTCTGTGCGAACAAGGGACCTTCCCAGTGAATACCAAGGCAGAAATGTTCACCCGGCTCCTGGGGCTCTGAGCAGAGGCAACTGTCAGGGCAGCTGGGAGTCTGGCTGTACTATCTGGAGATCAATAGAGCACTTCAGCCTAGCGCTTTACAGAGCTACTAATAAAGACAGAGGGACAGCAGCCTTCCATAACTAAGGGAGAAAAACCATGAGTATTCAAAAGACGCACAACCCACCTAGATGCTGGTTAAGTGTGAAATTATCTATTTCATTGTTTTTTAATTTCTCTCATAGGCAAGCCTGTCTGGGATAGGCAAAACAAAAGCATGTTCCCCTGATTACTTCTTGCTTTATGTAGCCTTGGACTGCCCTCAGAGGTCCTCACCCTACTACATTCTGCTGAAACTTGCTTGAATGTCATTGCTCACACTTGGACTAATCCAACGGCAATTCCCTCTGGGCCTGTCTAGCTCATCTGACAAAGTCAAGGTGTATCACTAGCATAATGATTGAACATGTACTCCTCCTGAATCATGCAATAATTCTAGAATTGCTGCTGTCTTAATCCAGAGTATCTATCAATAGTAAGAATTTCAGACCCCATTGTTAGTCAACAGGAATGCAGACTGGACATCCTTCCGCTCCAACATCACAGGACGTTGCCTGTTTTACTATGTGCAGGGGAGGGTTAACTGTAACAGCTAACAGTGCCAGGGGCTGTTCTAAGCACTCGACATGTATTAGTTTTCTAATTTTCATAATGACTCTACAAGATAGGCCCTGTCTTTGCATTTTACAGTAGAAGTGATTGCTCAGGGTTCCACAGCTTGTAAATCTGGGCCAGAAATGTGAACCCTGCGCATCTGGCTCCCAACCCCAGAATCTTACTCATTACCCAACAGCTGCCTCTCACAGACTGTCACACCATAAGGGGCTCCTTCTTGATATTTGTAGCTAGTTTCTAGCAGGATAACAACTGGGAAGCTGCCCTGATTTGGACCCTCCTGTAGTAACTTTTTTTTTAAATTTTGTCAATCACCTAGTTCAGAGATTACTGATTACCTCAATGTCTGTTGCTCTGAACATTCCAAGAACCACAAAAAGAATTTGTTAAGCAGGTTGGAAACAATACCTAGGAGCACTGCACTGTCTCTTCAAAGATCCTCTCTCAGACCCAAGCCTCAGGCTCACCACCTTCTAGGCAAGCTCTACCCTGTTGGTTATCTTATCATAATCTTCAAGAAATCCTGCTAAGAAGTCTCAGGTGTCCATGGTGTCCCTGGTCACACTGGCCAGCCTGGCCTCATGTTCCATACTGGGCACCCTCTAGCCATTAGCAATCTGAAGGGAGCTAGGAATTATGCCCATGTTTTCTGTAAGAAATGTATGAATGTGGCTGTTAAACGATTATCTTCAGGGAAAGAGAAACAAATATATTTATCTAATAGAACTGGTTCTTAAATTTCAGTGACCATTGGAACCACCTGAGGCACTTATTAGAATCACAGACCCACCTCACTTCCATCCCCTCCTAGAAAATTCTGACTTGATAGGGCCCAGGGATTCACATTGTTAAAAGACAGTCCACTGACGTTACTTCCAGGACAGCTGCTCTGTCGTTTATCCTGATTTCCATTTCAGCACTTGCCCCTGACTACTGAGTCTGTGTCCCTGGGCTCAGAACAGACTAAAATACACACACACATGTATACACACACACACACACACACACACACACACACACACACACACACGCACAAAATAAAAAAAAATAAAAAAAAAAATTTTGAAACTCTTACTTGTTCTTAACACATTATCTACTTCAAACCTCCAAGGCCAGAGAGGGTAAGTGATTCTCTCAAGTAGATCTTAAACCATATCTTTCATGTTTTACTTCTTTCCTCTAACACATACTACCTCCCTTCTCTAAGGTATTCTGAATAAGGAATAATAAAACATGTATTTTTGCATATATAAAGATAACATTTATTGAAAAGTTAGAAAATTCTGTAAAAGCCTGGCCACACTTTTACAGGATCAAAAGAATCACAGATTTTTAAAATAAATATATAATCCAGAGGTAATAAAAGTATCTATTTGGTGTCTTAACATTAGCCATCCTGATTCCTATGCTAATTTCTTACCTTGTGTAGGAGGACACTAAAAAAAAAAAAAAATCTGTATGTGCCTCAGTTTATCTTTCATCAATACAATACACAGGAGCATTGTAATCTAAAGATTATAATCAGCATTCAAAAAACTCAAAATAGAAACATATTTTCACCTTCAACAAATAATTATGTATGAAAATCAAAAGTTTTCAGGAAAGGTCATTGAAGTGATTCTTTTTTCTCATTACAAAAATATTAACCACAACTCCTTGAAGAAGCTTCCCTAAAGTATGTCAAGTATGATGTATCTTATGGAAACGTTTCTTTAAAGCAGCCATTCCCAAGGTTGTATTTTATATTATGGCTAAGTGGAAAGCAAATGTATTCCTCTTGGCAATTTTAGCAAAAAAAAAAAAAAAAAAAAAAAAAAAAAAACAAGTCACAGAGGTTATCATTATGTAACATCAAATACTTGGATAAAAACTAGAGAAATTCAGCCATGTATCCAAATAGTTGGTATAAACTATACTAACATGTAATAGTTAAAAGGAATTTGCTAATTCATTTGTTTCATTTAGATTGAAGCAGCAATAACTAACATGCTTATCATGAACAAAGCACAGTGCTAGAAAATTTGGTATTGGGCATATGCAGCAATTAAAGGCCAACCAAGTGTCAAACATTTCTAGGTTTGGTACATAGATGGGGAAGGAAGAAAACGGGAGTAGAAAAATTTGTACCTAGAAACTATTATGGTACCAGAACTAGAAATACATAATTAATGCTTAAGAATTACAATGATGAGAACTATATCAAATGACTGAAGGAGAGACCAATGCATTACTAAATAAAGAATTTTCTAGTTTGTTTTTATTTTTATTTTGTTGTTGTTGTTGTTGTTGTTGTTGTTGTTTTGTAAGATGGAGTTTAGCTCTTGTCACCCATGCTGGAGGGGAATGGCGTGATCTCGGCTCACTGCAATTTTCGCCTCCTGGGCTCAAGCCATTCTCCTGCCTCAGCATCTTGAGTAGCTGGGATTACAGGTGCCCATCACCACGCCCATCTAATTTTTGTATTTTTAGTACAGACGGGGTTTCACCATGTTGGTCAGGCTAGTCTCAAATTCCTGACCTCAGGGGATCCACCCCCCTCAGCCTCCCAAGGTGCTGAGATTACACGCGTGAGCCACCACGCCCAGCCCAATTTTCTAGTTACCATTGCTTTGCAGACAAAATGCAGATAGGCCCATCCAGGAGTTTAGAATCTCTCAATAGGTCTCAAAGCCTTCTTAGCTCATTGCTTACCAATCTCCTGCATAGCCTCCTTGTCCTAATTCTTCCATCACCTTCCCCCTTCATCATCCTCCTCATTCATCCATTTATCATTCAGTCCCTGTAAGAGATCTTAATGTTTGGAAGAAACCAGCTTTGTAAAGGAAGAGTAGAAATCCCCTGTGTAGGGCAATGCTGTCAGTTAAAAACAAAACAGATTTCATTATTTAAAAAACAATCAAAGTTTTAAAGTTGTTTCAATAAAGTTATAAATTATGACCATTATAATCACTGGGATTTTTATTTTGCTGTGTCTCTTGACCTCAAAAAAAAGTTTTAAGGAAGATAAGATTTATTTGGTCAAAACATTTGACATTTACTTCATTACTCAGTGCACTAAATTCTCTCTAAATAAATTCCATAGTGATCTGACTTTCCCCATGAAAATCTGCACAGTGAACTCCTAGTTTATTATGCCTACTTGAAAAGGGTAATTTAATAAGGCATCAGTACAAATACTTAATCGTGAATGGCTATCGACAATGCCTTTAAACAGTTGCATATTTGCCAGATTTAGCTAATGGAAGTAGAATTGCCACTTAATGTCTCAGCTTGCACTGGTGGAAAATAAATTGTATCTGACATTCCTTTGGCTTTTAAAGGACATACTTAGATAATATTTACAGTCAAATTGATCTATTGTTGCATTTATGTTTTCTTGGGTTTAAAAAAGGGATCAAATGGGTTCTAAAGGATAATATTTCTTTGCATCTGCTCAGTTTGGAATGCTTTTGCACAGACATGCCTCATTTAGTGGGTGTCTAACCAAGGTCTAAATATCTGAATGGGAAGTAGACATTTCAACCAGGCATACAGTTGTTTTAGCTCCATCTCAGAGACTCGGGTGTGTGGAAGATCAGCTGGTCAGTGAGCAGTGAGCAGGGCTGTTCACTTTTCATGGAGGTCATATAGACAGAACTTGCTTTATTAAGCCACCTGCTACATGCTGTGACCAGGAAGAAGAAAGAGGTCATAGAAGAGAACCAATATTTCAACATCCAATACTTGCCAGGCACTCTTCCAAGTATACTATGTTACCTCATTCACTCCTGAAAACAAAACAATGAGTTATAGTATTATTATCTTAGTATTTTTCTTTAGGCTTCTATTTCTGTGAAACTCAAAAGCAGGCAAGTCGTATCATTATTGATGGTGTTAAAAATCAGGAGCATGTTTACCTTAGAAGGTGGTAACTGGAAGCTAGCACAGGGGACTGCTTGGGTACACTGGTCAGAGTGCTGGCTACGTTGTTGTGTTTATGGATGCATGTGTTGCATTAGTCTGCTCAGGCTGCCATCACAAAATATCATAGACTGGGTGGCTTAAACAACAATATTTATTTTCTCATAGTTCTAGAGGCTTCAGATTCCAAGATCCATGAGTAAGTATGGTTAGCTTCTAGTGCGAGCTCTCTTTCTGGCTTGCAGGTGTCTGCCTTCTATGTTCTCATGAGAGATAAAGAGAGAAAGACAGACAGAGAGAGAGAGAGAGATTCTCTTCTTATAAGGCCACCAGTCCTATTGGATTAGGACCCCACTCTTACAATCTCATATAAATTTAACTATCTCCTAAAAGCCCTGTCTCCAAACATGGTCACATTGGGAGTTAGAGCTTCCACATACATATTTTGTGGGAAGACAATTTGGTCCATAACGTCTGTCTAACTCAAACTGCTATCAAGATAGAAAACATGATCATCATCCTAGAAAGTTGCCTTTTCTCACCCGCAGAGATGGTCACTGTTCTAATTTTTTGCACCATAGGTTGGTTGTAACTGTTCTAGAACTCCACATGAATGGAATCATGCAGTAGGTACTCTTTTATATAAAGCTTCTTTTACTCAATATGTTTTCAAGACTCATCTGTGTTGCACATACCAGTAGTTTGTTCCTTTTTTATTCCTGAGGAGTATCCCCTTGTATGCATATACCACATTTTGTTGATCTGTTCTCTTATTAATGGACATATGGGTCATTTCCAGCTTGGGGTTATTGTGAATATGGTTTCCATAAACATTCTTGTATGAGTCTTTTAGTAGACGTGTTTTTATTTCTCCTGGATAAATACATAGAAGTGGAATTGCTGGGCCTTAAAGCAGGTATAGGGTATTATTATCTTGATTTCAGCATGATATGTGATGGTTTTTCATATATCCTTGTGATAAAGAAAAAGAAGTTCGAGATTATGAGAGCAGAGTTAGGAGAAATTATATCTGAACAAATGTATTTTCTCAAAGTATTAATCAGAATCAAAATCAGCCAGAAAAGAGATCTTTAATGATATGCTCTGGGACCTAGGCCTACCCCTTGTAATCAATATTTTTATAGTAACTTAGATAAAGACTCACATTAGACATGCTCAATAAATCTTTAACAGACTTAAAGGACTTGTTGATTCTATCAGTGCCATAACCATAGTGTTCCCTGATCATGCCATGGACCCTCACCCACTATCTTTTGCACAGTCCTTCTCCTCCCTGAAAAAGGCCCTTCCTGAGAGCTGAGGTAACTATAAGTGCAATGTGGGTCATCACTCTGGCATGGCAAATTTTCAAAAATACCTAATGCATATTTAGAATTGTAAGAAATACATCAAAGTTGCTAATAGTCTCTCTGGTTTCTACATCAAGCCACATCTACAATGTTGTGTTCAATTTGGGACACCTCACCCTACAAGAAACATTAGCAAGTTACGGTGCATCTGGAGGAGAAAGAACATCCAGAATAAAAAGGCTTCCTCAACAAGGATAAATTAAAAGACCCTCCCTCCAACCCCAGCACCACCCCATGGAGCCCAAGTTTTGCTCCACCAGACCCAGTTTGCTCTACCTGAGAAGAAACCTTTGCAGACCTCTGGAATTTTTAAGTCCTACCCATGCCTCCCCTCGCCAGTCTTGTTTCCATTATCCTTGGCATGCACAACTTAGACATATGGTACAAATCCTAAGGAAGAGTAGGGAGAAATAGGAAGGACATTCAATGATTGTAGGAATTTACTATACTTACGAAAAAAATGTAATTAATTGAATGTAAAGTTTTGTTTACTTGACTTTGGAAAAAATAATTGTAATTAAATGTTCCCTATATTATAATTCTGTAAGAGATAAATGAGTTAATGCTTATGAAAGCAATTTTAAAACAGACATAAGGGATTGTTGACTCTATCAGTGCCATAACCATAGTGTTCCCTGATCATGCCATGGGCTCTCACCCACTATCCCATGCACAGTTTTTCCCCTCCCTGAAAAATGCCCGGCCTGAGAGCTGAGGTAACTATAAGTGCAATGTGGGCCATCACTCTAACATAGCAAATTTTCAAAAAGACCTAATGCATATTTAGAATTGTAGGAAATACATCAAAGTTGCTGGTCTGTCTGGTTTCTACATCAAGCCACATTTAATTCTATGATGAGGCATCAAAATGCAAGGAAAAAAAATCAGAAAAGGCATTTTAAGAATGTCTTTGGAGAGAATATCCACAATGGAGAGATGAATCTGAAATTTTCTTAATAAATTTACTTCACCAGCCCTAACTCATGGAGTCCAATATTAGTCCTTACAAACCATTCACTATTGTGTTCACAGGCCAAGAGCTAAGTGAGAAGAGTTAAGCTGGTCTTGCTTTGGACCCTCATAGACTCAAATTTTGGTTTTGGTCTAACACTGAGGATTTGAATTGAAATTGTTCTTATTTCAGCCTTGTATTTGGGATTACATTTCCCCTAGATGCCCAACCAGTCTTCACCAAGGCTTAAAAGAAGTAAAGGAAGCTAGCAGATCTTTCTCTACACTATCACAGACAGGAACATCCTTCACTCCTCTCACCCCCATATAACTAGAATAATAATGAGGAAGACATGAGATATAAAGGCCAAAGGCCATTCTTTTCAGGTCATTGCAAGAATATGTAAAATGTGTACCTAGGAGTAGATGTGTTACATGGTTTCACATCCTATATCCTCAATTAAACAGCAAAAATTTACATTTACAAAAGAACTGATCAACCTAGAGTTAAAAGGCCATCTCAACAAAAGGCTTTGATATGGCATTTCAAATTTAACTATATTCTAGAGAATGCCTCTGAATTGGTTAGCTCAACTATTCCAATTTACTCATTATGTAGTAATGAACCAGTGCCTTAGATTCACCACCATATCTGCCCACAATTTTCAGAATACTCAGGGGAGCCACACAGCTCATCTAATTCTGATGAGGCATCTCACCTAAAACATGCCCCTGGACACCAAGGGATATCAAAGAGGACTCAACAAAGTTAATTACTATTCCTAACAAATCAGCTCATAGTACCCATCTAACCTGGTGGAAGATCTAAAACTTGAGGATCTCATATGCAGTTTTATTGATTTGTGTACCAAAATTGACAGAATAGCACATGGCCTATATTAACTTATTCACTCATTCTACAAACACTTTTTGTTAAAGAGATGAAGTCTCATATGTTTCCCAGGCTGAATACAGTGGCTATTCACAGGTGCAACCTCAAACTCCTGGGCTCAAGCAATCCTCCTGCCTCAGTCTCCCAAGTGACTAGAACTACAGGCACTATACAAATACTTTTTGAGTACTGACAATGTGCCAATACATGTTGTGCTAGACCCTGACTGTACATTTTCTAGCCAATTAGGACAAATCTTTGAGTAGCTAATTGGATACCCTTTACTGTTAATCCAATTTTATTTTAGGAACAAGTTGGAGGATTCTTTTGTTTGCAAGATAATGCACTTAAATACTTCAGAAAAGGGGAGATTAAATGTATATGGGTCTGAAACTGACAAGTTGTTGAGAACTGAGGTGGCTCTGCAGACCAGCAATTCTTGCCATTTTTCATTGGCAATATGATCCTCTGATGCTTCATAAATATGATGCATTCCCCTGTCTTTGTTGGTCAGGTTCCTTTCCTTACTCGTAGTTCTTGCTCCCTCACAATTTTGGTGTCTGACCATTTTGCCACAATCATGATGTCAACTTTGTTATGGTTAGGAGCTACATTTCTCAGAACATCCTTTCCTGTATGGGTCTAAGTTAGAGTTGATGAAAAGATGAACTTGCATGGCCAGGTTGCATACCTACATTGTGGCTTTATAAATTACAACAACAATAATAATAGTAATAATGACCAAGCCACTTTAAGAATCCAGATTTTAGTGAAAAAATAAGCTTTTACTATAAGATCAAAAACAAAACAAGGATGCTCACTCTTGCCACTTTTATTCAACATAGTACTGGAAGCTCAAGCCAGAGCAATTAGACAAGAGAAAAAAAAATGACATCCAAATAGCAAAAGAAGAAATTAAATTGTCTTTGTTTGCGGAAGACATGATCTTATATATAGAAAACTCTAAAGACTCCACCAGAAAAGTGTTAGAACTAATGCATTTGGTAAGGTTATAGAATACCAAATCAACATACAAAAATCAGTTGTATTTTAATACATTAAGAATGAACTATCCAAAAAAGAAATCAAGAAAACCATTTTATTTACAATAGCTACCACAAAATACTTAGAAATAAATTTACCCAAGGAGGTGAAAGATCTCTACACTGAAAACTATAAAACATTGATAAATGAAATTAAAGAAGACATAATAAGTAGAGAGACATCCCATGTTCATGGATTGGAAGAATTAATATTGTTAAAATGCACATACTACCCAAAGCTATCTTTAGTAAAGCAATCCCTATCAAAGCTCCAAAGTTCCTATGACGTATTACGCAGAAATAGAAAAAACAAAAATTTTTATGGAAGCACAAAAGACCCAGATACACAAAGCAATCTTGAGGAAAAAAACAAAGCTGGAGGCATCACACTACCTGATTTAAAAAACCTACTACAAAGCTATAGGAATCAAAACAGCATGGTACTGGCATGAAGACAGACACACAGATGAACAGAAAACAATACAGAGCTCAGAAATAAATCTACATATTTATGATCAATTGATTTCCAACAAAGGTAACAAAAACACACAATGGGGAATGGACAGCCTCTTCAATAAACGCCACTAAAAAACTGGATTTCCACATGCAAAAAAATAAAATTAGACCCTCATCTCACATCATATACAAAAATCAACTCAAAAAGAATTAAATACTTAAACATAATACCAGAAACCAGAAGAAAACATAGAGGAAAGGCTCCATGACATTTATCTGGGAGATAATTTTTTGGCTGTGAACCCGAACTCACAGGCAACAAAAGCAAAAATACACTAGTGGGATTACATCAAACTAAATAGCTTCTGCATTGCAAAGGAAACAGTCAACAGTGAGCAGACAACCTACAGAATGGAGAATGTATTTTTGCAAACCATACATCTAATAAGGGGTTAATATACAAAATGTATAAGGAACTCAAACAAATCAATAGTAAGAAAACCATTCAATTAAAAGTGGGCAAAGGACCTGAATAGACATTTCTGAAAAGAAGACATACAAATGGCCAATGGGACCAGTCATGCATTGTTTAATAATGGGGATACATTCTAAGAAATGTATTGTTAGGTGATTTAGTCATTGTGTAAATATTATAGAGTGTTTACACAAATCTAGATGGTATAGCCTATCACACACCTAGGCAATATGGTATACACTATTGCTCCTAGTTTATAAACCTGTACAGCATGGTACTATACTGAATACTTTAGAGACTGTAACACAGTGGTATTTGTGTATCTAAACATATCTAAATATAGAAAAAGTGCATTAAGAAAACAGTACAAAATATGTTTTAATGATATACCTGTATAGAACACTTACCATGAATAAGTTGCTCTAGGTGGGTCAGTGACTGAGTGGTAAATGAATGTGAAGGTCTAGAACATTACTGTATACTACTATAGACTTTATAAACACTGTGCACTTAGGCTACACTAAATTTATTTATTTATTTTATTTTATTTTTTGAGACAGAGTCTCACTTTGTCGCCCAGGCTGAAATGCAGTAGTGAGATTTCAGCTCATTGCAACCTTCACCTCCAGGGTTCAAATGATTCTTGTGCCTCAGGCTCCCAAGTAACTGGGTTCACAGGTGTGTCACCAGGTTCAGCTATTTTTTCCTTCTTTTGTTTTTTGTATTTTTTTAGTAGAGACAGAGTTTCACCATGTTGGCCAGGCTGGTCTCGATCTCCTGGCCTCAAGTGAGTTGACTACCTCGGCCTCCCAAAGTAATGCCTGCTAGGATTACAGGCATCAGCCACTGCGCCCAAATTTATTTTTTAAACATTTTTCTTTCTTCAAAAATAAGTTAACTTTAGCTTACCATAGCTTTTTTATAAAATTTAATTTTTTAACTTTGACTCTTTTGTAATAACAGTTTAAAACATGAACACATTGTACAGGTGTAAAAATATTTTCTTTCTTTATATCTTCATTCTATAAGCATTTTTAATTTTCTTACTTTTTAAACTTTTTTGCTAAAACCTAAGACAAAAACACCCACATTAGCCTAGACCTACATAGGGTTAGGCTCATCAATATCATCATCTTCCACCTCCACATCTTGTCCCACTGGAAGGTCTTCAGGGAAAATAACATGTTTGTAGCTGTCACTAATGATAACAATGCCTTCTTATGGACTACCTCTTGAAGGACCTGCCTGAGACTGTTTTAATAGCTAACTTTTTTTTTCTATAAGTAGAAGGAATACACTCTAAAATAACAATAAAAGTATAGTAAATACATAAACATAGTTTTTATTATCATTATCAATAATATCAACTAATTGATCAACAATTATCAAATAATAGTTTTAATAATAGATAATCGTTTTTGTTATCATTATCAAATATTGTGTGCTATCTATAATTATATGTGCTATGCTTTTATATGACTGACAGTGCAGTGGGTTGTTTACAACAGCATCACCCCAAACACACGAGTAATATGTTGCACTATTATGTCACTAGGAATTTTTTAGTTCCATTATAATCTTATGGAACCACTATTGTATATGCAGTCCTTTGTTGACAGAAATATCATTATGTGGCACATGACTTTATATGGAAAAATAGTTCAACATATATAATCATTAGAGAAATGTAAATCAAAACTACAATGTGATGTAACCTCACACTTGTCCAGATGGCCATTATCAAAAAGTCAAGAGGCCAGGTACAGTGACTCACACCTGTAATCCTAGCACTTTGGGAGGCCAAGGTGGGATGATTGCTTGAGCCCAGGAATTTGAGACTGACTGGGCAACATAGCGAAACCTCATTTCTAAAAAAACTTAAAATAATTAACCAAGTGTGGTGGCATGTGCCTGTAGTCCCAGCTACTTGAGATGCTGAGGCAGGAAGATCACTTGAGCCCAGGTGTTCAAAGCTGCAGTGAGCTGTGATAGTGCCACTGCACTCCAGCCTAGGTGACAGTGAGACCCTGCCTCAAAAAAAATTTTTTTTAAGTCAAAAGATATCAAATGTTGGTGAGAATGTGGAGAAAAGGGAATCCTTGCACACTATTAGTGGGAATATAAATTAGTATATCTATTATGGAAAACAGTGCAGCACTTCTAAAAAAAATTAAAAATAGAACTACCATGTGATCAAGCAACCCCATATTTGGGTAGATAGCCAAAGGAATTGAAATCTGTATGTCAAAGAGATAGCTGCACTTCCATGTTTGTTGCAGCACTATTCACAATAGCCAAGACATGAAATCAACCTAAGTGTCCATTATCACATGAATGGATAAAGAAAATGTGGCATGTATGCACAGTGGAAAACTATTTAGCCTCAAAAAAGAAGGAAATCCTGTCATTTGGGGCAATATAGATGAACCTAGAGGACATTATGTTACATGAAATAAGCCAAGCGCAGAAAGACAGATACCACAAGATCTCACTCATATATAGAGTGTAAAAAAGTTGAACTCATAGAAACAGAGAGTAAAATGATGATTTCCAGAGACTGAGGGTGGAGAGATTGAGAAGATGTTGGTCAAACAAACAGAAAAATTTCAGTTAGACAGAAGGAATAAGTTCAAGAGATCTATTGTACATCATAATGGCTACAGTTAATAACAATATAGTGTGTATTTGAAAATTACCAAGAGAGTAGATTTTAAGTATTCTTACCGCAATAAATAAGTATGTGAAGTAATGCATGTATTAAATAGCCTGATTTGGCCATTCCACACTATCTACATATATAAAAACAACATGTTGTACACCATAAATATATACAATTTTTACTTGTCAAATAAATATAAAAAGTATTTTTAAAAAACCAGCAATCTAGACTATGCAGTAGAGAAATAAGGCACAAGGAGAGAAAATCAGCTAAACACAGACCCAGACAGCAAAGAAAAATGCCAACCAAGAGTAAGTTAGGTGTGTCTTGAGATGGGAAATTCAAAGTCACTTGAAAAAGAGAGACAACCCAAACTTTTCATGTTTTCTCTTCCTCAAGTCTGCCCTAATGCCAAGGCTTATGGAAAAAGAATTAAGACAACTTGAGTTCTCAAAATCAAGAGAAGGGAATAAAGGGCATTCCTGGCCACTGGGAACAAACTGGATGGCCTTTCTTCAGAAATGGAGGAAAACTACCTAAAACAATATTGTTTTTTACTGTGAAAAAATGATTAGCAGTGAATTTATACAAAAGTTCTAAAAGTATTTTTAGAACTCTTGTTTTTGCAATGACTCTGTGTCTCTTTTTCAACTTAAAATTAATATTTTGTAGAAAATGATGCAGATGAATGGATCAGTACTTTGGCCCTGCTTCTTCTCATCTGGACCTTAAGGGCATCAGTGTATTTTAGCTCAAGAATTCAGATGCCACAGTTCACCTAGTGGCAGGCAACCATAGCAGAATGTTTAATTCACTCCTATGGAGTGAGATTCCACCTTTGAAAACAACAAATTTTACAAAAATGAAGTACTATAGCCAGAGCATACAACAGCCTAGCAGACTTGACTTTGGCTAAATTTATTATTTTTCAAAATTATGTGCAATTAATAACTGAAGGTGAAAATTGATTGTTTACATATCTCAAAAAAAAGCTTCTTAAAACATTTTTTATCTTCATATTATATTATCCCTCTAGATTTGCAGACAGGATAAATTTTATCCTTAGTATGCTAAAGGGCATTTTTAAAATTCAATAATATTCCAGAAGAATCAAAAGTGCCAAGTGTTTACATAATTGAGTTGAACAACTGTTATTAAATCAGTGGCAAAGGTTATCTTTTCTGATAGTAAGTAGTTTGGATAAGTAGTAAAACTATTTCAAATTCCCATGGAGTCTCCACCAATAGTTAAACTTCCATTCCTGTAACTACGAAACGCCCAAGGGGATGATAACAATTTTCTCTTTCTCCTCCTGTTTTTTAAAAAACTAATAATAAAAAAAAACACAACAAGAAGTAATGAAAATCTACAGAATGAGGTCCCATGTACACACTCTAAGAAGGCAGGGTTTATGAGGATTTTCTTATTCCAATTGGGGATTGTTTAAAGTGGTGGATTCTATTGTAACCCATATGGGAGAGAGACAGGTTTAGAGTAACGAAATTTCATCCTAATTCAGAAAATCAGAACATGAAACAAGCAGGTCAGCAAAACCTGATGTTGGCTAAGGAAGAATAAAAGAAACAAATGAAGATAAATTCATGTGTTAGGCCAAGTTTGTGCTGTCAAAATAAATAGGTGAGAACAATTCTGGGGTACCAATATTGTGAGTAATGAACACAATCATGATAATTTAAATCAAACTTTTTTGCCTCTCAGGTTCAAGTGATTCTCATGCCTCAGCGTCCTGAGTAGCTGGAATTACAGGTGCCCACCACTAAGCCCAGGTAACTTTTGTATTTTTAGTAAAGACAAGGTTTCACCACGTTGGCCAGGCTGGTCTCAAACTCCTGACCTCAAATGATCCACCCCCCTTGGCCTCCCAAAGTGCTGAGATTACATAAATCAATCATTTTTTAACGTGAATTTCTTTTAATCAGCCAACTGGACTAACTCTTCTATCACAAATTCACAGAGTAACCTAGCCATGAGGGTCACTTGGGATCATCTACTTCATTCTTTTCATTTTGCAAAGATGAAACTATGACCCGAGAAAGACAAGTAGTATCCCCAAGTTTTCCCAGCTACTGATGAGCAGACTGGGCCTAGAACTAGTCTTCTAGGCTAATGCTCTTTACACTATACTCCAGATCCTCTTTCCCAAAGAGAAACAGCTACCAACAGTTACTGAAGACTTACTATGTGCCAACAACTACTCCAAGGGCTTTCCGAGGATTTACTCTTTTAATACTCACAATAATGAGTTAGTTCTGTTACTATTCCCATTTTACAAATGGAGAAACTGAGATTTAGATTAAGTAATTTACCCAATGATACACAGCTACACTGGCAGAGTTAAAATAAATATTTTTTGCATATTCTAAATATGAATTGTGAACCCTAAATATGAGTTATATATACCTGGACAATTCTGACAAGATTGGTAGACATTTAGGCTTTTTCCAGTTTGAAATTCTTATCAGTAATGCTGCTATGAACATTCTTGTGCAAGCTTTTGTATGGACATATGTTTTCAATTCTCTTGGGTATACACCTAGGAACAGTACTGAGTCATGTAATAGTTTTATATTTAACTTTTTAAGAAAATGTCTAACTTACCACAAATGCAAACTGTAACCACAATGGATGCATAATTTTACATTCCCACCAACAATGTATGAGGGTTCTTATTTCTCATCCTCACCAACATTTGTTATTTTCTTCTTATTTTTATAGCCATTCTATTGAGTGTGAATCATTTCCCTAATGATTAATAATGCTGAGCATCTTTTCATGTGCATCCTAGACATTCATACATGTTCTTTGATGAAATGTCTGTTCATATATTTTGTCCATTTTTGTTTGGGCTGTTTGTCTTATTTTTGAGCACTATGATTTTTTATAAATTCTGGATACAAATCCTTTATGTGTTTTGCAGATATGTGTTTTGCAAATATTTTCTCCTGATTTATTTCTTGTCTTTTCATATTGTTAATAGCATTTTTTAAAGGAGAAAATTTTTAATTTAATGAGGTCAAGTTTATCCATTTTTTATGAACAGTGCTTTTGGTGTCATATCTAAGAAATCTTTGCCTATCTGAAGGACACAAAGATATTTTTTCTATGTTTTCTTCCAAAGATTTTATTGTTTTAGCTCTTACTTTAAGTTCGTGATGCATTTTGAGTTCATTTTTGTATATGGCATGTATAAGGTGAGGGTCTAAGTTCACTTTCACACATATGGATATCCCATTGTCCCATCACCATTTGTTGAGGAGACTTTTTCCCAGTGAATTGCATTGACACCTTTGTAAAACAAACAAACAAAAAAGTCTAAATTCTAAATACAGGATTTATTTCTGGATTCACAATATGTTCCATTGGTCTACATCTATCCTTATCCAGTATCATACTGTCTTAATAACTGCAGCATTAGGGTGAGTTTTGAAATTGGGAAGTGAAAATCCTACAAGTTATCCTTTTTTTCAAATTTGTTTTAGCTATTCTAGGTGGTTTACATTTCCACATAAATCTTAGAATCTGCTCATCAATAGGCATAGAGTTAAAACAGATTGCTTTTAAAGCACTCAAGTCACCAAAAGTCTTGGTATAGCCTTCTTCCATGACAATAAGGCCTTACCTGATCTGTAGTTACTTCACTAAAAAGACCATAAAAAGTAGTCTTAAAACAAGGAAGTTCAAGTTTAAGGTGATTTTTGCTCCTGTCTAATCCAACAATAAGGAAAGATTTCTCAAACAAAAATTAACATACACACTCTCATATATACAAAAATGTAAATCACTGATACAGCACCCACTGCAGTAGAATATGTGCAAAGTGTATGTGCTGAAGCACAAGTATCAACACAGAGTAAGGACTCTGTAAGTAAAAGGTATTGTTGCTACCTTTTTAGTAGATGTATCTACTCCCCTCACACCTGCCCTCCTCAATTTTTAATTTTGTACCTACTCTTAGAGCTGCACTATCCAGTAGGGTAGCCACTAGCCACAAATAGGTATTTGAATTCATATTAACTAGTTAAATACAATTAAAAAGTCGGATCATAAGTCACACTGGCCACATTTTAGGGTGCTCAACAGTTCCATATAGATGGCAGTCACACTGTCAGACAGTGTAGACACGATTTATTTTGGAAAGTTCCATTTGATGCTGCTGGTTTACAGAATTATTTCTGGTATGTTCACTAACTTTTATGAACATAAATAAAAGCTATGTGAATAGCAGTAGAAGTTAGAGGTTTCATGGATTAAAATACGCTCATGTATTATCTCCAGCCTAGGTGACAGAGCAAGGCTCCATTAGAAAATGAAGAAGGAAGAAGGAAGAAGGAAGAAGAAGAAGAAGAAGAAGAAGAAGAAGAAGAAGAAGAAGAAGAAGAAGAAGAAGAAGAAGAAGAAGAAGGTCACATCTTGTCAGTTATTGATATATTTTTTTTTAATTTAGCTTAAGTGTTTGTTCAAGGGCTTGTATCAAAAAGGTTGCATGGTGGTCTATGCAAATTCTAACCAAGAATTTAATATCCTGCCAAACTAAGCTTCATAAGCAAAGGATAAATAAAATTTTTTCCAGACAAGTAAGTGCTAAGAGAATTTGTTACCACTAGACCAGTGTTGCAAGAGATCTTCAAGGGAATTCTATACATGGAAACTAAAGAGTGATTCCTGCTACCACATAAACACATTTTTTTTTTTTTGAGATGGAGTCTTGCTCTGTCATCCACGCTGGAGTCCACAGACCCTATAAAGCAACTACACAATAGAGAATAAAAAACAAACAGCTAACAACATCACAATAGGATCAAAACCTCATATATCAATATTAAACTTGAGTGTAAAGAGTCTAAACACCCCATTTAAAAGGCACAGAGTGGCAAGTTCGATAAAAAAAAAAAAACAAAAAAGAAGACTCAACAGTCTGCTGTCTTCAAGAGATCCATTTCACATGTAATGACAGCCATAGGCTCAAAGTAAAAAGATAGAGAAAGATCTATCCCACAAATGGAAAACCAAAAAGAGCAGGGGTTGCTATTCTTATATCAGATACTGTAGACTTTAAACCAACCACAGTAAAAAAGAATAAAGAAAGGCATATATAATGATAAAGAGTTCAATTCAACAAGAAGACTTAACTACCCTAATTATATGTGCACTCAACATTGGAGCACCCAGATTCATAAAACAAGTACTTCTGGACCTTCAGAAAGACTGAAACAGCCACACACTAATAGTGGGTGACTTCAACACCTCACTAACAGCGCTAGACAAATCATTAAGGCAGAAAACTAACAAAGAACATTCTGGACATAAATTGGACACTTAACCAATTGGACCTAATAGACATCTATAGATTACTCCACTCAGCAATCACAGATTATACATTCTTCTCAACTGTATATAGAACATACTCCAAGATTGACTAAATGCTCAGCAATAAGGAAAGGCTTAACAAATTCAAAAAAAATACAATAATATCAAGTATACTTTTGGACCACAGGAGAATAAAAATAGAAATCAATACCAAGAGGTTCTGTCAAAACCACACAGTTATACAGAAATTAAACAACTTGCTCCTGAATGACTTCTTGGTAAACAATAAAATTAAGGCAGAAATCAAAAATTTATTTGAAATAAATGATAACAGAGATATAACTCACCAAAATCTCTAGGATGCAGCAAAAGCAGTGTTAGAAGGAATGCTTGTAGTACTAAATGTCTACATCAAAAAGTTGAGGTCAGGCGTGTTGGCTCACATTTGTAATCCCAGCACTTTGGGAGGCCGAGGCAGGCAGATCACTTGAGATCAGGAGTTCAAGACCAGACTGGCCAACGTGGTGAAACCCCCTCTCTACTAAAAATACAAAAAAGTTAGCCAGATATGGTGGCACACACCTGTAATTTTAGCTACTCAGGAGGTTGAGATGGGAGGATTGCTTGAACCCAGGAGGTGGAGGTTGCAGTGAGCTGAGATTGCACCACTGTACTCCAGTGTAGGTGACAGAGCAAGGCTCCATTAGAAAAAGAAGAAGGAAGAAGAAGAAGAAGAAGGAGAAGAAGGAGACAAAGGAGAAGAGAAGAAGAAGAAGAACAAGAACAAGAACAAGAAGAAGGAGAAGGAGAAGAAGGAGAAGGAGGAGGAGGAGGAGGAGAACAACAACAACAACAACTAAGAAGTGAGAAAGATTTCAAATGAACAATCTAACATCACACCTAGACAAAGTAGAAAATCGAGAACAAACTTACCCAAAAAGCTAGCAGAAGGAAAGAAATAACTAAAATCAGAGCAGGATGGAACAAAATTGAAACCAAAAAAATCTATATAAGGGATCAATAAAACCAAAAGCTGGTTCTCTGACAGGACAAACAAGATTGATAGACCACTAGCTATTTTAACAAAGAAAAAAAGAAAAAAGGCCTGAATAAGCACAATCAGACATGACCAAGGTGACACCACAACCAATCCCACAGAAATACAAAACACCCTCAGAGACTATTATGAAAGCTTCTGTGCACACAAACTAAAAAATCTAGAATAAGTGAATACATTCCTGAAAACACACAACCTCTTAAGATGGAATCAGGAAGAAACTGAAACCCTGAACAGACCAATAACACGTTCTGAAATTAAATCAGTAATATAAACCTACCAACCAAAAAAAAAAAAAAAAAGTCTCAGACCCGATGGATTCACAGCCAAATTCTACCAGGCATACAAATAACTGGTACCAATTCGACTGAAACTATTCCAAAAAATTGAGGAGGAGGGACCTCTCCATAACTCATTCTACAAAACCAACATCACCATGGTAACAAAACTTGGCCAAGATACAACAAAATAAGAAAACACCAGGCCAAGATACCTGATGAACATAGACACAAAAAAAACCTCAACAAAATACTTGTAAATCAGCAGCACATCAAAAACTAATTCACCATGATCAAGTAGGTTTTATTCCTGGGATGCAAGTGTGGCTCAACAATTGCAAATTAATAAATGTGACTCACCATAAATACAGAATTAAAAACAAAAACTATATGATCATCTCAATAGACACGGAAAAAGTGTTCAATAAAATTCAACATCCTTTAATGATAAAAACTCTCAACAAACTAAGCATCGAAAGGAGTACCTCAAAATAAGAGCCGTGTGTAACAAACCCACAGCCAACTCATACTGAATGGACAAAAGATGGAATCCTTCCCCTGAGAAATAGAACAAGACAAGCATGCCCACTGTCACTGCTCCTACTCAACATAGGGTTGCAAGTCCTGGCCACAGCAAGCAGACAGAAGAAGGAAATAAAAGGCATACAAATAGGAAAAGAAGAAGTTAAATTGTGTCTCTTCACCAATTATAAGATTCTATACCCAGAAAAGCTAAAGACTCTGCCAAAAGGCTCCCAGAGCTGATAAATGGCTTTAGTAAAGTTTCAGGATGCAAAACCAATGTACAAAAATCAGTAGTATTTCCATATACAAATAACATTCAAGCAAGAGCCAAATCAAGAACACAGTTCCATTTACAATAGCCATATTAAAAAAATACCTAGGAATATATCAAACCAGGTAGGTAAAAGATCTCTACAAGGATAACTACAAAATACTGCTGAAAGAAACCATAGAGAACACAATCAAATGGAAAAGTATCTCATGCTCATGGATTGGAAGAATCAACCTTGTTAAAATGGTCATACTGTCCAAAGCAACATACAGATTCAATGCTCTTCCTATCAAACTACAAATACTATTTACTACTTAACTAGAAAAAAACTGTTCTAAAATTCATATGAAACCAAAATGAGCCCAAATAGCCAAAGCAATCCTAAGCCAAAATAACAAAGCTAGAGGCATCATATTACCTGACTTCAAATTATACTGTAAGGCTACAGTAACCAAAACAGCATGGTACTGGTATGAAACAGACACATAGAGTAATGGAACAGAATAGAGAAGCCAGAAAGAAAGCTACACACCTTCAGCCATCTGATCTTCAACAAAATTGACAAAAATAAGCGATGGAGAAAGGACTCAATAAATGGTGCTGGAATAACTGGCTATCCATATGCAGAAGAATGAAACTGGATCCCTACCTTTCTCCATACAAAAAAAAAATAACTCAAGATAAATTAAAAACTTAAATGTAAGACCTCAAACTATAAGAATCCTAGAAGAAAACACAGGAAATACCCTTCTCAGTGTCAGTCTTGGTGAAGATTTATGGCTAAGTCCTCAAAAGCAATTGCAATAAAAACAAAAATTGACAAGTGGGGCCTAATTAAACTAAAGAGCTTCTGCACAGCAAAAGAAACTATCAACAGATTAAACAGACGACCTACAGAATGGGAGAAAATATTTACAAACGATGCATCTGACAAAATCTAATATCTAGACTCTATAAGGAACTCAAACAAATTAACAAGCAAAAACCAAATAACCCCATTAAAAAGTGGGCAAAGGACATGAACAGACACTTCTCGAAAGAAGACACACATGCAGCCAACAAGCATATGGAAAAGTGCACATCATTAGTAATTACCAGAGAAATGGAAGTCAAAACCACAATGAGATACTATCTCACACCAGTGAGAATGGCTATTATTTCAAAGTGAAGGAAAAAAAAAGATGCTGTCAAGGCTGTAGAGAAAAGGGAACACTTACACACTGTTGGTGGGAATGTAAACTAGTTCAGCCACTGTGGAAAGCAGTTTGGAGATTTCTCAAAAAAAAAAAAAAAACTAAAAATACAACTACGATTTGACCTAGCAATCCCATTAATGGGTACGTACCAGAAGGAAAATAAATTATTTACTGGAAAGACACATGCATCCCTATGTTCATTGCAGCACTATGCACAATAGCAAAGACATGGAATCAACCTAGATGCCCATCAGTGGTGGACTGGATAAGGAAAATGTGGTACATATACACCACGGAATACTATACAGCCATAAAAAAGAATAAAATTATTACTTTTGGCCAGGTGCAGTGGCTCATGCCTGCAATCCCGGCACATTGGGATGCCGAGGTGCGCAGATCTCTTGAGGCCAGGAGTTTGAGACCAGCCTGGCCAACATGGTGAATCCCCATCTCTACTTAAAATACACACATTAGCCAGGTGTGGTGGCTCATGCCTGTAATCCCAGCTACTCAAGAGGCTGAGGCAGGAGAATCTCTTGAACCCAGGAGGCAGAGGTTGCAGTGAGCCAAGATCGCACCATTGTACTCCAGCCTGGGCAACAGAGTGAGAGTCTGTCAAAAAAAAAATTAAATATATACGACCTTTGCAGCAACATGGATGCAGCTAGAGGCCATTATCCCAAGCAAATTCATGCAGGAAAAGAAAACCAAATACCTCATGTTCTCACAAGTGAGAGCTAAACACTGGGTACACATGAACATATAAGGATGTGAACAATAGACACTGAGGGTTACTGGGACCAGGTGGAAAGAGTGGGCACAGGGGCTGAAAAACTACCTTCTGGGTACTGTGCTCACCACCTGGGTGATGGAATCATTCACACCCCACACCTCAGCATCATGTGATATACCCATGTAACAAGCTTGCACGTGTACCCCTTAATCTAAAATAAAAGTTGAATTATTTTTAAAAAGAAAAGAAAATACCATTGTTAAATTTCACTGATGATACAAAATAGAGATTTTCTGAAGTTTCTCTCTTTTTATTTCTTATTGCTCTGCTTATTGAGGACATAATCACCCTGCTCCCAGTTATTTTTTGGTTCAGAACATGCACTTTGGAGTTAGAAATTGGCTCAGATTTCCATCCTGCTACTTACTTGAATAAGCTCTTTAATCTCAGAGGGCTTCTGTTTACTTACATGTGATGTGTGCATAATTCTCAGATTTTAGGGTTGTTATAAGAATGATTATTATGTCAAGTGCTTGGCACACAGTTTGTGCTCAATAAGTGCTAGCTAGCTAGCTATTATGTTACTAGATCACGTTTATAATAATTTACTCAATTTGTCCATTCTTAAGACATAAGAATATATACTTGTCTAGACTTACGAGTTGAAAAAGGAGCCTGGCAGGGACATTGCTGGATTCTATTTGCATGTCTCAGGCCCAGATGAGGGGATGAGGGAAAATTTTTAAATCCTGAAATGTTACTGTGTTAAGATCAGCAGGCCAATTTTCAGTGAAAAGAAGAAAGAAAGCTATACTTCATCACTAGGTCAAAAAGTCTTCTTTGCTTGTGGAGGCAGCTTGAAGGTCATTGAGTCCCTACCTCCCCACCCTCATTATCTGCCCTCGTTAGAGCCCTCAAGAAGTACCACTGCTTGCTCCCCACCCCAGCAGGGCCAACTACAACTGGATGTACATATGACAGTCCACAGTATCTCCACTCTGTGTGAATGTGGGACATCATACCTTTCCCCCATGATGTTCTTGAGATCAAGACCCCAAACCACTGCCTAAGCCCACCTTCCCTTGCAGCCTCTGCCACCCTGAGATGCATATTCCAGTGGTGAGCTAGAGAAGGTCCCTTCCAATTGTTTCCCCAGACAACTGCAGATTAATCATCCTTCCCAACAATCCAGTAATGCGGACATGAAGAAACTCCTTCAAGTCTCTGGTCTTTCCTTTCCTTTCAATTCTGCTATTAACACCCTGCTCCCCTCTTTCCTGACCATTTTTAGAATTCTTAGGCCATGACCATGGGAATTTGGGATGCGAAGAGTTAAATAACAGACTCGTATTTCCATCTTAAACAGCTTGCTTTTTAGTCATAATTTTACAAGAGTGGTATCTGGAAAAAAAAGAGATAAATAATGACATTGATATTGATCTTGTTTATGGGAACTTCAGCCCAAAAAGTTAATTGTGGCTACATCATTATGTAGCATTGCCTTTGCTTCAGTCAAAAATAATAATAATAATAATAATAATGTCCAAATTCTGCTTGGGGGAAGTTGTTTCCCTAAAACAAGTTATCCACTTACAGAGTCATGGTTGGTTAAAAGCCAATACAGGGTAAACTAACTACAGTTTTTATCCTCTTTTCAGCATGTATGTGGATGTCTAAAAGCAAGGCATTGAGATGAACTGGTCAGCACCAGGGGGAACAGAATCAGCTTTCTCCACAGCCAAACTAGGCTGTCCAGCAATATGTTCTAGTAAACATTTGGTTTGAACTGATCTGCTCTGTCATAAAGCAAGAGGTTTCCAGCTGATATGTTTACTGATCTGGTGAATTATGCTCATATAAACAAGAGAAACACCATGGAGAGATACTGCTGTGGCTACCTCCTTACATACACAACCTGCCTGCGACTACTGAGCATGCCCTGCCCAGACCTCCTCTGTCTTTTATCAGAGAATGAAAGAGGTAGGCATGAGAAGGAAAGAGAAGAGGGAGATTTTACAAAGTGAGCCTGAAAAAGAAAAGGGCCTGGCAGAGAGGGGGCAGAGACAGAGGACCAGGGTGGGGGCTAAATGTGAAGGCAGCATCTGCAGAGATCAGACATGCCCTTGGAGAACCCTTCTTATTCCTGATCCATCCTTCCAGAGCTTCCTCTACAGGGCAAACTCACTTATTTCCATGGAAGCCCAAAGAGTCTTGATTCCTTTTAAAGCAAGTAAAAGTAGGCTAGTTGCTGGTTCTAAGTGGCTGAATTCTGACCATTCTGTCAGTGAGACAGGCAACCCCAGCTCCATCAACCATGTATCTGCCTTCTGAAAGTATTTCAGTAGATGCCACAAAGTCAACACTGAGTGCAGGATGACCCAGGGCAAGAACAGGGCAGGGGCACAGGTAGCTCCATATTGATCTGGGCTCAGCCTCAGCCTAAATTGAGTTTTCTCTTGTGACATCACAAAACAAGGTAGCAAAACCCAGTGATAAAATACTTTGCCAAAGCTCAGGTGTGGTCCTTCAGGCATCCGCTCAGATCCTAGAGATACATACAGAAAGGAGCATGGGATTGAGAGTCAGAGCTCCACAGGCCAAGGCCACTCTCCGTTTCCTTTGAGATACACATGGTATCCAGAGAGCTTCTCAAGTCATAAATAAATGACAAAGCTCAGGATTCATGCCCCATTGCTCTGTTTCAAAATTCCAATTGAAGATGTTTAGACATGTAGAGCCATAATACTCTAGTACAGTGTAACATAACTGAGTGAAAACCCTGGTTTCGGTGGGACTAGTTGAAACAGAATCTGGTTAAACCGAGCAAATGTATTCAAATCCAAATATTAAGAAGCATGACACTCAAGAGAAAATATTTTCCATCAACAGTGGCGTTTCATCGTAAGTGGACTTAACTCAAATTATCCTACATGAGCTAGAGAGAGAAAAAATTATATAAATGGTGCCATGCTGCTCAAACACAGGTCCTATTTGGGAATTACATGGGAGATGAAAACACAGTGTTTCCTCAGTTGGTTAGTCCCAGTCATCCTCTCCTGGCAGGACAAGCTTGCCCCATTTTTTTTTCTTTTTTTTTTTTTTTTTTTTTTTTTTTTTGAGACAGTCTGGCTCTGTCACCCAGGCTGGAGTGCAGTGGTGTGATCTCTGCTCACTGCAACCTCTGTCTCCCAGGTTCAAGCAATTCTCATGACTCAGCCTCCCAAGAAGCTGGGATTACAGGTGTGCTCCACCACTCCCAGCTAATTTTTAAATTTTAAATAGAGAGGGGGTTTTGTCATGTTGGCCAGGTGGGTCTTGAACTTCTGGCTTCAAATGATCCACCTGCCTTGGCCTCCCAAAGTGCTGGGATTACAGGCATGAACCAACATGCCTGTCCAATGTTGCTGCTTCTGTGGATGATTTCAGGGCCATTCAGTGATAATTTCAATCAATCACAATTGCTACCCCATATGCAGACCACACCTAAACTCATGCAATAGGGTTTGGATGAATAGAGATGGTTCAGCACAGTTTATTGCAAGGCCTCTCAAACTTTTATGAGACTGTCAGGCACTCGGAGATCTTGTTAAAATGCAGATTCTGCCTCAGTAGGTCTGGGGCAGGGCCCCAAATCCTGCATTTCTAACAAACTCCCAGGTGGAATTGATGCTACTGGACCACAAACCACACTTTGAGTACAATAACTTATGATATGGGTTTAGATATATAACATTCAACATACAGCAAATATATTTACTGAGCATCTGCTGTGTGCCAAACACTGTGGTATTCCCTGATGACAGAAACATGAGACACTGATCCTTATTATCTATGTATTCACAGACTGGTTTGATATGAGTAACAAACCATGTACCGCATGAAATAGAAGTCTTCCCCAAAAAAAGGCATACTTTAAAATAACCATTACCCCTAATATGAGTATAGTGCTTTATCACTTGCGAAGTAATTTTTTTTAAAATTTTGTCCCATTTAATGCCTCTCAGGATCTCACCTTCCCCTCAGTTGCAAAATGTTACAATTTAGTTTTTACACTGGCCTCACTACATACATACTCCCAGTAATGAGAATGAGTTCCTTACCACCCCATTTCGTGGGTCATTGAATACTAAAACTGAATTAAATAAAACCTACTCAGTGATGTATCTACTGCATGTGCACAAGTGTGTGATCTAGCAAAGAAAGCAAATTTTGATTTTTCATAACCTATGCAGAGTAGTAGAAAATCCAGGAGGACATCTCTCTTTTTCTAGTACGGAGTCTTCTGCTGACTGGCTGTGTAACCACATGCAAGTTAGTTAACCTCCAAGGACCTCAATTTCCTCATCTTTAAGGAAGGAGCTGGACCAGGTGACCTCTAGGTCTTTTCCAGCTCTATACTCCTATAATTCTATGACCCACCCACCTTGAATTTGCTATAATCTGTGTTTTAGATCCCAAAGACAGATCTTTTCAACAGCATCAGCACAACCACACCTCCCCCTGAGCCTCAGCTACACTGGTTCACACAGCAAAGCTTTGAAATTCCCAAATACTGTAAGCTTACGCTTGCCAGTGCCACGCAGAGCTGCTACTTCACAATTCAAGTAGTCAGCTATTGACTTGTGGCAATCTATATCTGCATTAAAATGGGGAGTTTTGGATTAATGTGGAGCTGAAAGCCCGACTGAGGCTCTTTGCTGCCAGCCTGTCTCTGTAATTGCAGCATGGATTTCACCAACCACAAAGGGCAAAATGAATGTGATCATCCCCAGTAGTCGATAGTCCATCGATTTTTTTCTTTTGACTCTATGATTTGCACAAATATTGAAGCTCATTTTTTAAGCAAGGAGGCTTATTAATCTACATTCTTCAAAACTAGTGGCCCTTCAATGAGGTGAATTCTGAAGGTTACTGAATATGCAAGACATGAGTAGATTAGTCACATTAATTTTTTAAATTGTTTTCCACATACACATGCACAAACACACCCATGTCCTCACTCTTATTTAAAATTGACATTCCACGTAGATGTTAGAACTTTGTGCTTGTTATCATGCCATTATGTGTCTGGTTGTTTAGGAATGATTAGGAAGGAAATGTTGGCAAAGCTCATTCTGGTCTGTGGTCGCTGTTTTCTTGGTTAGGTTTTGTTTTTCACTCACCCCTAAGGTTGTAAACAGAATGTGTACAACAACACCTGTGGTTCCTAAGATGGACCACTGATCCAGGGCCATTTCTTCCCTGAATGGAGGCTACTAATCTGCAGGAACAAATACATGTTAAGGCAGAGAAACAAAGGCAGCTCCTGCAGAGTTCAATTGTGGTTGCCCCAAACTATACTAGTTCTTTTAATTTCTTGTAATGTATCTTCTATTTTATGTTGTTTCTGGTTGTTATTCCTCTGAACATTCCTTTAGTCTATTACAGCCTTAATTTTGCTGCAAATTCAGACTCTGAGTGGTTTGAAACCTCATGTCTCATATTTGGTTTTGTGCGATTTGCTGTAAAATGTAGTAGGCTTCTCTTTTCCAATAGCTCTACCTTTTGAAAATAATCAATAATGATAAAATTGGTCATCAAATCCCATTAGCTTTTTTCCTCAGGAAAATTTCCCAAAGCTGGACCCTATTCTAAACTCCAACTTCAAATGTACTGTTTTGGTTGCAAGGAATTAAATTTCACTTGGTTTGCTTCAGGTAAAGAAGATCTTGGGGATAAGGAGACGTGTAGGTATATAAAGATGATAAGAATCTTGACCAAGTAGATGTGGCCACACAGTAAGGCTCAAAATGATCAGAACTTGCTTGGGGAAGTTGAAGTTTATTCAGGATCCAATACAACTCTAGTGACCAAGGTATCTTGCCAGCAGGCGTTTATCAATCACAGCATACATTCTCCCATAGAGTGTGTCTGCTTAGCTCTGTATCTTTGGCTTTCCTTCTAACTTCTGACTATTTAACCCTTTCTGTATTTCTCATGTTCAAATAAACCAAGTCACCAGATCCAATTGTTCAACCATCCCCACTGGCCATCACTTTTGTGCCAAACCATCCCATTGTCCACTAGTAAGTCTATAGATGAGCTATTCTTAGGTTAAGCACTCATTCTTGATTCCATAAATAACAGCCCACATCAACACAATGATTTATGTGGAAGAAGGACCTTTAAAACTTATGTTTCAAGGGTAGCAGGAACTCTTTAAAAGGGAAATATAGGCAAGGCAGCATATTGAGGTTTGGGCTATCCATCTTGCCTGTGGCCTCAGCTGAGTTCAAGCCCACCTACTTAAAGCTTTACAATATCTTCCTTACTGGGACCTCAATGCCTAAAGCCTATCCCATTTAACCCATTCTCAATAGTGATAATGACCTTGGGAAAGTCTCTAACATCACTGAGCTTTAGTTTTCTCATCTATCTCACCTAGGAAATGGGTGTAATCATTGAGAAGATTTGAAGAGAGACTGCATGTGAAGTACTTGGTCATTTTATCACCGTTCTATGAACATTCTATCCTGGTTCTAAAGATTATATTTGTTTATAAGGATACCTTTCCCATAAGAATGTGGGCTCCTTGAGATCAGGGACTAAGTCTTATTTACCTCTTCAATGCCTCATCCCTGGACCATGATGAATGAAGGCATCGTTTACACTTCAGAGAAGTCCATACCAAGCCTAAGATGAAAAGATAAAACTCGTGCTTCCTTCGTTAATCAACTTCTCTTAATTTTGCTTATAACAATATGAAGTCTCACCTCTCCATGTAAGTCAGTCCAGAACTAAGAAGATTGGTTATGCATTCCTTTTTGCTAGGGAAGTAGAATGGGACCCTTTATAAAGAGAATACCCAGCTACAGGAACTGTTACATGGCCTCTGACATCACCAAATGCCAAACCTAAAGGGGCACTAGAGGTAATGTCCTCCAACACTTTATTTTTAAAATGAAGAGCCTAGGGCCCAGAGAGTTAACATGACTCATGATTTTACAGTGTTATGATGCTTGAACACGAATCATGTGTGTGGATTCCCAGGGATGTACTTTACCAATGACTGGGCATTCCTCTGCCTCCATGATGGTGTGACCCAACATAGAGTGACCACTTAGCCAGCAAGTTTTAAATTGACCTGAGGAACAATCCCTGGGCAGACATAATCCCACCTCTACTCTACTTACAGCCAGGGAAGTAAAGATACCACACTTTTTCCCCTCCAGAAAAATGGGTCTGGAGTCAAGGCAGGCTTCCTCCTTCTACCACTGACCTAGGAGCAAGAAAACCTACTTGAGTTATGGCTCTATTGTCTTATTTGGTCCCTAGTTTCTACACCTGGAAAATTAGGCAGTTAAGTTTTGGCCACTGGTTTTCAAACTGGATTTTCCAGAGCCCTTGAGTTTCATGGAAGTGCCTTGGGTCCCACTTGGGGTGAGAGAAAGGAGGCCCAGTCAGGGTCCCAGCCTTTCCCATCTATTTTTAACATTTTGTTCATTTTTCAAATTTGGGCATTTAAAATTTTCCAACTCATTTTTTAATCAAATATCATAATATCCCCACTGCTTTGGAAATGTTTTAATTATTTAACTCTTCTTTATGGCTCAAATCTAATTTATCAGCAGAAATGTAGCAAAAGGAATGGTTCCAGTGCTTCCAACCACTAGATTGCATAATGATGCTGTGTCCAGGTAAGATTTTAAACCTGCAACACAAAGTCATAAGAATTCTTCGAGGTGCACAAAACTGATCCCTAAACCTGAATAAATCCTGAATATGGATAATAATGCTTTAAAGTCTACGTATAATATTGTAATATTATCTACATGATGCAAAAACATATCAATATGTAAAACCCCAATGAATTGAAATTTTAATGCTTTGTTCACACAGTCATTTTAACCAATTTGTTACTTTGTTCAATGTGTTTTCGAGTAATCTATTTTTTTTTTTTACCAAATTGTCTGCTTCAGGAGAGCCATGGAGTCTTTGGCTTCCCGCCCTAGAGAAAAGCTCACGTGGAGAGTTGAGCCAGGACTCAAGGCTTCCTTCTCCCTTACAATTCTCACTCCATCACTAAGAAGCCATCAAGATAGCCAGGTTTAGCCTGTGTGTTACCTTAGTTCGTACATGCATGCATGCATGCATTCAGGGACTTGAATGGGTCAGATGTTTAGGTACAGAGTTGAAGAAGGCAAGGTCTTTGCTCTACAAACACACAGGCACATAAATAATTAAAATATCCTGTGATAAGTGCTAGTAGAAATATATTCTACCAGGGCCTATAGGTGAAGGAAATAGTATGACATAAAGAGAGTCTAAAAAGCCCAGAGGAGCAATTGTCTAAGACTTGCAGGCTGCATAAGAATTCACAGAGTGATGGGCAGTGCCCCAGCAGGATCAGATGAGGAGGGACATTATGTCTGCAGAAGAAAGGAAGAAAGGAGAGCTAGAAGGAATGTCAGGCAGACAGACAACCTGTTCAGAGGCATGAAAGGGCATGGTATTTCCAGGGAACCTCAAATAATTCAGAATGACAGGAGCATGGCTCCCATGGAGAGAGGAGGAATGAGAAGGATCCAGTAATAAGGTGAAAATGTGGTCAGCAGTCAGGTAAATGCAAAAGGTTCCTGACAAAGCCATGAAAGAGACTTTGTAAGAAGGCTAAATGGAGAGAAGGGAAGAGGTGGTTTGGAGAATTCTATTCCACAGAAGATGCAGGGCATACTAGAGAAATCCTTTAAAGATGGATGATTCTATATATCAAAATAAAAGATGTCACTGTGAAGTGTACAAGAATAAAAACCTAAACACAGTAGGTCACTCTGGAATCAGAGTTACGAATGACAGAAAGAAGAGCTGGGACTGAAGGAAAGGGCAGGAAATGTCAAGTCTGCGAATAGAGATCGTGAACTCCCTCCAGAAGACAGGGCCCAGAGTAGGTAACAAAATAACTCAAACTCTAAAATAAACTGACTATGCTCAGGGTGCTTTGCCAGCTGCTATCTTAGACATAATCAAGTGCTCCTCGACCTGCCCCAGGAAACATGATGATCCCAGAAAGAACAAGACAGTCAAACGCTGACTGTGGCTGGCTAAGGAAGGGGACTGAATCAGAAGCAAAGGCTAGAGTCCTTCTTTAGTGTTCCAGGAAAGAAAAAATAATCACAGATACTAAAGAGGGTCTCCACTTTTTAATGTTTCCCATTTAATCATTTCTTAGCCAGCAAAATGTCAAGAAACTTTCATTGCAAGGGAGGAGAATGCCAAAGGAAAGCAAAAACATAACCGAAAAGGGACAATCTTATGCATATCTTGTGAGGGGAAGGGGTCACCTACTGGCATAAATTCCAAAGCCAGAAAGGTCCCATTTCCTGGCTTCCCTGTGCAGCTGCCTCTCCCACAATACGTAAACACACACACACACACACACTCACACATACTGTTACTGATGCCTGAAATTCCCATAATTGACATTTCATTCCTTTTGCCTGAACTTAATGGGATCTATTTCAACAGTTAAAATGTAAACATCCTGAAGGAGAGAGGGGCACATAATAAATTTGACCTATCATTATATACATTATAAATGTATATCTAATTGTTTCTTAGGAAAAGCAGAGATGCATAGAAAGGAGGCTACTGGACAGATATGATCTCCCTATACTAATGGGATAAACACTTCTGTTCCAAGGAGGAAGAACTTCTCCGAGGGTGGCTGGTGGCTGAAGATGCAATGCAATGCCTTTGTGGTTGCCTTGGGATGCCCTTGTTCTTGTCTCTATGACAAGAATGATTGAGTGTCCTGATGGAAGTCAAATCTCCATGTAGTGAGCCCCAGCATATACAAGACATTGGGTCAGGAAATGCTGATGACATCAAGAAAGCAGGACCTATGCTCTTCAAGAGCTTGGTGTCTTGTTGTGAAGAGAAGACATTAATATCTCGAGGAAAATCCACTGGGCCAGGCAGTTAATGAAAATTGAGGGATGGAGACTTAAGCTGCAAGGTCAAGGAAGGAAGTATTCACTTCCATTGAGGATATGCCCCACTTCTCAAAGCTGTGCCAGCCTCAGCTTTAGGATTTGTAGCCTTCATTCAAGACCAGGAACTGAGTTTACCTAGAAAACAACCAGCAATATAGTTTCAAAAAAAATCTAAATGACTGTTTCCCTGGTCAGTTAACCTCATGAGAAAAAGTATGTGACAGATATACTCTGGAGAATTAAGCCAAGGATTGGAGATAGATGACAGCTAGACCAACAGACACATAGATAAATGCGGGGACAGGGTGGTGATCGACAGAAAGAGAGAGGGGCTATGGAAGGAAACACTGGAAAATACTTCCTTATCTTCTCTAACTGATAAAATAAGGCAGAACACATTTTCAAGTGTTCTTTCATTTCTGATTCTGACAATTATGAAATCACTAGCACAATTTGGGAGCTTTTCAATGAAAGCCTATTGAAGCATTTGTATCACTTATGGAGTTTTACAATGGTTTACTTTGATTTGTACTTGCTCTTTAATTTTGAGGACTGGGTTAATGATCTGTCTTGATGCTGTAAATACACACTTACTCTAGAACAGAGGTCTGTATATTTCAGAGGAAGTTTCCCCACATCATTAATAGTTGTGTTGAAATCTTGCCACAGACAAGGCTGTGGGGACTTGGTGTTGATTAGAGAAAGCTCTGGGCCAGGGATCAGAAGATCTTGTTAACAGTGTCTAATCCTTGCTCACCTCTACCTCAACCATCTCAAAGGTTTCTCTAAGTTCTGGTCTATGGCTCAATGGCTAATTTCTGATAATAATATAAATAGCAACTGTTTACTGAGCACTTACAATATGCTGAGTAGACGAGTTAAGCACTTAACACACGTTATCTCATTTAAGTCTCATAATGACCTCAGAAGTTCAGATTAGGAATCCAGTGCTCAGGAAGTGATGCCCAAGATCCCAAAGCCAGTAAGGGGCAAAACCAGAATTCAGACTGCAGCCGTTGTACATGACACTGCCTTCATAGACAGCAGATCAAATAACAGGGGCTGAATTGAGGCAAAGTGAGAAGCTACAGACAGAAAAGGCCTGCAGCTCTGCCCTAATCCACAGTCTCAAATTTTTTTTTTAAGTTTAAAAACACTTAATCAAATTATTATTTTTTAAGAGACAGGGTCTCATTATGTTGCCCAGGCTGGTCTCAAACTCCTGGGCTCAAGTGATCCTCCCCACTTAGCCTCCCAAAGTGTTAGGATTACAGGCGTGAGCCACTGCACCCAGGTTTGAACCTCTTTTATAAGGTCACTAATCCCATTCATGAGAGCTCTGACCTCATGCACAGTCTCAAATTTGACCTGCCCTAATGCTAACGAATATATGCAAATTAGAACGTCCTACAGACTTCTGTATAAGAATCATCAAAAGAAAATAATGCTACTTTTTTAAAAGAAAGAAAATAGATATACAGTACAGAAACTCAAGTTACCACCCTTGCAAGAGTCTTCTGTGATGTTAATAAAATAGTGATGCAGAGGAGCTTAAGTAAGTAAATAGATGAGTGAATTAACAAATGAAACTGGTGATGTGCTGGAGAAGAAGGAAAGAAATGTCACAAGTAGCAATAATATTACCAAAAATTAAATGGTTGGGTTGGACAGCACAACAATTGGTTCTCATTAATGGCCTCAACACTGTCTAGCCTTTGTGGCTCATGGTCACCTGGTTCCAACCCACCTTTCTGGTTTTCTCTATCTCTGAAGCACTGGATAAGCTTTTTTTTCACTCTAGTCCAATAAATTCACTATCCTTATCCTTTGTATTCTTTGCATTTTTGTTTTATTCATATATTTCCCCTAAGGAGCCTGTCTTTCCTCTTTTCACCCACAGTCAAAAACCCTACCTCCCTCCAAAGTCTGGCTGAAATCCTGTTCCTTCCCTGTCACACCAAGAATAGGGCAGTGGGGCTTCCAAGAGGCCTGCCAGTGGTTAGAGCAGTCAATGGAGTTGTTGACAGGCATGAATTGCTCTCACATTCACATGAGTGGTTTCTGTTAATTTTTGATGTTGGAGCAAATGAGGGCTATCCATGCAGACTCAGTATGTCTCACCAACTCATCTGGATTTAAAAGGCTTTCACATGTCCCTAATGAAATGTTGGTGTCTTGGTATCAGGCTGAACGTGAGCCAAGAGAGAGGGTGAACACACCATCAATGATAAAAACAGATTTTCCCTGCGCCAAGATGAGATCACTTAACCTTCCGCATCTTATACATTTTCCTCCAAAGATACCTTACATTTTCTCCATGCTGTTTCTGCCTCTGCTTGTGTTGGCTCCTCTGTGTGCAATGGCTTTGCCTTCTCTCCCAACTACTTTCTCTTCCTCTCTCTGGCTAAAGCCCTCTCATTCTTCAAGACACACTACTCGGGGATCACCCCTCCAGGAAGCCATCCATGACTCTCTCAGGGTCAAGTGAAACTTCTGCATGCTCCCACAATATATTATGTGCATCTCTATAACTGCCCTCACTATATGAATTTTTATTTATTTGTTTAGATATCTGACTTCCCCAATAACAGTTAGATGCAGCCATGCAAAGCTGCATCTCTTTCATTGTTATGTCTTTGCAGCCAGGAGAGGCCCTGGCACATAGTAGGATTTAATGATTTTGCTGAATAATTGAATGAAGGAAGGAAGGAAGGAATGGGCAAACAAATTATAGAGCTACCTGTCAGGCCAGAATATGTGGCCACTTTCTTCTAGGATGGAGCTCTCTAGACTAATGCTCTGAAGACAAGCCTTATCGTGTATAAACAAGAAGTCTGGCATAAAGCCACTTTAACAATCCGAGGAGGATGGAGCTGCAGAGGCAGCTGCCAGGAGACCTGAACCCAGGAGCTGTCCAGGGTACTGAGCTAGCTAGGCTGTTTCCATGCCTAACCCAAAACGGCTCTCTGCTCTGGCCATGTCTTGACTGCCACCTCAGCCTGACTCACACCTTGGAATCTGGCAAATAATCCCCACCCCTGCACCAGCTGTCTCTTCTCACTTGAGTCCTTCTTGCCACTGGCCACTCTCCAGATCAGTTACTGCCCTGACTCAACTGCTTGTGTTTACTTGCTCTAGGCTGGCTCCCTGCCTCAGGCTTTCCCTGATCTGATCACTAGCACCTGCTGAATCCTCTGCTATTCCATAATCCAAAAGCCAGTTCCCTAGCAAGTTTCTAATCATGCCTCTGAACTGCCTGTGCTGAACAGGAGGGCCACAGCCTCAGGCTGGACAAGATAAAGCTTGGGAGGGAGGAACTATCACACAGCTCAGAAATAGCAATCTCCTTGCAAAGGGAAGCCTCATGCTGCCCAAGGCAGAATGTGACATAGGTGGCTTCTGTAATACGCCATCTGCTATTTTCCATACCATCAACAGTAACATAGGGGGGCAGATAATGGAAGGGAGCTCAGCACTCCTGGACCAGGAGGGCAAAGGTAAAAAGAATCCAGATATTGTCATCCAGGTAGGACTTCTTGTCTCACATTCGCTGTGTGAGTCCAGGATGCATCTTGTGTATAGGACAAGGTTTAAATTGCATCTGCTGTCACAGCTATATATAGATAATTAATTAAAATAAAAAATGGATAAAATTAGAAGTTTGATAGAACTATTTTATTTCTTATCTCTTATTTGAACTGCCTACCACTTGAGCCAAAACACATTCAGTAGATTAAGGATCCTGAAAATTTTAATTCACAATAATTTAAATGTTCCAGGCTTTGTCTTAAGGACCATCTTAAACATTACTCACATGTTTCTCACTAGTCATAGTTTATTGCCTGATGTAACATAGCTTTCTATATATAATTTTTAAATAGTGCACCATGCTCCATCCTAGTGACGTTTTCCAAGTACCTTCCTTATTTACCATACTGCCTCTGCTGGGAATTCTCACTGACACAGAGTTCCCAAGCCTGTCTTCCCCACTCCCTCCCCATATCATAACCTCGTGCCAAATGGTTTGGTTATAGAACAGTAAAGACAACACCTCTCCTCTCTCCCCCACTGAAGTTGAAGCTCCACAAATGCTGGACCAATGAATCCCCAGGAACTGAAACACCCTTCAAAAGCATATTGCAAGACTACTTGTATTTCTTAGCCTCCTTGCTCTCACCCAGCCCTTAGATCTAGATCCAGCCATAACAAAAGTCCCCCACAGACAACCCTTCCCAGTTCAACAGTCCTCACTAACCATTGTAAGCACCCTTTGAACCAGGGCATTAGCCTTTCTCAGAAAAGTCCTTCTGCCATCCTAGAAGCCCTTTTTGTTAGGCTACCCTTCCCTTTTTCTATCTCATTGAGTGTATATATGTGTGATTGTATGTGCACATATGTATAAGTCAGCTAGGAACAACTACTGGTTTGCAGGTCAGAGAAGATAAGAGAATCCTACATCCTTAGCCTAAGGTCTTAATAGCCAGGTAATTGTGTACTCAGGGGCCAGCAAAATTTGCAGGTTTCTCTCCCTCTCCACTTAGCTTTGGAAGTGTAACAACCACTGAGTTCAAAGGACACCCTGGCCTCGGAGGACTTAAGGGGTGCCATTAGGAAGCTGATGACCTCAGCTGCTGTCAGAGCTGAAAATTGGCTGACTTGTGCCTCTTGGCCAGCCCCCCACATCTGTGAAAGAAACCAGTCATGCTTGAATCACTCCTCTTTTGTTTTCTTGGATTTTAATCTTTCCTCCAAGCCTAGAGGTGTTGATTAGGGTGTCAGAGAAAGGGAAGGAAAACATGATCTGTATCCCCTTGCTCACATCTCCACATCTCACTCTCATATTCCGCTATCAAACAAGCCAGCCAAGCCTTGCAGCTGGAATCAGGTACTTTCTATGTCTGGAGCCTATCACCCTCAAAACCTCAGTTCACCTGTATAAAGGTGTTGCTACTGAAAGCTAAGAATACTTCTAATCCAAAATTTAGAGCAGGGACAGCTCATTTTAAAGAGAACTGCTTTGCTTCACTGGATAATTCTGAGCATCCTCTCTTTCGTTACTACTCCTTCTGCAACCATAGGCCCCTGGTTCTCCCATGTAAACCACCCAGTGCTTCCTTCACCTGAATGGCCCAGCCCTCTGCTGAGCATTTCCTTACTACATCCACTATTCCTGCAGTGTCTAAACCCTCCTTTTCCCACCTCGTAAGCAGCCTCAGAAAACTTACTTCTGCCATAAGCCTTTTCAGGTGAATCTGAAAAGAGGCTGTATTCCCACAAGCCTGGTAGAGAAAGACGTCAGGACTCCAAAGCAGTGCCAGGACTTGGATCTGACATTAACTATGTGTGCCTCCTCCACAAGCACCTTAATGCCACCACCCACAAAATTACAGAAAGTCCTAAAGGCCTTTCCAACCCTGAAGCCCCAGGCCCCATAACACCACTCTAAATATGCGTTTCACCTTCACTATTCTACATATTTTAAAAACCTCCACCTCTAGTGCTCACACCAAGCATACATACCCTTTGCTTTATTTGTTCTTTTATTTGTATGGACTTTTAAAACTCTATAGTTACATATTTTAATAAATAATGTAAGTCATAAAATCAGGTTTTTGCATTTACATCTATATGATATTCAGGTGAATTCTGAATGTTTAGCCAAATAGTCTGTGTTTATGTGGAGCATGTTGATCTACAGAAATATGTGCATATTTTACCATCAATAAGCAAAACATGACTCCTTTGGAGGTTTTGCCATCAAGGAGACACATTCTGATTGAGCTTTGAACATCTGCCCACGCCAGTATTTCCTGCTGCTTAAATAACTTTGAATGGCAAATATTCTTGATGATGATGAATTATCCCTTTACCTCCAGAGAGGGCTCGGTTTTGAAAATCCATCAAGATCCTACCAAAAGGCAGAGCTTAACGTTTTTGTCATCTTTGTTTTCTAGGCCATCAAACTGAAATTTTCCAAGCTTTAATCTGTGATGTTAGCACATCCTAAAAATTGCCAATTTTTTCCATAAATGCAAAGCTTGTTTTTGCTAGTGAAAATTAAACAAGATAATAGGTAGCTAAGGCAGGAAAGCAAACTGAATAACAAGTAAAAAATGTTTAAAGGTGATATCTCTTTTAGATATCTAAAATTATATTTCTAGTTTTTCTTTATGTTATCCTTTCTTACTGACAGAGATACTAAGCAAATGATATTAATCAGAGCTATGTGTCAAATTAGCTACCAAGTTTGCTTTTAGAATTTGGAATTCATAACTCAGTTATAAAATCACTGTTGGCTTTTTCCACTACTCTGCCTTCTATCCCTGTAGGATAGGAAAAACCCAGGCAAGCATCCTGAAATTGCCAGGGGGTAGGTAGCAGAATGTGCTTCTGACCACTAAAATACTCTCATTGTTCACACACTAGCCACACCACTGAGCGTGTGACCTCTTTCCAACACTGACAAGTGAACATGAGCAGCCCTGCTGACTTTGATTGGTGGTTCACTGGGTCTCTGACCTTGAATGACATTGCCGGCAGATTTTGACTGACAGGCTGCAGCACTGCCGACCACCTCTAGTACACACGCCCACTCTTCAGAAAGTAGGCCTTATCTTTTCAAAAACACTCTTATGTTTTCAAAACATGGGCTAACATGCACCAAAATGTGACTGCGGTCATCAAACACAGTCTGGGAAAACAAAAACAAACAAAAAAAAAAAAAACGCATGATCTTTAACTTACAACCCTCAGATCCCACTGTAATTGACATATTCAGTGATATAGCTGGTCAGGCTTTGGCTGCATCTTTGTGAGGCCAAACATCAAAATTAAATTAGGGAAATTTAGACAGTCACAGAGATATGTTGTCTATAGGGCACCAAATATTCAGATACTTGGAGCTTCTGAATGGTTCTTGACATGCAGACACAAAACACTTGAATGACTGGTAAAAGGTTTTATTTTTCTTTAGATGCTTAGGAATACCGACAGGAAGCCTCAGTCCCTGCTCAAGACTCTGATTCTACATATGCCTGGGTAAGACAGAGGCTCATGGTGCCTTCGCACTCTTCTGGTGAAAAAACTATGCTGACTTTAACCTAGCACTCTATGTAGCCTCCAAATTTTCCCTTAATAAATAAGAATTTACTTTCAAATTAAAATGCCATACATTTTAATTTGTTTAAGAAACTGCTGCCTTCCTTTTAAAATAAAATCAAAATGCTCCAAAGTTAGCAACAAATGTAAAGCTCCCATACTCCTGTTACAGGAATATGGTACATTATACACCTGTGCTCAACTTTGGTTCCTCCAGAAATTCCACCAAAAGGAGAGTAAAAGAATTACAAACTTTCAAGTGTAAAGAAAACGGGAAGAAGACAATGGCAAGTGGGAGACAGCAAAAATTTTTGGAAGTTGGAAAGTTGGAAAAATTAACAGAGATAATTTGATGGCTAAATACCAAGAGAGAAGAATAAGAACTAAGCCAGTTCCACCAAGAGCATCTTGGAAAGGCCCGGGAATTAGAAACTCCTAGTGTCATGGAAGAAAGCGGAGTAAGAACTGAAAACAGGACAAGTGGATGAATGACAGTATAAGAGGTATTCAGATTCCCTGGCTCCCTCCGAAGCAGACAAGCAACCAGCCCTCTTTTATTCCCCCAAGAGGTTTACTCTATGGAAAAACAGACCAAAGAAAATCTAAACTTTTAATGCAGAAGTGAGCAAGAGTGCTGTAGTGAAAGCAGAGGAGAACAAGAAAAATTCTACACCCTGAACAGCAAACCCCAGCCTCCTTCTGCCAATCAGCTCAGATACTGCTGGCAGCCAGGCACGGAGCTCTCTGTCGCAGGTCAGGTTCTCTGGAAGATAAGCATAAAGTGAAGATTTGTGTGCAGAACGTGTATTCGAAGTGCTGTCTAGATCAACACCTGTGGAGGAGGGAAGGGAGCATGGCTGGGCAGAAAAGAAGGTGCTCCGGTGACAACAAAGGACTCAATGAATCTCAAAGGGAGCTCCGGAGCTAGGATGGTCCTTCAGAGTTGCCCATATTGAAGCGCGATGCCAGACCTTTGTATTCCCACACCAACCAGTCACTAAATGTAAGCTGCTGTCTTCAGCTAGAGGCAAACACCCTAGCAATGGGAGAAATGATTGATTTAGTCCTCAAGGAGTGAGGAGGAGATCTGGAGATGCAATTTGGGGATGAGCAGGATACTACTGCTGTCCTTGTCAAATTCCGCTTGTCAATAATCAGAATAAAAAATATAATCTAACAGGGAAGACAGGATGATAACTAAATAACTTTAATAAAGTAAGTTACATGCTCACCAAAGTTATGGGACCAAGGTTTAGTTCTGTGATTGGGGAAAAGAAAGTGTGGAGGTCCTGGAGTATTTTTCCATGTTGAAGATATATGAACTGGATGTGGAAGGATGCATTAAAGTGTATCCACTGGAGTAGACAGGGAAACCTGCACCAGATGGAAGGAAGAGTAAGCGAAGGAATGGATGTACAAAAAAATCGATTAAGTTCAGTGGGGTTAAGTACTGAAGAAGGAAGGGGTGAGGAGATAAGTCTCTAAGGAAGCCTTCAGTGGAATGAATTTCTCTGTGCAATAGGGAAGTACTGAAAGTTTTTAAGAAGAGAAAGAAACTAACAAATGCCATGTGTCCAGATTTTACTGTCAGTGATTATAGAAATGATTGGAACTGGGAATGACTCCACGTGAAACGTGAGTAGGAAGAAACTTTATGAAGTTCATGGGGGGCAGTATAAAAGGGTTTGGCATGCTGGAGATTCAGATAGGCCTGGGTTTTAATCCTCACACTGCTACTTACCAGCTAGGAAACCTTGCACGGATCACTTAACCACTCCAAACCTGCTTTTCATCTGCAAAATACGGGATACTAATACCTGTTTTAAGGGATTTTGGGAGCAAATAAATGAGATAATATATATAAAGTGCTTAGTACAGAACCTAGCACAGAGCAAGTGTTTATTAAATGAAATCTGATGGGTAGCAGCAACAATAGTTAGGTTCTGTGGGCTGGGATTACTCTACAGGCAGGAGAAATGAAAAGGAAGGCAAGGAGGACAGGCATGCTGCGAGAGAGACTTGTAAAGAAGAATCAAGAGAAGTTGGTTTTTAACTATGAAAAGGAAAAGAAATAGGTGCAGATTCAATGACATCTTCACAGTTTTACATGGAACAATGAAAACACCACTGCTAGAATTATGCACATTTAAGTGTTGGAAGTTTGGTACAATTTTGAGACATTTGATTTTAATATGGTCCAGATATTTAGTCAAACATTATTCTGGGTGTGTGTGGGGTGGGGGTAGGTGTGTGTGTTTTAGGTGATCAGCATTTGAATTGGTGGACTGAGTAAAGCAGATTCCTCTCCCCACTGTGGGTGAGCCTCATCCAATCAGTTGAATTCCTGAATAGAACAAAAAGGATGACCCTTCCACAAGTAGAATGAAACTCCTCCTGCCTGACTTCCTCGAGCTGGGACCTCAAAACATCCTGCCTTGGGACTCAAGTTGAAACTAGCCCTTTCAGAGTCTTGAGCCTTCCAGCCTTCAGTCTGGGACCACCCCATTGGCTACCCAAGTTCCAAGTGAGAAGAGAATTTCAGGGAGGGGCAAGTAAGAAATGTGCTAAGTGTCCATATAGCTAAATGAAAATGAGGGTCAATAAAAATCTTAGAATTGGGTGACCTTGATATAAAAAGTTGTAATAGATTAAAGAAACTGGATTGCTCCATAGGTGCTTTTATAAAATCTCTCACTCTAATACTTCAAATGTCATCAAATATTTTTAGACAATATCTTAGGGGAAGTTTGAAAGCAGAACAAATCACATAAAATTATCCTTGAAAACACAAGTGTAGGCAAATACTTGGAGAATATCATGGCTGGGGCCAATCCACCGCACAGTCCATTTCTCAGAACCAGGGATTTAGTCCTGGAAGGAATGGTCTTGGTTGTCTTTTTGTTCCCTGTGACTGCTGTAATGAATCACCATAAATTTAATGCACTAGAATTTATTCTCTCACAGTTCTGGACGCCATAAGCACTGGGCTGAAACCAAGGTATCAGCAGCCCTGCGCTTCCTCCAGAGGCTCTTGGGGAGAATCTGTTTTCCTGCCTTTTCCAGCATCTAGAGCTACCTACCTTGGCTCCAACCCCTTCCTCTGTCTTTAAAGCCAGTGGCCTAGCATCTTCTTTCTCTGATTCTTCTTCCCTCTGCTTCCTTTACGTGGCTTTCTTGGTGTGTGTGTGTGTGTGTGTGTGTGTGTGTGTGTGTGTGTGTGTAATCTCCCTCTTATGAGAATGCATGTGACTGCATCTAGAGCCCTCCTGGATTATCTCCCCATCTCAAGATCCTTAGGTTATCACACCTGCAAAGTCGTTTTCTGCCATGTAAGTTAACATTCACAGGCTCCAGGGATCAGGATGGGTATATCTTGTGGGAGACCGTTATCCAGCCTACCACAGTTAGTAACCTAAAGACTGTGTTGAAATATCCACCCTAACAACCCAGCAGCCCAGGTCCTAAACTCAAGCATCCAAACTCAAGGATTTGAAAGAGAAACACCCTAAAATGCAAGCCAAAACATAACCAGAAAAAAAAAGTGTAGGCACTTTAAAGAGAGAACAGGAGATAAGATCTCTTTAAGAAAGATAACCCACAGTTGTGGAAGGCCTGTCACTTAGCAAGAGCTGTGAGCCAATCAGATGCTCTGTCAGAAGGCAAAGCAGGAGAAAGCCTAATTGGATTGGCTGTCTTAATGGGCTAGAAGTCAAGTCAGAATGAAAACTATACTCAATTCAGCCAGCTGAAATTGGTTGTAAAAAGAATGCAATAAAATAGGTCAATTTTCTGAGACTGGTAAGAGGGTCCATACCCAAATGAACTGAATGCTTCTGTCTTTATGTGACTATTTGTCACCTTGTGACTATAGTCTTTAAACCATGCAGCGTGGGTGAATCGATCTTATTTTTTTTTTATTATACTTTAAGATTTAGGGTACATGTGCACAACATGCAGTTTTGTTACAAATGTATACATGTGCCATGTTGGTGTGCTGCACCCATTAACTCATGATTAACATTAGGTATATCTCCTAATGCTATCCCTCCCCCCTCCCCCTACCCCACAACAGGCCCTGGTGTGTGATGTTCCCCTTCCTGTGTCCATGTGTTCTCATTGTTCAATTCCCACCTATGAGTGAGAACATGCGGTGTTTGGTTTTTTGTCCTTCCGACAGTTTGCTGAGAATGATGGTTTCCAGCTTCATCCATGTCCCTACAAAGGACATGAACTCATCATTTTTTATGGCTGCATAGTATTCCATGGTGTATATGTGCCACATTTTCTTAATCCAGTTTATCATTGTTGCACGTTTGGGTTGGTTCCAAGTCTTTGCTATTGTGAATAGTGCCACAATAAACATACGTGTGCATGTGTCTTTATAGCAGCATGATTTATAATCCTTTGGGTATATACCCAGTAATGGGATGGCTGGGTCAAATGGTATTTCTAGTTCTAGATCCCTGAGGAATCGCCACACTGACTTCCACAATGGTTGAACTAGTTTACAGTCCCACCAACAGTGTAAAAGTGTTCCTATTTCTCCACATCCTCTCCAGCACCTGTTGTTTCCTGACTTTTTAGTGATCGCCATTCTAACTGGTGTGAGATGGTATCTCATTGTGGTTTTGATTGGCATTTCTCTGATGGCCAGTGATGATGAGCATTTCTTCATGTGTCTTTTGGCTGCATAAATGTCTTCTTTTGAGAAGTGTCTGTTCATATCCTTCACCCACTTGTTGACGGGGTTGTTTTTTTTTTCTTGTAAATTTGTTTGAGTTCATTGTAGATTCTGGATATTGGCCCTTTGTAAGATGAGTAGATTGCAAAAATTTTCTCCCATTCTATAGGTTGCCTGTTCACTCTGATGGTAGTTTCTTTTGCTGTGCAGAAGCTCTTTAGTTTGATTAGATCCCATTTGTCTATTTTGGCTTGTGTTGCCATTGCTTTTGGTGTTTTAGACATGAAGTCCTTGCCCATGCCTATGTCCTGAATGGTATTGCCTAGGTTTTCTTCTAGGGTTTCTATGGTTTTAGGTCTAACATTTAAGTCTTTAATCCATCTTGAATTAATTTTTGTATAAGGTGTAAGGAAGGGATCCAGTTTCAGTTTTCTACATATGGCTAGCCAGTTTTCCCAGCACCATTTATTAAATAGGGAATTTATCTTATTTTTAAAGGGTTAAAATCCAGTGACTGAATTAATTCATTTTGGGTGTCCTTGCTACCTACTGCCAGTTAGCAGAATTTATTATGAGTTTGACCAGTTGTGCCAGTTCTCTCCCTGCTGAATGACACAGCTCATCAGCTCATCCTCTTTAATATGTTGATACTGAAGTGGAGACTTCTGAAAATGGCTTCCTCCTGAGGGTCCTTCTATTGGTCCTGACCTGCCATTGCTAGTTTACTCTTTCCGAAAATATTTACAGAGTTCCTGCCATGAAGGCACTTTACATAAGTTCCAGCTTCTAAGACTCTCACAATGGAATGGACAGAATCAAGAAGATACAGTCTCATACTGCCCAGATTCTGAATTCTCATCACTTTCTGGAGCTGTATCAAGCCTACTGTCCATGTGTGCTATAATGAGTTGAATAGTGTTTCCCCAAAATTCATATCCATCCAGAACTTTACAATGTGACCTTATTTGGAAATAGGATCATTGCAGGTGTAGTTGTTTAAAGATCTCAAGATGAAATCATCTCAGATTTAGGGTTATCCCTATATCCAATGCCCTACTGAAAATACTATCCCCCTTGCTAATATATTAATATTAATATATCTCATAATAAATTAAGAGCATATCCATTTATCCATGCCTTATAGTAAACATATTTCCAGGACATTTTTCTAGTTTTCCATTAGGTTTTTGGAAGTTGACAGTTTGTTTGTTTTGGTGACATTGACCTTATTCCTAGAAGCCTTTACTTTGTTGTCTTTCATTTTCTTCCCCAGCTGACATGTTAGTGGTGTTCCCACATGGGTATCTGCTTAGAAGGCCAGGATTCTTCTTTCTTTCTTTGCCAATAGGTCTTTAGGTCTATTAAAGCTAAAGACTGTGTTTATAGAAAACTACCATTGGGACTGAATTGACTAAACAGCTGATATGGCATTTCCTTACTCTCACACCTGATTGTATGTTTCAGTAAAGAGACCAAGCTAAACAACTGTTTCGATATCAGTTGAACTCAATGTCTTCAGTTCCATATAAAACATAGCCTTGGCCAGGCGTGGTGGCTCACGCCTGTAATCCCAGCACTTTGGGAGGCCGAGGCGGGTGGATCACGAGGTCAGGAGATCGAGACCATCCTGGCTAACATGGTGAAACCCTGTCTCTACTAAAAATACAAAAAATTAGCTGAGTGTGGTGGCGGGCACCTGTAGTCCCAGCTACTCGGGAGGCTAAGGCAGGAGAATGGTGTGAACCCAGGAGGCAGAGCTTGCAGTGAGCTGAGATCGCGCCACTGCACTCCAGCCTGGGCAACAGAGCAAGACTCCATCTCAAAAAAAAAAAAAAAGTAGCCTTGTATTTACCTATGTCACCAACTTGGACATCCCACACATGTACCCTGGAACTTAAAATAAAAGTTGACCAAAAAAAAAAGCCTTACCAACTAGCCAAATAGTAATGGTAAAAAATAAAATAAAATAGAACCTGTTATGTCTTATAGGCTAAAAGACCCACTAACTTAGGGTGGTTAGCTGATTTGTCCTCAATCCGTCAGATCACAAGAGCATCTAGATATGTAACAGAAAGGTAGATAGAGCAGGCAAGAAAATGCCCACACTGGGAAACAAACAAGGGCTGAGAAAAGAGATCCCTTAGCTGCACCTAGAGACAGAAGTGAGATATGGTTTTCATCATTACTAGACCCAAAATTCTACAGTCCAAGGAAAGGGACGAAGAACTCTATTCTGCAAAACTGCACACAAAAATTGACCCAGATATGAGAATACCACCAACATGTCATTTAGGGAAGATAACTAAAGAGAAAGAGCAAAGGCTTGTAGGAGTAAGGTCAATTTTATCTAAACAGGAAAGTGCTCACAAGAGTATGGTAAGAGCAGCTGCAGTTCAGACAGGAAATCAACAACATGCACAGCTGAGGAAGGAGGAGTCAAGACAAATTAATTCCAATAGAGTGTAAAATTCTCTGGACTCCAAGAAGACAAATAGAATCAGGGAAGAGGATGGGAGCACAGACTAGATGTCAAGGATCGTGCTAGGAACATTAGTTATATTGTTAATTTATTAGTCCATTTTACAGTTGAGGCTCAGGGAGCTTAAATGACTTGCCCACATAAACATAGCTGATAAGCAAATTGAAACCCAAGTCTGTCACATTGAGAGCCTCTGCTCTCTCTACTGCATCAGTGTTTCTCAAAGTGTAAACTGAGGCCACCTGCATCCAAGTCACCTGAGACGCTTGTTAAAAACTCAGGCCCAGTACTTCTAAATCGGATTCTCTTTAGGTGGTTCTATGTACCCACAGGGCCTCCTCTCTGAGACAGGCCTGTCCTCTGGGAAAAGCAGAGAGACTCCTGCCTCCTATAATGGCCCTAGTCCCAGGAATCACCCAGTATATTCAGAGTCAGATCTTAGAAGTAAGGACCAAGTCTAGCCATCAAAACTGAAGGGACCAAAATGTAGAAATGAGTTGAGAGTCCAGAAGCCTCACCCATTAGCAGGCTCAGGTTTCACCCTGGAGCCTCCACATCCAATACAAGAAGTAACCAACCAACTGGCCGAGGCCAAGTGGTCAGAACTGTGGCAGCAACCAGGAGGCCAAATATTGAGGGTCAGTTTGTTCTCTCTTCCTCTGTGTGATCTCTATGTTTTTTAACTATCCCCTCCTCCAATTTTCAGCTTCCTTGTCTATAGTCATAACAATAGCTGACATGTACTGAAAACCTCTAGTATGCAAGGCCCTATTGTAGGACTTCTACATGTATTTATTTATGTGATTCTACAACCACTTGAGGAAAAAGGTACACTTTATATACCCATTTTATAGATAAGAAAACTAAAGCACAAAACATTAAACAACTTGCCCAGGGTCACCCAGCTGGCAAGTATGTCACCCACTCATACTTATCTGGAAAGTATGTCTTCAGAGCCATACACTCACTCATGACACTGTACTTCCTCTCTGACTATAGCTATGGTGCCACCTTTCACAAGCCTAACACTTGTTAGGAAGCTGTAGGTGCCATTTGGGGACTCAAATTAGGACTCAAAAACTGCCCTGAGTACGTATGTCTGACCAGCTATGATAAGGGAGACAAAAAGATCTCAGTGAATTTGATCTAGTCACATCAGATTCTGCTGTGGCCGGGGGTATAAACATGTTCCCAAACCATCAGCCAAATAGGCAGAGGAGCCAAACTCCAGCAGAAGCATGCAATCTTGTTTTATTTACCATGAGTCCAGAAAGCATCGCAACTTCTCCTAAAACTTGTTTTGGGGAAAAAAAAAAAAAAAAATCTTGCCTTGGAAACAGAGAGATAAAATCAATAGGAAGGTGGAATCTTTGAAGAGCTCCTGGGTACAAAAAAAAAGACAGCAGCAGCAGGACATTCTGGAGGATTGTCTTCAGTGGCTGAAGTGCCTACAACTGACCAACAAGGTAAATCAAATCTGCTGCCAATACATTCTTTTGCTGTCCAGATAAAACGGCAGACTAAGCTGGTGAACTTTCACCCTTCACCCGCGCTCTTCAAGCCAAAGTACAGATTAAAAAAAATCAATAACCCCAATCGATGGGAAAATATTTTTAGTCTCTAACTGAACGATATGTTTTGACAAGGCCAAAGAGGAGCACAAAAGAATGGCGAAAGATAAAAGACAGAAAATTAGGAATTTGCTTTATTGGGTGAGGTGGAATCACCAATCACTTTCTTTTTTCCTCGCTGACATTCGTCTAAATTATCTCACAGCAAGGAAATAAAGTGTAAGGAGATGAATTTATAAAATGGCATGATTCACTGCCAAGCACCTTAAAACCTATTATTGCTACCATTTTCTGTTGCCATTTCCAAGAAAGCAATCTAGAGAAATGTCCATGTTCAGAACACAGTCAGAGAAAAGAGCATTTCCCCAAAGTGAATAGAGTGGACAATGGAACAACGGAGCCTCCCACCCCCACCCCAAACTGCAGATCACATCCAATACTAAACACATCAGAAAGTGTTTAAAATCCCCAGTTTGACTTCATTTTTCTCAAAATAACCGTTGTTTTTCATAACTCAGTACCCTTGAGTTCCCTTCATAACAGAGCAAATTAAACTCATAATATCACCTTGTCTTCTGGCCCTTTAAGCAGTAATTTATTTTTGTAGATAGGTGCAAGCCTGCTGTATTTCCAAAAATTATTTCACATTATTCCTACATTAAATAAAAGTGATAAAGAAACATACGACCTTGAATAAAATTAACAAAAATTACCTGTCAATTTGTTTGCTTTTTTTTGTAGAAGAAACTCGTGAACATAGAGAATAGTCTTACCAATCGATTAATATTTTCAATTCTTTATAGTAACGACAATTGGTAAACAGATTTATGGGATTCAAAAATCTATATAAATCCAATAGACTGATAGTTGTCATCGTAGCGACCTATTTTACTTATTAATTCATATCCCTCTCTTTTTTTCTCCCTTAATATCAATGCCTCATCTGTTATTTGATAAGCCTTTGGAGTGAATTTAATGACTATCATTTTACTACAACTCTTTATTTTTTCCTCTAGCAGAAGCTTAAATATACATTTCTTATATAAATACATACCTAGGCTGATGGTTACATCTGTGTGATGGCAGCCAATTCTACCCACAAAAATCAGTCAGTTCCATAAAAGAGATTGACAAACCAGTGGTTTGACGTCATATATGTGGCAGTCAAAGCATCCATTCAATGGCTATTTGATTGGCCATTTTTTTAATACTGTAAGTAAGTTGCTTCATTGTTAAGATCAACATAGATTTTCTAATGGCAATCATTCTGGCAGGGTGAAAAAAAATGGGATAGTCTAGTCCCCTGAGACTTCGATAAGAACCAGCTTTATACACTTGTGTTCTATTTACCCAAGTGTAGATACCTTCACAGACTATTGGTACCCTCACTTCACAGACTCTCCAGGATACTTGGACCTACTTACATTTTTGTTAACAGGAAAAATGTACTTCGCTGTCTGTTAGTAAAAATCATATAATACTTGCTTCTCTTTCCTGAGCATTTACTATATGACAAGCTCTCTGTGTGCTTAGCATTCTTACACATCTGAGCTAATTTACCTTCAGAACTAACCTACAACATAGGTAGTATCAACTCCAAATTACAGAAGAGAAAGAAGTCTTGGTGACATAAAGTAATTGCCCAAGGTCACAACAGTAAAGTGGTAGAGACAGGGGTCTAATCCCATTTCTTTCTGATTCTGATGTCTACACTTCTACTTCATTTGTCTTATGGTACCACCACCTAGATGGAATAGAGCTGATAAGATTCACCACCTGTAGTAATTGGAATGACCAGAAAATTACATTTGATTGACTCCTTAGTTCACAAACCATCGTGCCATATTCAAATGAGCATGAAAGTCACTTTTAATTTGTTAAGTCATTAGTTATGATACATTTATTAAGCATCTCTAATTCTGGAATATTTATGTGAATACAGCTCATTAATAAATTCCCAGTAGGCCCCCTTGTTAAGAAATACTTGCACTTGCGTAGTGAAAGATCAATGCATGATAAACACATTATAAGTGCATTATAAGTGCATCCTGTATGTACTTCATGAGCAGGGGAAGGCCAAAACCAAAAGTGTTACACATGTTACCCATGAAGACTCATTTCCTCAGAATTTTCCAAAGTAATTTTTCAATATTGAATTGCCATATTTCACACATTTCCCCAAAATGGCTGTCAATAAAATGTCATGCTTCAGGTTGCCCATTTATTCACATCTATCTTCAAGTTGCCTAAAGGACTTTGGATATATGCTCCTTCTTTTTAACATTCCCTGGAAGTCCTTACCATGGTAGTTGATTGTTGAAGCACTAGTAATTGAAATGAGTAGGTAATTATGGTATTCAAAGCTTTCAACATGCTCAGGGAAGTGTGATGACTACTTGAATTAGCTAACGAAAACATGTGAAGTCATTGCCAAAAGATCTTTCACAAAAATCCATTATTTGCAGCTGGGAAGTTACCAACTGTTTGAAAAACCAGAATGACTCTCTATAATTCCAACTACATAGTATTTGACTCCATTATTTGCGAGTAAAACTGGGTGTATATGTGAATCCCAGAATGTTTTCACAGTGGAGAGATATGGTAGACTCAGTGATTCCCTGACCATCACAATGTTCAAAACATTCTGTTTCTAACAGGGGCTGAGTTTTTCTTAGCAAAAAATGGATTTAGCTAGCTAAATCTAGATTTGCCTCTCCAGTTGAATCCCAAGTTCTTGGGAGGTAGAGAATGTTACAGGAAGTTCATGCTCCAAATCTAGCTTTAGTCCATTTTCCTTAAACCTTCCAATGCTTCTCCTAAGACTGGAATAAAATCTAGATCTCCTTCCATGGCCTGACAGCCTTGGTAGCTGTGTGGTCACTGCCTGGAATACACAACTCACAGACTTCTGTGTGGCCAGCAACTATTTTATTCATCATTCAGGTCTCAGCTCATACGTCGTCCCTTCAGAGAGACACCTCTGCTCTACCACTCCCCACTCATTATTTTGTTTTCTATCCTCCGCAGCACCTATCATTATCAGAAGTTGTCCTACTATACTACAGGTTCCAGGTGCACCATCATATCTCCACTGCCTGATGAAGGGGAGGAGCCTGACAAAGGGGAGGTGTTCAATATTTGTCAAACACATGAATCTCCAGGGCAATGATGGACAACTTGGATTGAATCAGATTTTTTATTAAGTCAATTTGCTTTGGGGGAAGTACCAGTTTTATTCCTCATGCAATAGCAAGCTGATTCTTCAAAAATTCAACTACCAAATTTTTTGTTCCAGGCCTTTTTAAACCACAGGTATATGGACATGGTCTTAGGATAGATTCTCCCCTGACCTGGGTGAAGCTGCTTCATACCTTCTCTGTGCCTTTGCATATGTCCCGTCTGCCTGGAATGCTTTCCCCCTCTCCACCTGCTAACTACTCATCTTTCAAACTTGTCTAGAGCATCCACTTCTTGTGGAATGCACTTGTGAATGGGGTCCTCTATTTGCTTCCATAATTTATCTCCTACAAGTTAGCTCTCATAGCTTATTCTCTAGCAACACTGATATTTTAACCAAACTCTGTCACATGTTCATGTTCTATGTATGCATTTCTCTCTACCAGAAATTGACTGCTTTAATGTATCTTTCTTTTTTGGTTTTATTTTATTTTATTTTATTTTATTGTTTTAAGTTCTGGGATACATTTTCAGGATGCGTAGGTCTGTTACATAGGAAAACGTGTGCCATGGTGGTTTGCTGCACCTATCAACCCATCACCTAGATATTAAGCCCAGCATGCATTAGCTATTTATCTTGATGCTCTCCCTCCTCCAGCCTCCCCCAACAGGCCGTAGTGTGTGTTGTTCCTCTTCCTGTGTCCATGTGTTCTCATTGTTCAGCTCTCACTTATAAGAGAGAACATGTGGTGTTTGGTTTTCTGTTCCTGCACTAGTTTGCTGAGGATAATGACTTCCAGCTCCATCCATGTCCCTGCAAAGGACATGATCTCCTTCCTTTTTATGGCTGCATAGTATTCTGTGGTGTATATGTACCACATTTTCTTTATCCATTCTATCATTGATGAGCATTTGAGTTGATTCCATGTCTTTGCTATGGTGAATAGTGTTGCAATGAACATACACATGCATGTATCTTTATGATAGAATGATATATATTCCTTTGGGTATATACCAAGTAATGGGATTGCTGGGTCAAATGGTATTTCTGGTTCTAGTTCTTTGAGGAATTACCACACTGTCTTCTACAATGGTTGAACTAATTTACATTCCCACCAACAGTGTAAAAGTGTTCCTTTTTCTCCGGAACCTCTCCAGCATCTGTTGTTTCTTGACTTTTTAATAATTGCCATTCTGACTGGTGTGAGATGGTATCTCATTGTGGTTTCAATTTCCGTTTCTCTAATGATCAGTGATGTTGAGCTTTGTTTCATATATGTTTATTGGCCATGTGTATGTCTTCTTTTAAAAGTTTCTGTCCATGGCCTTTGCCCACTTTTTAATGGGGTTGTTTTCTTTTTCTTGTAAATTTGTTTAACTTCTTTGTTGATTCTGGATATTAGACCTTTGTCAGATGCATAGATTGCAAAAATTTTCTCTCATTCTGTAGGTTTCTGTTCACTCTGATGATAGTTACTTTTGCTGTGGAGAAGCTCTTTAGTTTCATTAGATCTTTTTTTTTAATTAGATCTCAATTTTTGCTTTTGTTGCAATTGCTTTTGGTGTTTTCATCATGAAATCTTTGCCTATGCCTATGTCCTGAATGATATTGCCTAGATTTTCTTCTAGAGTTTTTATAGTTTAGGGTTTAACATTTAAGTTTTTAATCCATCTTGAGTTAATTTTTGTATATGGTGTAAGAAAGGGGTCCAGTTTCAATTTTCTGCATATGGCTAGCCAGTTCTCCTGGCACCATTTATTAAACAGGAAATACTTTCCCCACTGCATGTTTGTGCAGGGTTGGTTGAAGATCAGATGGTTGTAGGTAGGCAGTCTTATTTCTGAGTTCTCTATTCTGTTCCATTGGTCTATGTGTCTGTTCTTCTACTGGTACCACGCTGTTTTTGTTACTGTACCCTTGTGGTATAGTTTGAAGTTGGGTAGCATGATGCCTCCAGCTTTGTTCTTTTTGCTTAGGATTGTCTTGGCTAGTCAGGCTCTTTTTTGCTTCCATATGAATTTTTAAATGTTTTTTTCTAATTCTGTGAAGAATGTCACTAGTAGTTTAATGAAAATAGTATTGAATCTATAAATTAGGTTGGGCAATATGGCCATTTTCATGATATTTGACTCTTCCTATCCATGAGCATAGAATGCTTTTCTACCTGTTTGTGTCATCTCTGATTTCCTGGAGCAGTGGTTTGTAGTTCTCCTTGAAGAGGTCCTCCACATCCCTTGTTAGCTTATTCGTAGGTATGCTATTCTCTTTGCAGCAATTGTGAATGGGAGTTCATTCATTATTTGGCTCTCTGCTTGTCTATTGTTGGTGTTTAGCAATGCTTGTAAGTTTTGCACAATTGATTTTGTATCCTGAGATTTTGCTGAAGTTGTTTATCAGCTTAAAAAGCTTTTGGGCTGAGACAATGGGGTTTTCTAGATATAGGATCATGTCATCTGCAAATAGAGACAGTTTGTCTTCCTCTCTTCCTATTTGACTTATTTCCTTCCCTTGCCTGATTGCCCTGGCCAGAACTTCCAATACTATGTTGAATATGAGTGGTGAGAGAGGGCATCCTTGTCTTGTGCCAGTTTTCAAGGGGAATGCTTCCAGCTTTTGCCCATTCAGTATGATATTGGCTGTGGGTTTGTCATAAATAGCTCTTATTATTTTGAGGTATGTTCTATCAATACCTAATTTATTGAGAGTTTTTAAAATGAAGGGATGTTGAATTGTACTGAAGACCTTTTCTGCATCTATTGAGGTAATTATGTGTTTTTTGTCTTTAGCTCTGTTTATGTGATGAATTATGTTTATTGATTTGCATACGTTAAACCAGCTTTGCATCCTGGGGATGAAGCCACCTCGATTGTGGTGGATAAGCTTTTTGATGTGCTGCTGGATTCAGTTTGCCAGTATTTTATTGAGGACTTTTGCATTGATGTTCATCGGGGATATTGGCTTGAAGTTTTCTTTTTTCGTTGCATCTTTGCCAGATTTTGGTATAAGGATGATGCTGGCCTCATAGAATGAGTTAGGGAGGAGTCCCTCCTTTTCAATTGTTTGGAATATTTTCAGAAGAAATGATACCAGCTCCTCTTTGAACCTCTGGTAGAATTCAGCTGTAAATCTGTCTGGTCCTGGGCTTTTGTTGGTAGGTAGGCTATTTATTACTGCCTCAATTTCAGAACTTGTAATTGGTCTATTCAAGGATTCAACTTCTTCTGGGTTCAGTCTTAGGAGGGTGTATGTGTCCGGGAATTTATCCATTTCTTGTAGATTTTCTATTTTATTTGCATAGAGGTGCTTATAGTAGTTTCTGATGGCTGTTTATATTTCTATGAGGTCTGTGATAATCTCTCCTTTATCAATTTTTATTGTGTCTATTTAATTCTTCTCTCTTTTCTTATTTTTTAGTATAGCTAGCAGTCTATCTATTTCATTATTTTTTTCAAAAAACAGCTCCTGGATTCATTGATTCTTTTTTAAAAGTTGATGGTTATTTCTTGACTTCTGCTGGCTTTGAGGTTTGTTTGCTCTTGGTTCTCTAGTACTTTTAGTTGTGATGTTAAGGTGTCATTTGGAGATCTTTGTAACTTTTTAATGTGGGTACTTAGTTCTACAAATTTCCCTCTTAACACTGCTTTAGCTGCATCCCAAAGATTCTGATATGTTGTCTTTTTGTTCTCATTAGTTTCAAAGAACTTCTTAATTTTTGCCTTAATTTTATTATTTACCCAGAAGTCAATTCAGGAGCAGGTTGTTCAATTTCCATGTAGTTGTGTGGTTTTGAGTGAGTTTCTCAATCTTGAGTTCTAATTTGATTGTGCTGTGATGTGAGAGACTGTTCATTATGATTTCAGGTCTTTTGCATTTGTTGAGGAGTATTTTACTTCCAATTATATTATCAATTTTAGAGTAAGTGTCATGTGGCCCTGAGAAGAATGTATATTCTGTTGTGTTGGGGTGGAGAGCTCTGTAGATATCTAGCAAGTCCACTTGACCCAGAGCTGAGTTCAAGTCCTGAATATCCTTGTTAATTTTCGGTCTCAATGATCTCAATGATTGACAGTGGGGTGTTAAAGTCTCCCATTTTTATTGTGTGGGAGCCTAAGTCTCTTTGTAGGTCTATAAGATCTTGTTTTATGAATCTGGGTGTTCTTGTATTGGGTACATATATATTTAAGATAGTTAGCTCTTCTTGTTGAATTGAACCCTTTACCATTACATAATGTCTTTCTTTGTCTTTTTGTGACATTTATTGATTTAAAGTCTATTTTCTCAGAGACTAGGATTGCAATCCCTGCTTTTTTCTGCTTTCTATTTGCTCAGTAAATTTTCCCTCATTCCTTTATTTTGAGCCTATGTGTATTCTTGCACGTGAGATGGGTCTCTTGATTACAGCACCAACGGGTATTGACTCTTTATCCAGCTTGCCATCCTGTGTCTTTTAATTGGGGCATTTAGCCCATTTACATTTAAGGTTAATATTGTTATGTGTGGATTTGATCCTGTCATTATGATGCTAGCTGGTTATTTTACAGACTTGTTGATGTAGTTGCTTCATAGTGTCATTGGTCTTTGTACTTCAGTGTGTTTTTGTAGTGGCTAGTAACGAGTTTTTGTTTCCATATTTAGTGCTTCCTTCAGGAGCTCTTGCAAGACAGGCCTGGTGGTGATGAATTCCCTCAGCATTTCCTTGTCTGAAAAGGATTTTATTTCTCCTTCACTTATGAAGCTTGATTTGGCTGGATATGAAATTCTGGATTGGAAATTCTCTTTTTTTTTTAGAATGTTGAATATTGGCCCCCAATCTCTTCTGGATTGTAGTGTTTCTGCTGAGAGGTCCACTGCTAGTCTGACGGGCTTCCCTTTGTAGGTGACCTGGACTTTCTCTGTCTGCCCTTAACGTTTTTTCCTTCATTTCGACCTTGGAGAATCTGATGATTATGTGTCTTGGGATTGATCTCATGAAGTATATTACTTGGGTTCTCTATATTTCCTGAATTTGAATGTTGGCCTGATTTGCTAGGTTGGGGAAGTTCTCCTGGATGATATCCTGAAGTATGTTTTCCAAATTAGTTCAGTTCCCCCCATCTTTCAGTTACCCCAATCAGTTATATGTTCAGTCTTTTTACATAGTGCCATACTTCTCAGAAATTTTGGTCATTTCTTTTCCTTCTTTTTTCTCTAATCTTGTCTGCCTATCTTATTTCAGCAAGATAGTCTTCAAGCTGTGAGATTCTTTCCTCTGCTTGGTCTGTCCAGTTTCCCTGATCCATTCTGTAGGATGTGCTCTCTCCCCACACCAACCTTCATGCTTCTTTGTACCTTTCATTATAGCACTGGCAATCTATTTGGCATTTTGTTTATATGTATCCAAATCAATCCCATTACTAGATTACAAGCTCTTGGAGAGTAGGGCCTATGTCCCATTCACCTATGTGTCCTTTGCAGTATCCAGTAATATGCCTGGTGTGTAGTGGGTGCTCAGTATATGGTAGGTAATGTGACCATTCATGGACATGAACCCATAATAACATCTCACTTGCTTGGGGGCAGATCCAAGCCTGTGAAGAAGTGAGGGAAACAACTGTCCCTCGCCATTCAAAAAAAAATTCCTATAAATTTTATCTCAGCTATTTCTTCTTTTTTCTCTCAAAGAAGCAGGTGCTTCCTGCCATGTTATTCAATGCTGCCTTTTATGAGGCATAAAGGGAGCATTTTGAGTGACTGGGATTCTATTTTACTCCACCACAGAAGCCCAGGTAGCTAAAGGGCAACTTTAAGACCACCAACTAATCAGGACAGGATTAGTTGAGAGCAATCTGCACAGGAAGAATGGATGAGCCAAGCATGTCTGGCCAGTAAGCTAAAATTTGTTTTATTTGTTCAGAAAGGTCTTTTGTGAAGCTTTGGCTGGCCATATTTTTAGCATTTAAAGAAATGCTCTAAATCAATAGAAAATATGGTAAATAAATTTTGGCACATCCCCACATAGAATACTCTACTGTCATTAAAAAGATGATGTATTCACACCTCAAGAAACAGAAAAAGAAGAACAAATAAACCCAAAGTTAGCAGAAAGAAGGAAATAATAAAGATTAGAGCAGATATGAATGAAAACGAGAATAGAAAAAAATCAATAAAACAAAGAGTTGATTTTTTGAAGAGACCACAAAACTGACAAATCTTTAGCTAAGCCAACTAGAAAAAAATGAGAAAAGCTTCAAATAACAAAAATCAGAAATGAAAGAGGAGACTACATAACTGATGCTATGACACTGCTATGAACAATTATATGCCAACAAACTGAATAACCTACAAGAAATGGATAAATTTCTAAAACACACAACCTACCAAGACTGAATTGTAAACTAAAAAAAAAAATCTGAACAGACCTATAACTAGTAAGAATATTGAATTAAAAACCTCCCAACAAAGAAAAACTCAGAACCAGCTGGCTTCACTGAAAATTTCTACCACATGTTTTTAAAAGAATTAATACCAATATTTCACAAACTTCCAATAAAATCAAAGAGGAGGGAATGCTTTTAAGCTCATTATATGAAGTCAACATAATCCTGATAGCAAAATGAGATAAAGACACTATGAGTAATGAAAACTACAGACCGATATCCCTGGTGAATATTGACGTAAAAATCTTTGACAAAATAATAGCACATTGAATTCAATAGCATTTTAAAAGAATTATACACTATGACCAAGTGGAATTTGCTCCTGGAATGCAAAGATGGTTCAACATATGAAAATCAGTCAATGCAGTATACCACATTTACAGAATGGAGGACAAAAATGACATAATCATCCCAATTGATTCAGAAAAAGTATTTCAAAAAAATTCAATACAATTTCATGAACAAAAAAACCCTCACCAAACTAGGAATAGAAGGAAATTATCTCAACATAATGAAGGTCATATATGAAAAAATCACACAGCTAACATATACTCAGTCATGGAGAACTGAAAGATTTCCCTCTAAGATCAGAACAAAACAAGCCTACCACCTCTCACCACTTCTACTCAACATAGTACTGAAAGTTCTAGCCAGACTAATTAGGCAATAAAATAAATAAAAGGCATCCAAACGGGAAAAGAAAAAGTAAAACTATCTCTTTTCACAGAAGACATAACCCTATATGTATAAAACCCTGTATGTAAGATTCCACCAAAAAACTGTTAGAATAAATGAATTCAGCGAAGCTGTGGGATACAAAATCAACACACACAAAAAAAAGTTGTGTTTCTGTACACTAACAATAAACAATATGAAAAGGAAATTAAGAAAACAACTACATTTACAATAGGATAAAAAAGAATAAAATAATTAGAAGTAAACTTAACCTAGGAGGCAAATAACTTGTACACTGAAAACTACAGAACTGTCTTGAAAGAAATAAAAGAAAACACAAATAAATGAAAGACACATACATAGTCTATGAAATCCCTATCAAAATTCCAATGATTTTTTACAGAAATAGAAAAGGCTTGAAATTCTGTGAAATCTCAAAGGACCATGAATAGCCAAAGTTATCTTGAGAAAGAAAAACAAAGCTGAGGAGCTCAGACTTCCTGATTTTGAAACATTATTACAGAGCTATAGTAATCAAAACAGTATGGTGCTCACAAAGACAGAAACATAAACCAATGTAACAGTATAGAGAGCCCAGAAATAAACCCTCACATATATGGTCAGATAATCTTCAATAAGGTGCCAAAGTTACACAATGGGGAAAAATAGTCTCTTCAACAAATGTTGGGAAACCTGGATATCCATGGGCAAAAAAAAAAAAATGAAGTTGGACCTTCATCTTACACCATATACAAAGTTAATTCAAAGTAGATTAAAGACCTAAACACCTGAAACTATAAAACTCCCAGAAGAAAATAGAAAAAAAGATTCACGACATTAGTCCTTGCAATGATTTCTTGGATATGGCATCAAAAGTACAGGCAACAAAAACAGGAATAGACAAATGGAACTACATCAAGCTTAAAAACTCCTGTGCAGAAAGGAAACAATGAACAGAATGTAAAGACAACCTATGGAATGGGAGAAAATATTTGAAAACCATATATCTGAAAAGGGGTTAATGTTGAAAATATATAAAGAACTCCTAAAACTCAACAACAAACAACATCAACAGAAATAATTTATTTTAAAATGGCAAAACTCAAACAGACATTTCTCCAAAAACACAAATGGCCAATAAGATATGAAAAGATATCCAACATCACTAATCACAGGGAAATGCAAATCAAAACCACAATGAGATGTCACCTGAAACCTGTTAGAATGGCCATTATCAAAAAACAGAAAATAAAAATATTAGTGAGGATGTGAGAAAATTAGAACTGTTGTACACTGCTAGTAGGAATGTAAAATTGTTCAGCAGCTATAGAAAACTGTACTGAGGTTCCTTGAAAATTTTAAAAACAAAATTACTGCATGATCCAACAATCCTGCATCTGGTTTTATATCAAAAGGAATTGAAAATAGGACCTTGAAGAGATATTTGCACAACAGTGTCCACTGCAACATTATTTGCAATAGCTAAGATATGCAAACAATTCAAGAATCCATAGACAGATGAATGGATAAAGAAAATGTGGTATATACATAAAATGCAATATTATTCACCCTAATAAAAGAAATTTTGTCATATGTTGCGCCATTAACGAATCTAGAGAATATTATGCTAAGTGAAATAAGCCAGTCACAAAATCACAAATATTACATGATTCCACTTAAAGTTTCCAAAATAGTCAAATTTTTGGAAACGGTAGAATGGCAGTTGCCAGGGCTGGTGGAGGGGAGGAAAAGGGGGAGATGTTGTTCACTAAGTATAGCGTTTCCATTTTGCAAGATAAAAAAGTTCTAGAGTTCTATTGCACAAGAAGGTGCATATAGTTAACACTACTGTACTGTATACTTAAAAACGGTTCAGGTGGTGAAAATAATGATGTGTATGTACTTATGATATTAAGACATGCTGATTAAAAAAACATCAAGGAGAAAGTTACAAAAAGAAAGTTACAAATAATGTGTAACATAATCCCACTTTTGTAAATATATGTGTATGTATATACATAAGCATGTATATGCATATGTATTTGTATACATCTATACATGTGTATTACATTTATATAGTTTATACTACCTTTATATTTATACACAATAGAATATGAGCACAACCTGACAAAATGCATGTATATCTGATTTGTCATTTTATTCCTGGTGTTCAGTACATAGTTGGTTAGAAATATTAGTAGTTGATCAATGAATAAGCATATGTGCCATGAAAAAAGACTGAAAAGTTATGCACCAAAATATTAACAACAGTCATCTCTGTGTTTCAAGATTTTTTTGTCTTTACTTATCTGTAGTTCTAAAAATTTTTCTAATAAACAGTATTATTTATTCTCAAAATAATTTTTAAAGGTAAAGAATGGAGAGAAAATGCTGAGTCTAGATATATACAGAGAAATGATGAATTTTTAGCCCAAATAGATTTTACCTAAAATTCCCTAATAAAGTGAATAATTTTTTTTTATTTGGGAGGAGGAAGAATGCTCAAGAGACACAAAGTATGACAATAAGAGAGAGAGGTTATGTCCAGATGGTAAGGTCAGGAGGGAACATGAGGAAGAGATGTTGCTGGAGTCAGGTCTAGCAGGATGTGTGCACTTTCAATGAGTGAACTGGAAGGAAAATTCACTTCAAAAGGGAGATGAGATTAATAATGGCATAAACACTAGGAATTATTAGGTGGGTTTCGGGGACAAGTAATTGGAGTAGACTTGGGTTTAAAAGAAATGTGACTGGAAATAGGATATGGGCTGATTGTAGGTGGTTCTGCCTGTGTAAGGTTAGGAGTTTTGACTTTGTCCTGTGTGGAATCGAGGGTCATCCTTGTTTTTTTAGCAGAGGTGTGGCACAGCCAAAGTGCTGTTTACCTGCCAGCTACTTATCACATGGGCTCAAATAGAAGAGACTGGTTAGAAAGCTCAGGTAGTATCCCATGTTTGAGATGATAGAGACCTGGACAAAGAGGGAGGGGAGAGAAACAGAAATAGATGACAAAGACAGATGACAGAGTCTATGAAGAAACAATAACAGGGCTTAGAGACTGAGTGTCAGCACAGGAGGTTGCAGGCCCAGAGGAAGCAATGGGGAGCCTCACTTTTTCCCCCGCTGGATAAAATTAGGTTATGATAAACATCCAGAACATCTCTCATAGAACAAGCAATTTCAGGGCAGGCACAGTGGCTCAGGCCTGTAATCTCAGCACTTGGGAGGCTGAGGGAGGCAGGATCACTTGAGTCCAGGAGTCTGAGACAAGCCTGGGCATGATAGTGAGACCCCAGCTCAACAGCAACTTTTTTTAAAAAAATAGAAAAATTAGCCCAGCACAGAGGCTCATGCCTGTAGTCCCAGATACCTGGGAGCCTGAGGTGAAAGAATTGCTTAAGCCCAGGAAGTCAAAAATGCAGTGAGCCAAGATTGTGCCACAACACTTCAGCCTGGGAAACAGTGAGACCCTGTCTCAAAAAAAGGGGGGCAATGTCAAAGCGAAGTCTACTTAGGCAGAAACATCAGCCAAGGACTTTGGGTTTTCTGGGGATTTTTGTTTTCAGGGTAGTACTGTGAGGATCAGAAAGTAGACAAGAATGAGGCGGTGGGAAGAGGAAGGCTGGGGATAAAGAAGAGGTGGGATGACTGGGATGGATCTCCCAGTAGGTAGGATAGGAGACAACCCAGACCAAGGCAGAGAAATGGAAAGACACCTCAACTCCAAGGCTGATAGAAAGATGAGCAATTGCAGTGTTCTCACATGGAGAGAAATGGGGACGGTGAGATCATCTGTTTTTGCTGTAGGTATTATGGAGGTCACCTGCTTTGCAAGAAGGAGTGAGGATTGAGAAGAAAAGAATACATCTGAAACACCAATTTTAAAGAGTCTTAGAGAAACAGAAGATGAATAAACGGTCAGACAGCTACATGTGGCTGTGGATCAGGCACACGGGACTCAGCAAACTGTCCTTCTAATGCCATAGAACCCAGGCCCCTTAGCCAGGAGAGACCAGGGCTGGGAGACACTTGACAAGCCGGTAGAACATTGTGTTAGGTTCAGGATACAGGAGAGGTCTGACAAGGACAAATGGAAGAGATCTCAAGTCCTGAGTGAGGTGGGAAGGGCTGACTGATGGGAAGTTGGGTCTGCTTCCAAACCCCCATCATAATTTTTGGTGTTTTAGGGTGACAGAGTCTGATGCACAAGCCCTTGAGCAGGACCATGGGAGAAATGGTTCCTCAAGAAAATGGTAAGGAGGCCCCTTATGAGGGCCAGCTGGGCATACTGAGGAGGGCAGTAGTCTCCTGGGAAATGGGGAATCACTTGTTGGAATTTATTCTCCTCTACTCCCCAGGAAATCAAGAGGAACTAGTCAGTAAGCATACATGACACTGGAACCCCAGAGGGATGAAAAAGGGTAGGGCAACAAGGAATGTGTTTAAGAAAAGCTGATATAAAAATGATGAAGTAAAAGAAGGCACTGGAGTGAGTCACGTGCAAAGAGCTGAGGAAGGGTCAAGGCAGAGATCTGAGTGTGACGCCCGAGGCTCCGGACGAGTCCTTCAGTTTCATCATCCAGTTGCTGTGAGTGGTCTGGGGAGGGACAGGTAGGACAAATGAGAATCTCAAGTCTCAGATTCATTAGATCTCACATCTAATCATAGCTAAAGTTAGACTAGATGCTTTGTTAAACGTTAGACTAGATGTTTTGTTAAACGTTATCTTTTTGAAATTTTCAAACAATGTTTAATGACATCGATCATGAAATAATGTGATTTATAGGGGTAATATGATCCTATTTCTGCTAAAATTATGAAAAAAGTTATATGCACAAAATTATCAGAAAAAAATTCACTAAAATGTACATACTGTTTACCTCTAGATTATGAGAAAATAAGAGCCATTAACTTTATTTTGTTTTTCTCTAGCTCTCTTGAGTTATAATTGATATATACAGACTTGCACATTTTAATGTGTAAAATGTGATGAGTTTGGATACATGGAAACACCCATGATACCATCACCACAATCAATGTATATAAGACAATAGACACATCCAACACCTCCCAAAGTTTCTTTGTGTCCTTTTCTGTGTGACTGTTGTAAGAACATTAAAATAATATTCGCCTTCCACAAATTTTGAAGTGCACATATCATATTAACTATAGGCGCTATGTTGTACAGCAGATCTCTAGAACATATTTATGTACCATAACTGAAATTTTATGTCTACCGAACAGCTCCCCATTTCTCTCTCCTTTCTGCCCCTGGCAACCACCATTCTATTCTCTGCTTCTACGAGTTTGACTATTTTAGATAGCTCATATAAGTGGAGTCATGCAGTATTTGTCCTTCTGTGGCTGGCTTATTTCACTTAGCATAATATCCTGAAGGTTCATCCATGTTCTTGCCAATGGCAGTATTACCTTCTTTTTTAAGGCCAAAAAAATATTCCATTGTATGTATACGCCACATTTTCCTTGTCTATTCATCTGTTGATGAACACTTGAATTGTTTCCATATCTTGGCTATTGTGAATAATGCTGCAACGGACATGAGTGTGCAAATATCTCTTCAAGGTCCTGTCTTCAATTCTTCTGGATACATAACCAATAGTGGGATTGTTGGGTCATATGGTAGCTCTATTTTTAATTTTTTGAGAGCCCTCCATACAGTTTTCCATTATAACTCTACTAATTTACATTCCCATCAACAGCGTATCAGGGTTCCTTTTCCTCCACATCCTTGTCAACTTTCTATCTTTTGTCTTTTTGATAATCACCATCCTAACAGGCGAGAGATGATATCTCATTTTAGTTTTTATTTGCATTTACCTGATAATTAATGGTGTTAAGCATCTTTTCATATACGTGTCGGCCATTTGTATGTCTTCTTTGGAGGAATGTCCATTCAGGTCCTTTGCTCATTTTTGTAATTGGATCTTTTATTTTGGTTTGTTTGGGGAGAAGTTGCTATAAGTTGTAGGAGCTCCATATACATTTTGAAATTTTATCCTTTATGAGACTTGTGGTTTGCAGATATCTTCTCCTCTTCCATTTTTGTTGACTGTTTTCTTTGCTGTGCAGAAGCTCTTTAGTTTGATGTAGTCTCTCGTCCATTTTTACTTTATTGCCTGTGTTTTCAGTGTCATATCCAAGAAATTATTGCCATGACCAATATCAATGAACTTTTACCCCATGTTTTCTTCTAGGAGTTTTACAGTTTTTTCTTACATTGAAGTTTTTAATAGACTTTGAGTTAATTTTTGTGTATGGTGTAAGGCAGGAATCCAATTTTGGTTTTTTTGCATATGGATACCCAGTTTTCCCAGCACTATTTATTAAAGAGACTATCTTTTCCCCACTATATATTCTTGGCACACTTCTAAAAGATCAGAATATTCTTGGATTTAGTTCTGGGTTCTCTGTTCTGTTCCCTTGAACTGCATGTCTGTCTTTATGCCAGTGCCATACTGCTCTAATTACTTAGCTTTGTAATATATTTTGAAATCTGGAAGTGTGATGCCTCTAGCCTTGTTCTTTCTCAAGATTGCTGTGGCTATTCTGGGTTTTTCATGACTTTGAATATGAAGTTTAAAATTGTTTTTTCTATTTCTGTAAAAAGCACCATTGGAATTTTGATGGGGATAGTCTTGAATCCATAGATCACTGGGTAGTTTGAACATTTTAACAACACTAATTCTTCCAATCTATAAACCTGAGGTGTTTTTTCATTTATTTATTTATTTTACATGCTTTAATTTCATGTATCAATGTATCATAGTTTTCAATGTATGTCTTTCACCTTTTTAGTTAAATTTATTCTTAAATATTTTTTTTCCTTTCTTTTTCTTTTTTCTTTTTTTTTTTTTTTTTTTTTTTTTTTGAGATAGAGTCTTGCTGTGTTGCCCAGACTGGAGCATGATTATGGCTCACTGCAGCCTCAACCTCCCAGGCTCATGCGATCCTCTCACCTCAACCTCCCAAGTAGCTGGGACTACAGTAAGTACCACCACGCTTGGCTAAATTTTGTTATTTTTTATTTTTTATAGAGTTGGGTCTTACTTTGTTGTCCAGCTGGTCTTGAACTCCTGGGTTCAAGTGATCCTCCTGCTTCTACCTCCCAAATTGCTGGGATTGTAGGCATGAGCCACTGCACCCAGCCTTTTATTCTTTCTAATGCTACTGTAAAAATGACTTTTCCTAAATTTTTTTCAGCTGGTTAGTAACTGAGTTTTGTGTGTTGATTTTGTATCCTGACACTTTACTGAATTCATTTCTTAGTTCTAACAGGTTTTTTGTGGAGTTTTTAAAGTTTTCTACATATAGGATTCTGTGATCTACAATGTGTTAACCTTAAGTTGTGATTGTTACTATTAATAACAAAAGTTAACATCTCTTGAGCACTTTCTATTTGCAAGGACTGGGAAAGGGATTATCTCATTACATTCTTACAACAATCCATTTTTTGGGTAAGGAAGTTGAGATTTAGAAAGATTAAAATTACCTTTCACAAGATCACAGTGCTACAAAGTGGGGAGTCAGGATTTGAGCCCCAGTATCTGTAAAGCCAGACCCCTAATTCTGAAGCACTCAGCCTTTCTGGGGTGATTACAAGAAGGAAGTCTCAGCAAGGCCAAGAGGCGAGGACTTTCCAGATAATTATGTGATAATTTAGGAGCCGCCTTTCCAGGGCATCTGCAACCTCAGATTATCCAGATATAGACCTACAAGCAGTTTCTAAATCAGCAGCAACTAAAAAGAAATCGATCAAAAAGCCTGTGTTTGGGAGAATAACTCTAGCAACATATCCAGCATCAAAGACAGCTTAAATTAAAAGGAGGCAATGTTTAAAGAGCTTCCCAGACACACCAACAGCTCCCACAAAGCCAGTTGGGACTTTCTTCAAGGTGACTCCATTTATCACCCTTCTCAGGAGACCCTGGTATAGACCTCCTAATATCATCATATCCTGGGGCCTGTAGGTTTCTAGGTCACCACCTATAATACTGGTTGTGACTGTGAGTTATTTGGAGTTTGTGGCACCTTGTATCAGCTGGGATTGGAGAAAAGCAGAAGAGACAGATAGTAGTTCAAAATGGCATTTTTCTAGTAGCTTCTCACATATGTGTACTTCTCCACCTGTGAGCTCCCACCTTCTTGCTCCTCCTGACCAATGCAGAGTAACTGTCCCTTGGCGATATTTCATTTATCATTCAGATAATTTACCATCATCTGGACACGTGTATAGTCTGCATGTCTTATTCATTTCTTCAATTCTTTTATAAGACTTCTTTTATAAGACCTCTTCGTAGGAACAGGAGACTAGGATTTTAGTTAAAGATGCAAGCTGACCTTTCATGTCAAGTGAACAGACTAAGAATATTACATGCTAAGGTCTGATCTTGAACAAGTGTGTCTGCATCTACAGAGGAAGTAAGTCGAGATGGGTAACCATAATGAGATGAAACAAGGTAACAAGACTTTAACATCTTTATGTAAATCTTTGTGTGGATCAGCTCTGTGTTCAGCATACATCGTTCAAATATTTACAAGTACTTAAATTTGTAAATGTAATTTTTCTTCTAAATTCAGTTAAGTAACTCCATTAAGACAGAATCCAAGTCTGATGTCTGATTCATTTTCCCTCCCTTGCCTACCAAGCAAACTACCTGATACAAAGTAGGTACTGACTACATTTTTGATAAATGAGAAACCTGTTAGTATTTCTAAATGCAGCCTATTTCCTACTTTTTCCTCTTTTTTCTGTGTGTTTTTTTTTTTCTCTTTTTTTAGAGACAAGGTCTCAGTCTGTCATCCAGGCTAGGGTGCAGTGGCGCCATCATAGTTAACTGCAGCCTCAAACTCCAGGGCTCAAGCGATCCTCCCACCTCAGCCTCCTGAGTAGGTGGGATTACAGGCGCAAGCCACTGCACCCTAGCTTGTCTTTTTAACTGGAAATCAAAGTGTGGTGATCAAACCTTATGTGTGAATCACACACAATCAAATCTACTATAGTCTCGCTCCACAGCCCTATGAGTTCTTCAGACCAAGACCCAGACCATCATTTGCGGGGCCATGATAAAGAGCCATGGTAAATAGCACTACCTAAATGTTTGAGATAGGACTAGTTCCTCTGAGACTGTATGGCAACAACCAACAACTCTATGTTCCTGTGGAAATGATATGAACCATTCTTAAGAGTGGGTCTGATGGACTTAGACTTCTTGCAAATGGGATCTTTTAAGGAATTATAATACTTCAGAGCCAGAGGGTCTTTATATTATAAATTACCTAGTCCAACCCCTTTAATTGACAGGTGGGTTAGCATAGGTTCAGGAAGACAGGAGTCTCGCCTGGTGGTCACATATCTTGCTGGTAACAAGACCAGATGAGAGGCCCAGCCTGTGTCCTCACTTTTATCCTCTCTAACTTCTGTTCCTTCAGCTCTCCAGTTAAAGCCTTTACTGACTTCCATCTCCATCTGAATTAGATACTCCTCCTACTCACCCTCATAGTACTCTATACCTTTGTACATTTGTCTATAGCACAGTGTGTTGAATGTCTGCCCTCCACCAGAGGTATACAATATCAGCAGCTTTCCAGGCACCAGATAGTCCATAAACACTTGTGGAATAAATGAGTGAATGCAAGCATGAATGAATGAATGAATGAATGAATGAATGAATGAATGAATTCCTCCACAATGCATTTCCCAATACATTACACAACCTTCATTTATTCATTTATCTAGTATAACTTTTTACTTTTCTGTCCAACCCCCCAAATTGTCTTTTCTGCCCATCAAAAAAAAAATGAATGAAAAACTTTAAAGACCAAAAAAAAAAATCTTTTTAGAGAAATAAATGAGAGCTTCTAGACATAAGAGAAACAGAAGTTTTATAAATCATTTTTGAGGACCCCTAATTTTTCAAGGGCTAGGACCATATTTTCTTCATCTCTTTACCTATTGCCTAGCACACAATAGGAATGGCAAGTAACGTGAAATCAAATAAAAGAATTGAAGAAATGAATAAGACATGCAGACTATATGTGTGTCCAGATGATGGTAAATTATCTGAATGATAAATGAAATATCACCCAGAACTTTTTGTTTATGTTTTCTCTAGGATAAGCCATTTACATCTTCTGGACAGAGCCACATTTTGAGAATTAAGCAGGAGGTTCATAGCTCAGCATTTGAACCCAAAGTGAAAATTTGGTCTCAGTCATAGGAGGTGAGGAGCCTCGTCTTTTCGAAAGTGAGAGTAAGTTGAGGGTCACAGAGAGGACAAGGAATACACCATCCCCTGCCCGCCTCAACAGCAGGGTCTCTGGAGCCAGGCTGTTCCCCTCTCTGTATTGAAACTCAGTGATGCTGCAGCATGCTGGCCGAGCAGCAGCTGAAGATAAGCCACCCACCGCTCCAATGGAGCCAGCACACAGCCACGAGAGCAGCAGTGACCGCCCCACACAGCCAGGCTGGCCTGACCTAAAGGCCCTTCAAACAGAAAGCACTTTTCTGAGTTTCAGAGAGACGGATCATAGCCACCCCTGTGGCAGCCTTAGGTTAAGTCCACGAAAGCAAGGGTTAACATACAGTGCTGTGCAGTGAGAGCACCGTCCGTACTATGTTAAACCCCCTTTATATAAAAGGAAAGATCCGACTGTTGTGCAGAAAATCCCTACCCTTTCTGATCGATGCTTCCCACCACTAGGGCATCTAGTAATTTCTGATTCAGTCTCCTGTAGCTTTTACTTCAATGACAGGGCACAGCAGGCCCGGGGCAGACAGCAGCCAGGCTCTGTATGGCAAACCGTCCGCTCTGCCAAGAGGTGTGAGTGTTGGGGGTGATGCACAGAGCAGAGGACGATGTCACTGTGGGGTCGCACTGGGACTGTTTTAAGCCCTGCCCACATCCTCAATCATAGACTTAGAGTTCAAAGGGCTGTTAGGCTGCTGCTCACTGATCTCATCTCAAGGTGATAGTCACCTCTGGCCTTTCAGCAGACAGCAAGCCCGCTGTCCATCCATCTTGAAGCAGCTTGACACTAGATTCTCTACCCATTTCACAGCCAGTGAACATTCCCTATTGATTTATTGATTGGTGTCTGCCTGTGGAGGGAGCTCGGAACAGACTCTGTTCACTCACAACCTCCCGCATGGATTTTTTTTTCCCTCCTTTCTTTTCTCCTTTTTATCCAAGGCATGTTAGCAGTCTGGGGTGCAGCAGGAATTAGAGCATGCAGGAGCCCAATTTACTGTCATGAATGTGCCCAACTCCCATTGGTCAGTCAGTTCTGCTTGTCTTTTCTTTTCCCTTTTTCTTTTTTTTTTCATTTTGCCCCAAACTGGGAATACCCATTCCTTGCCCATTCTCGTTTGCTAGTGAGCCCCTGCTTTCCCTTACCTTTAAGACATTCCTTAAATCCAAGATGGCCAAGCAGAGAGAAGGGAGTTAGGAGAACAAACATACTCTCTCCCCTATTGTATTTTTGCTGTCACATCCCATTGCAGGAGAAGAGCACCTTATTTACAAAAAGAGTTCCTCCTCACCCTCTACTTATGAATAAGCAGTATTTGATTGCATTGAATCATTTATAATTCGATTCTAAGTCATTGCAATTGCACTGGTTTCTCTTCAGGAAAACAACCTTTATCAGCACACTCACCCTTACTGGAATTTCATGAATGAGCACTCAGAAGCCGTGAAATCTGTGTGGTCCTTAAGCTTTTTAATCTGCAGAGCAAGGTTAAGAAAAGTGCCTATAAAGCGAATCCCCTCCTTAAGGGAGAAACAGAAAGCGCAAAATCCTTATAAACAACCACACATCTACCAGGTATAAGGTGCAACAATAGAAATCATTGAACCACAGCTAATGTGTCTTATAAGGAGACCACATGGCTATGCTTAGTAGCAGTTACTTTCAACCATCTCAGACAATCTACAAATCACATCTCTGGATTCCACAGTTCTTCACTACCTTTGGAGTTTTTAGAGAAAGGAACCATTTGTCTCCTTATAGTAATTAGGTAGAACAATGACTGTGGTATCTTATGAGTAAAATATTGCATTGATCTGGACACTGGATACCCAGGTCACATGTTAGTCACAAATACATTTTCTCAAAAAAAATAATAATTGGTTTTGTTTAAATTAAACAAACCATTCTCCCAAGAGCAAAATTTCCCAAAGACAGAGGGGCAAGGCTGCCTCAAATGCCTGTTATCCAGTCTCAGTGTTCTAAAAAGTGTAGAGAGTGATTTCAGTCCTCTGAGGCTACATAGCCCCATTTTAATCTGACCTCAAAACACCTTCTCATTCTACTTGTAGCCACTAGTTGTCTAAGAGACCTTACGTGACCAGTATAAGCTAGTGGCCTAGGTTTCCATCTGCTGATTTAATCATATAAGCATGTGACAGGTTTTTGTTAATTAGCTGTATTTAATCCTTTTTAAAAATTTAATTGGTCTCAAGATTCCAGTGGTAAACAATCGAAGTAAGGAAAAACAGAAACAAAATTTGAAAATATAAATTAAATAAAAATATAAAATAAAAAAGGTGAAATAAACGTCTTGTAGGCAGTATAAATTGGTAAAACCATTTTGAAAAATAATGAAACAAGATATACCAATAGTTTTTAAAATGTAGACTACGTATATCCTTTTGATTTAATCTAAAGGAATAATTTTAAATAATTTTTTAAATTATGCTTTAAAAGATTCACAGCAGTGGATATAAAAATAGACACAATAAAGGGGAAACAATCTAAATTTCAAAAATATGGAATGATCAAGTTGTGATATATTCACTCAATATAATGAGCTATTATAAGTCATAGAAGACTATAAAGAAAACATAATAAGGAGAAGCTCCTCTACTGTAATATTAAGTGGAGGGAACTGCCAACTATTATCAACAATATAATTATAACTAGATGGAAGAAAATGAGCCCAGAGAAAATATAGTGACAAGAAGTTCTCTAAATGCCAGTTAACGTCAGGTTGAAATTATGAGATTATACTATCATCAATTCTTCTCTTACCCAAATATTCTTCTTTCAACCTGCATGCATAATATTTCTAATAAAATTTTAAAACTTGGAAAAAGTAGAATAAGTTGCCTTTGAAATCATTTGGGCTGGCTCTCAAATGTGTAATAACATTTAGTACTTTTATTTTCCTTACTGAAAAGTCACCTATGGAGAAAAGGTAAGGGTCTGAGCTGTTTGCTTTGGCAACATGGTTTTGAAAGCCATTGGAATTTTTTCCCATAAACAGTAGAAAGATTTTTAGCACCGGACAGCAGGCAAAGCAACAATAGGACAACAATGACTGGATATATTGAGATCCTGTAGTGTGGTTAAAAAACAAAAAGGAGCCTATAGTGTGGTTAAAAAAAAAAAAAAAAAAAAAAAAAAAAGGATGGGGACTGGATGCGGTGGCTCACACCTGTAATCCCAACACTTTGGGATGCTAAGAGGGGGGTGAATCACAAAGTCCGGAGTTCGAGAGCAGCCTGGCCAACATGGTGAAACCTCATCTCTACTTAAAATACAAAAAATTAGCTGGGCGTAGTGGCAGGCGCCTGTAATCCCAGCTACTTGGGAGGCTGAGGCAGGAGAATTGCTTGAACCCGGGAGGCAGAGGTTGCTGTGAGCCGAGATTGAGTCACTGCATTCCAGCCCTGGCGACAGAATAAGACTCCGACTCAAAAAAAAAAAAAAAAAAGAAAGAGGGGGTGGTGCCTTTAAACACTTTGGATTCTAGACCCAATACTGCCATTAACTAATTGGGGAAAAACATCACTAAACTTTTTTATACTTTATACTTTAGTATTTTTTTCCATTCAATCAGATAAAATCATTTTTAATTCCTACATAACATACAAAGTATAATGAACCACTGGATAAATGTGCAAAATACCTGACATCACTAAGTTCCAGCTCTCAGTCCTCTCTCTAGAATAATGATTATTTGATTCCTTTTACCCTTCTTCTGGTTGGACTGGCCACTCTGTAAAGTAGCCCCTCAGTTTTGTCATCCAGAATGGTGTCAGTGTAGACGTCACTCATCCCTGTGACAGGATGATTGTGCAGAAAAATGGCACAGCCACCTGCTTTTCAGGGAGGTGCTGGCCAATGGCGCAGGCTGCCAGGGGGGTGCGGCAGGACACCAGGCTAAGCCAGTCCATTGACCTGCATATATCTGAGAGTGGGGCTGTAAGAACAAACAAGGCTGAACTGTTTAAGCCCAGATGTCCCAGCAAGAGAACAAAGGTTGAACTAGGCATACTTTTAACAAGGTTAAGTCAACAGTTGGACAGAATTTTCTACCTAGAAATCACTTACCATGGGGAGTCACAGTCATTAGATCCAAGCATCACATGAATGCGTTATCCACAAAACTGGCCAGGACACTAAATGACAGAATTTTCTACCTGGAAATCACTTATGATGGAGAGTCACAATCATAAGATCCATGCATCACATGAATACATTATCCACAAAACTGGCCAGGATACTAAGTGACCTTACCAAAAATAAATACCAATGCTTCTCCCTGAGCTACTCTAAGAGTAAGTTACAAGTCACTTACAAGAGCCACAGAGGCAGGTTTTCAACTGATTCCTCTATTCAACCAACATCGATCAAGCTCCTATGATGTGTTAAGCAAAGGGCATGGAAAGAATAGGCCTAGTCCTGGTCTCTGAGGAATTTTCAGCTCACTGGAAATAATAACCAAATGTTACACACATAGCATCCTGCATACGATCTGATGCTTTCAACTCAGTGCTGCATTTAACCTCCCAGTATCTCTGTGAGGTCTTGCTATGGAAAAACATAGCCACCTATGACTGGGCATAGACTGTCAGACTGAAGAAAGGATGTGATTCGAAACAAAGGAGTTTCCTCTGTCCATGTTTGGCACAGCTAATTATCCCAAGATAGAGTATTAAATAGGCAGAGAGTGTGGCAGGCCTATAAGTTAAAAGAGTATGTAAGAATTAGAGTGGTTTTTTCATAGTGTGCTATTCTCTGCTACAAAGGAGGGAAGAAACACGTTTGCATGTTCCCTACCATGATGTGCCCTGACAGTCCCAGGGAGGAGTCCTAAGGAGAAGCAAAGTGCCTTTGGACCCTCAGGTCAGAATGGAGGTGCCTGTACTTCCTAGGAGTACTTATTGCCCGAGTTGGTTTCAATCCCGGCCCTGAGGTCCAGGGAACCTGGAGTTGATTAGAGGAAGCTCCAAGGAAGACCCTGGAATTGACCCTTCCAGCTGCAAACCTGGAGCTTATTTTTCTCATCAAGAAGTCCAGAGTTCACACACCAGGAAACTGTTTGCTCAGGAAGTAGAAAGAACTCATTCACCTTCATTCTACTCAAACCAACTCTCTGCCCGCTGCCTCACTCTTGCTCCCCCTGAGTAAAAGCCATGGAAAACATCACATAATATCGAAGTTTGAATGATTCTTAAAACTTCTGTTGTCCAGTCCCTCGTTTCAAAAACAGGAAAATGAGGGCCCATAAAGAGATCATCCCTTGCCTAAGGTCACTCAACCCACCTCCAAACTCTTCATGACACAGGTCAAGGCAGACTTATCTGCTCATATACATTCATGCATTTATTCACACATACAATCCTAGAGCAAGTGAATGGCACCCTTAGAAGCCATGTGTGTAGACTATATATTTGTTATTTTAAGGACCACTTGGGCTAGATGTAACTTTGGCTCACACCATAAAGGAAATACAGTTCGGCGGAGTACTTCTGTCCCATGTCTATATTATGAATATGAACTTGAGGGCAAAAGCGAACACAAATTAAGACACTTATATTATCTTAAAGTGACTTCACCAATGTTGGCATTGGTATTTCTCATTGATTAGAAGCTGCTTTGACTTATTCACAGCTTAATGTTGCTTATTAGAGAAAACAAATTAGACTCCTAACCATCCAATGCACCTGAGGTGTACTTACAGCTTTCAACACACAGTGGTTAGACAAGCTGATCATGATACAAAATCATTCATTCTTGCCACCTTTCTGCCAGACTATTCCTGCACCCCACTCCCATCTCTCTGGTGCCCTCTGTTCGACCACTTGCTGATGCTATTTGCCAGAGAGTGAAGGTGTCTGTGAGCTTTGAAAATTGGATCACAGGAGCAGCTCCACGCTGGCCCCAATCACGCTGACGGCAAGACTGATCAATCAATACCCTGTGTGACACTTTCAGAATTCACTGGAAATGATGCCCTTTTCAAATGACACCCACATTTTATCGAGGGCAGTTCTAGTGAAGAAAAAAAAACACCACACCAATATGTTTTTCTTAGATATATCTGGTTTCAGTAAACTTTGTTGGTTAAGACCAATAAGTCTGTATCTCCAACCTCTCCCCATCCAACCCAGCCTTTGAAAAAGAAGGAGATGCAACGTTTAGGCAGCTTTGCAAGCTGACATTTTCCTGAGCCCTTAAATCTCACATATAGAATAGAAAGTGGCCATGCTTCTTTCAATGCAATGAGTATTTTAAAATTCTAGGTTTGTTGTGGACTTCCAGCACACCAGACTCATACAGAAAACAAATGAAAATTTTCTTCCAGAATGAAAGGCTTAAAATTGCCAGGGTCCTGTTCTAAATACTTTGAGAGGGTTAACCACTACCTGTCTCATATAATGCTGGGATATACAATGGCAATGCTTTGCTTTATATGCAGGAGGGTGCAAGAGGGAGGGAAGGACAAAGTGTCAGGTACCTGGACCAGCCCAGAAGGTCAGCCAGTGCTGCTTAACAAAACCAGGTGGAACACTTTGGTTTAATTGCTAAATTCTAACGAGGCTAGAAGGTTCCCAGTGCATCCCAACATTAGGCATCCCACCCAGGCCCCCAGAGCGGAGGTTACAAAAGGCCTTGAGGGACTAAGGAATGAGAGAAGTGACTCTTCTGACTGGAAGACTCAGGAGGAAAGAATGAGAGAAGAGAACAAGCAGAATTAGGATCCCAGGTGTCACCATTTAAACAAAACCCCACATACCAGCAGTTAAGAGCAATGGTTCTCAACTTGAGCAGGCATCAGCCTCATTGGGAAGGCTCATTAAAACAAAGGTTGTTAGGCCTCATCCCTAGAGTTTCTGATTCAGTAGGTCTGGAGTGGGGCCTAAGAATGCATTTCTAACAAGTTTCTGTGTAAAGCTGCTGCCTCTGCTCTGGGACCACAGTTTGTAGACTACTGATTTAGAGCACCTTTAAATAACCTACAAATCAAATAAACCCAGCTGTGTAAATAGCACCAGAATCATTTTTATTTTATTGTGCTCATCAGGGTAGATATGATAGAGCATATCTTTAATGGAACCAATTTTCCAAAGTGTTGTCAGGTTTTGGTTTTTGTTTTGTTTTTTCTGCCTGGTACTGTGAAAGAACAAAGGTGGACTATGAATTTTCTTCTCTGACAATGACAATTCTGCAAACAAAACAGGCACGTGACTAGTTCTTGACAGTCCAAGCTCCCCTTAGGGTTCAGGGAGCAATCATCAGGGCCTGGAGTATCCAGGTCAACTGAGTTAACCAGATGCTGGTCAATCATGGGGCTCTGGGCTGTCACAATGAATGGGCAATCAATGGGCCATCCCATTCAGTTGTTGAAACACTCAAAATCTAATGCCTGACCATTTCAGGATCTGGTTATCATGAAATCCAAGGGAGCTATCTTTAAATAGCCAAGGTTTCAAATATAAAGCAATGTGATTGGTCTCTTAGCAATTTTCTCCCTCAGCCAATCAGGTTAATTAGCAAGAACTGCCAAAAAGTTTCTAAAATAAAACAATTAATATAAATACTCTCCATATTTCTAGCAGGATTTCAAGAAGATTTTATGAGAAACTACTATTTCCTTTTTTAAAAAAATACCAAATGGAGGCAAACCTGTGAACACTAGAATATTAAAATTGAATATAGCATACACTTCTCCTGCTGTGAGCCTCCCTGTATACAGAATTCCAGTACCTGTTGATTTGCTTCTGTGCAGCTTTTCAGCAATGGGGAGAATTTCACTTTCAGTTACAGTGTATGAGATTTATGAATCTCTCCGACTGCGGATAATTAGAAAAAGAGAAAGTGGTGTAGGGAATAGGAAAAGGAGCAAAACAGACAGCAGAACACGAGCTGGAGTTTTTGCAATGTTTTCTTTCTCCCTTAGGATGTGGAAAGAAGGTAAAACCTGGCCTCAGAACTGCACTCCTGTGACTTTTGCAAGGCAGGAAACAGAGATGTGAGTATGGTGGCTGAGCGTGCTCTGGCATGAAACTAGCTGAGCAGAGAGAGTTTCTAAATCTCTGTATCAGGATAGAAGGTGAGAAATGCCTGCTCAGTGAGATCGAACCGGTTAAATAAAATTTCCTCAAAGATTTGAGGTTTACCTGTTTGTTAGTTTTTGTTTCCCTCATTTTTCTCCGTTGTTAATATCCAAGTCACTGCATTTCTAAACAGGAGTAGAACCTGAGAGATGGGAGGCAACAACTCTAAGTCATCAGAAAAGGCACTAAATACTTTAACAGTGGAGAAGACACAAAGAAAAGCCCTTTCAGCATGCCTGCTACCTGGAAATAAAAGAGGAGTGATGAATTCATTTTTTTAAGTGTTAAAACAATGGTAGAAGAAATCTGAAAATAGTTTTCAGTACCAAGGAGTGGCAAATCTAAATTAACTGTCATGTAACTTTTATAACCACCTAATAATGAGTAATATGGCATTGGCATTCTCTTTATTTAGTGTACTAATTTTACTGTCTTATTTTCATGTCATAAAATAGTTTAAATGATTTTTGTGTATCTGTCCACTTCCTCATTTTTCCAATGTCTTATCTATAAGATCATCTGATTCTCAACTATGAATCCTCCTATTAGATGTCTTGCAAATCCTTACAGATTTGGAAGCAACTCCTATGTATACATAGGAGTAGTATGAAAGTTCTATGCAAGTCAATAAGCTCAAATCAATTACTGGAACTGTGTGTTGTGCTATACAACTCAGGGGGTGGAAGAACAAAGAAAGACAGGAAAGATAGTAAAACATGTTCCTCCACCTGAAAGAGTTCACAATACGTGGTGAGAATAGATTAAAAAACACCAAACCATAGTAGATGTGGGAAATAAAGAAAAGGGATCCAAAGTGTTTCAGGACCACTGTTTGTGTGAAACTGGCAAAAAGGAAGGTTCTAGAAGTTTTCACAATGGAAGACACATTTAAACTGAACCTGTGAACAACACAGGCGTTTGCCATGCTAAAAATGGAGAGCAGAGGAAGGGAGCATTCTAATCAATGTTCATGACCTGTTAAAGAAACCTCCCTGTATCAATCAGGGTTTATAGCCACCATAAGTATTACAGGAATCAGGGATTTATTTTAGGAATTAGACCTTACACAACTGTGGGAGGAGCTGGGGAAGTGAAGGTCAGGATATCAGAGGAGAAGTCATTAACCAGTCTACCTAGAGCACTAGCAAGGGAAGAAAAGTTGAAGCTTGCAGTGAAATCCAAGAAACCAATTTATCTAGCCACCAAAGTGAAACCACAAAGGAAGAGCTTGTGGACAGGACTAGAGGAAGCTATGGTCTCTAAAGATCACAACCTCTGCACACTCATAGTCAAGAGTCTTGTAGTGGGCTTGAGACCACTACTGGTCAGCAGAGCAGCATTTGGGAAGATGTGTTAGACACAGAGAAGAGGAGAGCCATGATCAGCTAGAACCCATCAGGTTCTGTATCTGACTGGGACAAACTTCCAAATTAACAACTGCTGCTTCTCTCCCACCTCCCGAATTTCATTCAAGTTCTTCCTTCAGACATCTAACTGGGAACCCTACAAAGAAGGGTTTCTAAGAAATAGAATTCCCAACTTAACCAAATTGGTGTTGCCAAATCTCAAGGAAGTTGTAAGAAGGAAAACTGGAAAGGGTTCTTTGACACCAAGTAATTTCTTCTTGGTTCTGAAGAAATTGGAGCGTCATTAAAGGTTTTATCAGCAGACTGCATGTCCAATTTCTCTTTATTAAAAATAACTTAAGTGACTACGTGCTGTAACTCATAGATAGGGAAGGGAGAGAAGGTGATTTCATGTCTCCCTGAGTTGACTCAAGTTATTTCTTCTCTCTCAATTGCTCTTCTTGCACATCCAGTGAAAAACTCTTACTCCTCACAGATTTCATTCAGACATCACCTCCTCTGAGAAGCCTCCAATGACTTTCCACTGCATATCCTCCATTTCTCCCTTTGGGCTCCCATAACATCTTGTACATACTACTATTAAAGCACTTTTCATATTGTGGTGTAATTTTCTGCTTTTATGGTTGTTTTTCTTCAGTAAACCATAAGTTCCTTGTGAAAGGGGACTATGCTTTATTTCTCACTGTTTACCCAAGATCTTGTTGATAGTAAGTGCTCAAAAGACAGAGAGTGAAGAAATGAATGAATGGTAAATGATTGAGTGAAAAAGAAGCCTATTGAGGATGTTAATGCAGTAGTTAAAGCTAAAGGTCCAAAAGGCTTGGATTAGAAGAGTGGCAATGGGGATGCAGAAAGTGGGGAATAGCCAAGTAACATTTAGAAACAGACTGCCTAGGATTTGTTTGATACCCATTGAACATGGAAGATGTGGGAGATAGACCCTGATAAATGTTTAAAATGAGGGTATAAAGTTATAGAATAAATCATAGTAAGTTTCATCAAAGAGATGAAATTGTTACAACATTAAGAAGATTATGTCTCCATAAAATAAAATATAATCAAAGCACTTCCCAACAAATGGGCCTAAATTAGCGGTGGCTAGCTTAAAAGAGGTGAATACTATTATATGTTAGAATTTTCTGCAGGAAACCTTAATTCCTAAGCTTCTATCTCTACTTTTTATTTTGTTTCACTTGGCAGTTACCACTGGGTGACTTTAATGGAATCAAAAGAACTGTAACAACACATAATGACTTTTAATGCAATTTTGACATGAGGCATCATTGGTATCATTGGCGTATTGCAGATTTTCAAAATGGCTCCACACTGAGCTAAGGAAGGCCAGGAAGCGCTCTCTCTCTCTCTCTCTCTCTCTCTCTCTTTCTCTTGCTGTGTCTCTTCAAATAGGCTGAATCTCCTTTCATATAGACTTGGGTTTGAATTTCAGCTTCACTCTTTATTAGCTGAATGATCTTAGGCAAGTTTTTTAGCCTTCTAACCTCACTGTCTACATCTGTAAAATTGCTATAACACCAATTCCTGTATTTTATATGTTAAACGCTTAGGGAAATATCTGACTGGTGGGGTAATTCTGGTTTTTTTTTTTTTAGTATTTTCTTCTATTTGAAAGAGTTTCAAATAAAGTAATATATATCTATGGCAAAAAATTCAAAAACACCTCTTGAAGTTCATTGAAAAATTCTTCTTCTCTTCCTTTCTTCTAGTCACATAGTTCTTTAGCCAAAGGAAATTACTATTATTCACTTTAGAAATAGGCCACACATTTTCCATATACATAAATTTTGTATATCCATACTATTCTGAACTCTGTTTTTTTGTTCACTTAATATTGAAAGACTTTCAGATAAGTATACATTGCACTGTGTCATTCACTTTTTTAACAGCTGTTTCATATTTTATTGTATGGATTATTCATAAATTATTTAACTGGTCTCTATTAAAGAACATTTCAGTAGCTTCTAATCTTTTTACATTTCAGTGTTGCAATATCCTATAAATGCATCACTTCACTGATATATGATTGTATTATAACATAAATCAAAGTGGAAATTTTGGTCAAAGATATGCATATGTATATTTTTCTTTTCTTTTTAAATCATTTTAAGGAAAGTGCACAAAATTTTAAAATGCACATCTCAGGAGGTGGGGCAAGATGGCAGAACAGAAGCCCACACCGTTCATCCTCCCCACAGCAACAGCAAATTTTAACAACTATTTGCACACAGAAAAGCACTATCACAAAAAACAAATCAAAAATAACAACAACTTTTCAAGACATAGACAGTAAAATATGACATAAGGAAAAGCAACAAAAAGTTTAAAAAGTGAGGATGAAGTTAAAGTATAGAGTTTTTATTATTTTTCTTTTTGAATGTTTGTTTATGTGATCAGTGTTAAGTTGTCATAAGTTTAAAATAATGGGTTATAGGATAGTATTTGCAAGCCTCACAGTAACCTCAAATCAAAAAACACACAAAAAAGTACAAAAATTAAAAAGCAAGAAATTAAGTCATACCACCAGAGAAAATCACCTTCATTAAAAGCAATACAGGAAAAAGAAAAAAAGAAGAAAGGACCACAAAACAAGCAGAAAATAAATAACAAAATGGCGTAAGTCCTTACTTATCAATAACATTGAATGTAAATGGACAAAACTCTCCAATCAAAAGACACAGAGTGGCTAAACTGATGGAAAAAAACGAGACCCAATGATATGTTGCCTACAAGAAATATACTTCACCTATTTAAAAAAAAAAAGAACACATGCACTGAAAATAAAGGGATTGAAAAAGATATTCTACGCCAATGGAAATCAAAAAAGAGCCTTTCAATCTAAAAGGTCTTTAAATCTAAGATCTCAAACTATGAAACTACTAAAAGAAAACTTTGGAGAAGCTGTAAAGGACATTGGTCTGGGCAAAAATTTCTTGAGTAATACCCCAGAAGTACAGGCAACCAAAGCAAAAATGGACAAATGGGATCACATCAAATTAAAAAGCTTCTACACAGCAAGCAAGCAACAAAGTGAAGAGATAACCCACCAAATGCAAGAAAATATTTGCAAACACCCCATATGACAAGGGATTAATAACCAGAATTTATAAGTAGCTCAAACAACTCTATAGAAAAAAAATCTAATAATCCAATCAAAAGATAGGCAAAAGATCTAAATAGACATTTCTCAAGATAAGACATACAAATGACAAGCAGGTACATGAAAAGATGCTGAACATCATCTACCATCAGAGAAATGCAAATCAAAACTAATATGAGATATCATCTCACCCCAGCTAAAATGGCTTATAAATAAAAGACAGGAAATAACAAATGCTGGAGAGGATACAGAAAAGAAGAGAACCCTCATATACTGTTGATGGGAATGTAAATTACTCCAACCACTATGGAGAACAGTATGGAGCTTTCTCAAAAAAAAAAAAAAAAAAAAACCTAAAAATAGAGCTATCATATGATCCAGCAGTTCTACTGCTAGATATATACCCAAAAGAAAGGAAATCAGTATATCAAAGAGATATCTGCACTCCACTATTTATTGCAGCACTGTTCATAGTCGCCAAGATTTGGAAGCAACCTAAGTGTCCATCAACAGATAAATGGATAAAGAAAATGTGGTACATATACAAAATGGAGTTCTATTAATCTATAAGAAAGAAGGAAATCCTGTCATTTTCAACAACATGGATGGAGCTGGAAATCATTATTTTTTTTAAATAAACCAACCACAGAAAGACAAACATTGCATGTTCTCACTTATTTATGTGATCTAAAAATCGAAACAATTGAACTCATGTAAATAGAGAGTAGAAGGATGGTTACCAGAAACCAAGAAGGGTAGTGGGGAGTGCAGGGGGAGGTGAGGATGGCTACTGGGTACAAAAAAAACAGGAAGAGTGAATAAGACCTAGTATTTGATAGCACAGCAGTGTGATTATAGTGAATAATAATTTAATTATACATTCTAAAATAACTGAGAGTATAATTGGATTATTTGTAACACAAAGGATAAATGCTTGAGGGGATAGATACCCCATTTTCCATGATGTCATTATTAGTCATTGCATGCCTGTATCAAAATATCTCATGTACTCCATAAATATATATACCTACTATGTACCCATAAAAATTAAAAATTAAAAAAACTGTACTTCTCAATTATCACAGTGACATCCTGTGATGGTTAATATTGAGTGTCAACTTGACTGGATTGAAGGATACAAGGTATTGTTTCTGGGTGTGTCTGTGAAGGTGTTGCCAAAGCATTTGAGTCAGTGGACTGGAAGAGGTAGACCCACCCTCAATCTGGGTGGGCACCATCTAATCAGCTGCCAGCACAGCTAGGATAAAAGCAGGCAGAGAAACATGGAAGAACTAGACTGGCTGAGTCTTCCAGACTTCATCTTTCTCCTGTGCTGGATGCTTCCTGCCCTCAAATATCAGACTCCAAGCTCTTCAGCTTTTGGACTCTTGGACTTACACCGGTGGTTTGCCGGGGCTCTAGGGCCTTTGGCCACAGACTGAAAACTGCACTGTTGGCTTCCCTGCTTTTTAGGTTTTGGGATTCAGACTGGCTTCCTTGCTCCTCAGCTCGCTGAGAGCCTATTGTGGAACTTCACTTTGTGATCATGTGAGTCAATACTCCTTAAGAAACTCCCTTCCGTATATACATCTATTCTATTAGCCCTGTCTCTCTAGAGAACCCTGACTAATACACATCCCACTTCCTTGGCCAAGAAACAGAATGTTTCCAGAATCTCAAAAGCCTCATCCTAATCACCAATCTTTATAGTCCCCTAAGACAACCTCTGTCCTGGTTTCCATGACAATACCTTCTTACCAACTCTCACTTCCAAAAATGCTTCACCAAACACCACAGCCTACTCTTGCCTGCTCTTCATACTCTTCATTAACAGAGTCATAATGCAGATATGCTTTCAAATCCTTCATTTGTTCAACATTGTACTTGTAAGAGGAATTCATGTTGTTGCACTTACATGTAGTTTATTCATTTTCATGGCTGTATAGTATTTCATTATATGAGTATACCATAATTTATACATCCATTCTAGATAAGACATTTGGGTTGTGTCAACCATTAAAATAATGTTTTTATGAACATTCTCGTATATGTCTCCTGGTACATATGAGTTCCCATTTATGCGGGGTATAAATCTAAGACTGTAATTGCTAAGTCAAAGAATACATGTATCTTTGTCTGTCCTTAGTAGATAATACCTTACTGTTTTCCAAAGTAGTTGTACCAGTTTACACATCAATGAATGTGAGTTCACCTAGTTCTACATCTTCAACACTAGGCATTTGTCAGTCCCATTAAGCATAGCAATTCATGAAGATGGCAAATAGTATCTTCTTATGGTTTTAATTTTAATTATTAAAGAAGTTAGGCAAATTTTCATGTATGTTTAGGCCATTTGAATTCTATATTTTGGGGAGTACCTATTCAAATCTCTTGCTTATAGGTTATTTCTCTTAATTTTTCCTTTTTATTTTTCACATTTTGAATACAAAGACTTTGTAAGTAGATTTCAAATATGTAATATTTCTTGCAAATACTTTCCTTCTTTCTGTTTTGCCTTTTCACTTTCTTTTGATAAAAAGAAATTCTTAATGTTAATGTAGTCATATTTGCCCTTTTTTTATAGTTAGTGTTTTTTCCACGTTGGACCACAAAGATATTCTCCTAAGTTATCTTCTAGGCTGTTACTGTCTTGCCTCTCACATTTACATCTACCTGGAATTGATTTTTTTTATGGAGTGATGAAGGGGTCAAGTTTCTTGTTTTCCATGTTTTTACTCATTTTTCCTAGCATAATTTATTGATAAGCCTGAGCTTTCCCAACCATTTTGGTGTGCCACCTTTGTCATAAATTTAATGTTCATCTATCTGTGGTCAATTTCTGAACTTTCTATTATAGCCCACACTTTTATTTGCTTATATCTTATCATCTTCTGACTTGCCCTTTTTCAAGAATGCCTTAATTATTCTTGACCCTCTGAATTTTCATTTAAATTTTAGAATCAGGTTGTTTCCACCAAAAAAAAAAAATGAGCTTTTTATTGGGATGAGGATGTTTATTGGGATTGAACTGAAAAGGTAAGATTGAACGGCATTAACATCTTTCTTATATTAAATCTTCAAATCTATATACATTTTTTCTTCCAGTTATTTATATATTATTCTTAGTTTTATGGTATGCTTTGTGGTTTTCTGCATAGATGTCTTACACATCTGCATTAACCCGTTTTCATGCTGCTGATAAAGACATATCTGAGACTGGGAAGGAAAAGAGGTTTAATTGGACTTACAGTTCACGTGGCTGGGGAGCCCTCAGAGTCATGGCGGGAGGTGAAAGTTACTTCTTACATGGCAGCAGCAAGAGAAAATGAGGAAGAAGCAAAAGCGGAAACCCCTGATAAGCCCATCAGGTCTCTTGAGACTTATTCACTATCATGAGAATAGCATGGGAAAGACTGGTTCCCATGATTCAATTACCTCCTCCTGGGTCCCTCCCACAATACATAAGAATTCTGGGTGATAAAATTCAAATTGAGGTTTGGGGGTGGATACAGCCAAACCATATCAACATCATGTTTTAGATTTGTTTCTAGATAATTTATATTTTTACGCTATTGTAAATCGTATTTTTATTCATTTCATAGCTGTTTATTACAGGTATATAAGTTCACAGTTTATATTTCAATATTGACCAGTAATACTATAAGTCATGCATTAACTAAAGTCATGTATTACTAATGTTATCTGTACATTCTTTTGAATTTTTTCATAAAATCATATCATTTTTTGTAATCCTTTTATTTCTCCCTTCCAATCTATATACCTTTTTTCTTTTGGTTTTTCTGCCTCTTTGCACTGGATAGCATTTCCAGTATAATGTTGAAGAGAAGTGGTGATACTGAGGATCTTTCTGTTATTTCTAATCTCCAAAGAAGAGCATTTAACCATTAAGTATAAAATTATAGTAGACTTTTTATAGATATCTTTTACCATTAGGAAAATCTTCCTGTATTCCCAGTTTACTAAAAAATTCTTATTATGAACCAATGTTAAATTTTATTCAATGCAATTTCTGAACTTATTGAAATGGTCGATTTTTTCTCGTTTACTCTAAGTTAATTTCACTGATTTCAAAGGCTAAAGCAATCACATTTGATTTGTAACATTTTTATTAGGTTTTTTTAATACCTCTATGCCTATAAGTGAGATAGGCTTTATACTTGATATAAAATGTGTCTGGAATATTCTTTTGTGTAACATGATAGTTATTTTGGTCCTAAATGTCTGATATAATTTCTTATCTGATCTGATCTAGAGTTTTGTTTGTAGGAAAAGCTTTAATTTCAGATTCAATTTTCTTAACAGTTAAAAGACTATTCAGATTTTCTCTTTCTTCAGATGTCTTTTAATAAAATTGTACTTCTTTAAGAATGTGTTCATTTCCCCTAAATTTTGTAAAGTTTTGCTATAAAGTTATTCATAATAGTTTCTTATCATTTCAATATCTAGGACCTGAGATAATCACTTTTTTATTCTTGACATTGATTCCTCTCTGTTTCTCTCTCTTTCTCTCTCTTTCTGTGTGTGTGTGTGTGTGCATGTGTGTGTGAGTTTGTGTGTCTCCCTCTCTTGGCCTCACCAGAAACTTCTCAGTTTTAATAGCTTCTTCTAAAACCAACTTTTGCCTATATTGATGTATTGTACATTTATTTTTTGTTTTCAACTTCATTATTTTCTACTCTAACATTCATTATGACATTTCTTCTGCTTTCTTTGGTTTGATTTGCTGTTATTTCCCAACTTCTTAAGACGGATGCCTAGCTCATTAATTTCAACCTCCCATTTTTCCTAACTTATGTACTTAAAGCTATAAATTTCCCTATAAGCAAAGCTTTTTACTATATTTCACAAGTTTTGATATGTAACATTTCCAAAATCATTCAGTTGAAAGTATTTTAAAATTTCCATCATGATTTCTTCATTGAGCCATGGGTTATTGTTTAGAAGTATATGTCTTCATTTTCCAAAGGTTTGTGAATTTTATAGTTTCATTTTTGTTATTGATTTCTGGCTATGATTTTTTTTATTTCAATGAGTGAGCTGATTTCAGTCCAGAACAAGATTTTGTACTTCCAGGTGCACTATCCAAATGGTTCATGTGTGGAGCCAAGTCACAGCTAAGATTCAACATCCTGAGTCACATTTCAAAGCTGGGTATATAGCCAGCACATCTCACTAGCTCAGAGTTACTTTAATAAATGGCAACCATCTTTACATGTAAGATTCTGTTGTTCAGACCAGAAACTATTTCTCCCGCTCTAACTCTACTTACAAATGATTTCCTGGAGCTAAGCCAAAAACCCCAACAGGAAAGTGCTAAAATGGTGTACTAGTACAGATCCTTAGTACCGGGCACTACTCCATAAGAAGCTACCATATATCCTACCTATGTCGAAGCTACCCCCTCAAGTTATGTAGGCTCTCTGTGTGACCACACACAGCAGCCCTGCCCTCTTCCCACACTAAGCCTCAGCCAGACAGATCCATTTTCCTTAGCTAAAATGCCAGCTGAAGTAGGTCAGAAACCATGTATATTCAACCTTGTGTCTCCTGTGACATTTAGCTCAATTCCTAGCACCTGTGTTCAATAAATGTCTGTTGATGGATAAAGTAAAGGATGAATATCTGGACAGAGAGTCAGATAACAGAAGAAATTGAGCAAGTTTATTTTCTCCTACAAAGGACTGAGATCCTTTTTAAAATAGAGGTGGAATAAACATAAACTTAAATCAAGTTTCATATAACATAGAAAGCCAGCATCTATGAAAAGGAAAAATAACAAGACAGTCATCCTCTGAAATAATGGAACTTAAACCTATGAAGGAGAACATACAAGGTGAAACTATTAAAAACTAAATGTTGGTTGAAAAGGCAGTTGGATTCAAGAAAATTTAAAATGATGACAGGGTTTTTTTCTCCCTCCCAGATGCAGATAAAAGGTATTAGAATGCCTCAGCCACTTGGAAACAGCAAGATAGTGCATAAAGATAAACTCTGGAGCTTTACTTCAAGAAGGAAAATGGGAATCCACCAGAATCATGATGGGCACCACAGATACTGGGGAGGAGAACGCCAGCAAACAGCTCCTGTGACATTTAGCTGATAAAAGTGAGTGAAGCCTGAGTACCTCAGAGAGGCAAGTAGCCTCCCTCTATGACTCACATTTCCACTGGGGATCAGAGCAACCCAGGCTGAGGGAGAGCACTTTGTTTCCCATAAGTGTGGGAGCTAATTTGGGGAAAGGCTTGGAGACAATGTAAGGGAAAGACACAAGAAAAAGCTGCAGACATTTTCCCAGACCCAGGACGGAGAACAGGACACCATTTTTAGCCCAGGCACATACAAAGTCAGCCATTCTTTGGTGACCTGGCAGCATGAACGTCAGGCATTTTAATATCAGACCAGAGACTGGAATGCCTGCTCTCGAGTGAGGGAGAAAACTATCCTAAATATATACACACCCAACATTGGAGCACCCAGATTCTAGACTTACTAAAAGACTCGGAAAACCACACAATAATGTGGGGGACTTCAACATCCCACTGCCAGTGTTAGACAGACCATCAAGGCAGAAAACCAACAAAGAAATTCTGGACTTGAATTAGACACTTGACCAACTAGACCTAATAGACATCTACAGAATACTCCACCCATCAATCACAGGATATATATTCTTCTCATTTTCACACAAAACATAACCCAAGATCAACCACATGTTTATCCATAAAACAAGTCTCAATATATATTTAAAAATAAAAACATACCAACCATGCTCTTGGACCACAGTGGAAGAAAAAATAGAATTCAATACCAAGAAGATGTCTCAAAACCACACAATTACATGAAAATTAAACAACTTTCTGCTAAATGAATTTTGAGTAAACAATAAAATATAGGCAGAAATTTAAAAATACCTTGAAATTAATGATAACACAGATATACCAAAATCTCTAGGCTACAGCAAAAAGAGTGTTAAGAGGAAAGTTTATAGCACTAAATGCTTACCTTAAAAAGTTAGAACGATTTCAAATTAATGGTCTAACATCACACCTAGAGGAACTAAAAAATAAAGAGCAAACTAACCCCAAAGTTAGCAGAAGAAAAGAAATAACTAAAATCAGAGCAGCACTGAACAAAATTGAGACCCAAAAATTCATACGAAGGATCAACAAAACCAAAAGTTGGTTCACTGAAAAACTAATATGAACGTCTCTGTGCACACAAACTAGAAAATCTAGAATAAATGAATAAATTCCTGGAAACACACAACCTCCTATGATTGAATAAAGAGGAAATTGAAACCCTAAACAGCCAAATATCAAGTTCAAAAATTGAATCAGTAATTAAAAACCTACCAACCAAAAAAATAAAATCCCAGACCAAAAGGATTAACAGCCAAATTCTACCAAATGTGCAAAGAAGAGCTGGTACCAATTCTTCTGAAACTATTCCAAAATACCAAGGAGAAAGGACTCCTCCCTAACTCATTCTACAAAGCCAGCATCACCCTGATACCAAAACCTGGCAAAGATACAATGAAAGGAAACTACCATCAATGTCCCTGATGAACATAGACACAAAAATCCTCAACAAAATACTAGGGAACCAAATCCAATGGTACAGCAAAAAGTTAATTCACCATGATCAAACAGCCTTCCTGGGATGCAAGATTAATTCAACATATGCAAATCAATAAATGTGATTTGCCACATAAACAGAATTAAAAACAAAAACCACAGGATCATCTCCATAGATGTGGAAATAGCATTCAATAAAATGCAACATCATTTCATGATAAAAACCCTCAACAAACTAGGCATCAAAGGAGCATACCTCAAAATAATAGGAGTCTTCTATGACAAACCCACATCCAAAAAAATGTCATACCAAATGGACAAAAACTAGAAGCATTCCCTTTGAGAACTGGAACAAGACAAAGACGTTCATTCTCACCACTCCAATGCAACATAGTACTAGAAGTGTTAGCCAGAGTATTCAGGCAAGATAAAGAAGTGAAAAGCATCCAAATAAGAAAAGAAGTCAAACTCTCTCTTTGTAGACAATATAATTCCATACCTAGAAAACCCTGAAGACTCTGCCAAAGGCTTGCAGAACTGATAAACAACTTCAGTAAAAGTTTCAGGATACAAAACCAATGTAAAAAAAATCAGTAGCATTTTGTGTTTTGGTTTTTGTTTTGTTTTGGTTTTTGAGATGGAGTCTCACTCTGTCACCCAGGCTGGAGTGCAGTGGCACAATCTGGGCTCTCTTCTACCTCTGCCTCCCGGGTTCAAGCAATTCTCCCTGCTTCATCCTCCCAACTAGCTGGGATTACAGGCGCCCACCACCACACCCAGCTAAATTTTGTATTTTAGTAGAGATGGGGTTTCACCATGTTTGCCAGGCTGGTCTTGAACTCCGGACCTCAAGTGATCTGCCTGCCTTGGCCTCCTAAAGTGCTGGGGTTACAGGCATGAGCCACCACACCCACCCATCAGTGGCATTTCTATACACCAATAACATTCAAGCTGAGAGCCAAATCAAGAACACAATTCCATTTATGATAACAACACAAAAAATAAAATACCTAGGAATATCCAACCAAGGAGGTGAAATGTCCCTACAAGGAGACCTACAACATACTGCTGAAAGAAACCATAGAGGATATGAACAAATGGGAAAATATTCCATCCTTGTGGACTGGAAAAATCAATATTGTTAAAATAGCCATACTGCCCAAAGCAACCTACAGATTCAATGCTATTCCTATCAAACTATGAATATTATTTTCCATAAAACCAGAAAAAACTATTCTGAAATTCATATGAAACCAAAAAAAGAGCCCAAATAGCCAAAGCAATCCTAAGCCAGAGGAACAAAGCTGGAGGCATTACGTTATCCAATGTCAAACCATTCTGTAAAGCTACAGAAAAGAAAACAGCATGGTATTGGCACAAAAATAGATACACAAACCAATAGAACCAAATAGAGAACACAGAAAGAAAGCTGCACACCTACAGCCATCTAATCTTCACCAAAGTTGACAAAAATAAGCAACAGGAAAGGTCTCCCCATTCAATAAATGGCGCCAGTATAGCTGGCTAGCCATATGCAGAAAGAAGAATGAAACTGGACACCTATCTTTCACCATATACAAAAATTAACTTGGGATGGACTAAACACTTAAATATAAGACCTCAAACTATAATAGTCCTAGCAGGAAAACCTAGGAAATGCTATTCTGTACATTGTCCTTGGCAAACATTTTATGGCTAAGTCCTCAAAAGTAATTGCAACAAAAACAAAAATTGACAAGTGAGACCTAATTAAATGAAAGATCTTCTGCACAGCAAGAGAAACTATCAACGGAGTAAACAGACAACCTACAGAATGGGGAAAATATTTGCAAACTACACATCCAAAAAAGGTCTAATATCCAGAATCCACAAGAACTTAGAGAAATCAACAAGCAAAAACCAAAGAACCCCATTGAAATGGGCAAAAGTCATAAGCAGGAACTTCTCAAAAGAAGACATACAAGCAGCCAACATACGAAAAAAGTCTCCACATCACTAATCAACAGAGAAATGCAAATCAAAACCACAATGAGATCCAATCTCACACCAGTAAGAATGGCTATTATTTTTAAAAAATCAAAAAATAACAGATGCTGGTAAAGCTATAGAGAAAAGGGAATATATGCGCTGATGGTGGGAATGCTAATTAGTTCAGCCACTGTGGAAAGCAGTTTGGAGATTTCTCAACGAGCTTAAAACAAAACTGCTATCAGACTTACCATTCCCATTACTGGGTATATGTCCAAAAGGAAAAAATCCTTCTACCAAAAAGACATATGCATTCATCTATTCATTGCAGCATTATTCACAATAACAAAGACATGCAATCAACCCAGGTGTCCATCAACATTGGATTGGATAAAGAAAGTGTTGTACATCTACACCATGGAATACTACGCACCATAAGAAAGAATGAAATCATGTTCTTTGTGAAGGCCATTATCCTAAGCAAATTAAAGCAGAAACAGAAAACCAAATACTGCATGTTCTCACCTACAAGTGAGAACTAAACATTGGGCACATCTGGGCATAAAGATGACAACAAAAGAAACTGTGGACTAGTAGAGTGGGAAGGTGGGGAGGGAAAAGGGTTGAAAAACTGACTATTGGGTACTATGCTCAGTACCTGAGTGATGAAATCATTTATATTCCAAACTTCAGCATCATACAACTGCACATGTACTCCCTGAATCTAAAATAAGAGTTTAAAAAAATTAATAAAGTATTCAAAAAATAAAATAAAATGACACATGTGGGGCTACATCCCTGATCACAAAAATAATTGTTCAGAAGTAAATACCACATAGTCTGGGTGTTTGAATCCAACTGTTTCCTAAACTGTTTGGCATGTTTTTTCATAGTACTGGGTTGGGGGAATCTTTTTGAAGGAGGGTCCTTTATGAAAATATCTGAAGTTTTTGGGTAGGGCATAAATATTCCTTCCAAAATTTCTCAAAGTTTTCATGTGTGTGTACACATACGTGTATCTGCATATGTATGTCTGTTCATGCTATAAGAAATATTAATAAGTGTTTTTAAAGTGATGCCCAAATACGTTTTGGAAACACCAAGATTAAATGCAGTTAAGCAAGTTTCTTTATTGTTCTAAAGTGCATTGTTACTCTATAAGAAACAGACATAATATATAGTATTTATATGACCATGTGACTCTATAACATCTTGCAGGACTAGTGTTCCACAGAACACACTTTGGGAAATGGTGCCCAATCCATAGAATTTTGGGTTTCTTTTATTACAAATGTATGTCCTGAAAATGAAAGGAGAATATGTCCCTGAATCTTAGGATAAACAAATTAAGGAAGACCCTAGAATAATGAGTAGCAGAAACCAAGGTTGAGACATTTAAAAGCAGATGTGAATTCTCATATATTACTGATTAAAGTAGCCTATGAAGGGCAATTTGGCAAGTTATCCTGCATATATACATGCACTTGAATCAAATGATACTTATGCATGATTATTCATATTAGCATTATTTGCAATAACTAAAGATTAGAAGCAACCTAAGTGTCCATAAGATGTTTGTTAAACCGTGGTACATATACATAATGAATTCTACACAGTTAATCAGGTCAGTTAAGATACAGGTCAATTCCAAGAGCATGAACCCCTCAAAGATTGTATGTTTCTTGCTAATCTTTTTATCTAAAGGATTGAGCACAGGTACCAAAATATTATAGGTGTTCCACAAATATTTGATGAAAAAATAAATTAAATAATTGAATGAATGACACAATTAAAGTCATAGCCTTTTATACCAATGAATTTAATTTCTGAATTTTCTTTCTTGGGACCCTAGTAATTCATCATCAAAAAACATACTAAGTACCTGTTATGTAGCATACATTATGCTGGATACAGAGACATAAGTCAGAAACAGATCTTACCCTTCAACAACTCAAGTCTTTCACAAGGGAAGTTAAGAGAAAATAAAGCACAATGGGAATTCGGGAGAGAGAGCTATTACTTTATCTGTTCGGTCATTACCAAATAATAAATACACAATGAAGAAACTAGAGAAGATTCTCAAGAGGCACTATCTCCTTGAAATATTTTTATCTGCTTCTAAGTGACCGACCATGATTCCTACAAACATGGACAGGAACTAGTGCCCAATTATTAAAATGCTGTTCTGGGACCTGGAAGGGTGAAAGGAAGTCTAACTAACTTCTTACTATCATGTTTTGGTGTGATTGTTTTGTATTAGCAAATCACTTTTCCATCTCCTGGTATTTTTCCATTTTTTTGTCCCATCATTTCTTCCACAAAATTCAGCTGCTAAAGTGCTCTATGCTTATTGTCTGTGAATAAATTTTGTAAAAAGGAGTCTACCTACCTCTGAACTCCAAAAACCTAAACTTCTAGAGAGCTGAAAAGGACTCTAGGCATGAATTTTTAAAATGTTGGAGAGAAGTGAGATTTAAGGAGTGTGGGGGCTCCCAAAGTGTTGAAATTTAATGTTTTTTAGTAGAAACCAGGGTAGAGCTCAGGTAGCAGAAAGGGCAGGAAGCACAGTGAGTCCAGACAGCCAGTACCCAAGGAAGCTTCAAAGAGATCTCCATGTTCCTATACGGCAAGAAAAAGTGGAATTACCATTGCATGGGAGTAGCATGGTAATTCTTCTCTCCTGGTGGGTAGGAGAGCCACTAGGCTTGCAGAAGCCATGAAAGGAAAGACAGCTGGGCACAGTGGCTCATGCCCGTAATCCCAGCACTTTAGTAGGCTAAGGCAGGAGGATCACTTGAGGCCAGGACTTCAAGACCAGCCTGGTCAACAAAGCAAGATACCATCTCCTCCCATCCAAAAATTTTTCAATTAGCCAGGCACAGTGTCATGGACCTGTAGTCTCAACTACTCGGAAGCTGAGATGGGAAAAATCACTTGAGTCCAGGAGTTCAAGGCTGCAGTGAGTTATGATCAGGCCACCGCACTCCACCCCACCCAAAAGAGCAAATCTGTCTCTAAAATAAATAAATAAATAAAAATTTTAAAAAGAGGAAAATCTCATGGGCAGCTAGGTGGGGACCAGTGTCAGAGGACCAGACCAAAAAAATGGGTATCTTAGGAGATAAACTTATTGAACAATGTTGTAGTCTACAGGCAACCCTGCTATGCCTGGTTACCAAAAAACCATGTCCCCGCCCCCAACAAACTTAGACTCCATCACAAGAAAGGGGTGGAGGACTATGTTTCTGCTAACACAGCAAAATGATGGCTCAAAAGAGAAATTGAGTTATAGGAAAAAAAAAAAAAAACAGAGAAAAGTATGTTTTCTTCCAACTTGGGCTGTGGACTGTTACAGAAGCTGGCCGCAGTTAGCATCACATGCCTTAGAATTCCTGCAATGACCATACTGCACATTCACACAGATTCCAAAACTTCTGGTCTCAAACCAGTCACAGAGATACCCGTGTTAAGGGCCTCAAACATTGTCTGGGCTCCAATATGATGGCCAGTTTCACCAGTTGGTTGCGAGGGGGGATGTCTCCTTCCTCAGAACAGCTAAGACACAATGAGTTGAGACTCAAAGCCACTCACTCCAAGAATGTGGTCATTAGAGCTATATCATCTGTCACCTTTGGGTGGTAATTAGAAAAGAGAAGTCAATAACAATAGTACATAACACTACTTTACCAAGATTTAAACAAGTTGTAATATTGTTGAACATCTATTGATGAGTCCAAATGTGCCACAGGCTATTGAGCACAAGGAGGGCTTTGATGGGAGGCTTTTCATTATTAATTTGATGAGGTGAGGTTTATAGGCATCACAGCATACATTGCATTTGTTACATGAGCCCTGGCCTCACAAAGCCATCAAATCTCATCAACATCTGGTGGGGTGACACCTAAGGAAGTGAAGATGTCTCAGAAATCTGTACCTGAGACTTGCAACCCCATGAAAGAAAAAGAGCCTTGCCTTGTTGTTGACTTTGTCAGATACTTTCCTAAGTGTGGGAAATACTCTAGGAAAGCAAAACCAAAAAAAACAAACCTGTAATCCTTGGAAAGAATAATTTCTGAGATGGGAATCAAAAAGCCTTGGTTTTAGTTAAGCTCTGCTAACAACTATGCCTGTGCCCTTAGGTACATGCCTGATGTCACTTTACCTCTTGATATGGTTTGTCTGTGTTCCCACCCAAATCTCAGCTTGAACGGTATCTCTCAGAATTCCCATGTGTTGCAGGAGGGACCTAGGGAGAGGTAATTGAATCATGGGGGACTGGTCTTTCCCTTGCTATTCTCATGATAGTGAATAAGACTCATGAGATCTGATGGGTTTATCAGGCATTTCCACTTTTGCTTCTTCTCCATTTTTCTCTTGCTGTTGCCACGTAAGAAGTGCCTTTTGCCTCTTACCATGATTCTGAGGCCTCCCCAGCCATGTGGAACTGTAAGTCCAATTCAACCCCTTTTTCTTTCCAGTCTCAGGTATGTCTTGATCAGCAGTGTGAAAACGGACTAATACAGTAAATTGGTACCAGTAGAGTGGGGCATTGCTGAAAAGATACCCGAAAATGTGGAAGCAACTTTGGAATGGGTAACAGGCAGAGATTGGAAGAGTTTGGAGGGCTCAGAAGACAGGAAAATGTGGGAAAGTTTGAAACTTCCTAGAGGCTTGTTGAATGGCTTTGACCAAAAGCCTGATAGCTATATGGACAATGAATTCCAGGCTGAGGTGGTCTTGGGTGGAAATGAGGAACTTGTTGCGAAATGGAGTAAAGGTGACTCTTGTTGTGTTTTGGCAAAGAGACTGGTGGCATTTTGCCCCTGCCCTAGAGATTTGTGGAATTTTGAACTTGTGAAAGATGATTTACGGTATCTGGTGGAAGAAATTTCTAAGCAGCAAAGCATTCAAGAGGTGACTTGGGTACTGTTAAAGGCATTCAGTTTTATAAGGGAAGCAGAGCATAAAAGTTTGGAAAATTTTCAGTCTGACTATGTGATAGAAAAGAAAAATCACTTTCTGGGAGAAATTCAAGCCGGCTGCAGAAATTTGCATAAGTAGCAAGAAGCCTAATGTCAGTCCCCAAAACAATGGGGAAAATGTCTCCAGGCCATGTGTGAGTCCTTCACAGAAGCCCCACCATCACCACCATCATAGGCAGGGAGGCCCAAGAGGGAAAAATGGTTTGGTGGGCCAGGCCCAGGTTCCCCGTGCTGTGTGCAGCCTAGGGACTTCATGCCCTGTGTCCCAGCCACTCCAGCCATGGCTGAAAGGGGCCAACCATACAGCTCTGGCTGTAGCTTTAGAGGATGGAAGCCCCAAGCCTTGGCAGCTTCCATGTGGTTTTGAGCCCGCAGGTGCACAGAAGTAAAGAATTGAGGTTTGGGAACCTCTGCCTTTATTTCAGAAGATGTATGGAAATGCCTGGATGCCTAGAAAAAAGTTTGCTGCAGGGGAAGGGCCCTCATGGAGAACCTCTGCTAGGGCAGTGCAGAAGGGAAATGTGGGGTTGGATCCCCCACACAGAGTCCCTAGTGGGGTGCTGCCTAGTGGAGCTGTGAGAAGAGGGCCACCGTCCTCCAGACCCCAGAATGCTAGATCAACCAACAGCTTGCACCATGTGCCTGGAAAAGCTGCAGACATTCAATGCCAGCCCATGAATGCAGCTGGTAGGGAGGGTGTACCCTGCAAAGCCACAGAGGTGGAGCTGCCCAAGAGCATGTGAACCCACCTCTTGTGTCAGCATGACGTGGATATAAGGCCTTCTGAAGTCAAAGGAGATCATTTTGGAGCTTTAAAATTGGACTGCCTGGCTGGATTTCAGACTTGCATGGGGCCTGTGGCCCCTTGGTTTTGGCCAATTTCTCCTAGTTAGAATGGCTGTATTTACCCGATGCCTGAACCTCCATTGTATCTAGGAAGTAACTAACTTGCTTTTGATTTTACAGGCCCATAGGTGGTAGGGACTTGCCTTGTCTCAGAGATGTTGGACTGCGGACTTTTGAGTTAATGCTGAAATGAGTTAAGACTCTGGGGAACTGTTGGGAAGGCATGACTGGTTTTGAAATGTGAGGACATTCCAGGGGTGGAATGATATGGTTTGTCTGTGTCCCCACCCAAATCTCAACTTAAACTGTATCTCCCAGAATTCCCATGTGTTTCAGGAGGGACCTGGGGAGAGGTAATTGAATCATGGGGGCCAGTCTTCCCCGTGCTATTCTTGTGATAATGAATAAGTCTCCAGAGATCTGATGGGTTTATCAGGGGTTTCTGCTTTTGCTTCTTCCTCCCTTTTCTCTTGCCAACACCAAGTAAGTAGTGCCTTTTGCCTCTTGCCATGATTCTGAGGCCTCCCCAGCCATGTGGAACTGTAAGTCCAATTAAACCTCTTTTTCTTCTCAGTCTCTGGTATGTCTTTATCAGCAGCATGAAAATGGACTAATACACCTCTTTGAACAGAGTTCTTCATATATAAAATGACAATCTGTTAAGGTAACTTTCAGGCCCAATATTCTATTATTTTTCTACCTTGGGTTATCTTCCAGTCTCATAGTTTAAATAGTATTGATATGCTGGTACTTTCTATTTTCATTTCCATCCCCAGCCTCTCTCCTGAACTCCAGACTTATTTTACAACTGCCCTTTTGACAAATTCACTTGGATGACATCTCAAACTTGACATACCCAAAACCCAAACTCTTTATTTCTCCCTGAGGCCTGCTTCTCCCCACCCCAGCTCACCCCTACCCCACTCTTCCCATTACAGTAAGTGGCAACTGCATTCCAGAGCTTTCATTTGAAACTTCTTCTCATACTCTAAATCTAATCCTTTAGCAAAGTGTGTTGGTTCTTCCTTTGAAATATGTCCATAATCTGGTGCCCTCTTCCACCACATCCTTGTCCAAGCATCCATCTTCTCTCAGTTAAACCGGTGCCTTCTTTTCCACTCTTGCCCATCCCTGGACCATTCATCACACCCAACAAGAATGACCATGTTTCTGCTCTTTCCCCTAGATGTCCTTATGGCTTTCTCCTCATTTTCTTCAAGTCTCCAGTTGAGGTCCTTATCAGAGAGACCTTTTCTGGCCATCCTATTTAAAATAGCATCTGTATTAGTTTTCTGTGTCATATAACAAATTACCAACAACTTAGTGCCTTAAAACAATATGCATTTATGTTTTCAGTTTCTGTGGGCCAGCACAGCTTAGCTGGGTTCTCTGCTCAAAGTCTCTCAAGGATGTAATCAAGATGGTGGCTGGGTTGCATTTTCATCAGAAGACTTAGCTGAAAAAGAATCCACTTGCAAACCCATTCATGGTTTTGGAGAAATTTGTTTCCTGTGGTCATATAACTTAGACCCCTGGTCTTTTGCTAGCTGAAAGCTGAGAGTTGCTGTCAGCTCTTAGAGTCTACCCTCAGGTCCTTGCAATATGGTTCCTTCCATAAGCAGTTTACAATACAGCTATTTGCTTCTTCAAGGCCAGCAGGGGAATTTCTCTTTAATTTCAAGTAGGGCCTAGTTCCTCTTTTAAGAGGTTTGACCAGATTAAGTCAGGCCTATCTAGGATAATACCCCTTCTAATTATCTCAAAATCTACTGATTTGAGGCCTTAATTACGTCTTCAAAATCCATTCACCTTTGCCATATAATATAAGCTAATCATAAGAGTGGCCTTCTATTATATTCTCAGGTCCCCTTCACACTCAAGGTGGAGGGCAGTGAGAGGAGTGATAATAAAAAGGGTGTGACCAGGAACAGGGGCTCATCTTAGAATTCTGCCTGCCATAGCATTTCTACCATAACCTTTACCACATCTCTTTTTATATCCTTTGCCTCCTAACATATTATTTGTTTGCTTATTTATTGTTCTGTTTCTCCTGAGTAGAATGAAATATTCCCGACAGCATGGACGTAATATTGTTTACTGTTATTTCTCCAGCAACTAGAACAGTATCTGGCATATAATTCAAGCTCAATAAATATTTGTTGAATAAACAAATGAATGAATGAATTAAAATATAAATATTTTACCCCTTTTATCACAGGAATTTCAATACATTATCTCCCATAGTTTATTATGCCTCTAACAGACCCTGGTCACATGCAAGACATCTTTAGTGAATATTTATTGAGCACTTACTCCTTACCAACCACTTGAACACACTCTAGTTAATCCTCACAATAATCTTCTCTAAATCACACAATCTCTTTTGAGCCTGGCTGGTAGGAAATGGGATTTCAATTATACTTTTGGGAGTCCTATATTTCTAGAGTGGGGGCTAAGTATTTTCTTATCCTCTTCTATTCAGGAATTAAACCCCTCAGTTTTGGGGTTTTTTTTGTTTGTTCGTTTTTTGAGTTTCTCTCTTGTTGCCCAGGCTGGAGTGCAATGGCATGATCTCAGCTCACTGCAACCTCCTCCTCTCAAGTTCAAGCAATTCTCCTGCTTCAGCCTCCCCAGTAGCTAGGATTACAGGTGCCCGCCACCTGGCCCAGCTATTTTTCTTTTGTATTTTCAGTAAAGACGGGGTTTCACCATATTGGCCAGGCTGGTCTCAAACTCCTGACCTCAGATTATCTGCCCGCCTCGGCCTCCCAAAGTGCTGGGATTATAGGCATGAGCCACTGCACCTGGCCTAAACCCCAGTTTTAGCTGGGCTCCTGGCCACCTGATTACAAATCCCCTCACTCAGTTTCTCTTAAAGCAAGATGTGGCCATAGGACTAGGTTCAAGCCAATGGGATGTAAAAAGAAATTATAGGCGTGATTTCAACTCCCTAAAGACAAGATTGCTTGCCATGGACTTCTATCTTAGAACTGGAACATGGACATGGAGGTGTGCCAGCTTCAATACTCCAGTACAGGGTCCTTAGCCTGGGGTTGACAGATCTGCAGAACATCCATGAACAGAATTCAGAGCGTCCAGAAACCTAGATTGGAAAAATTCTGTCTTTATTTTTAGCAATCTCTCATTGAAGTTCAGCATTTTCTTTAATTATAAATGTAGGCAACAAACCACAACAGTAATCACAATATCTGTGGCCTTGTCACTATCAGAAATTATAGTTATTTTCATATCATACTACATGAAATAATGATTTATGCTCATCACTATTTCGAAACTATGGTACCTATTAGACACACCAGTAGATGTGGTACTTATTAGACACACCACAATTAACAAAGAAGGATAATTATATCACAAATTTGTCTTTTAAATTTTGTGATAATTGTATTTTATTCTTATTTACTTCCTTTGTTATCATCCTATGTATTTTTTAATGTATTTAAAACTATTTTTCTGGGACAGAGTCCACACACTTTACCAGATTATCCAGGAAGGTCATGGCAGAAGATTTTAAAATCCTGTTCTAGCGGAAGGCAAGATACTAATATGGAAGAAACATGGATTCCTAAATGACTTAGGTGCAAGGCTGATTATCAGAGGTGGGCCGCTAGCTTACTTCCAGATTGTTACAGAGAGAGAAAAAAACTTTTAACTTGTTTGCGTCTCTGTAATTGAGAGTCTCTGTATTACAACAGCTGAACTTATACCTGAGATAATCCTCCCTCCCTGAAGTCAAGCCAGAATCCTAGGGCACACTATGCCCTACACAAAGCATTTAGGGAAGGACTCTCCAGTTTTCAGAGTGCACTGTTACAACTGATGAGCTCATTGTCTAAGGCTGCATGCTTCCTAGAGGATAAGCAACCAAGGGTAGCGGGACCTTTTAGTGACTGCTGGTCCTAAGGCAATAGCTCTTAAAGTTTGGCCCATTGATCACTCAGCCTCACCCATCAGAAGTCCCAGTAACCCCACCGAAAGGGAGAACAGTAATGTTACTGACTATAAAGAACTTACCAAATCTTACACCCTTCCTTGTCTCAAAAAGAATTCTCTAAAGAACTTCCCACCTCTTTAGCTTGGCCCACTTCTGCCTCCCAAATTCAATCATTCACCTCCTACTTCCCCTCGAGAATGATCCAAAATAATTCTCCTTGAGGAGCTTATGCTTTTGCAAACAATATGTTGGGTAGAGGCTGTCTGGAGACATATTTTTTTGCCATATTCACTCCCCTTCACAAAAGTTCCAGAGGCATAGAACAGAAAAACTAGGTTGCCATCTTGTTATGGGGGAAAGATAAAATCGTGTAGCAGTAAGAAAAAAGTTATCTCAGTAAATTATGTATAACTACTGCAACAATCCAAATATGAGATCTTAAGAGCCAATTTTGAGAGGTAGTTGGAGTGAAGAGTAAAAGATTGGTAGCGATTATAGAGAATTTTTGGAGGCGTAATGAAAACAAATAGTGGCTGGCCAGATATGGAAGGACTATGGAAAAGGAGAAGCCAAAGGTGGCTGCAAGATTGACATTTAAGTGAGCGAAAGGACGGTATATAAAAGAGAAACATAGGCAGGAACGCCGTTTTGGAATAGAAGACAACAGCTTTTAGATAAGTGAAGCTTGAGGTGTGGTGGAAAATCCAAATGGAAATTCCCAAGAGTTATGAAATGAGAGCTCTGAAATCAGCATCTAAATAGAGATGTTGATAGAGACCAAGAGAATGAAGAAGCTCTCCAAGGCAGAGAACTAAGAAGGGAAAAGACAGAATACCACCCCATTCCTTGAGGAACACTCACATTTAGAGAACAGAAGAAACCATCAAAGGAGACAAAGAAGAAATGATTAGAAAAGGAGGAGTAAATTTAGATAGTTCAATGTCAAAGTAGCATGGGAAAAATGCTTTAAGCCAAATGCATAGAGAAACTAACAGTAAGAACTGAGCAAAGACCAGTGGGTTTTGCAATTTTAAATGGCTGGTTAGTAAATAGCTTACTAATAATAGGTATCCATACAAATAAGACACCTTGAGATGCAGATATTACCAGGGACAGAGGCTGTCAAGATTCTTTTCAGGGCTATAATGGAGCCACAATCTTCCCTTAACAACTTTTTCATCATTTCTGGCAAATTCACTACAAAAAAGATATCTACTTGCTATTTGCAATCACAAAATATCCCTGGTTTGAAAAATATCTACATCCCAGAAGGCATCATTTAAAGGCAAATGGGCTTGGAATTATTAAGTGTATTCCATTGGATCAATATCATGGAGAATACTTATTTTCATTTCACTTATCAGAAAACTACATGTATTACATACAACGGCTCTTAATATATAAAGCATTTTCTCCCAAGCTGTTCAAATGAAGGTATTTCCCTCCGTTTTCATTCTGTATTAAAGGAATAATGTAAGTCCTATTTAGGGAACCAGCTAGTGCTTACCTAAACCCCTAAATGTTCACCCACAATAGAATCAATAGATGGAATATAGAATTCATCTCACAGATAAATGACGCCTAATGGACCCTAGATTTTAATTCTTAGACATGAGCCTAAATGGAAAAGCTAGAATAAAGAAAGAAAAAGATAAGAAAGGGAAAGAAAAGAAAAAAAGAACAAGTTCTTTTCCAAGTCTGAAACAAACGGAAGTGTGCATATTTGAACAAAGAGAAAATTATGCAATTAACAATATCCTCATAACCTCACTGGTGAGCATGAATAAAGCATTGCCAGTTACCATACAGATTAAATATTGAGGTACTGCATACTGGCACTCACCACAGACAATGAGAGCCTCTTACACTAATCAGATATTACTTTATTAAAAGATTTTTGAGGTTCAGAAAGACCCATGATCAGGGAGAAATTTAAAAAGCATCTTTTGCCTGCCAATAGCCCCATAAGAAAAGAAAAATGATAAATTCAGGTTATGCTCAACTTGCCTAACCCCTGCTAATTTAAAGCATTCATACGACTGCATGAATTTTTTTTATTTCTCTCCAGATTCCTGGTAGCATTTAAATGTGGGCTTCTGTTCAGCTTCCATGTTCTGTTTTCATTAAAATCAGTTGTGTTGTAGCTGGCTTTGGGGTAAACCCACAGCAATAGATGGCACTGGGAAGGCTCCAATTTTATTCAAGCTTTAGGAAGCTGAAGTGAGGGGATCTTGGTGATGATATTCCCCTCACAGTGCCCATGGTGGTTATTCTCCACTTTTCTCTCACTCTCAGTCCCAGAATCTCCTCCACCCCTTCAGCCACTGATCTAGTTTGCTGGGATTGGGGTTACCCAGTGCACACTTCCTCACCAACTTTTCCCCCATCTATCTTTGCACCCATCTTTCCCTGCAGCCTCAAGATAAAATGAACCTTCCTTTTCCCCAGAGATAAATCCTCCCACCACTCAGGTTCTGCTTTTTTACTTTGTCAGTTCCTAAGAGATGTTGGTCATGGATTCACCTATCCTTTTCAAGCATCCTGACTGGCTGTCTACCCTCTGCTGTCAAATATCCACTGACTTCTCCCGTTTTTGGTGTTGTGGGAGGAAAGATCCATCTTAATTTTCAGGGAGGCTCCATTTATCAATGCATATTTCCATAGGCCTCCTTTTCTTCTCTATCAACCTTTTCCAATAAGTAATCTACAGTGAAAAGCAAAATAAATGTGCAATGCTTCACAGTTAGAAAAGAAAAAAAAATTTTAATTCCATTCACAAATCAGGGAAAATGTTGAATATATAGAAAAAAATTTTACAGGAAAATATGCCTATAAGAAGAACATTATAAAACTTCACTGACAATTTTTTAAATAAATGGATATGTGTGTTCTGGATAGGAAAACTGAATATCAAAAATAGTCCCCAAAAATGATGGAATGTAAATTAGAGTCCATTTTGTTTATGTGTATCAAGAGCCTTCAAAAATTGTTCATATATTTTTAAATCAGCCATAACATTTCTAGGAATGTATCCCACTGAAGTAATCAGAACTATAGACCAAAATGTCTACACATTTTATATATTCATTTCAGTTGTATTTATGATAGTGAAAAAAACAGGACACATCCTACAGTTCCAATAAAAGATGAATGATTGAGTAAATTTATGGCACACCTAAACGATAAAAATGTTTACAGCTATTAAAACTCAGATTGGCTAAGTGTAGAGAGAAATGCTTACTTTATATAATTAAGGAAAACCATAATATGACCTAGTATAAATTCAACCATGTAAAACACTGTGCAATATATTAAAGGAATGTATGCCAACAGTTTAACAGGAATGGCCTATGAGTAATAGTTTCATAATACCAAATTTTTTCCTGTTCCTTTATACATTTCTGTTCTTCCCAATTTGTCTAAAATGAGCATATTCAGGCTGAGATTAATAAACCCTGTTTTGCAGGTAACTTCCTTTTTCTTCAATTTCCCAAGAGAAAACAAGAATAGGCCACCTTCTCTTCCATTTTTCATTCCCAGGAAGAACCAAGCCACTGGTGCAGGGAGAATGCTCTTTTTGTGACCCACAGCCCTGCAGTGGCTGCCTTGAATTGTAGCAGACTATATGGATTTTTAGTTTTGAATCTGTAGTATATGCAGTCTCATCTCTGAAAAACCAGATATTGATCCCTGTCTCACTGGGTCTACACGAACTGGATTGCCTGAATTCATGGATTTTTTTAAAGGAACAAATGCAGTAAATTAAAGGGAGTGTATTTTTTTCCTACTCTATTCCAGATAGCAAGTTTGACTGCATCTTTTGCTTGTTGTCTAGTTTTTCTGGTGATACAGAAATCTACAATGCAAAATGGTATACAGGGAAGCCAGTATACCTTCTGATGGCTCATCAAGTTGACTTTGCCGTATGTATAATTGTGCCCCGGCCAAGTCCCAAAATCAGGGTACACATTATACCCAGAGAAGGATTAAAGAGGAGGAAAACCAACCTGGTGGCTGATTCACAGATCAGCAACAAAACATCACAGATGTTGCCTCCATGGTCAGCCAGTCATAGAGTCTGCAAACATTTGTTAAGCACCTCATGATGTACCAGGTTCCAAGTAAACAAGACATGGTACCTGTACTCAAAAACTTTCTGTCTACCGGGAAAAATACACTTTAAATTAGTCCCACTTCAGCTGTGAAGTGTGGACTTCACACTGTGTGGACTGAGAAGTCCAAAAGAATTTAAAAGTGCTGTAGACACTCAGCCAGACCCAACCTAGCCTGGAGAGTAGTCCTTAATAAGGGCTTACCATTTAAACTAAACACCTAAAGATCAGTAGAAGTCGACTAGATTAAGTGGTACCAGAAGGAGAGTGGGGATTAAAAAGGCAGAAAGGTCATTCTAGACAGAGGGAGCTGGGAGTCCCTGAGGTCCACAAACTGAGAGAGTATGGTTCTGTTTGGGAAACAGAGAAGTCCTTGATGGCTGAATAGTACAAAAACAGGGAGGAAGCCATGAGAGCCAGGTCAGAGGGGTGAGTAATTGTAAAGCCTAGAGGGCCCGGTGAAGGTCCCGAGCTTTTTCCTAAATGCAGTGAGAAGGCATTTATTAGTTTTAAGTTTGGTTGCTTTGGCTCCAATTAAAAAAAAAAAAATGTTTGGAGGAGAAAAGTGGGATCGGGGGATGACCTAGGAGGTTATTGCTGCAACCCAAGCAAGAGATGATGGTGGCCTGGGTGACACAGTGACAGTGGGCATAGAGAAAAGAGGACAGGTTTAAGGACAAGTTCCAAAACACTCATTTGTCAGGGTGATATTGCTGCCTCCTTTAATTGAGGCAACAGCCCAACTCACACCTCCAACCTCCTAGGTCCTACCATCCATTCATATCCTGAGAAGGTGAAAGTGTGGAGAAAAGATGTCCTTCCCTCAGCCATGACACATCTATCACATTTTCAATATCATTTAGAAACAGACTCTCTACAATTAAACGGGCGTATCCCCACATCCATATTGAAATAGCCAATGAAGGCCAGGTGCGGTGGCTCACACCTGTAATCCCAGCACTTTGGGAGGCCAAGGCAGGCAGATCATGAGGTCAGGAGATCGAGGCCATCTTGCCTAACACGGTGAAACCCCATCTCTACTAAAAATGCAAAAAATTAGCCAGGCATGGTGGCACATGGCTGTAGTCCCAGCTACTTGGGAGGCTGAGGCAGAAAAATCACTTGAACCTGGGAGGTGGAGGTTGCAGTGAGCCAAGATCGTGCCACTGCACTCTAGCCTGGGTGACAGAGCAAGACTCCATCTCAAAAAAAAAAAAAAAAAAAAAAAAAAAAAAAAAAAAAAAAAGAAAGAAAAGAAGAAAAGACAAAGAAAAAGAAAAAAAAATAGCCAATGAATACTCTAGGTTTTTTTTAAAAGGAAAGAGGCCAGTCCAAGTACAGCCATAAGGAATCAGATATGAGCCTGCAAACTGAGTCCTCCATCTCCTCCCAGTCCAGGGTTCTGTCCACCTGGCCATCTGAAGAGAAAATAGTGGTCAGCTTTAGGCCAGGAGTCAAGAGACTAACTGCTCTTTCCTCTCCGCTTTCATGAGGCTCTGACCACTTCAGAACTAAAATGGAGGCTGATCACAAATTCTTAAGAGGATTTTTAAAAAGAAAACAAGTAATATGTTTCTTCCCCTATTGTGTATTTTGCCTGGAAACCTTCTATGAAAGGTTTCTATTATCCAAGGTAGCTTTTTAGATGTCACTCCAGCCCTAAGTGTATTTGCATTTAGATGCAGCTTATTTCTTGTGTCTCTGAGAACCTTGCCCTCTTGCTATTAGTACATTCACAACCCCTCACACTCACAACAGAACAAGAGAAGTCAAAGTAGATGAAAGGGACCAGATCCATTTGCTCCTAACCAGGTCCCTGAAGAGCCTCTTAGAGGATCCCAGGTTACAAATGTGTTCATCTTTTCCATCCACTGATATCTTTTTGAAGGCAAAGATGAGATGGGTCTATAAAATGGGAAAAGAATAAAGTCAGTCTTTTCCACTGCCACTTCCAGAATCCTTCCTTCAAAAATATTTTTATCTGCTAGCCATGATGCTGACTTTACATGTATACCATTTGTTCCTAAACGTGTTTTAAATATATACGTGTTTCCCAGGATTATAGGTTTCTCGTGGCATCTTTCTTTCTATTGAAAGTTGTGAGCAAGGAAAAGAACTTCATGCTCTTATTTTGTGGGACAAAGAGAGAAGCCAAAGCTTTATGATCACGTCTCCACCTGCAGAATTGCATGTACTTTAACAGAAACTTTGTATTGACTTGAAAACCTTTGCAAGAGCAACTGCTGGTTTCCATGACAACCACATCTATGGCATCTGGCTTTCCCCCTGCACACTGGTGACACAAGACTACACGTGATGGGTTATTTTATGCATCAGTCACAGCGATGGAAATTCTAGAGAAACCACAACTTACCCTATACTTTGAGAGTTTAAGATGTAGCTGACCCCTTAAAACAGACTTGCTGTTGTGGCCGAAGAAAAAGGACATGTAAAAAATACAGACCTTCTATAAACTCAGCTGTAAGTTGAATTTCTTTCTCACATCAGAATGCATTTTTCAGACAGCCCAGGTGCCTGGATGCAAAATACATCAGAAGTGTTAAATTTCACTTGATTGTTTTCCCTGCTTTCTCTCAAAGTTCTTTTTTTTTTTTCATTTTTAGAATGGAGTAATGATGAAAAATACATTAAACATAAGGACAAGTATCCTTATCTGAACTATCCTTCCAGTCATCCTAATCAAAATATTATACTTTATGAATTAGAGAAGACTTCATGAAAAACATCTTTATGAGAAACATAAAATAGATTTTAGAAAAATTTCCCAAGGACTTGACTGTCAATTTTAATCCTCTTCATACAAACATTCTTGCTCCATTGTTAAGCATAAACACTTTTGAGTTTGGCTGACTTGGGCTCAGTCATGGCTCTGTCATTTACAGCTGTAAGGCCTTGGGCAAGTTACTGGAGTTCCAGTTTCCTTTTCTGTAAACTGGAAATGATAACTATTTTATAGAATTGTTGGGCTTAAGATAACTGCACATAAAAAGTTTAGCATTGTGCCTGAGAGATGTATTACTCATATACATATTTATATTTATAACAACTATTATATATACATATATATTATACTTCAGTTCAGTACAAGAAGCCATCTTCATGCTCTTTTAGGCTAGAATGATGAAATGTTAAGTTATAAATATCATACCACTTTCAAAGGACCTAATTATTTATGACACTCTGTTACTAGTTGAATGGAACATTTCATTTATTTTTTAATTTAACTTTTATTTTAAGTTCAGGGATACGTGTGTAGGTTTGTTACATAGGTAAATTTATGTCATGGGGGTTTGTTGTACAGATTATTTCATCACCCAGGCATTAAGCCTAGTACTCATTAGTTATTTTTCCTGATCCTCTCCCTCCTCCCACCCTCCACCCTCTTCTAGGCCCCATTGTATGTTGTTTCCTTCTATGTGTTCGACTATTCTCATCATTTATCTCCCACTTAGAAGTAAGAACATGTGGCATTTGATTTTTTGTTCCTGTGTCAGTTTGCTAAGCCTAACTCCAGCTCCACTCATGTTCCCACAAAGGACATGTTGTCATTCTTTTTTATGGCTGTATAGTATTCCGTGGTGTATATGTACCACCTTTTCTTTATCCAGTCTATCACTGATGGGCATTTAGGTTGGTTCCATGTCTTTGCTATTGTGAATAGTGATGCAATGAACATATCCATGCATGTGTCTTTGTGATAGAATAATTTATATTCCCTTGGGTATATACCCAGTAATGGATTGCTGGGTCAAACGGTATTTCTGTTTTTAGGTCTTTTAGGAATTGCCACAGTATCTTCCACAATGATTGAACTAGTTTACAGTCCCACCAACAGTGTATAAGCATTCCTTTTTCTTCACAACCTCACCAGCATCTGTTATTTTTTGACGTTTTAATAATAGCCATTCTGACTGGTGTGAGATGGTACCTCATTGTGGTTTTGATTTTATTTGTCTAGTGATGAGTGGTGTTGAGCTTTTCTTCATGTGTGTTAGCTGCATGTATGTCTTCTTTTGAGAAGTGCTTGTTAATGTCCTTTGCCCACTTCTTAATGAGGTTATTTGTCTTTTTTCTTGTAAATTTGTTTAAGTTCCTTATAAATGCTAGATATTAGACCTTTGTCAGATGCATAGTTTGCAAAAATTTTCTCCCATGCTGTAGGTTGTCCGTTTACTTTGCTAATAGTTTCTTTTGCTGTACGGAAGCTCTTTAGCTTAATTAGATCCCATTTGTCAATGTTTGCCTTTGTTGCAATTGCTTTTGGCATCTTTGTCATTAAATCTTTGCCCGTACTTTATGTCCTGAATGGTATTGCCTATATTGTCTTCCAGGACTTTTATGGTTTTGCATTTTATATTTAAGTCTTTAGTCCATCTTGAGTTAATTTTTGTATGTAGTGTAAGGAAGGGGTCCAGTTTTAATCTTTTGCATACAGCTAGCCAGTTATCACAGCACCATTTATTACATAGAGAGTCCTTTCCCCATTGCTTGTTTTTGTCAGATTTGCTGAAGATCAGATAGTTGTAGGTATGCGGCCTTATTTCTGGGTTCTCTGTTCTGTTCCATTGGTCTATGCATCAGTTCTTGTACCAGAACCATGTTGTTTTGGTTACTGTAGCCCGGTAGTGTAGTTTGAAGTCAAGTAACATGATGCCTCCAGCTTTGTTCCTCTTGCTTAGGATTGTCTTGGATATTCAGGCTTTTGTTTGTTTGTTTGTTTCATATGAATTTTAAAACAGCTTCTTCTACTTCTGTGAAGAATGTCCTTGGTAGTTTAATATAAATAGCATTGAATCTATAAATCCCTTTGGGCAATATGGCCATTTTAACTATTTTGATTCTTCCTATTCATGAGCATGGAATGTTTTTGCATTTGTTTGTGTCATCTCTGATTTATTTGAGCAGTGTTTCGTGGTTAAATGGAACATTTTTAAAATTCAAATCAAAAATATTATTTTAATTATATTTCCTGGATAATTCCTAAAAATCATATTTTTAGTTACCCAAATAATGGCTTCAGTTATCCACATTCCATTACAAGAGACTCTAAATGTGTCAATGACATCCTAAAACATTGCTTTAAATTAATATTTTTTAATTGGTCTATTTGGATAGACTTTGGCAGAGCCATACAAAGTGCTGAGGAAATTTTGACTACCTACCCTTTGAAGGCTCTTCAGAATTCCTTTATGAATTTAAAAATATTTTAATGCCATAAAAACAAAATAGGAATCTGATTTAATAATTCATTTTTTAAAAAACATAAACCTGTTATTGAGCAAGAATTCACTCTTCCTCTCAAAGACTATGAACTGTCATTTGCTAAATTCAGTCACTGAGAAGACTTCACTATACCACCTCCAAATGCAAACTAACACCAGTAACTATGGCCTGTTCCTCTGGCTAGAGTTAAGACTGAACAGTTAGGCAATCAAGCCAGTTTTTTCACTAGATCACAACATTTATTTCAAGAAGTTCTCACCACCAAACCAGTTGTTTGGTAAGATCTAGGCTTCAATGGATGCACTTTGACCATCAAAACTATACCTGCCAAGGTTCAGCTGATGGACAGTTTATAAACCCTCCCTCAACTCCTCATTCTTGATTGCCCTGGAATATCCAGAAGTCCCATATTCCCTGTGTCTGGAGCACTTAGGTGCTCTGACCTTGCTGAGAGAATCACTACTCCTTTCTCTATCAATCAAAGCACAGAAACTGAAAGAGTTTAGTAATAGGACTATTTTCAAGAGTCAGGATAACTTAAGGGAAACCATCAGTACCCAGGGTAAAGCACCCAGGGGATAGACTATTAATACCCCAAGATCTGAAGGATCAAGGAAGAGGCACCATTTCCAGAATGGGAGCAATAGCTGTGGCTTTGGAATGTCTCCATGCTTCCACAGGAGCTGTGGCCTGAGACAGAGAAAAGCAAGGACTGTCAAACTGTGGCCTAAACAAAGAGGGAGCAGAGTAATAATACTCCAACCTTGCTCCTTCTCTCCTACCCTCTTATCTCCTGCTAGTATCTTTCAGTGGCCAAATTCAACCAGAAGCCACAGGGCAAGAGAGCTTGATGGATGCAGCCCATGGAGGTCAGCCTTTTGGAGTAAAATGTAGGTTGAAGAAAAGTGAAGAGTTGATCTAGGGGTGTGGGGAGAGGTAAATGAAAATTTCCAGCACAAATGTTTTAGGATTCTCTCTGGCTATCCACTTTCCCATGAGAACATCATTTTCAGAATCTAAACCAATTTTACAAACACCTATAAGGCAGAGGTAATACAGTCTCCCCACTCCCACATTTGTGAAGGTGAACTTCTCTAATTTAGTGGTATAGAAACTAGGTACAAAAACTCATGGAGATATCCCCTTCACACTTTACCCAATTATTTACATAGGAGAGATGAATGTCAGGTGGGTGGAAGGGGTAGGAGCAGTGATGAAACTGAGGAACCGTGCAGGTAGATTGCTGAAAGTAAGCAAAAGAAGCCAAAAGGTAAGATGTTTCCAGCAGTAAAAAAGGATAGACTTATGTAACTTGCCAGATCCAAGAAACATGGTAAGACTAGCAGCAGAGGACATTCAAGGCTGCAACAGGTCACAGGAGCAAGGCAGCCAGGACAATGATCTAGGTAGATGAGCTGGTTCAGTGAGCAATAATTAAATCATTTAGGGTTGGGTGGGGGGTGATTCTTTTCATATAGCTGTTCAGCACTTTTAATGCAGTATAGATCAAGTGAGAGATATGACTGTGCCTTTTAAATATGCCATGAGAAATAACATTTGCCATCAGTTTTGGGGTGCCTACTACATGTCATTTGTTATACTGGACACATTACATACATTATCTCATTTAGTCCTCACAAATTTTCCTCACACATAATTATCCTAACTTGACAGATGATGATGCAGTCAGAAACATTAATACATCCAAGGATATACAGCTAATAAATAGTGGCACTTGGGTTCCAATTCAGCTTTGTTGACTTCAAGCCCTACACTTTCAACAATCTTAGTAAAATGTATCACTCTATATTACCTTCCTGAATTCTCTGTATTGCAAGTTTCTTTCCTTTGAATTTGACATAAAAAAAAAAAAAAGCATGTCTTCTACAATAAGAAAGACCACGGTCATTTGTATCTAGATTTTAGGATATGGCCAGCTAATGGCCACAGCAAAAGATAGTAATTATCCATTTACTAACTGTGCTTTTGTTTCAATAATTACCCTCAAAGTTAATTATTTATTTAGCCAATCTCGCCATTCCCTACATTAATTAGACATGTTAGCACATGAAAATGCATTGATATAGAAGAAACTGTCTTATCTGGTGACAGTCTAAGTGACTTTCTGCAGAGATCTCTTTTATTTTGGCCTTCCTGAGTGTGGGAAACATGCATGTCTTCCAGGAAACTCTGAGTCAGTAGCCTAAAGTTTCATCTCATTTTATATGGGACTTTCAAAGTTCTTAGGAAAGCAATATAGATATGCCTGTAGGCCTAGGAAAGATATATCATGATCTGGAATTAAATGCAGTCAAATATTTAGGATAAAATGCAAAATAAAATAAAATAAAATAAAACTCATGCCTATGGATCCCCCAAGGAATAGCCAGATCTGCTCTGAAGAGGACTGAAATCATTATGCACAAGCAAAAGATTTATCATAGAGAATACAAGTGTCATTCCTATAAAAAGAACCAAACTGATGTAACTTACTTTTCCTTGGAACTAGATTTTAACTGGTTTCAACTTAGAACTAACAAACCGGATATGTGCAAAATGATTGACAGGTGGGCCCAATTATGCCCCAGCAGTTCCTTATAGAGAGAATCAATGGCTGTTTGAATACAGTTCATATTTTATTAGTAACTAGCTCCAAGCCCATAACCATCTCTCCTCATTCCACTCTCACCCCACCACAGACTATTTATTCAGATACATTTGCTTAATCCAGGACCCTGGAAAACATAAGGCTTAAGTTAAATCTTTGCAACCCACACCATACCAAAACCTACAGCAAAAGCATTCTATGAGGGTAGTTTATAACAATAAATGCCTACATCAAAAAGTAGAAAGATCACAAACAAATACTCTAATGTTACATCTCAAGAAATTAAAAAAGCAAGAACGAATTAACCCAAAACTAGTAGAAGGGAGGAAAGAAAAATCAGAGCAAAAATGATGAAATAGAGATTCTGAAAACACACAAAATGTGTTACTTCTGTCTTTTTTGTAATAGCCACTTAAACTGGAGTAAGATAGTATCTCATTGTGGAAAAAAAATGGCTATTATCAAAACAAGAATTTGGAACCAGGCTGAGGCTGAGATGGCTGAAATGATAAAAGTATAATTCAGAATACGAATAGGTACAAAGTCCATTGAGCTACAAGAGTATGTTGTAACCCAAAGCAAGGAAGCTAAAAATCATGATAAAACATTGCAGGAGCTGACAGACAAAATAGTCAGTATAGAGAAAAATGTCACTGACCTGACAGAGCTGAAAAACACACTACAAGAATTTCATAATGCAATCACAAGTATTAATAGCAAAATAGACTAAGCAGAGGAACGAATCTCAGAGCTTGAAGACTGGTTTTCTGAAATAAGATAGGCAGACAAGAATAGAAAAAAAAGAATGAAAAAGAATGAACAAAAGCTTCAAGAAATTTGGGATGATGAAAATAATCTGAATCTATGACTGATTGGTGTACCTCAGAAAGATGGGGAATTTGGAAAACATATTTCAGGATATCATCATTGAGAATTTCCCCAACCTAGCAAATCAGGCCAACATTCAAATTCAGGAAATGCAGAGAACCCCAGTAATATACTCCATGAGAAGATCAACCCCAAGACACATAATCATCAGATTCTCTAAGGTTGAAATGGAGGAAAAAATGTTAAAAGCAGACAGAGAGAAAGTCCAGGTCACCTATAAAGGGAAGCCCATCAGACTAACAGCAGATGTCTCAGCAGAAACCCTACAATACAGAAAAGATAGGGTGCAAATATTCAATATTCTTAAAGAAAATAATTTCCAACCCAGAATTTCATATGCAACCAAACTAAGCTTCATAAGTGAAGGAGAAATAAGATTCTTATCAGACAAGCAAATGCTGAGGGAATTTGTTACCACCAGACCTGCCTTACAAGACCTGCTGAAGATACCAATAATGTGAAAAGGAAAGATTGTTACCAGCTAACTACAAAAACACAATGAAGTATACAGACCAGTGACACTATAAAGAAACCACATAAACAAGTCTTCAAACTAACCAGCTAACATCAGGATGACAGGATCAAATCCAGACATATCAATACTAACCTTAAACGTAAATGAGTTAAGTGCCTTAATTAAAAGACAGAGTGGCAAGCTGGATAAAGAACCAGGAACCATTGGTATGCTGTATTCAAGAGACCCATCTCACATGCAATGACACACATAGGCTCAAAATAAAGGGATGAAGGAAAATCTACCAAGCAAATGGAAAACAGAAAAAAGCAGGGGTTGCAATCCCAGTTTCTGACAAAGCAGACTTTAAATCAACAAAAATCAAAGAAGACAAAGAAGGGCATTACATAATGGTAAAGGGTTCAATTCAACAAGAAGACCTAACTATACTAACTATATATGTACCCAACTCAGGAGCACCCAGATTCATAAAGCAAGTTCTTAGAGGCCTTCAAAGAGACTTAGACTTCCATATAGTAATAGTGGGAGACTTTAACAGCCCAGTGACAATATTAGATCATTGAGACAGAAAATTAACAAAGATATTCAGGACCTGAACTTAGCACTGGATCAAACAAACCTGATAAATACTACAGAACTTTCCACCAAAAAACAGTAGACTATACATTCTTTTTATTTCCATATGGCACTTACTCTAAGATCGATCACATAATCGGAAGTAAAACATTCCTCAGCAAATGCAAAAGAACTGAAATCAAAACAGCCTCTTGGACCACAGCAGAATCAAATTAGAACTCAAGATTAAGAAACTCACTCAAAACCATATAATTACATGGAAATTGAATAACCTGCTCCTGAATGACTTTTGGGTAAATAATGAAATTAAGGCAGAAATCAAGAAGTTCTCTGTAACTAATGAGAACAAAGATACAACATATCAGAATCTCTGGGACACAGCTAAGGTAGTGTTAAGAGGGAAATTTATAGCACTAAATGCCCACATCGAAAACTAGAAAAATTTCAACTAAACCACCTAACATCACAATTAAAAGAACCAAGAGTAAACAAATCCCAAAGCCAGAAGAAGACAAGAGATAACCAAGATCAGAGCTAAACTGAAGGAGATAGAGATGTGAAAAGCCATTCAAAAGATTAACAAATCCAGGAGCTTATTTTTTGAAAAACTTAATAAAATAGACCGCTACCTTGACTAATAAAGAAGAAATAGAAGATTCAAATAAATACAATCAGAAATGATAAAGGAGATATTACCACTGACCCCAAAGAAATACAAAACAACCATCAGAGAATATTATGAACACCTAAACTAAAAAAAATAGAAGAAATGGATAAATTCCTGGAAACACACACCTTCCCAAGACTGAACCAGGAAAAAATTGATGCCCTGAACAGACCAATAATTATTTCTGAAATTGAGGCAATAATAAATAGCCTACCAACCAAAAAAAGCCCAGGACCAGATGGATTCACAGATAAATCTACCAGATACACAAATAAGTGTTGGTGCCATTTCTACTGAAACTATTCCAAAACAAATGAAAATAAAGGACTCCTCCCTAACTCATTCTATGAGGCCAGCATCATCTAGATACTAAAACCTGGCAGAGATACAATAAAGAAAGAAAACTTCAGGCCAATATTCTTGATAAATATTGATGCAAAAATCCTCAACCAAATACTGGCAAACCAAATCAAGCAGCACATCAAAAAGCTTATCCACCACAATCAAGTAGGCTTCATCCCAGGATGCAAGGATGGTTCAACATATACAAATCCATAAATGGGATTCCTCACATAAACAGAACTAAAGACAAAAACCACATGACTATCTCAATAGATTCAGAAAGGGCTTTCAGTGAAATTCAACATCCCTTCATGATAAAAACTCAATAAACTAGGTACTGAAGAAACATACCTAAAAATAGTAAGACCCATCTACGACAAACCCACAGCCAACATCATACTGAAAGGGCAAAAGCTGGAATCATTCCCCTTGAAAACCAGCACAAGAGAAGGATGCCCTATCTCACCACTCTTATTCAACATAGTATTGGAAGTTCTGGCCAGGGCAATCAGGCAAGAGAAAGAAATAAAGGGCATTCAAATAGGAAAAGAGGAAGTCAAACTACCCTGTTTGATGATGGCATAATCCTATATCTAGAAAAACTCATCAGCTCAGCCCAAGAGCTTCTTAAGCTGATAAGCAACTTCAGCAAAGTCTCAGGATATAAAATCAATGTGCAAAAATCACCAGCATTCCTATACACCAATAACAGCCAAGCCAAGAGCCAAATCATGAACAAACTCCCATTTATAATTGCCACAAAAAGAATAAAATACCTAGGAATACAGCTAACTAGGGAGGTGAAAAATCTCTATAGGAACTACAAACCACTGCTCCAGGAAATCAGAGATGACACAAACAAATGGAAAAATATTCCATCCTCATGGATAGAAAGAATAAGTATCATAAAAATGGCCCTGCTGAAGAAAGCAATTTATAGATTCAATGCTATTCCCATTAAACTACCACTGACATTCTTCACAGGACTAGAAAAAACTATTTCAAAATTCATATGGAACCAAAAAAGAGCCTGAATAGTCAAGGCAATTCTAAGCAAAAAGGACAAAGCTGAAGGCATCATGCTATCTGACTTCAAACAAATCTACAGGGTTATGGTATCCAAAACAGCATAGTACTAGTATAAGAACTGACACATAGATCAATGGAACAGAATAGAGAACCCAGAAATAAGACTGCACACCTACAACTATCTGATCTTTAACAAACCTGACAAAAACAAACAATAGGGAAAGGATCCCCTATTCAATAAATCGTGCTGGGATAACTAGCTAGCAATATGCAGAAGATTGTAACTAGACCCCTTCCTTACAACATACACAAAAATTAACTCAAGATGGATTAAAGACTTAAATGTTAAACCCTAAACTATAAAAACTCTGAAAGGGAATCTAAGCAATACCATTCAGGAAATAGGCATGGGCAAAGATTTCATGATAAAGACCAAAAGTAATTGCAATAAAAACAAAAATTGACAAATTGGGATCTAATTAAACTAAAGAGCTTCTGCACAGCAAAAGAAACTATCAACAGAGCAAACAGACAACCTACAGAATGAGAGAAAATGTTTACAAAGTATGCATCCAACAAAGGTCTAATATCCAAGATCTATAAGGAAATTAAACAAATTTACAAGAAAAAACAACCCCATTAAAAAGTGTCAAAGGACATGAACAGGCACTTCTCAAAAGAAGACATACATACAGCTAAGAAGTATGTGAAATAAAACTCAACATTACTGATCATTAGAGAAATGCAAATCAAAACCACAATGAGATGCCATCTCATACCAGGCAGAATGGCTATTATTAAAAAGTCAAAAAATAACAGATGCTATAGAGGTTGTGGAGAAAAAGGAATGCTTATACACTGTTTGTGGGAGTGTAAATTAGTTCAGCCATTGCAGAAGACCGTGTGATAATTGAGGCCTCGAGACCTAAAAACAGAAATACCATTCAACCCATCAATCTCATTACTGGGTGCATTAGTCCATTTTCACACTGCTATGAAGAAATACCTGAGACTGAATATTTCATAAATGAAAGAGGTTTAATTAACTCACAGTTTTCCATGGGTGGGGAGGCCTCAGGAAATTTTCAGTCATGGAAGAAGGTAAAGCAGAAGCAAGTACCTTCTTCACAAGGCAGCAGGAGAGAGAGAACACATGGGAAACTGCCACTTTTAAAACCACCACATCTCATGAGAACTCCATCACTAGCACAAGAACAGCATGGGGGAAAGCGCCTCCATGATCCAATCACCTCCCACCAGGTCCCTCCCTCAACATGTAGGGATTACAATTTGAGATGAGATTTGGGTGGAGACACAGAGTCAAACCATATCACTGGGTAAATACCCAGAGGAATATAAATTGTTCTATCATAAAGACCCATGCACGCATATGTTCCTTGCAGCACTATTCATAATAGCAAAGGCATGGAACCTAATGCCCATCAATGGCAGACTGGATAAAGAAAACGTGGTACATATACACCACGGAATACTATGCAGCCATATAAAAGAATGACATCACATCACTTTGCAGAGACATGGATGGAGCTGGGGGCCATTATCCTTAGCAAACTAATGCAGCAACATAAAACCAAATACTGCATGTTCTCACTTATAAGTGGGAACTAAGTGATGAGAATATATGAACACATAGAAGGAAACAACACACACTGGGGCCTAGAAGAGGGTGAAGGGTGGGAGGAGGCAGGAAATCAGGAAAAATAACTAATGGGTGCTCAGCTTAATACCTTGGTGACAAAATAATCTGTACAACAAATCCCCATGACACAAGATTACCTATGTAACAAACCTGTACTGCAAGTATCCCTGAATTTAAAATAAAAACTGAAAGAAAAAAATCAGCTATGCATCCTTGAAATAAACCCCACTTCATTATGTTGTGTAATTCTTATATACTGACTAATTCTATCTGCTAATATTTTGTTAAGGATTTTGCATCTTTATGGTGAATATTGGTTGGCAGTTTTCTCCTTCTTTGTGTGTGCTCTCTTTGTCTGGTTTTGGTATCAGAGTAAATACTAACTTCTTAAAATTAAAAAAAAGAAATTGAAGAAGACACAAAAAAATGGAAAGATATCCTGTGTTCATGGATTAGAGGAATTAACATCATTAAAATGTCCATACTACTCAGAGCAATCTACAGATTCAACACAATCCCTGTCAAAATACTAACGACATTCCTCACAGAAATAGAAACATCAATTCTAAAATTTTTGTGGAACTACAGAAGATCCCAAATAGCCATAGAAATCTTGAGCAAAAAGAACAAAGCTGGAGGCATCACACTACCTGACTTCAAAATACACTACAGGCTAGGCACAGTGGCTCACAGTGGCCTGTAATCCCAGCACTTTGGGAGGTTGAGATAGGCAGATTGCTTGAGCCCAGGAGTTTGTGGCCAGCCTGGGAAACATGGCAAAACCCTATCTCTACAAAAGATACACAAAAATATTAGCTGAATGTGGTGTCACACACCTGCAGTCCCATCTACTCAGGAGGCTGAGGCGGGAGTATCACTTGAGCCTGGGAGGTCGAGGCCGCAGTGAGCCATGATTGCACTACTGTTGTCCAGCCTAGGCAACAGAGCAAGGCCCTGTCTCAAAAGAAATGCATATATTTATATATAATATATAAATATACATTTATATAATATATGTTATATATATTTACATAAATATGTTATTTATATATGTATATACATTTACATATACATTTATATATTTGCATATACATTTACATATACTTTATATATGTATATACATTTACATATACATATATGTCTATATATATATATATACACACACACACATACACACACACAAATCTATAGTAACCAAGACAGGATGATACTGGCATTAAAACAGACATGGACACATAGACCAATGGAACAGGATAGGGAACTCCAAAATAAATCCATGCATTTACAGCCAACCTATTTTCAACAAAGTGCCAAGGACACATATTGTGGAAAAGACAATCTTTTCAATAAATGATGCTGGGAAAACTAGATATCCACATGCAGAAGAATCTCTCATCTTATACAAAAACAACTCAAACCTTTGCATTAAAGACCTAAGTATAATACACAAAACTATAAAACAACTGGAGGAAAACACAGGGGAAATGCTTCATTACACTGGTCTGGGCAAGGGTTTTTGGATAGGACCTCAAAGCACAGGTAACAAAAGCAAAAACAGACAAATGGGATTACATCAAACAAAAAAGCTTCTGCACAACAAAGGAAACAATCAACAGAGTTAAGAGACAACCTACAGAATGAGAGAAAATATTTGCAACCATGCATCCAACAAAGGGATAATATCTGGTGTTTATGACATAGTGGAGTGACTATAGCTAATAACAATGTACTGTATATTTCAAAATAGCTTCTAAAAAGATCTTAAAAGTTATCACCACAAAAAGGTGATAAAGGTTTGAGGTGATGGACATGCTAGCTGCCCTGATTTGATCATTATACAATGTCCACATGCATTGAAATGTCACACTGTGCCCTATAAACATATACAATTATTATGTGTCAATTATAAATCACATGAAAAATAAATAAATAAATTTTAAACATTTTAAATTGTGTTTGTTCCTGAAAAGATAGTCACTGAAAATAAGGGCCAAAAAATGTTTGTTTGAAAAGGGAGAGTGAATATGTCAATGTAAACTCAAAATGAGAGTCCATAGGTAATTTATCTTTCCAATTAGATTCTTGGCTAAATCATCATCATCACAGCACTCCATGTAGAATTTGAAGACTGCCCAGTTATGTGAGCATTTGAATAAGCTAATGTTCACAGAAGAGATAGATCTACCGTCTGCTCAGCTGAACTTTAAGCATTAGAATTATTCCTTAATCAGCAACTCACAATACATGCACACCAGGCTCCCGCCAAAGCATATAACTGTGAACGTCCAATCACTAAATCTCTAGGACAAGCGAAATTATAAGACATTGGGCTTACTTCTCTTTTAGTACTGTGCCACCTCTACTGGATTAACAGAGCACTTAACCATTAATCTAACTATTCAGGACTGCATCTTGGGATCAAACCACACTATCTAAAATTTGCCTTTCTTACCTTCGTAGCCTGTCACAGAATTGCATTCACTGAATTGTGCTATGGCCTTTCCCCTTGGCTTAAATAAAGACATGCTATAGAAAACAAGTTTCTGAAGTATATTACTTTTTTTCATAAAGTTATTGAGGACATTATCTATTTAATCACTGCATAGTCTTCATATGTTAATACGGATGAGAACTATCTTTAAGACACAGAGTAAGAAAAAGCTTTGTTTTCTCTGAGGAACAAGTGTATTCCTCCTTCCCCACCCTCAGTACTTTCTCTCATAGGCAATGTGAACATGTAACTCATATCTCTTTGCCTTGGCTACTAGAAAGCTCAGTATCAACTTCAGTGGGCAAGTATGATATTTTAGTAGAACTCTAAGATCTGCCTGTTTGTGCCCTTCCCCTTCCTCTTTATATTCTATTGTATTCATATTTGGTGTAATTTTAATTTTTAATTTTATTTTATTGTATATGTTTTACAAACTACATCAAATCTCTAAAAAGTGGAGTACAAATTTAAAAAGACAAGAAGCAGCAGAAAAGTAACCGTTACTTATTAAACACCTTTAAGGCAAGTGTTATGAGTTTATACCCGCAGAATTGTTATTCTGGCCTCCATAGACTGTCCACATAACCCTAGAGGTGAGCACACTCTGAGACTGAAAACCAGATTGCTTAACTCTTCCTATATGTTGATGTTTATAGTTGTAAAGGCATAAGCTGAGCTTTACTGGCTGACACCTTCATTCAGTAACATTATGGAGCACATACCATTTATAGTGTAAGTATTGCAAAGAATAAGACAGTAGAGTGTTTCAAAACACTCTAGAGCCAGACTGCCTGCACCTGAATCCTGGATCTACCATGAACAAGCTCTGTGATCTTGAGCAAGTTGTTCAACCTCTCTGTGCCTTATTTTCCTCATCTGTGTAATGGACTTAATAATAGTGTCTATCCCTTAGGGTTATGAAAGTCAAATGGGTTATCTGTAGAAGAGTGCCTAGCAATAGCAGGTGCTCTGTTAACTATTATTATCATTATAAAGAATAAAAAGAAGACACTGCTGTTGGCCCCAATTACTCTCAACATCTAGTAGGAAGCCAGACATATAAACAGTTTTTGGTTTTTGGTTTTTGGGGTTTTTTAGTGTCATAAATAAATACTATAGGAAGTCAAGTATAAACTACCAAGGATACAAAGGATATCATCATTTTTTCTGAGTTTGAGACCCAGCCCATCCAAAAATAATACACTGCCCTTTTATTTACATTTACATTCCTGTTGTTTTCTATGCGTAGTATGCATTCAAGATAATTTTATTCCTCAAATTCCCATCTAACAACATGTGGTGGTTACCATTTTATTGACATTTAATCCAATTGCCCATATGTAATAGCAACAATTACAGTTTTTTATCCCTGACATTTAGGTTCTCTGAATATTATGTGGCTTAAATTGGCACACAAGCTTTAACTGTCTTCAATTGCTGTCTGTCTTTCATTTTTCTGAGTTGAGAACATTTTAGCACCAGAATACACACACTTTTTCACATGCAAGCAAACACACACACACACACACACACACACACACACGGAAGTGTACACACAAAGGCAGTGTCTGGGTGCCATAACTGAATTCGTCTCTGCCCACTCAGTCTGCTTTTTTTTTTTTTTTATCATTTCGATCGATTACGCAGCAATCAACTGGACTGATCATGTGGCAGCCCGACCAGGTCATTAAGTTGACTGTGATAATCAGATCAGCTAGGAAACATTTCAGTTCCTTTCTCATCTAGAGATGGCAGGAGTCTCCCATATCCAAAAATTTTGCGACCCCAGATAAACATCATTGCTTTAAGCCAGTATTTCTTTTTCAGGCCATTCACATAATTTAGATCTAATTGCCATGTTCCCTTTAAGCATCACTTTTTGAAATAAGCACACAGGATATGAAATCAAAACTTGGAATGTAGATGCAACATCTACAGAGACTCTCCTGTTAAATAATGCAGTTGGAAAGAGGCACCACTGAGACAACAAGGCTTCTTGGTTGCTGTATAAAGGGCTGAATTCTGATGATGCTTAATTTCTCAATTCATAATTCCAAAGTCTGTGCAGCAGCTATGTCTAGTTAGCTACATCTTCATGTCCTGCAGGGTGGTGGGTGCAGCTGGGCAGCAGCAGGCTGCTGGTTCAGGTTGATTGTGTGGCCTGGCCTGAAGAGCCTCCTGGGACCAGCAGTGTTCTGCAAATTAAAGTCGGCCTGGCCTGAAGGTCAGCAGCCATCCCCCAGCAGTCACTGGCCGTCCCAGCCCACTGCCCTTGAGAAATTGGTGCACTGCAAAACATATTTGCTCAGATACAGAGAAAGCGATTCTTCACCTAATTACATCCATTTGGCTCTGAACAGATAGATCAGGTCTCTTTGTGGGATGAACAAAGCAAGAAGGAATGTTTATTTGTTTCTTAAATCTCTCCAGATTTTTCTATACAGAAGCTATGTAGCTCAGATAAAATAATGAATGTGTATGCTTTGTGAATTATGCACACTATATAAATGAGGGAAAGGGAGAGTGAGCAAAGGATGGAAAGGGTATGCACCCCACTCTAGGTTTGTCTTACACAAATGGCCTCCGTGGATTCCCATCTACAAACAGCTTCCAACCACAAATGCCTTCTCTCCAGTCTCTGCCAAAATAACAGCCATGCTTTATTATTCAAGGGCTTCTCTGAGTGCTGCTGTTCAGTCTTTCTCAGCTCTTTGAAATATCTTTACACATTTGCAGACAGAGCTGTTTTAGCCAAGCATTTCACATGTAAAATACTTTGTTAACTAGGTTAAATCAGTAGACAGAGAAACCCAGTGGAGTGTTCCACAAGTACCTATGCAGTAGCTTGAGAACCATAAAACACTAGTGTGCCAGACCATGAGGCCAGGGCCAATTGACCTTAAGCCTATTTGGGCAAAACTGCAAAGTAGGTAACATTTCTCTTTGGCCAAAGAGGTTTCCAGAGATTTTATCCTCTGCCCCCTCTTTTCAGCTGGTGTCCAGATGAGTTCCTTCATTCGTTGTCTACTCCTTCCCCACCCCCATTCCCACTCCCTCAGTTGTGTCCTGTTAGACCATTCACACTAAAATATATGACAGTCCTCTTGGGTTCAGCTATATTGTAATAGGGATTAATATTAAAGGATGAAGTTCTACACAGAATTTCAGGCCTTGATCATGGATGGATGTAGGATCATATGAGCCTTTCTGACACCCCTAAACATCCTTCCCTGTTGGAGGCTGCTAATTTCTCTGCTCAGTGCTGTGCCCCCAGGACTATTCCCTCATGGCTGAAGGTTTTCAGCCACAAAGAGGGCTGACTTAGAAATTATCTTGAGCATAGTATTTGATCAGGGAGCCCTATGAAAACATGATCCTGGAGAAATAAGGAGGATGAAGAGCTGAGAGTGAGAGCAAGCTTTCACCCCAACTCCATCAAATTCATCAGAAAAGTAAGGGTGTTTATTACCATCTATTTACCGCACAGCACCTTGCAGAAGGCAGTGGAAGCCTGTCTCAGAAAGACTTTCAAATCTTCGTATTAAAGGGATTGTACAGTTGAAGAACAAAGAGATACAAAGCCCTAATGAACAGTTTAAAATATTATCGCCATTCTAGTTTCTGGTCTCTAAGAGAGAACCACAGCTTTTCTAGTTATCTTATCTTAATTTCCAAGTAGTCCTAGCTGAATTGTTCATTTATTTCCAAGACCATGTCATTAGTTACAAGGTTAAGATTCAAACAGGCAGAGTAGAAGAAAGAAAAGCAAACTGGTGGAAGAAAAATGGACCCCATGACCTTTAGGAAGCATTTTGTTTGAAAAGCACACATTTCATTCTAGCTAATGGTATAAACACACAGATGTGGGGAATGGTCTCTTTGCTTTCACCCCACAGGTTTAGGGTTTGTCTAACTCTCCCACCCTGGGTTGAGCCAAACATCTTTGGGACCCCGACATGGAAGTACTGTCTCTTCTATTAGCCTGACTATATGGAATAGTCACCTTATTCTTGGTGAGCCTATAGTAAGCCCCTGAAAACAGAGGTTTGTCTTGTTGGAGAGTCATTAATTTGGCCTTAATTTAAAAAAAGTTGATTCTAATAACAACCTGTACCTATATTCAGTTCAGAAAACTCTATGCTAAGGAAGAAAAGCAGGAAAGAAGGAAGAAGGGGAAAAAGGAAGGAAAAAAGCAATGTGGATGTGTGTTATGGACATCCACACAGTATACTTAGTTGAATTGAAGCATATTCACTAATATTCTCCACCATGTTCTACTGGCTGAGTCATTCCTAGATCATCCAAAGTTGTATTCAATTTTTAAAGGAGAATAGAAGGAAAAAAACTAGACTGACTTTTTAGATTCTATCATTAACTGTGGTAAAGGAATGGTTTTTCAGCCCTTAGATAGCTAAGGGCACTTCATAATAGAATCCAGAGCCTTTCACCCCTAAATCACTGATTTGAATCCAACCCAGGTCACTATTGACAGAATGTTATTACCTCTAGGTGCTGTCTGGTAGCCCATGTGGAATGAGTTGATGGTCTCTGTCCTGTTCCATGTGGACAGTTGCCCATGTCACCTCATTGTCAGTTTCAAACGAGAAGCCAAGGAGTTAATGGATGTGGCGCCTGAGGCCCCTCACACTGCAAGGTGGTGCCCTCCAGGTCAGAGTGGAGGACATTGGCTGCGATGTGTGAAGCTGGGCCCCGATCTCCCTCATCACTTTCCAGGACATCAATCCATCTCGTTGTTCCACAGTCACCTTTGCTAGGGACAAAGAATAAAAAAACATGGCTGGGATTTTAGCCAGGATTTGTTTTCATTCTTCCTGGCAAGAGAGGCTCCAGTGATGCATTCAGCTTATATGAACTTCCAGTTCATGATCCTAATCAGAAAAACTGAAATTTGTAACACCACAGGAAAGCCATATGAATATTCAGATTACAAACCAAATGTTATTGGATTATGTTTTCTACTTCCTTTGCTATAATAGATTTTGCTGCAGAATAAAGGATCTGAGTTCAGCCAGAGCCACAAGCACATACTAGAATTTCTATTCAAGAGGACAACGACACACATATTTGAGAAAGGCCATGTATACTCCATGACTGTACACATGACTCCTACCTGAATGAAACTTTAGAAATCATGTAATTCAAACCCCATCTCTTTTTTTTTTTCAATGAGCAAAATGACATCCACATAGGCAAAGCATCTTGTTCAAGGTCACACAGTGGGAAAACAACACGACTAATTCTGAAGTCCTGTAATCCTGAATTCAGAATTCAGAAGGTCTGCAGGGCTCTTCCACAGAGGCATTTATTTCTTTTCACTTAGCAGGTGTTTATTGAGCACTTCCTGTGAGCTGGGCTCTCTTCCAGGACCTGTGGGGCAGTAGTGATGATGATGGAGGTGGGGGATGGATACAAGAAGGAAAAAGCGAAACTTTCCCAGTTCAGCAGGTAGCACAGAGCCTGGCATAGTGAGATGTCAATAAACAAGAACAAAAGAATGAATGAACGAATGAATGAACAAAAGTTTGAAGATAGGGGTTATTTTCTGTTTGGTGTTACCAAAAACATCCCAAGACAAAGATTGGAGTACAAGTAGTTTATTTGGCGGGAGAAGTCAGGAAGCAGTGGTAGAGGAGAGGGAAAGTGAAACAGGAAGGAGATGAATGGTGTATAGACGGCATCAGTGAACAGACTGCTGCTGAGGGTAACTGGGGCTCAGCCCCACTGCGGACTTCTGAGAGATAGTGAGAAATTCCTCAGGGCCAGAACATCATACAAGGTGAGGATGCTGGGATATATGTTCAGCAGCTCCCATTCTTCATTGACCAAGGGCTATACAAGCAAGATATTAACCTCCAGCACTCCTGGCCTTCCTATGTGGCAGCAAAGCACACTCCTGCAGGCACAGACAGCCTCAGACACTTGCAGTAGGAAGCCATCAGCCTTTTGAGAACATGAGTGTGGAGGGGGTGTGAGCAGGACACCAACAGCTTCTGCTATAAGGATTTGTGATCTTGTTTAAGAATAGATCTAACATTTAGAAGTTATCTTTGCTTATTACTATAAGGAGCAAAGATGGAGGGCTCAGAGAAGACCTGTAACATGGGCAGCAATAACTATGTGTGCTCAGTATAGGGTCAAGTACAGGAGAAGGTGCTGCTCACGTGGCTTGGCTCTCTGCATTGTCAATTTCTTCCCCTTACACTGGCAACCAGCAATTTGGCGTGCTCCTGTCTCCCACCTCTTCGCCTCTCTGCTCTGCTGCCTCCTCTGTAATAGCTCCTTTGCAGAATTTCTTCCTGCAAAATCCCTTTCCTGCTCCCCACCCAGCTGCCACCCTCTCCACCTTATTGTCTTGCTCTCTGAGCCCCCAGAACTGGAGTTTCCCCCTCACATTTTATCCTCCAAATATCTTCCCATATTTTCATCTCCTCCCCAATATTCATGGTAACAAATTGGAATTTGTTTCTGAATAGCAGCAGACAATAGTTGCTCAAGAGAGTTAGTGAATAAATGAATCACCACATTACTAAGTCAAGATGCTAGCAGTGCACGTAGGAGAACAGGCCAGACACTGAATTGAGAATTTCATAGCAACTTTCAGTCCAATTCCTGAAGAAAATTAGACAAACCCCACAGCCTTCAGGAATCAGCTGAGTTCCAATGATGTTTGCTAGTAAAACGAAGTAGAAAGCCCCTTGGAATTCTTGCGACCAAGCACTGTGCAATTCCCAGAATCTTCCCCTGGCTTCAATTTCCCTCAAAGAAACTGTCTCAGTAATGTACACAGTGCAACAAGATTGCTAAATGCACAGACATTAAAATAAAGTTCAGGGAGGGAAATCTGTCTCAGAAGATGTCAGTGAATATGAGGAATTGTCTTGTGTTTCCCTCTTGGGCAAACCACAAGGATTTGGAGGAGAAACGTCATGCAGAAATAGATGTAAGAATTTTTAACATTCTTTTCTTTTGGGGTGGGGGTAAGGGACTCCCAATAGTTAAGAAGGGCCTATTGTGTGCAAGGAGATATTCCAGGTGCTTTACATAGTAACTCATTTAATCTTAATACAAACTTACAAATAATAATAATAAGGGGCAATATTTACTGAGGCAGTATTCTGGACACAATGCTAATACTTCAATATACAATCTTGCTCAATCCTCACAACACCACGTAAGATAAGTACAATTATTATCTTCATTTTACTCATGCATAAAGTGAGGATTTGTTATGATCTATAATCACCCCAAAATTACACATCTCACTTGGAACCACTGGTTCAGGGATCCACATGATTGTCTGACCAACTCTGTAAGCCATTCGGTTTCTACTGTATCACTACTGTCATGTGGGCAGCCCCATGATCTTTCACCTAGGAATCTTCTTTATATGGTGCCACCAGTGTCATGAGGTAAGGGAGAATTTGGTTACCTTCAGAGATATCAACTTCAGAAAGTTTGGGACACAGACCACCAAAGACCTTGTTTCTTTATTAATCCATGGATCTGACATCCATGAATATCCAAGGCTTGAGATTTTACACACCAGAAGGTCACTTCTGGTCTTCACTGTCATTTTCACAATCCTACTAAGATCAAGTCAGTGAGAAGTATTTTCCTCTACTCCTGCAAACCATAGCCTTCTGCTGGAGGCAGGATGAGATCTGCAGAATCTGCAGAAGTAGCTTTGTGCATAGCTCTTAATACTGGGCCCAAGTCTGCAGGGACTGGGAAATGAGAGCAGCGCAAGAAGGCATAAGAGAAGGCCCAAGATGCGCAGCTATGTCAGGAGAGACATACACATTTGCTCATCTGAGGGACAGATGGCTAAGGCAGTTTTGTGTTGACCCCAAGAAAGCCCCAGCTCTAATCAGTAGAGCCCACAAATGCTGTAATAGTATAGCAAATAACTTTGAAAACAAACCCAAAGGGCATTGTTGGGTCCAAAACTCAAAAACAAAGCTTTCTGGAAACTTGCTAGTTTCTTGATCTCAACCATGGTGGTAATTGAAAGCCCACAACCCTAGCCATCTGAACCACTCTTTGCTTTTAATTTAAAGCATGTGCAGACTTCAAATTACAATCTGGATGGGCCTCGAAAAGTGATTTGGACTTGCATTTCCCAAGGACACAGCATTGCTAGTAAAAATTACCAGGGCTGCCCATGATAGCCAACTTAACCATCATCTATTGCACACAACTTCCTTAATAGCAGATTTTGAGCTTCCATTTGGGATGACGAGAATATGTCTTCTGCTGACCCCACCCCCAGAGCAGACATGCATACAGCAGAGATCCCACTGTAGACCGAGGGTTCACCAGTGGGTCCATCAACAGCACCTCCTCCCCAGCAGCCGCCAGGTTCCACATGCAAAGAAGGGATGGGAAGGGTGGGGAGCAACTACCCCAGCATGTGGTGAAGAGGCACCTGAGGGGTCACAGAATTGGAAGGCAAATGGTGGGAGGTGGATGACTTCACCTCTCATTTGCAAAATGTGGGTGATGTACAGGGCTCCAGCGAGGATTAAACAAGAGAGTGGATCGAAAGGTGTCTAGCATGGCATATGGCACTTGGTATACAATAAATACATGTTTATTAAGAGCATATTTGCATTGTCAATGGAAAACTTTATATTATAATCATAATCATAATGCTTTATATTCATGTAGTATTTCTCATTTCATAAAACAGCTCTGAATATTTGAACTCCAATCTTTGCAACAGTCTTCAGGGTGGATATTAACATTATTACTGTTTTACAGATGAGGAAACAGAGGCTCAAGATGACACCGTGACTTGCCCAAGGCCACACATGGATAAAGCCCAGGTACTTCCGAGTCTACCCTGCAGGGGAATCAATCATACATTCCTTGGCTTACTACTGTAATGACTGGAAACAGTACCGTGTGACCTCTCATTGTGAAAGCAAGAATGCAATAGGCAGTCATGACCTTCCCGAGTTACACAAATTTGCCTTGCAGAGAAAGCAGAGTTAAGTGAGAACAATGATTAAGTGGAACAAAGGCATTCACTAGAACTCAGCCCTCTGGCTTTTTCTTCTACTCTCAATTCCCTACATAGCAGTAAAGATGACTGACCCTGACACTCCCCTCACTGGCCTTCCATTTACTCCCAGGGACAACCCAGCTTGTTATCTGAACACCCACACCTCTTCCTTCAACTTCCCTGCTAGAAAAAAAAAAAAACCCTTTAGAAAATAGTTCATCTGCTAATCCAACATCTCCCCACTTTCTAGAAGTCAGCAAAGTCTGCAAATTTCTCCAAGAGCCTATTCCCATCTTTAATTTTCCCAGTGTTTTCCTGGCTGTGCCACAGGCAGACACGGTTGGGATGGGGTCAGGGATGAACAGAGCCTGCGGTCATTATCCTAGGCCACAGTCCTCAGCTTGGTCACCGCCTCTAGTTGTACACGTATTTTAAAGCCGACGCTTTTTCATCCATTTGACCTTTCTGTTCCCATCAGCCTCAGACCATTACCATGCCTGGCCACACGTTTACCGAGGAGGGAAACAGGAACCTCTTCTGTCTGTCTGCTTTATCAACCACAGTCACAAAAAAGTCTACTCAGAACAAAGATGTTCTCTGTACCCTTCACCTGGCACGTAATTCTGGAAAGAAAAAGTGTATTTAATGGTGAGAAAGGAAGAACAGAGTTGAAAAAGGCAGCCCCCAAACGAACACCAGGCCACTTTCCCTTTCTGGCTCCTTACTGCAAGCCACCCTGTAATGGTCGACAGCACACACAAAGAGGGAAAAATTGCTTCTGGGGCTAAACATTAAAACAAAGGCAGCCCAAAGCTGGTTAATTCTTTGAATGAGACAAACATAAATGGCGCATGGATGTGCAGTAAGGTGTAAAAAAGGAAGTGAGATGCATTAGAACCAAGAGTGCATAATGTATTATCAACAGCTCTGCGGCTTTGATGGGCAAAGGCTTTTATACAGACGCCGTATTGATAGGTATTTCAACCAGCAGTAAAAAACTGTTCTTGACATTCATCTGTAGGGAAAAATATCCATGTACTCTTGGCTTTAGGACCAATTAGTCTGTGAAAGCAGCGGGGTGGGGGGACAGAATATAAATGCAGGATGCATCCGCACTTGATTACTCTAATGAAATGTCCATTGATTCCTATAGATTAATGTGAGAAGAACAGCAGCTGCAGAGTGGCTAACACCTCCAGGTCAGCGGCTGTGTGTGAGGGTGTGCATGTGTGCATGTGTGTGTGCACACCCCCACGAGTCTTGTGCCGCAGAGAAGAGAGAAATTAGAAGAGAAGGGTATGGGTGGGTGGGTGAGACTGATTGTACTGGACAGAATCAAGGAAAGGAAGGGTCTTGTTCCTTTTGAGGAGGGGAGAGCGAGGAGTGGCTGTGTGTGTCACTGGACAATAGGAACCTAGCTCAGCTACTTTCTGGGACAGGGAAGGCGAGCTCCACTTCCCTCCCCTCTGCCCTCTTCCCATCCACATTTGACTTTGCCGTAAGGGGGACAGAGAGCTCACAGGTCACCTAGTTTGGTTCCATTAATTTCATATGGCCTTTAGTCACCCAGAGCAAATGTGGAGTTCAAAGATGGCTCTCTGCCAACTCACTGGTGCTCACCCTCCACCCCAGTGCTGAAATCCTGCTGCTTGCCCAAGCCAATATTGTGCCTTGGGTAAATGTGCCAAACTAAGTAATAAATACATTTGCCAAGCTCAAAGGACCCAACCCTTCCCCGAGTAATTACTGGAGCACTATTCTACCCCTCCCAGATTTGGCATCAATTTAAATGCTAGATCACAAGAGCAAGAAAGTTTAAAGGGTGCTTACCTCATCACCAAGCAAACAGCCCTCCCGTGGCCACAAAGACCTCCTTTACCACCCAGCAACAGAAGGCCTGAGATCTGCTCAGTGTTTTTTACCTAAAATCTCCCCTGGCAGTATGAGTGCACAAAAATCATTTACATAAAAATTTCAATTAGCTAGTATGTCTTTGCTCCACCTGGTTCACAACAATTTCTACTTACAGAAAAGGGAGTAGTGGAAAAGTCTGAAAAGCAGGAGACCCCTGTGCCTGCAAGCATTCAGCAGCTGCAGAAGTGCTCTGAGAAAAACCAAATCTGCTGCAGTGTCTCCAAAAATGATTTTGAGGTTTCTGGACACACTCACAGGGTTATCTGCAGAACAGCAAAAATAGAAAAACTAGTGAGAAGTAGTCACCCTGAAAATCTTTTTACACGCAGAGAGGAACTTCTCCAGCAAGAGAATTCACGACCCAGTGAAGATGAGTCCCATCTAAGGTAGGAACTAGCAGGTTCAGTGTTCACAGCCATGTTCTTCTGACATCTTTAGAGGACTTGAAAGGCTAGTCAGAACATGCTAATCACTCTTACTTCTGTTTCTCTGACTCCTTATTTGTTAAAGACCAGAAGAAAAGAGACTCTTCACTGGGGAGCTAAGAAAGTGGATGACCAGGGCAGAATGCATCAGCAAAGCTGCTAGTGAAGTACCAAGCGTGGATAGTTTCTGCATGTTTTACCACAAAATGTATATATTCAGCATCTGTATATTTGTTTGTTTATTACTGTTAACTTGGTTTTAGATATGGTCAGACACAGATCCCTAAACTGGAATTTTATGGAGAGAGAGACAGAATAAGTAGATGCCAAAACTCTATGTGTGCACCAAATCTGATTGATTAATATATAGATAGATACCTAATTTAAAAAAAAATACAGTCGTGTTCTGTCACCCAGGCTGGAGTGCAGTGGCACTATCTCAGCTCACTGCAATCTCCGCCTCCCAGGTTCAAGTGATTCTTGTGCCTCAGTCTCCCGAGTAGCTGGGATTTTCGTTTTTTGTTTCTTGTTTTTTGTTTTTTTGTAGAAACGTTGTTTCACCATGTTGTCCAGGCTAGTCTTGAGCTCCTGGCCTCAAGTGATCTGCCTGCCTCTGCCTCCCAAAGTGCTGGGATTACAGGCGTGAGCCACTGCGCCCGGTTTAGATGCATAATTTTAAATGCAAATAGGCTATAGTCATCTTCTGATTGCTCTCCAGCTAAGACAAGTCTTTCCAGTTTTCCAAGTCTCCTTCACCTGTCGGCACTATGTAAGTCTGTGTTTTAAGGAGTACAGGCCTAACGCTCTTTTTTTATTGAGAAGCTGCAGAACTCTAACCGGTGGTTCAATAAATTGTATTACATCCCCCTCGCACTGAATGCCCTACACGCTATGGCTTTCCATGTGTAATTGCAAGCTGTTATTAGCCCTGAGCTGTGTCCGTTACTGGCCACACTCTTGCTGAGCGGTCAATTTTTTCCCCTGCCATTTCCTTTGCTCACACCATGCTGACCACGTTGGCCAGAGGCGGCCCGAGGTTTATAGTGCAGCATTGATTTTTCTTTTCTCTCAATACTGACAGAATCATAGATCCAAGGCAAATAAAGAAATGCATTCTGGGGTGATGAAATGTCTTTCATTCAGGCTGGATTGAATCAAAGCCCATCACAGAAATGTAGGGCTCTGAAATGCTAGAGAAGCTCATGCCTCAAATTGTGGAAAAATAAATTTTATGTTTTCTCCACTTTCCTTTGGATTCGTAAATCACTGGGGACACAGATAGTCCAGCCAGTGACCAAACTTGGGCAATGGGGACATTGTAAACAAAGAGTCTCTGTTACCACCTTCATTAATTAGGTTATTGCCTGTAATTCTGTTTTGAAGGATAGTCATTTATTAGCTTAAGTAACACCCAGAGTCTTCCACAGAACTGTCCTACTATAAAAATACTGACTGAGGCTCAGTCTCTTCTAAGAAATGCAAGATAGCAATTCACATAGATTTGTGAAATTCAAGCTCGCTGCCTATTATGGAGGGGCAACAATGACTGACTGCAATAAATTGAGGCAATCTTCTTTCAAATAACTCCAGTTGACACTTGGTGAAGTGTAAATATGACCTTCACTAATTAATTTGGTGATAATCATACCTTGTTTATAGACATTAATCCAAGTTTGATCTTTAGCACACACCAGAGTACATGCTCACAGAGACGGTAAGATAGTCAATGGAAAGACTCCTAGAGCAGGAGGTCAGGAGATCTGAATTTTCATCTTTGCTCTTTTCCATTAACAACAAGCCATTAGCCTGAACACATTACTGTACCTCTCCTGGCTTTGTTACTTCATCTGCAAAATAAAGATTGTAATACTGACTATGGGCGGTTTTGGTGGTTCAGTGGAGTGATGTATGGGAAGTGACTGGTACAGAGCCTGGCACATGTCATTCATTTGTGCCTTGTGAGTGGCTGAGTGCTAACTATGGGTAGGCACCAAGGTAGACACTAAGCATATAACGGTAAATAAAGCTGACTCCTGCCTTTGTGGAGACTATAGCCTGGTGGACATCACATAAGGTGCTGAAAATGACTGCTAGTTTATGATTATTATTATTATTACTTGTAGTGGTGAGTTTTACAAATGAAGGAGGTGGGATGCATGAACTTAGGTCCTTTCCAGCTCTCAGGCCCTTTAATCCATGATCAATAATAACTATCTGTGTGTGTACCTTTTCATGCATATCTGATTATACGTATAATTAGTATGCAGAAATGGTTTGCACTTAAGCAGATCTATCTGCCAAATGGCTTATTCTCTATATCCAAGTTTGGGACCATTCAAAACTCATGTGTATATTTATTTGTTTTCCATTCTGCCTAATTCCAAAAAAAAAATATTAAAGTAGTGTATCTTTTAAAAGCAAATTGAAGTTTCCTAGAATGCACAAAAAATAACCCACATTATTTTAATCTACCTGAACATTAAATCCAGGTCCCCAAAACCTGAAAATATTACAAGTATAGCCATTAAGTTTGACTATTAAAGGTACGTAGAGATACCAAGTATCATCTGTGGTTTCTGGTGATCTTAAAGACTAGACACCTCTCTATGACATTTAAGGTTTTTTCTTGACCCAATCAACATCTTTTAGACATTTAAGTTTTAGAGAGAAGAAACTTTATGTTATTTTAGATTTATCCCAGGTGGCTGGCACATAATAGGTGCTTTATCAATGTGAGTCCACCGGTCAACGAATGTCCTAATCAGTCAGGCAGTCAGGCTCTCTTTTAGGTCCTGGAAAAACCTCTATAATTCCTTGGGCTTTGGAAAACATGAATGCAGGAACCCATGGGAGAGGAGAAATTCCGTAAGTCAGAAATGCCTAGTATCTTCTCTCTGTACCAACTGGGAATAAAGAAGGAAGCAAGACTTTTCATCTTTGCTTCTGACTGACTCTGTCTCAAATTGTCCTCTAGGAAGAATGGCCTCTTTATTTTGTTTGGTTTTTAAATATCAAAAGAATATCTCTTTCAATGTTTATTGACACATAAGCTGGTTTTGAACAGCCTTTACCATTTTTCTGAATTTGGACAGTGACAGGTCACCCCTTTGAACATCTGTTTGATTTTCTACATATAACATAATTCCAATGACTGACGTAGAATTATAAGCTTAAATTACATGCTTATAAAATGCTAATATGTATAACATGTACTTCTTCTGTTTTTTAGATGATCTAGTCAATTATAAAAGCCATTACTCACACAAGGTACATATGTCAATTTAGCACCGTTCTTAATTCCAGACTCTACTATTCTTAGGTAATTTATGTAAAGTATATATTATAATCACTTAAGCCAGGATATACTCTGCTCAGTTCTACCTTTGGCCCTGAGGAATGTGCATTCAACAAGCATTTTCTAAGCACCCAGGACATGTCAGGGTCTGGATCTCTGCCTTCCTGGAGATCCCTGGGGAGACAAATGCAGCAAAAATTCAAGATTCAGCCAGTGGGGGCCATGATAGAGGACGTGCCCAAGGATGTGGAGGCCTAAGGTACAGTTTGCATCTGGAGTGAGAGGCATGGGCCAGAAAAGGCTTCCCAGGCATTTCTGAGATGAGATTTGAAGGAAGAATAGGACCAAGGGGCAAAGGAACTTGAAGCAATCTGCAAAGGAGGAGGAAGAGTCCACAGGAGTCAAGGGAATGTGTTCCTTGATTTCAAGGTGAGTATTCTCTTGTATTCACTTCCTAGAATGACCCAGAGCTGCTCAGCAGAACATTCAAAAATGTTAGTGCTGGGAGGGGGAACATTCCAGGCTGCGGGGTGGGAGTGTGTGAAAGAAAAGACCATATATCTTGCGATTTCTGCTGCTCAACACAGCAGGAATCTATGAATGGGTCCCGCCAACACTTCCACATGTGGAGAGTTGCTCGCCCACATTTCAGAATCTCAGGGGTCCACGTCCCTGCAAGTGTTTCCCCACAGACCGAGACTCACCCAGCAGGCTCTTGGAATTGTGACAATGGCCTCGTGGAGCATCTGAAAAGACAAGACCCATCTGTGACTGCTCAGGGTGAACGAGACTCAAGTTGGCGCAGCAAGGCTCAGCTTTCATCCACCTCAATGGCCGGGGCTGGAAATGGGATGAAGGGAATGAGGTAGAGAGAGATAAAGTCAGCTTTGGTAAGGAGAGAAAGACAGACCTAGAGTCAGCCTGAGGCCAGGAGGACAAAGAAAATTCACCCTGAAAACTCACCCTGTCGACTCCCAGGAGTGGTCTGACAGTGCACGTTTATCATTCACCTTAATTCAAATCAATTCTGATTTGCGAGAACATCAGCTGTTTGAAGAGATAGGTGACTTCGCCAATACATTCTTGCTTATCTTTCTCACTGACTAAATTAGTAAATTTAACTATAACAGGAAGAAAAAAACTTCAGGGATTTGGCAAGTAAAAAATATTTGCGTGGATCAAAAGGTTTGAATGAAATACTCATTTTGTGTGTGTGTGTCTAAGGCTGCACAGATAAAGTATTTTCCGACTTTACAGGAAACTTCAAGTCATCTAAGGGATGAATCATGCTGGCATATTAGGTGCCAAAAACCAATGCAAAACATTAAAAGTGTGTGATGGATTGTTATTAATATTATTATGACAATACAGTAACTGTTTTGGAACAAGATGGATTTAAATTTTTTAATTGCACAAGATTATTCTTGCACTGGTCCCTTTTAGAAATTTTCAGAGTTAAGAACTTCCCAGACACTACCCAGTATCTAGAAGGGCAAACACACCCACTTTGGGTAGATTCATATGAACCTTAACAGTCTCAATGATCTCCCCAGGATCAAAGGAGAACATTTAATAGAAGAGCATCTGGGCTGGGCGTAGTGGCTCTACCTGTAATTCCAACACTTTGGGAGGTCAAGGTGGGTGGATCACGAGGTCAGGAGTTCAAGACCAGCCTGACCGATATAGTGAAACTCTGTCTCTACTAAAAATCCAAAAAAATTAGCTGGGCCTGGTGGCAGGTGCCTGTAATCTCAGCTGAGGCTGAGGCAGGAGAATCGCTTGAACTCGGGAGGCCGGAGGTTGCAATGAGCCGAGATCACGCCACTGCACTCCAGACTAGGTGACAGTGTGAGTGAGACTCTGTCTCAAAAAAAAAAGAAAGAAAAGAAAAGAAAAGAGCATCTGGTGCCTTCTTCTGGAATCAAGAATTCTACATACAGGTGAAACCAAGCCTTGAGGGACAGACTAGTGTGGAAATGATTTGTTTACTGTGATATTCTGAATACCTGAAATAGCGCCTGGCACATTAGAGCCACTCAATAAACATCTGTTGAATGAATAAATGATTAATGAACAAAATACTGAATGAATGAATGAATGAATGAATGAACGAACGAACGAACAAATGTCTTGTTTCTGATAAACTCATACCAAGTCCTTTTGGCATTAAATCACAAGCATAAAACGCTGGGCAGCTCCCTCATGACTGCTGTGGCATTTCCTCTGCCTCCAACACTGTCTTTCCAGATTTCCACCTTCTCATTCAGGTTTCTGCTGATTACCATCTCCTCCAAGTTGCCCTCCCTGAACACAATATCAGAGGGGGAAAATACACCATCCCACAAAGACTTGCCAGCTATCTCCTTCTCCTGTTATTACCTTCTTCAGAGTAATTATGACTCTTATAAAATACATTAGTATGATGTATTAATTTTCTATGGCTGCTGTAACAATTACCACACTCTTAGTGGCTTAAAACAACACAAATTTATGATCTTATAGCTCTGTAGTTCAGCAGTCTGATACGGGTCTCACTGGGCTAAAATCAAGGTCTGCAGGGGCTGTGTTCCTTTCTGGAGACCTTAGGGGAGAATCTTTTTCTAGGCTTTTTCCAGCTGCTAGAGCCCATCCACATTCTTTAGTGCATGACTCCCTTCCTCCAACTTCAATGCCAGCAACATTCACTTTCTCAGACCATTCTTCCATAGTCATATCTCCCTCCAACCACAGCCAAGAAACATTCTTGCCTTTAAGGATCTCTCTGATTAGATTGAGTCCACCGGGAAAATCCTCGATAATCTCCACCATCTCAAGGTCCTTAGTTTAATCACATTTGCCAAATCTCTCTTGCCATGTAAGGTTACATATTCACAAGTACCAGGAATTAGGATGTGGACATCTTTAGGGGCCATGATTCTGTCTACTACATATGACAATAACTTTTTTCTTGTTTATTGTCTGATCCCAACAGGCTATAAATGCCAGGAAAGCCAGGACTTTGCCTTATTAGCTACTTACTGTATCAGTAGCACGTACAACCAGGCCTAGCACATTTTTGGCACTTCATAAATATTTGTGGAATGAGCAAACAAATGAATGATCCCCGGGGTATGACATAGATTGTTTGGTCTGACTTTTTGTTGCCCCAAAATTTTCAACCAGATATAAACTATTGATGATCCACCTAAGTCATCCTCTGTATACTTACGAGAGTGCCATAATTACTCAATTCTTCAAGACCTAAAATAGGGCAAGAGCCTTTTTGTTAATGTTTGAATGTCTCATATTCATTTATTTACTCTTAATGAAAAAGCAGTTTCAGAAATTATCAGACTCAAGCTTTACTAGCATCCCCTTTCCTTTAGGAATTTCTTGCTATATAGAATAAGACTGGTTTGAGGAAGATTGCACATACATTGTGAGAGATGGGAAGATTTACATCTAGAACCCTTTCTTTCCAGTTAAATAGCCTATAGCCTATGTAATTTGGCGCAAAGGAAGACAGATTAATAAACTGCAGTACTCGCAGCCCACTGAGGGCACTGTGGTATCATACAAAGGACATCAGAACCATATAGGCCTCAGTTGGAGTCCTGGCTCCACACTTTCTAATTATCTAGTTCTGAACAAGCCCCTTAATTACTAGCTTCAGCCTTCTCATCCACAAAAATGGGGAAAACAGTGCTTTTCAGGGATTAGGTAAGAAGAGGTCAAGCATGTGTGCGGTACACACCTAGTACTGGGTAAGTATTAGTTCCTATTTCCTCCCCCTCACTGATCTCATATCCTAAAAGGTTAGAGTATGTGGGGAGGGAAGCTAACAATACACAGAAATAGGACAAGAACAATTGGGTGGAATGAGAGCGTGCTGGCAGCAGAGCTTACTGTTTCAAAGATGAAAATAATAATGCATCACCTGGATATTAATATCCAATGAAAACATGCTGGTTTTTCTTCTCAGTGTGGTAGAGGAGGAGAACTTCAGCCTGGCTTTCAAGTCTTGCATCAGCTAACCTTTTCTAATTCCACCAAACGTGTGCTTACATTCCCGCCACAGGGAGAATTCAGAACAATTGTCCATCAGAACAAATGAAACACTGAAATGATTCAATGTTTGTTGAAAGATTCATTGCATGATACTATATATGGGTTGTTATTCCAGTATAACCAGCTAGAAAATAAGGAGTTGAAGCATCTGCCCACTCACCATATTAAAAAATAAAAGCCCTAATTCATCTTCGAGGGAAAAAATTAGATGAACTATTATTTTGGTGTTTCCTTAATATCATTCATAAATGTCTCCCATCCAAAATTTCCTATTTACTCCTCCCTATCCCAGTCTTAACTATCACCCAAGGCCCAGCTAAAATTCATTTATTAAGCTTTTCCTGATTTTTCTTATTCCCCAATTTTTAGAATTTGTTATTTCTACCACTGATTTGCAAATTTGGTTGATCATCAGAATCCCCTGGTTAAGGATAAGCTAGGTTATACTACAGCAACGAACACTCCAATATTTCAATGCTTTAACACAGCACAGTCTGTTACTAATGCAAAGCCCACTGCAAGTCTGGGAAACTTACCAGCACCATTTTGTTTCATGCAATGATTCAGAGACCCAGGCCAATGAAGACTCTACCATTCCATACCTGAACTATGTGGAATATATGGACCTCCATGACTGACACAGTAATGGAAGAAAATGCTGAATGATCTGGCACTGTCAATTAAATGCTTCAACCCAGAAGTGACATATGTAATTCCCATTCTTGACCCACTAGCCAGAACCAGTCACACAATGCACCCAACTGGAAGTGACTGGGGGAGTATAGCTTTCCCAAGTGGTGAGAAGAAGACAACAGGATACAGATGAGTCTCCTCCACATCTAAAGTTCTTTTTAAAAGTATAGAGTCCCAGGAATACAACACAGACCCACTGAATCCCACAAATCTCACTTTGAGAGCTGGTTTTGAAGACTCTTCATTCATATCACTCATTCTAATGTACTCTTTATTACCCAGCATTTTATCTTTTCTTGTTCATATATGCAAGTTCCCTGAGGATAAGGACTATACCCTCATTTTAATTCAGGAAATGTTCATTAGTCAGACACCAGAAAACCTGAACCTGACATTGAAGCTTGGACCAACATTGAACCTGAATCTGAACATTGGCTTGGAATTCAAAAAGCATACCCATTTCTGCCATGAGTGAGTCACTGGTAAAAACTTTTTTTATTTTTAATTGAGATAGACTTAATATACCATGCAATTCATTTTTAAAGTACAAAATTCAATGGCTTTTGTATATTCACAAGGTTGTGCAATGATCACCACTACCTAATTCTAAAACATTTTCATCACCCCTAAAAAGAAATTCCATACCTATTAACAGTCACTTCCCATATTCCCCCTCCCAGCCCCTGGCAATCACTAACCTATCTGCTTTCTGTCTCTATGGATTTGCCTATTCTGAACATTTCATATAAATGTAATCATACAAAGTGTGGTTTTCTGGTATGGCTTCTTTTACATAGCATAATCTTTTCAAGGTTCATCCATGTTAAAGCATGTATCAGTACTTTATTCCTTATTAAATATTATCCCATTGTACACATATACCACAATTTATTTACCCATTCATCCATTGATGGTCATTTGGCTCATTTCCACTGTTGGGCTATTATAGATAATGCTTCTATGAGCATGCAGGCATGTATCAGTTTTTGTGTGAACAAGGATGTTTTCAGTTTTCTTGGGCATGTACTTAGAAGTGGAATTTCTGGGCCATATGGCCACTCTATGTTTCACAGCACTTTTTTAAATTGATATATAATAGTTGTACTTAATTTGGGGGTACATATATTTTCAGACCTTTATATAATGTGTAGTGATCAAGTCAGGGCATTTAAGATACTCATCACCTCAAAAACACTTATTTTTCTTTGCTTTGGGAACATTACAATTTTTCTCTTCTAGTTATTTTGAAATATACAACGTTATTGTTAATTATAACTTCCCTACTGTACTATTGAATAATATAATTTCTTCCAACTAACTGTATTTTTGTACACCTTAACCAACATATCTTGATCCCTCCTACTCCAATCCCTTCCCAGCTCCTGGTAACCACCATTCTACCCTCTGCCTCCATGAGATTCACATTTTTACCTCCTGCATATAAGTGAAAACATACAATATTTGTCTTTCTGTACCTAGCTTATTTCGCTTAACATAAGGACATTCAGTTCCATGCATGTTGCTGCAAATGACAGGATTTCATTTTTTATGGCTGAATAGTAGTCCACTGTGTATATACACCACGTTTTCTTCCATTCGTCTGTTAATGGACACTTACATTGGTTCCATATCTTGGCTATTGTGAATAATGCTTCAATAAACATGGAAGTGTAGATAAGTCTTTGATATAGTGATTTCCTTTCTTTTGGATAAATACCCAGTGGGATTGCTGGATGATATGGTAGTTCTATTTTTATTTATTTACTTTTTTTGAGGAGCCTCTATACTGTTGTTCATGGTGGCTATACCACTTTATGCTCCCACCAACAGTGTATGAGTGTTCCTTTTCTCTGCATCCTTGCCAGCATTTGGTGTGTTCTGGGTTTTTGTGGGGTTTTTTGTCTGTTTGATAATAGCCATTCTAACTAGAGTAAGATGATATCCCATTGTGGTTTTGGTTTGCATGTCCCTAATGATTAGGGATGTTGAGCATTTTGTATATACCTGTTGGCCATTTGTATGTCTTCTTTTGAGAAATGCCTACTCGGGTCCTTTGCCCATTTTTCAATCAGATTATTTGGTATTTTTTGCCATAGAGCTGTTCAGATTCCTTATAGAACTTTGTTAAATTTACATATTTATCTGTAAAATGTGGGAAGTAGTCCCCTGCCCTGTGAGCCCCAAGAGGCTCAAATATAAAAATAAGAATCAAATATAAAAAGGATCAAATATTTTGTAAATGTTAAAACACTAATAAGCTCTAAGTATTATCATCATGTTTCAAAAGCACTAAGCACAACTTCTTACCCATAATAGGTGCTCAGTGAAGATATGTATGCTGGTTGATTTGTGTAATTTTCAAACAAAAAGAAAAGAAACAGATTATTAAGTGGTATTAAATCCTGAGCATTTTTCCTAACAAGCAGAAGCATGTTACTCAGTGAATACCATAAGTCTGCATTTGATTTGTTTTCCTGAAGCAAAACAATGAATGTGTTGTTAAAATAAAATAAAATTGACCTGATATCTTTAACGGGTTTCCATACGGTCAATCTATTTCTTTAGACAGGCTCAGGAGTGAATAGCCTGTGTGTACAAAAATGGCGTCCACCAGGAACATGCGATATTTGGAAAAACTACTCCACCTTAGTTCCTTTAAAGAAGGGCTCTGCCAAGCCTTTTTTTTTTTTTTTCAGGAGTTAAATGTGTAGTCACAACCCTCCTCACAACTCTAAGGAGGAAGCAGCATTTTTTCACTAAACTGAAAATTGGCATCCCTTCATAGGAATCATGTCACTACCATTTCGGTAGCATGTTCATTCAGGTGTTCTGTCTAAATTGAGACTTTTAGGCACTAATAATAATTAACTACATTCTTAGCAATGAAAAAAGTCTTAAATGCCTATTTACTTAATGGTCCCCTAGGGTGTCTTTGTTTTGAATGGGATAAAAAAAAAAAAAAAAAAAAAAAAAAAAACCTTAGCTGCAAAATAAGCAGGTGATTCTAATCAATAAAGCCAGAGGACTATATTGATTACAAGAACTCCATTCTTTAGTCATTAACCCTGTGAATTCTCTACCATTGCTGGATAAAACTATTTCCACACGTTAGAACATAGAAAAGCTCACTGAGAAACTGGAATCTCATTTCGCTTTCATGCCTTCCATTTAGCCTACAGGATCATTTTAGGGAATCCATTCCACAGGCTGCACATGCAGGAACATGCCTCTCATGACCCTCTCTCAGTAGGGTGTGTGCTTGGAGGTCTTTGGATTTTTTTCCCCATTGGTGGTGATGGATTTTATGATCAAGCATTAAGCCTAGTTGGGGAATTTATTTTGCAGGAACAGGAAGCTTCCTCTCCTCTTTGGTGATTGCCAACATTTCTGCATTTTAGAGTGTTGGGATGAGAAACAACATTGATTTTTTAGTGAGACACAGTAGTTAAAACAATCTGACCTATGTACAACAGGCTGGATCCCACAACCTGGCTTGAGTTTCAAAGTTTAAGTTTATTGGCACATGCTGTAAGTGAACTAAGGATAGTTTCCATTCACTGCTTTTCTCTGAAATCCCATAGCACCTCATAATAAGTGGTGACACAGTGTGGATATACCCCACCAAAAATCAGGGGCTCTGGGTTTAAGTCCTAACTCTCTACTCAAACCAGGCAAGTCATTTCATCCTTCAGGGCTTATTTTCTCACCTGCAAAATGAGGGAGTTGTACTGATCCGTGCATCTCAAGTTTTCATGGGAATATGAATCACCTGGGCATCTGATTTAAATGCAGATTCTGATTCAGTGAGTATAAAGCAGGGCTTAAAATTCCACCCAGGTGAGGCTGAAGCTTCTGGTTCATGGGCACATTTTGAGAGGCAGAGTCCAAATTATATCTGAGGTTCCCTCACCCTGACACCACATCTCTATGACCTGCATGTCTCTGATGGTGTCAATCTATTTCCACCTTGCGCTGTGGACATTTCTGTAACTCCCTAATTAAACTGCAATCTCTCATGGTGAAATATTTTTTTTCTTGAACTCTGGGTCTTCTCTGCATCCCATAGGCTGCACAATGTTTGGCATACAAAGGTGTTCAATAAATATTTCCTAATGAATGTATGAATAAGGACATCTGATATCTTTGCTAATTCCAAGAACATTATATTTAGAATCAGAGCTGGAAGGATAGTTTGAGGCAATCCAATGTAACATTCTTATTTTATCCACAAGTCTAAGACCTAAATCACTCACGATGACATAGTTTACAACATGGCCAAAACTAATCCCCACATTCTTCCCCAAAAGTCTACACTCATACAGCACAGCATCTTCCATACACCTCCATATCACCTGTCAGTCATATTTCACTAGGGGCTTAATTCAGAGAATATGAAAAAGTTTAACTCTACCTGGACTATAATATGTAAAACCTATCTTGCATCTACCCGAAAGAAAGTGACAGGGAGGTTTAGGGAAGAAGCTGGGATCAAAAAAATTAGGTTGGTAGGGGGCCATTTATGCTCTTAGTTCCCTCCTGTTTTGAGAGAGTGGAAGAGTTTGGGATGCGGAGCTAGAAAATACTAGGTTACCAGATTTGAAAGGTAGTAAATTCACTTCTAGATATGACTACATTGCTGGACTGATACCAGTTGGCTTCAGCAGATTGACAATCTTCCCATTCTTGAATCCCATCTTTTCTTCCTTTCATTGCAGGTAGATGGACGTGGTACTCATCTTTATTACCAATTTGCCAAATTCCCATGCTACTGTAAATAAAAATTAGTGCTGTGAAAATTATAATGATTACATTAATATATTATTCATTCAACAAAATGTATAGAAGTATGGCATATATGAAAGGGAGATTATATTAAGACTAGAGTCCTGAGGAAGGGAAGATCATAGATGGTTTGGTCTGCCCACAGAGATGGGGAGGAGGGATTCCTGGCAGGGTTTCAAGCATGGGCACACCATGCTTCTATTTGAGCTCCATGTAGGGAACTGCAGCAGAATAGATGGAGGGAAGATGAGGCAGGAGGCTGGGAGCTCAAATATGAGGCTGCTACAGAAACCATTATGAGAGAAATGAGAACTTGAGACTTGAGCTCAGATAATACTAGTGTGGATGGAAAGACAGGAATTTCACAAAAAATTTAAGGCTGTCCCTTATGAAAACATAGCAGCGTGTATGAGGGAAGAAGAAGGTTAAAGAATTTCAGACCAGACCTAAAATTCAAATAAGAGGAGAAAGCAAGACCGAGAATGGGGAGGGAATACTATGCAGCCATAAAAAAATGATGAGTTCATGTCCTTTGTAAGGACATGGATGAAATCGGAAATCATCATTCTCAGTAAACTATCGCAAGAACAAAAAACCAAACACCGCATATTTTCACTCATAGGTGGGAACTGAACAATGAGAACACATGGACACAGGAAGGGGAACATCACACTCTGGGGACTGTTGTGGGGTGGGGGGAGGGGGGAGGGATAGCTTTAGGAGATATACCTAATGCTAGATGACGAGTTAATGGGTGCAGCACACCAGCATGGCACATGTATACATATGTAACTAACCTGCACATTGTGCATATGTACCCTAAAACTTAAAGTAAAATAATAATAATAAAATTTAAAAAATAAATAAATAAATAAAGACAAAATGCATGTATCACACTGATACAATATCTGTCATATAGCAAATGCTTAATAAATATTGTTATAAACACACACAAAAAAAATATGCAAACCATGAAGATCCGCACAGTTGTTGTTACAGGTGAGGCTCAAATTTGGCTCTGAGCATCCTAGAAGCCAAAGAAAAAACATAAACATGGATAGTGCTTGTTTCTCTAATAGATCAAAAACATAGCGTGCCTAAAAATAGTTATTTAAAAGAAGCACAAAGCACTTAACAAGAAGAAAGAAAATTTTCACATGAAACTTCTATAGGAGGCACTGCAAGATGTAGTCACAATGTTCTCAGCAGCATTCTTACTGTAAATGCAGGAATAACTTTAACCAGGGCATTTCTGGTAGAGGGCCTCAGTGAAATTATAGAGAGACTTTGTTAAGGCAATAGTACGTCCACAGTGAGAGAAGAAAAGATGAAATTCAATTGTATCTCACCCAAGAGATCTTGACTAAGTGGCTGCCATTTCTCGATTACAGCTTTTGCTCAAATTCCTGACAATCTGAGTGATTTCATTGTTGTCGTTGTGGTTGTTGTTGTTGCTGCTGCTGCTGTTGTTCTTGTTGCTGTCTGGCCCTTTGACAATGGGCCATTAAGACAGCCCCAACAGCTGTGACCAGTTTTGCCCTCATGATTGTCGATTTCTAGGGGCTAGGAGGCATTTACCTTTCTTAGCTTCAAATGGGTATTGGCTTTGTTTAAAGCAACACAGGTGCATTTATCAGCTCTTTTTCAAGGCAGCTGTGGTCTTTTCATATTTAGAAAAGCCGATGTGATGCCCAGGTCCCTTTATGTCAAGGCAGCCTTTGCTTTCCTGGAGGTCTTTAGAAAAGTTATCCTTTACATCCCCATGAAGACATTAATTTATCACAGATCCTTGTAATGATTTTCTATTTAATTGAAGGAGGAGAAAGAGAAGAACAAAGTAGAAGGGAAGCAGGAAGAGATAAACAAAAGAGAAAGAAGAAAGAAAAAGTAGGAAGAGCAAAGAGAAGGGGAAGGAAGAAAAAAAGAAGAAGAGGAGAAAGAAGATGAACTACAAGGACTAGGAGATAAATGCTCCCAAAATACTTCAAAGGCAAAGCCCCCAAGGTAACTTAGGGCACCTTCAAGGCAAGAGTAAAGAAGGACTATTTTCACCAAGGAAAGATGTTTTGCCAAGCTTCCCTGAAAGAGAGAGAACGGACATAGAGAGAAGGAAAAGATATAACTGGCCATAAATGAGACACTACTGATTTCTCTGTGATATGACCAGTTTCAACTTCAGATGTGGTTACGTGCATGACTGTTTTATTCGCCAGCCTGACTCCTCTGTCTGCCACCACATGGCTGGATGTGAAAATACTGCTTGGGCCTGATGCTAGTGGTCCATCTGTGAATGGTGGCATCTTATAAACACTATCAGAGCGCAGACCAATTCACAAAGGTGATGTCTCAGACCTTCCAATCACCCTCCCTTGCAAGCTCAAATAGGGTCACGTTGAACTTTCAAAATACTTCCTTTCGATTCTTTTATGCCATTGAGAATGCCTTATTTCCTTAACATTTATATGGTTCCCTATGAAGTATCAGAGTTTATTTATCCAGGTAGTCAAATGTATTAAACAAGGAGGAAATATGATCTCTGATGGAACCACAAGAATGTAAGCTTCGTGAAGGCAAGGATTTTGTCTGCTTGCTAATTCCTCAACCCTCAGTGACTAGAACAATGCCTGGCACTCTGTAGGCTCCTGATAAATATATGTTGAAAGAACGAATCAATAGATGAATAAACAGATGCTGGTGGTAAGAACAGTATGCCCGACTTTGGAGGGCACTGCTTCTATGAAAACATATATGCATGTTTATAGGATTGTTTCTAGACCCACAGAAAATTAGAATTGGAAAAGAACATTGTGGTCTTCTAGTCTAGCCTAAGGCCATGAAAATACTGCTAGTGACTATGATAATAATAGTAAATATTTGTTGAGTACAGCAAAGCTCAAAGTCACATCATGAATCTGCAGCAAAGCCAAAGCCCATCCCTGGCCTCTTGACTCCCAAGTCACCATCCTTTCCACTGCCACACAGTACCCAGGCAATTAACAAGCCTATGTCCAGGTTCCTGGCTTGACCAAGAGGCTCGTGAAGCTGACTGACCTCACCAGGAAATGAACAGAAAGTCCAAATTTGATTCCAGTCCCTGTGCATTATGGAGGGCAGGGATGGAAAATCCATGGGCAAAGGGATGAGGATGAAAAACAGCTTGACCCTAAGGAATATAACCACTGACAACCCCCTCCCTGGACCTTAAGGGGGCTAAAATAATGACCTTTTATTCTCATTCAGCACTTTAACATTTTTACAGTACTTTTGAGGCCATTTCTTCACTGAATTTCACAAACTAGCATCCTGCTGGCCAAATGCAGTTCACAGACATGCTTTGTGTTGGCCCACAGGTAAACACATTGATCCCTCATGAGGGACTTCCATTCATTCCTGAAAAACTGTCTGCAAAGAGAAAAACCATTAAATGAAAAATATTTCCATTCAGTTGAATGGGAAAAATTATGAGGTATTTCATCCCAAACCAAGATACTTAAACTGTTTTCTCAGATTATAAAAAAGTTATACCAATTGAACAATGAAAATAAATGTATAGGTAATAAACAACAACTTTAAAGTCCATAAATATAGTTTTGCACATAAAATGCAATGTGATTAAAATTTATGGTACTCATTTTTTTCTTCTTTCTGCATCATTTTCTTCATCAATTTTTCAACCTTCTGGGGACTCATGGTTATTTTTGCACTCAAACTACACTTGAAAATAAAGTTATAAACAGAAAAACACCCTCAGGGCAAAATAAAAGCTAAACAGGACAGTGCTTCAAAATGTGGAAATAGCACACACATGCAATTGCAGAGTCATGAGAAGCTGCTACCTCTTCATCTCTGGTACTTGACATTCATAAACAAGCAAAACATTTGAGTTTATCCAAACATAGCATGCAATTCAAATTCTCTCTTTATAATATTTTTGACTGAATCTGCTGTTGGATACATGAGTAAGTATTTTTTTGCCTAAAACCATAATGTAACAATATCACTTCTTTTAACACACTTATGTAGTGTGTGTAAGGGTAAAAAAAATGTCATTTATACACTCACCAAAAAAGGGAGGTGGCCAAAAGGTGGTAAAACTTTTCAAAAGCCATTAGAACAGGAAGACTTCAACGGATCAATGGGTATAGAAGTCTGTACCATAAAACTGGAATCAGTTGGAAACATTTAGAAATAAAGAATACCACAAAGAAATATAAAAGTCTGGCCTCTCTTGAGAAAGTGGACAATCTGACTACCCTGGTCTCAATGTTCTAACACAGCAGCAAACAGCTGGAGGAGTGGCTGCCCATCCATAGGGCCACGCACACCCCAAGACAACACAGTCCCCACCTGACCCTCTTCACTCGGTTCTATTCCTTATCTGGCCCTTGTAGAAATCTTTAGTCTGGGAATCTATTTCTTTTGGCTGTTCATTACAATGCTCCTACATGTGCAAGAGCCTTCCCATATAACCTGCTTTCCACAAAGAGACTCAGGCTGCACTAACAGAGAGTTCCTCCAGAATAGATGCCTTCCAGGGCACCATGTTTGAGACAAAACCGGGCAGTTTTGAGGCATCTGTGGCCACAGGGATACTGTCTGAGCCTGATGAAAGTGGAAGATTTGGAGTCTAAAAGCTCTAATTGGTCCCCTGGTTTTGTCATCACTTCCTACATTCTACTACGAATATTTTTGTGCCTGCCTTCTCGTCTCTGTTAAACTCTGTTTCTTTCATATTTATCCCCCTACACACACAGAGAGAGAGGGAGAGAAAGAGAGAGAGAGAGAGCATGCATGTGCTCACGCAAGAGAGAGGGATAGAGAGAGAGAAAGCACCTCCTAGTACAATAATATCATAGGTTCCAAGCTGGTGTAGGATAATCCTTTTTTTTTTTTTTAATTTTACTTTAAGTTCTGGGATACATGTGCAGAATGTGCAGGTTTGTTACATAGGTATACATGTGCCGTGGTGGTTTGCTGCACCTATCAATCCATCATCTAGGCTTTAAGCCCCACATGCGTAGGTATTTGTCCTAATGCTCTCCCTCCCCTTGCCCCCACCCCCTAACAAGCCCCGGTGTATGATGTTCCCCTCCCTGTGTCCATGTGTTCTCATTGTTAAATTCCCACTTATAAGTGAGAACATGAAGTGTTTGGTTTTCTGTTCCTGTGTTAGTTTGCTGAGAATGATGGCTTCCAGTTTCATCCATGTCCCTGAAAAGGACATGAACTTATTCTTCTTCATGGCTGCATGGTATTCCATGGTGTATATGTACCACATTTTCTTTATCCACTTGGATAATCCTATTATTAACCCCACCTCCCTGGTTCCCTCCAGGGAAAGCTATGACACAAACAGTAGCTACATGGAAAACAGAGTACTCAAAGTTGGGATACACTGTGCACCCCCAGCTTAAGTTACTGCCTGTCAACTAGAGACGTCAGGACTACAGAGAGGCTCACAGAGGCACAGCCTATACCTAAGTGCTTCCTGCGGGGGAGCAGGAAGTAGTAAAGAATAGATGAAGCTTAGATTTCTGCCTCTGTAACACAGTAACTCCCTCCTCCAGAGAAAACATGGCTCAATAAAAACCCTAGACTCGGATCAATCATTTTATTAGCTACTTCTTCCTGGGGCAGAATCTAGGAAGTAGATACCAGATGAGTGTAAATATCCCCTCCCCATTGTAGAAACCCAGTAAACTTGGCTAATACTTGCTTAGGCAGCCCAGGCATTATTATTCTCATTTTACTAGAGAAACTGAGGCCCCAAGATGTCATAAAATACATTCAAACTTGGAAACATAGAACGGGACTAATAATCTAGCTATTTTTATTTGAATTCCCCATCCAGAGCACAGCATCGCTAAGTGGTATCACTGGATAAAATCTTTGCAAGAGATTTGGACTACCTGACTAAAAGTTCCTGGAGGTTATATTTGGAGTACCTAAAACAGCTATAATTGTTATTACTTTCAGCCCTGTTTGGCCTCATTCCCCATGTTTGTCCTAAGTCCTACATTCCCCATGTGTGTGGGGTACATTGTTTCTGAAAGAGAGCATCTGGAATCATCATTCAGTCACTGGAAATAGCTCTCAACTTTGCACACTGGATTCACTTGGGAAGCTTTGACAGATACTGGTGCCATGGTCCCAGCCCTAGAGATCCCAGGCATCGAGAGTTTTAAAAGTTCCCAACATGATTCTATGTGGATCCAGCATTGAGAACCACAGTTGTAAACTCTCCTTTAGGCTGTCTTGGCTTTTTGCTGAGAAAGTCTTGGCTTTCCTGGGGGCCAGGAAGCTAATGTCCCTTTCCTACCACCTAGGTTACACAGGCAGCTTAGAGTTCAGTCCTGTTCCCAATGTTAAATCTTCACTTTCCAAGCCAAGGGCTCTATTAGTAATAATAATAATTACTATTTAGTGAGCACTTACTTTGTGAGGGCTTGTGTGCTAAATGGTTTGTGTGCATTATGCATTACCTCATTTAAACCTCAGCAACACCCTGTGAGACAGGTGCTATTATTTTTTTCCCAATTCCCAGATGAAGGCTCAGAGAGTTTGCATAACTTAGCCAAGATCATCTAGCTCCTAAGAGGCAGGACAGGAATCAACCTGGCCTGACCCCAAAGCTAGAACTCTTATTTTTTATTTTATTTATTTATTTATTTATTTATTTATTTATTTATTTATTTTTGGAGACGGAGTCTCACTCTGTCGCCCAGGCTGGAGGGCAGTGGCGCGATCTCGGCTCACTGCAAGCTCCGCCTCCTGGGTTCACACCATTCTTCTGCCTCAGCCTCCCCAGTAGCTGGGACGACAGGCACCAGCCACCACACCCAGCTAATTTTTTTTTTTTTGTATTTTTAGTAGAGATGGGCCAAAGCTAGAACTCTTAAAGCATCATGCTGTACTGTCCAATCTAGAACTTTCAAGCAGCCCTTGCATATTTTATTTCTGTGAAATAGATAATGTAATTTCAATGACACTAGCAAAACTAGAGTTATGTTGACTAGTGGTTGAGAGCAAGGGCTCTGGAGCCAGTCAAGGCTGCAATCCTGGCATCATCACTCGTGGTCTGGGTAACTTTGGGCAAGGCATTGACCTTCATCAATCTCAATTTACTTTCTCTTGAAGGATGCTAATAATAGCATCTAAACCATAAAGTTGTGGTGAGGAGTAAATGATATTAGCAAATTGAAAGCGCATAGAGCAGTACTTGGCTCCCAGTATTTAATAGAGAGCACATTAAATGTTACTTTTTGGTCATAATTTTTAGTACTATGCAACATCCAAAAAGACAGGGGCTTGGTCTTAAGGCCTTGTTTGTACAGATGAGTATATGCCTAGTTTCAACTTTTGTTCGTGACACTTAATGCATTAGGCCCCATAACATATCTGAAACATGCTGTTAAATACAGGCCTCCAATTCAATAGGTATACAGAGAATTAGGACTGTATCAAGGGAAAGAAGTGATGATAAATGTTCCCAAAGAAACTTGTTTTCTGATAGTTCAGTAATTTGCCATCAAATTTGCACTTGCCCTGCAGCATGAGAAAGCATCAGTTCAAGGAAGCTAAATCTATTCTCTTGCTAAAATACAGAGTTGAGGTCCTAAGGTAAACTTTCTTTGCAGGAATTAATAATTCAAGTCAGACACAAACCACCAAACAAGTCTCAACAAAGAGTTTCGATACCTATGAGAATAAAAGAAGATGGTATCACGACTTTGTAATAATAAGGAGTAAAGATATTTTCTGGAAGGGGAAAGGAGGGCAATGGGCTATGTGAAATTCCAAGGATCCGGGCAGTCTTTCTAGAAGACATATAACACAGCACATTGACATGAGCAAGTAGTCACTTCATAAATGTTTTATTATCATAGTAATTAGAATTCAGAACTACTTACTTTAGTTTAACCTTCTGAATGATTGTTTTGAGGGCCTTTCTCCAAAGACTTTCCTATTATAATCTTACCTCTGAGTATAATTTCACCTCTGGAAAGAGACTGGGGAAGGAAAAGAAGATGTCCTGAGTATCTTTAGTGCATTCGAGAGCCCACAAATTCTACCTGGAGTGCTCTGACCTGATGCATCCAAACGGGGTGTTGGAGTAGGCTTTGCTCCCTGTGGTCTGTCAGTCATACTCCCAGTTTGCTGCTTAATCAACCCATACATGTAGGCAGGTATCTGAGTATGAACATATTTTGCATTTCAGAAAAAAAAAAAAGACAAGAGGTCTTTGCAATGTGTCTGATCCAATTATACGAGCCCATAGAAAAGCACAGAAAGGTTCAGAGGAGCCCACGGTGAGAGAAGAGTCCAGAATAACTTTATTGGTGGTCTTGAAGAGCTGGGCTAATACACCTCAATGAGCCATTAAAGGAGGAAGGGGAAAGAGAGAGGGTGATAAACATGCATCTTCATTCAAACGTACTCATCAACAAAGCCTGCCTTTTCCATATGGACAACTACTACTGTTAGTTTTTAAGTAGTGATAAGAGCTCGTGAAGCACACAGGACCCTTACCTGGAGCACCATTAACAAAAACTCTTAATCAGAGGTGGGCAAGGGCCTCTGACCACACATTTATCTTTTCAGCTAAATGCATATGCTCAGGAAGCAATTCTGTCCCAGGGAGATCTTCAAAAAACAAATATATACATTCTGCTCTAAAGTTGAACACAGAATACAAGATGTTCATCAACAGGGCAAAGCCCACACACAAAATAACAGCCCTTTTCAGAGAAGCAGGCCTCTCTGAAAATCTATGGGCAGAACCTACTTAAGCATGAAGAAATATTTTATTCAGGATGCAGATAAAAACAACAAATGTAATATTACACCACTTTTGCTGCATTGAAAAATCAGCAAGTTCTTTTAACGAAGTGCATTCCTATTTGTAAGGTATTCAATAGCTGACTTTTAATTAAATAAACAAGAATTGTACAAAGTTAGGATTTGACTTCTCAGTCATTTACCTTTATTTTTTAGGCATTTGGGATTACCAAGGAAGAGGCATTGTTTCTCCTCTGTTCTTCCTCTTTCAACACATGACCCCAGAAGTTTATCCAAAGCCACAAGTCAAAGAATTATACGTGCGTTACCTAAAACCCTAAGACCCTTGGGAACAGCACCCAGAGTCAATAAGCGCATCAAGGAAGTCCATATCAGAAAAAAAGAAGAAGAAAACTAGAATCAAAATTAAGGACCTGTGAGTTCTGGTCTGAGATGCTTCCTGACCTTGGCTAAGTCATTTCTTCCCATGTTGGACTGAGTCCTCCTCCAGTACTTCATATAAGTGGGACAATTACAGGAGCTAAAATGAATATTGAGGTGGAGCAAAATACAGCAGGCTGTAACAGAGCTGCAAAGTGGTATGGAAGAACAGAAGAAGTGATGAATTCTGATTTGAGAACAGCAAGGGCCCCGGAAGATCTGAACTTCAGTGAGTTGGTGTCCAGGGTCATCAAAGAAATGGAACATTCTTTTCTAGCTATTATAGAAGGTCTCTTTAAATCTGTCCAAAATATTGGAACTACCTCATTAAAGGTGCCTGGAGGTTATATTTGGAACCAATCTTGATTTCATGGTCCTGAGTCTAAGTCTTGATTAGATCATTGATTTTTTTTCACTCTTGATGGGCCCCCATTTCCTATTCAGAATCCAGTTTCAAACTCAAAGGTACAACCTCCGAAGCTGGACTTCTAAAAAGGAAGATAATATCATCCCTCGCAAGCTTGCCTCAGCACTGTACCCAGAATCAACTCCACAATGGCTCTAGCACTTCCAGGTCTTTTTAACACAGCCCAGGCCATAAGATGTGTTCAGCCATCTAAGAGGGACACCATGGGACCTCAGCAGACCACTGGATCCCAACCATATTTACGCACATTGTGACAAACATTGAGTGTGCACTATGTATAAAACACTATAAAGAAGAAGAACATTAGAAACTATGCCTCTTCTCAAGGAGGTCTTGATCCACTAGGGAAGAGATTAACCTGAAGCTGAAATGTCTTATGATAGAGACACAAAATGTTATCAGAGCTCAAAAGATTACGGTTCTGTGTGGAAGTACTAAGAATACCTCCAAGAAGCTACATTCTCATGGGAATCCCTGGGTCTCTCTACATGCCCAACAACTCAGCTGACTTTGAACCCTATTGGCCTGACCTGTAGGGCCAGGCGACAACCCTAACAGGTAACACCTGCCTTGGTCATCACCCAAGAGTGTGTTGAAGGTTTTAACTTGTCACATAGTTAAATTACCTGCAGGCCTTGAGGAGGGGCCAGTCCTAGTATCTTCATTCAGATAACCAACTTGAAATGCTGGGAAAAGCTTTCAAGAGGAGGAAGTTTTTGACCTAGCTCTTGAAAAACATTCAATTTTAATGACTGTTTGTATATCTCTGTTGGAGGCCAGAGAAAAAGAGAGAGAAAGTGCATTCTCTGCAAAAAGAAGTGGTAAGAACAAAGGCACAAATGTGGGTGCATGTATTCTCTCAGTTATACAAAGGGACAGAGGTTAACCTTATGTCAGTTAACCTTATTACAGAGGTGGATACAGCAAGTTTCATGAAGCTCTAAGAACCTCTTTGCCGAATGAGGATACTCATGGATACTAAGTTTACTAAGTTCCTACTACAGTATTAGACACATATAATAAGTAAATAAAACAAAAACTCATGGATTAATTTAATTACCTCAATGATTGGGATATATCATCCCAATGTTGTGGTCATAAAGTACTGAAGACTCATGGTTTGCTAAAATAAATTTGGACGATAGGACTTTTGGCTGCTTATGTATACGGTGTAAAGATACTGATTCAGCTACCCTTTAATAATATCCCCCTGTTTTCATATGAAGACCAAATTTAACTGATGGGTGACAGTATAATGAACTCAACAAAGCTCTAGAAACTAGGTTTGTATAAATATCAAGACTAGACTCTTGAGAGGTTTTAGGGATGGAAGCAAAAGGGACAATGAGAATGCCTGCACCTACTCACCAGTTATCCCTGTGTAATGATGCTAGGGAAGCCTCCTTGTGTCTGACCCCAAACCGTAGCTCAGTCTGTCTGGATAAGCTAGTAAGGTGTGGGTGCACTGTAGCTGCCAGAGTCTTCCCACCCTCTCTTCCAAAGGATCCTCAACAGCTTTTACAGCCACTTAATGAGCCACGTGGCCTGACAGCTGTGGAAGCCACCAGCAAAGAACTGAGCAACCGTCTACTACAACCAGACAGGGAATGAGAAAGGAGGACAGAATTTGGGCAATTCCTTCCCATCTACAGCTCCATCAGGTATGAATGGCAGAGAGGTGAAGTAACTTTCTCTTCACAAACCTGCTTCCATCCAGCTTTTGTTTCCACTCCCTCCAGGCTATCCCTGGGGCTTCAGGTCCTCTCCATCAACCACCCATCTTGGTATGCAGTGTATAGGAAAATTGTCAGCAGTGGTATTTGCTACTTGACACTTTGTACCAGAACGACCAAAAAACATACAAAAAAATTATAATAAAAAAGAAGGTAAATCATCCATCTTCTGCAGATGCTGCTGGTCTATGAAGACTAAGGGTAAGCTGACATTCAACTTTGCTTTCAGTGACATCCACCTCTAAAACTGACTGCACAGAGGCCTTAACCCAACAATAATTATGCAGCAGTCTACTCAATGCCACTCACTCATATTCAGAGGGGAGCCAGTTTAAGAGGTAGGCAGAGAGCTACACTTTCTAATGCTGCACTCTGCCACAGATGTACCCTACTATGAATGTTAAACTTAGGCTCTGATATAGTTTGGATGTTTGTCCCCTCCAGATCTCATGTTGAAATGTGATCCCCAGTGTTGGAGGTGGGGCCTGGTGGGATGTGTTTGGATCATTGAGGCAGATCCTTCATGAATGACTTGCTGCCCTCCCCATGGTAATGGGTGAGTTCTTGCTCTGTAAGTTCACAAAAGAGCTGGTTGTTTAAAACAGACTGGTATCTTTCTCTTGGCATCTCTCTCACATGTGATATGCCAGCTCCCCTTCCCTTTATGCCATGACTGGATGCTCCCTGAAGCCCTCACCAGATGCAGATGCTGGCATCATGCTTCTAGTACAGCCTGCAGAATGGTGAGCCAAATAAACCTCCTTTCTTTATAAATTACCCAGCCTCAGATATTCCTTTACAGCAAAGCAAAATGGACTAATATCGGCTGTATTGAATTATTTTGCATTCCCTGAACCCACATAATCTAAATCATTCAATTAATTCAACAAATACTCATTAAGTACTGCTGTGGATCAGGCACTGTTCCAGGTGCTAGCAACACGGCAAGAGAGACAAAAACCTCTGTTCTTATAAAACTTCACTCTAGTGGGAAAAGCTACCAGATAGATAGATGGATGGATAGACAGATAGATGGATGGATGGATAGATAGATAGATAGATAGATAGATAGATAGAGAATTAAATAAAAATAAAATACAGTAAGATAGAGAATAACAAGGTGGTCAGACTGAGCAGCTGCTATTTTAAATAAGGTGATCCAGGAAGAATCTGAGAAGGAAATATTTGAGTAGAGCCTTAAAGGAAGTGAGGAAGAAAACCATGCATCTAACTGGGGAAACAGTACACCAGGAAGAAGAGATTGTCAGTGTAAAGGCAGGGCTGCCCTCTAGATCACGTAGGGCTTTGTGGACCATTGTCAAACCCTGGCTTTTATGCTGAGCAAGCCATTGCAGTGTTTTGAACAGAGGTGTAACAACATTGGACTTGCGTTTTGAATGGATGATTCTGGCTGCTGTGGAGAAAATGGCTTATAAGGGGGACAAGGTGCCCACCTAGAAGAGCTCAGACAACCAGCCTTGACAGCAACCTCAGAGCCTGCCAGTGGGACAGACATGGGCAAGAGAGCCTCTTGCCTCCCTTGCCTTTCACCCCATTGGAATTTCTCTCTCTATGTCAAAAAATGGTTCCAGAGTTTGCACTGCTTTAGAGAAGGAGTGAAATTTTCACGGCTTTAGAGAAGCATTTAACTTCCTTTTTATTTTTTATTTTTTAGAGACAGGGTCTTACTCTCTCACCCAGGCTTCAGTGCAGTGATACAGTCATTGCTCACTGTAACCTTGAACTTCCAGGCTCAAGCAATCCTCTTGCCTCAATTCTGAGTAGCTGGAACTACAGCCATGTGCCACCACGCCTGGGTAACTTTTTTTTTTAATTTTTAGTTTTAGAGACAGGGTTGTGCTGTGTTGCCCAGGCTGGTCTCAAACTCCTGGCCTCAAGCAATCCTTCCACCTCAGTCTCCCAACGTTCTGAAATGACAGGCATGAGCCACTGTGCCTGGCTGCATTTTATCTCTTAACACACTTCTCCCTCAAGGCTGTTGTTCAGGGATGAGCAAAGAGAGCCACTTTTCAGATTCTTGGCTGAGGCCATTGTTGCCAACAGACAATTGTCACCTTCCTACATTTCTCCAGTTGCCTAGGCAACAAGTGGTCCTACCTCTTCAGAAACATCCTAAATTATACTAGGTGCTACTCAGTGCACATGGAAGGCATGGACCCCAACCCAAGCAAATTTCTTGAAAGGAGAAATATAAGAAAGATGCTAAAATCGGAAGTTTTCTGGTTCTAACTCTGCCACCAACTCGCTCTGTGTCCTTGGGAAAGTTCTAGTGTCCTCATCTGAAAATAAGGTCATGTCCATCTATCCATTTATTCGTTCCACTACATTTTAATAAGCATGTTTCATAGTCTAAGCCCCTGTCCAAAGTACTGATGATTAAAAAGATGAATACAATTTGGTCACTGTTCTCAACGGGCTTCCAATAAATTGAGACAAATGGCTCTGATAATTACATATAATATGATGTGATGATTGCAATAAAGAAATAAGAACAAAAACTGCAGGGAGCACAGAAGAGGAAACCTCGCCTAAGTATCTTTGCAGCCCCAGTACTCTATGACCCCTGAATCTACTTTGGAGTGTCTGTCACTCAATGGCCTTAGAAAAGGCTTCTCCTAGGTGACAATGTCTCAACTTTGGCTAATTGAAGTCAGTTCTTCAATAAAAGTGCTAACTTCACTTCTTACCAGCCAATAGGGAAGAGTCATCAAGAAAGTTGGGCCATTCTGCTAAATGTAGAAAAGCCAACACTAATCCCAATTTTATATATATTTGAAAAATTATCATCTAAAACTTGGTGAAGTGCTTCAAGGTGCCTGGAACAGCCAGACAGGCTGCCCTGGGGACATGTTGACCTTGGCTTAACAGTCCAAGGAGATGACAACACCTTTAGAGGGTAGAGAGATTGCGCTGGCACCACTGGCTCCTCCACCAGGTTGGCACCAGTCCCTAGAACCGTACCTTGAAACTTCATTCATTTGCCTTCTAACTGATAATAGGTCTAACTTGAAGCACAGAGGGACTGTGACCCAGACAGCTTTCTCCATTCACCCAAAGACTTATTCTTTAAAAAATATATATCTCTGTAGTAGTCAGTATATGCTCATCTCTATACCAGGTGCCTAAGAATGCCCCTGTCCCTCAGAAAGCAAGTTACACTTGAGCCAACCTCAGTTCCATGCCTCCTGGTGTCCTGAGTTCTCCCTGTGGCCTTCTGGAGTTCCCATGGCTTTCTGCCAAGCATCACTGCCTCCATGCACCAGCAGCACATGCTTCCTCAGTTCTTTCTTTGTGTAAATTTCACTGCCAATCTCAGCCCAGAAATAAGTTTTCATAAAGCCAGTGTACGCATACACACAAAATTCACTCAAAGTCAAGCATTTAGTGAGTTCTTCTTACTGGAGATTCTGGGGTGGGGTCAGAGGAAGGGGTCACATCAGAGAACTTGCGGCCTACCAGCCAGTCTCTCATGGCCTCCACCCGCTTCCTTTCTCTTATTCCATTTTCTCCCTAGAGCGACAAACAGCCTATTCCTCTCTTCTCATGTGAAACAGTTGAGCTGCCTTCAGCAGGCTCCTGGAGGTCTCCTCTTTACCCCAAGCACCCATCAGAGTTTCTTCCTCAATACTTCCTTTTCCTTTTCTAATCAAGAATGATACAATGAACACTGGGGACTTGGGGGGAAGAGTGGGAGGGGGCGAGGGACTACAAATATGGTACAGTGTATACTGCTTGGGTGTTGGGTGCACCAAAATCTCACAAATCACCACTAAAGAACTTACTCATGTAACCAAATAGAACCTGTATGCCAATAACATATGGAAAAATGAATATTAAAAAGAATTTTAAAACACAATAAACAACCACATCATACCTGCCCCCCCAAAAAACATCTAATGAAATAAAAGAAAATCTATAAAGTCCCTCATCCCCAGTCCTTGAAGAGATTTACCAACAACTCTTTGTTAACATCCAAGGAAAGTCACACTTCTTACATTTGTATGGATTTCACAGGTAGCAATTAAGCACACAAATAGCTTGGAGGCTAAGAATGCAGTTTATAAGCCTGTGTAGCATAAGCCTAAAGTCTGTCCCTTAAAGATTAAATTTGGAGTAATTTTCAATATAGTCACTTCAGTGTTCTCCATCACTGGTGTGCTAGCTCTGATACAAGAGTGGCCAGTTTAACGTGGGCCAGGGATGTAGCTAAAGGCATCTGGAGCAGAGCAAGGCCAGGGTCAGCCTGAGACATTAAGACACATAAGCAGAAGAACAAAGACAAGTTCTCTGGATATTCCTGTCTAAAAATCCCACTGATACTCTGGTGAGATGGTCTGAGGGTTAATGCCAAGTGCGCACCAAGGTTCTACCCATATCTGGTATTTAATGTTCTATGTATGTGCACGTAGAGTTGAAGCCCTTTCAGCATTACAGTAACCCCATAGTGGATTGACTATTTGAAAGAGTTGGTTAGAAATAAAATAAAAATAGTAACAGATTCTTACCTTAAATTTTGCTATTTCATCTTAAAACATACGCAACCATATATTCATTTGTTAATCTTTTGATGTAAATAAAGCCAAGGCCTAAGTGTGGGCCCTCTAATTGGGGTTCTGTAAAGTCTTGTTTATGTACACTAGGCCCATATAATGCCTCAACAACTCTCAGTTTCCATTTCTTTAAAGCAGAATGAAAACTTAGAAGTACTGATAAAGCATCTAATTTGTAGACTTTTGTAGCTTTTCCCAATTATTTACAGTTATCTCATCCATATCTTATATAATAGCAAAAATTCTAGAGACTTGATTTTATCCAGCCTTTTCAGAAAATTCAAATTAGTTTCAGCAGAACCAATTTTCTTTCATTTTTATATTCATGTTTCCTCAATTTATGTAATATTTAATTAAATTATGTAATTACAATAGCAAGTACAAGTGTCATAAACAGTTTGGGAACAAACCCAACTGGTTTTGTAAGCATCAACTCACCTGGTAACACGTGTCCTGGGTGCCAGATAGTAGCCTCCTGACTGTGGGTGTTCAATGCTGGGCCTTGAGCCCAGTCAGTATGTTTTTTAGATGGAATAGAGAAGTAGGTTAAATGGAAGTTGGATAAGAGAGATTCCATGGTATATTCATGGTCATGTACACATATATTAGAAGTCAGAATAATCCCTTCTTGTCAAATGGTCTACCTCCTCCTTATCCTTTCAACTCAGAAAGCATGCCTTCTTACTCCCTTCTTTGCTAAACTTCATGCATAAAGAGAAAAAACTCACAGGATAGTCCAGTGTCACTTTGCTGCAACTCCTAAATCTTTGACTAAGTAAAATAGTGAGGTGAGAAATTCAGCTGGAATAGTTTAGATATTGAAGAGGCAGGAGGAGCTTTCAGCTTAGTGGAACAGGGTCTCTACCACAATGCTCTCCTGCCTCAAAATATCACCTCCACAAGTATTGAAAATGTTTATGTCCACATTTATTGACTGAGGCTTATTGGGAGACAATAAGGGCTAATTTGCTCTACTTAACAAAGTAACTGAGTTTTTCCTTTCCAATTTGTCTGGAGCATCCCAAGAGACAGGGGGATGGAGAGCCCTGGACCTGGGAAAAGAGGAGTGAGGAGATGAGTGACCCGAATGGGAAGTTGTCTAGCAGTAGGCAGGGGCTGAAAGAAAAAATGGCCAAAGAGAGGTTCCTGGTGTGAAGAATACTGGAGAATTCCAGGTCAGTAATACTGGCCATATTTACTTAATGCTTATACTTGTCCATGCGGCGATGCTCCTCTCCTTAGATTCCTCAAAACCATCAGTCCAAGTCTCTGATTTGTAATATCTTCTGTTGATAGTGCTTTCGGCAACAGCACTTGTATTGCCGGGTGGAGCAATGTGAGCCTAATAGAAGACAGAAGCTTCAGGATGCAAAACACTGAGTGGGGACAGAGAGACAACCAGAGGCAGGGGTTGAAGCAAAAGGTGACAGGAGTCCTTTGGGAGATCCACAGAAACATGAAGCTCTGTTTATGACACCATAAGCAGGCTGTGCCATCAAGAAGTTTTCAGTCTTATCAATGTGTCCCCATGAAACATTAATATAAGAAGAGAAGGTATCATGGACTATTGTGAATGGCAAGTCGTTTGTGTGGTAGAAGTTACACACCAAGCAGACTGCAGTGCTGACTAAAAAGTATTTCATGGGTTAGAAAAGAGAGGACATGCTTTAATCTCATGATATCTGATATGGTTTTGCTGTGTCCCCACCCAAATCTCATCTTGATTTGTAGTTTCCATAATTCCCACGTGTTGTGGGAGAGGCCCAGTGGGAGATAATTGAATGATGGCGGCAGTTTCCCCCATACTGTTCTGGTGGTAGTAAATAAGTCTCACGAGATATGATGGTTTTATAAGGGGAAACCCCTTTCGCTTGGTTCTCATTCTCTCTCTTGCCTGCCACCTTGTAAGACTTTCCTTTTGCCTTCCACCATGATTTTGAGGACTCCCCAGCCATGTGGAACCGTGAGTCCACTAAGCCTCTTTTTCTTTACAAATTACCCAGTCTTGGGTATGTCTTTATCAGAAGCGTGAAAATGAACTAATTCAATATCCTTATCAGGAACTACTGTTTACATTCAAAAGAGAACATGAGCACTGCAAAAGAAGGATACTTCCTCAGACCTTGTCCCCATCACTGTTCTCTCTATGAGATACAGGATGTGCATGGGTGATTTCCACTGTCACAGATTTGGACATATTTTTATATTGATTTTTGCTCTAAAAGTTTAATTTACCAGTATTCAAAATGGACTTCCATAATGAAACGGAACCTTTCTATGCCAATAGGCAAGTGTTCCACTATGCATGGATGCGGAATCTTCAGTTCCCTGGGCCCAGGCAGCACATGGTCATTACTCATGTTCCTCAAATCCTCTGATGCATGTCCTGACAGGAAGCACAGCTTCCTTTGTCACTGTCCACTCTCTCTGCAGTGGCCCACGGTGGCCCTTTCCATGGTGCTGTGGCTGCAGTGCCCACCGGGGCAGAGAAACACATACAATGGATATACACAGAGCTTGCCTGGACCCAAGTCAGTCTGGTTTAGAGAATCCCTGAAAGATATGTGAAATATCTGCGGAATCAAAGAGTTCCCAAGCATCACAGATTTCTAAAAAGAAAATTTAAACATTCTATTCTGCACAAGGGTATTGACAAAGAATAAAAGGAGAGCTAGAATCAAAGGAAGTTTCCAATATGGGTCCTTGGGTAAGCCTGCCCACTCCATCGTTGTCACACACTTCAAGTAATTATTGCTTGCTGCATGAAAGGAAAATGGTTTTCTCAAACCATTTTTTCCCCACCCATCCGCTGTCAGAAAGGTCATTATGATGGAAGATGTGTCTACAGAATTGCACAGGGCAAAACAAAACACACCACTACTGTCAAAAGGTAATAGTGCCTCCATGTAACAGAATATGAAGTCCCTATTTTCCATCCCAGTAGTATGCATTAGGTTATTATACACATGTTTGTAAGAAGGAATGAGAGATAAACTATGCAGACTCATACTGTGTCCTTCATGTACACCCACACATTTGGTTTTAAATGGGAAGATCTTAAAAGTCCTGTTTTAGCCCCTATTTCCCTACCTCCTTCATAACCCTGGTTTTAAACTTTACCGTCAATATGCTGTGTTTATCATTCTTAAAAGGTAGGGGATACAGAGCTGGCAATAACACTAAGTCATTTGGGGCATGCATTGTAAGTTACAGAGAAAACACAGGTTCTGGTTTATTATGCCAAAGCTGTAAAGCCGTGAATACAAAATATGGCTAGCAGTCACCTTGCTTTATTCTTCTTTTAACAACTTACTAACAGTGTGTAAATATAAAGCAAACTTTTATTTTTCCATCAGAGTTCTCTGAAACAGATACTGGAGTGCATTTAACATCGTGACCAGAAATATTGAAATTTGACAGCTAAGAGGTTAAAGGTCTCAAATTTATACATCGAGGTGTTTGTTCCTGTCATCGTCCCAGCAGCTTGCTCAGAATAACCCCTTTTGCTTACTGAACCTTTGAGAAACAGAGAACATTAAGTAATACATCTTGGCAGACATCCTGGGATTCTACTCCCACCAGGAAGGAAGCCATCCTTAAGCATCACTAAAAGAATTCTGTGGCTATTAAAAAGACATCCGTGCAAGCCGGGTGTTTAACTACATTGTGCAGAAAAATTTATTGTTTGGGCCCCTACTTCAAAAATGTCAGCCTGTAATTCCGGACTTTGTGCTTGGTTTCACGCAAACCTCTCATCTGACGCTGCCTTCTACCAAAATGCTATTTGCTGATAACATGGAAAATGACCACTTGAGCTCTTCCTGGAAAAAATGGGAATACTACCTCACTCTGGCAAAATTTCTCTTCAGCACAAACACTCCCTTCGTTTCACTGCCTATTTCAGTACTGCCCCTCCCTTCTGGCAACTCCTCACGCCTCCCCCACTCCCCAGGTACCCAGACTGCCCTGTCCGCCACCTGCCCATTCAAACTAGCAGCCAGTCAGAATCCACAGTGGATTTTGAGAAGATCTGGGTCCACCTCAAAGCCTGGACTCTTTAAATGTATACATCTAATAGCTAATTTGAAAATTCTATTTTCTCAAATAAGACAGTAGTAAACTATAACAAGAGTTAATTCTAAAGGGACAAGGAGACAATTGTCATCATCATATCTCACATATATGATGTACTTATCTGGTCCTATGTAAAATGGAGCACATGGATTAATTTATTTAATCCTCATAACAACCCCGTTAGGCCTATGCCGTTTTATACTCTCTCCTTTTTTTTAACAGCAAAATGACAAAGATTTTTTTAAGCTGCCTTAAGATAAAGATTCTGGGTCGTCTCTTAGGCTCACCCACCAGGGATATGATTGGTTTCCACAGCAAAAGGTACACTTTCTAAATGTCATAAATCTTTGAGATTACTTGCAAATCATCGAAGCTTAGAATAGTAAATCCTGGAATACCAGGGGTTTGCCTCAAACCCATTCTTAATAAAAGTATACTTCACTGATAGGTTAACATGTTACCCCTCCCAGGGATATTTTTCATCTAATGCTATCTTAAACCAGGGGGATTCGTAGTCAAAGATCGAACATCAGGCAGCACCTTTCTGCGAGAAAGGAGAGATACTCTTGTGGCTCTTTGAATTATGTTATATCAAATAACCATTTCTCTTTGTACAAGGCCCTACCTGGTTGAAGTAAAACAAAACAAGCAAGCCAGACTGAATGCTGCCTTACCCCTGCTTCCAGGAATTTTTAGAAGAAAAGGACATGAAAACCATAATTGAACAATAAGAAAATGAAACGTATTTATTTTTAATGCATAGATGTTACTTAAGAGTTGCCCCCATTAATGCTGTGAGGGCAAGAAAAAACTTCAAACATTTCCTGCAGCTAGTGGCTCTCAAACTAGAGCTTGCGTCGGAATGACCTGGAGTGACTGTTCAAACACAGATTGCTGGGCCCTAAATCAGAGTTTCTGATTTTGCTTTTCTAGCAAGTTCCCAAGTAACGCTGATGCTGCTGATCTAGAGACCACACTTTGAGAACCACTGCTTCTTGTTAGGTCACGGAAAGAATTTCTGGGTTTCCCTAGGTGTTTGAGGATTGGTCAGGGCGCTACCCAAGGTTTATTTCTAGCAGTGATTCTTACAGTAGCTCAAGGTGAGGCTTCAGCTGAGATTTGTAGGATGGGTGGGAGTCAACGCAGCCAAGAGGCCTTGAGAAGAGCTGTCCACCAGTGAAAGGTCAGAGTGACTGGCACTGCAGACTCAGACTGGGCAAGCCTCAGCTGGAAGGCTGAGCTGGAGCTCCCTCAGGGAGGTAGGCAGTCAGATAAACACCAGGACAGGGAGAGTATTCTGCTGCTCAGAAACACGACCTCCAAAACAGTACTCAAGGCTGGGCAGAGGGCAATGCCCACGGGCATGTGTGCACACACACACGCATGCATCCACCTCAGGAACTGCACCAGAGGAGGTAGATGGAAATGTTCCCTTTGCGTGAGCCAAAACCCAGGTTGGCCAATTTATTGCCCTCCAAAGAAACTGAAATTGACATGAACTCCCCCAAACCTAAGCAGAAGCATAAGGTGAAAGGGAAATAAAATGCTACAAATAAATAGGTATTTTATGTGTCTGCCATAACACCTGCATAGAAGAGAAAAGGGAAGAAAATCTATTTTACACCTCAAATCTAAAGATTTTACAATCCTTTCAAGTTTTTATATTAGGACCTAGACTCGGAATTTTATATATGTTGCCCACTCTTTACAGCTGATAGAATAAATGCAAGGGGAAAAAACAGGATAGATGAGGTACCACATTGCCCCTTCCTCATATTTTGTGAAAATTATCTTTTCTAAGACTCACAAAAGCCTCAATCTCTGCCTGAGTTATTAGGGGGGCTTTAAAAGCCACAGCTTTTGTGGACCTTTCAGCGTGGCATTTGGGCTCAAGGTTTTTTTAGCTCATCCACAGGTACCGGATTTATGACTGCTTATGGTCAGAAAAGCATGGCTGTGCTACATGAGGTTTAGAATGATCTTGGATGACTCTTTCACCTCCATTGTGTCCTCTAAATGTTGAAGAATAGTGCATGAATAGTTTCAGCAGTCATGAAAGTTATTTCCTAGTTCCCATCTAAGAACAACAAGCTAATAAGCTAATTGACACCTTAACATCAGCTGTGCCCTATTCGTGGAATGACAGCCCACCTGTCAGGTCCCTTCCCAAAAAGGCACACTGTCTGTTGATGCTCACACATCATAGCTTCTTTGGGCAGCACATTTTCCCTCAAGCCTTAAAACCTGTTATTAAGGCAGACTTCAGCACCATTTAAGTGACTTGCAAGCAAGCCTCTCGCTAATGAATATTAAACCCCTTGGGTCAGTGAGGTCCTCCGCCTTTCCCTATGGATAGGGTAAGACAAGATGCCATTTTTTCTTTTGGCGACCTAATGAATCTCTAACTGCTGATTTGTTTCCGTTTTCAGTCTAGAATAAACAAAAAGGCTTACAGCCTCCTTCTATGGTCGCCTGAGCTCACCAAACACCATGCAAAGGCAGCAATTTTTCATTATTGATAAAATGTAATGTCATAATGTCACGGCCTTTCAGGTCATCATCTTTGTAAGTCAGCAATGACATTATCACATTTTATAATGATAATAAATGGCCATAATGTTTGCATGTTATTTTCATTGGCTCCTCCTGAATTCTAATTCAACACCATCAACAGAAGAAACTCAACAGCAACTTCAAAGGTCTACCTCCTTAGATCTGCTCAAGGCTAATAGTAAAATTTGCAAGAATCAAAGCTAATTAAAAGCATAAGGACCATTTTTACCCCATTGACTAAATGCCTCACCTTTAGAAAGAATTTTTGCAGAATGTATTTTTACTGTTGGATTTTGGCACCTAAATGCATTAAATATATCTACTTCCTATTCATTCATGAACTCTCACTAACCCCTTTCTGTCCCGTTCCTGCCTGTGCTTCTCTAATCTGTCTAGTGATTTTTGAGTGCTGCATTCTGCCAGTTTCACAATAATCATAGAACACTAATTGGTCTAAATTATAAGAATCATTCATGGGGCACTTATTTCCACACATTAGCCTTCTGGCTCCACTCCTTGCTGAACAAGTAGAAATATTTCATTGTTTAGCCCCAGAACTCAAACAAGCATTCTTCAGAAAGCAATTTTTTTGGTTCATCAACAATACAGAGTAACAGAGAAATAGAGTAGAGTCAGAATAAATTCACACTCCAGTCCTAAATACGCTAAACCTAAAATAGACTTGAGAGACTTCAGGGAATGTTTTACAACCTGTAGCACTTCACAAAGAAAGAAACGGAGTGAGACCCTGTCTCAAAAAGGAAAGAAAGAAAGAAAGAGAGAGAGAGAGAGAGAGAAAGAAAGAAAGAAAGAAAGAAAGAAAGAAAGAAACAAAGAAAGAAAGAAAGAAACAAAGAAAGAAAGAAAGAAAGAAAGAAAGAAAGAAAGAAAGAAAGAAAGAAAGAAAGAAAGATAGAAAGAAAGAAAGAAAGAAAGAAACAAAGAAAGAAAGAAGAAAGAAAGAAAAGGAAACAAAGAAAGGAAGGAAGGGAGAGAAGGAAGGAAATTATCATTTGCTGAGCTCTGCACTGGTGTATCTCATCTGATCTTCAATGATCCCTAAAAGATAAGAATCATTCTCTGCTTTTAAAAGATAAGGAAACTGAGACTCAAGGAGAGTAGGCCGCTGATGGGTCACAAAAGCAGCGATCAAACTTCACAGTTGTAACTTCAAAGCTCATGAATGTTCCATTGCACAAAACTCCTAAATTAGACATTCCACTACTACAGAAGGAAGAATCAAACCTTCTGATCAGCCCCAAATAAAATCATATATTTAGTAAAACAACAGATATCAGTAGATTTCAGATGCAGAAAATATTTATTTTGCCATTAATACATCCAGCTAGACTGCTGTGGTACCATAGTCTCAGAGCAGGCCATCTTAATTGAGTTAATGACTTCCATTCATCTGTGTGATTCTTCATTGATGTATTTTCCACATTATTCAGTATGTTTCACTATTGTCATTGAAAACTGGGCCAAATTAGGCAGTTTCATGAGATTTGTAGATCAGCAGCCCTTTAGCTGATACAATAAAACCATGTAAAAAGTATATAGTGCTTTTTCACAATGGGTTTGCCACCAGAACACAGGTGTCATGAAAACTACCCCTAAAAGCCAAAATGGGAGAGGAAAAGACTTATATCAACATTGTCATCATTGGACGCATAGGTTCGGGCAAGTCCACCACTGCTGGCCATCTGATCTACAAATGCAGTGGCATTGACAAAAGAACCATTGAAAATTTGAGAAGGAGGCTGCTGAGATGGGAAAGGGCTCCTTCAAGTATGCCTGGGTCTTGGATAAACTGAAAGCTGAGCGTGAACATGGTATCACCATTCATATCTCCTTGTGGAAATTTGAGACCAGCAGGTACTATGTGACTATCACTGATGTCCCAGGACACAGAGACTTCATCAAAAATATGATTACAGGGACATCTCAGGCTGACTGTGCTGTCCTGATAGTTGCTGCTGGTGTTGGTGAGTTTGAGGCTGGTATCTCCAAGAATGAGCAGACCTGAAAGCCTGCCCTTCTGGCTTACACACTGGGTGTGAAAGAACTAATTGTTGGTGTTAACAAAATGAATTCCACGGAGCCACACTACAGCCAGTAGAGATACGAGGAAATCTTTAAGGAGGTCAGCACTTACACTAAGAAAATTGGCTACAACCCTGGCACAGTAGCATTTGTGCCAATTTCTGATTGGAATGGTGGCAACATGCTGGAGCCAAGTGCTAACATGCCTTGGTTCAAGGGATGGAAATTCACCTGTAACTACTGCAGCGCCATTGGACCTACGCTGCTTGAGGCTCTGGACTGCATCCTACCACCAACTCGTCCAACTGACAAGCCCTGCTTCTCCAGGATGTCTACAAAATTGATGGTATTGGTACTGTTCCTATTGGCCAAGTGGAGACTGGTGTTCTCAAACCTGGTATGGTGGTCATCTTTGCTCCAGTCAACATTACAACTGAAGTAAAATCTGTCAAAAGGCACCATGAAGATTTGAGTGAAGCTCTTCCTGGGGACAATGTGGGCTTCAATGTCAAGAATGTGTCTGTCAAGGATCTTTGTCGTGGCAACTTTGCTGGTGACAGCAAAAATGACCCACCAATGGAAGCAGCTGGCTTCACTGCTCAGATGATTATCCTGAACCGTCCAGGCCTAATCAGCCCTGGCTACGTCCCTGTACTGGATTGCCACATGGCTCACCTTGCATGCAAGTTTGCTGAGCTGAAGAAAAGATTGATCGCCATTCTGGTAAAAAGCTGGAAGATGGCCCTAAATTCTTGAAGTCTGGTGATGCTGCCATCGTTGACATGGTTCCTGTAAAGCCCATGTGTGTTAAGAGCTTCTCAGACTATCCACCTCTGGATCGCTTTGCTGTTCATGATATGAGACAGACAGTTGTCATGGGTGTCATCAAAGCAGTGGACAAGAAGGCTGCTGGAGCTGGCAAGGTAGCCAAGTCTGCCTAGAAAGCTCAGAAGGCTAAATGAATATTATCCCTAATACCTGCCACCCCAGTCTTAATCAGTGGTGGAAGAATGGTCTCATAACTGTTTGTTTCAATTGGGCACTTAAGTTTAGTAGTAAAAGACTGGTTAATGACAACGATGCATCGTAAAACATTCAGAAGGAAAGGAGAATGTTTTGTGGACCACTTTGGCTTTCTTTTTTGCGAGTGACAGTTTTTAAGTTATTAGTTTTTAAAATCAGTACTTTTTAATGGAAACAACTTGGCCAAAAATTTGTCACAGAATTTTGAGACCCATTTAAAAAGTTTAATGAGAGTAAAAAAAAAGAGTATATAATGGTGTTGGTATAAGAGCTTCCCACACCTGTTCTAGTCAATGAAAGGAGGTACTTATACCACTTCCACTTAAAATAACAAACATTTCTGCAAGGACTTCACTGCTCTCAAAGCACTATTCACTATGCTATTGCATTTATCCTGATAGCAAACTCATGCTCAGATAAGGAAACAGATTGCTTAACTTGTCCAAGTTCATACATACACCAAGTGACAAAAATAAATTCCAACAGAGGTCTTCCAGCTCAACTGCCTATACTCTTTCCATTCTAACAAAGCCTTTAGTACATTTAGGGCAAGTGATTTCTAAGAGCAATGCATCAATATTCAGATCGGCCTTCCCTCGAAGGGGCAGACCAGGCAAACATCCAGACCTCATAACAATTTAAGCTTTCTAGAAATGGAATGCTGGTATGGAGGAAGGTGGAGAAAGGATTTTCAGAGTGGGGTTTAACAATCTATTCTATGCATTAACTCACAAGCACATGTTGAGGAAGGAAATAGGCTACTCCTCCTCATTCCTTCATTTGTTCATTCATTCAACACATGTTTCTGAATACCGCCTCTAGGACAATATTATGCAAGCACTGAGGATAGAATAGTGAATGACACACATTGACCTGCCCTTGTGGAGCTCACATTTATGAAGATGAGTTAGACATTAAACAGCTAGCGTCATGAGCAATCATCTCACTACCATCAATATAAGTGAAAACTAGTTGTAAGAATGCAGTGCTACAGGAGGACTTGACCAGTGCCAGGGGACTAAAAATGCCCTTTCTAAGACTGAGACATGTACATTAATATACGAGGCAAGAGTAAATAAAAATCACAAAGCAAAACATTAGGAAATCAAGGGAATTTTCCATTCTTGCCTCCATCCTCAAGGCTCCTTCTTGCTTGGTTTCCCATGCTCTATTAGCCAAATGCCATGGCTAACAAAGCAGATGGCTACCATAATGGTTACTAGCTGAACCATCATTCAGCATTTGCCTGGTCTAACTCATAGCCTCTTTAGAGAGCTGTAAACATATAATTTTGACAGGTTAGAGGCAGCCTTACTGACATGCCTGATGGTTTTCTTCCAAGTCAGATTTTAAATCATAGCTAGTCTGGCGGGTGTTGCAGGGACCACCCCTTTCCCTTTCCTGCCTCTTTTTACAATTCCTCACACTAAGCCATATGCAGCCACTGCACATGAAGCCACACAAGACTCCACATCCCCTGACTTCTGTGTCCTCTTTTTTTTTGTTAACTATTTCCTGTTCTTGGATATTGCTATAGACTGAATTGTGACCCCTAAACTTTCTATGTTAAAGCCCTAACCCCAAATATGACTATATTTCACGATGGGACCTTTAGGGAGGTAATTAAGTTAAAATGAGGCCATAAGGGTGGGGCCCTGATCTGATAGAATCAGTGTCCTAATAAGGAGAGACACCAAAGAGCAATCTCTCTCCACACCCTTACAGAGGAAGGGCTTTGTGAGGACAGCGAGAAGGCACCCATCTGCAAGCCAGGAAGAGATACTTCACTAGAACAAAGCCTGTTGACACCTTGGTCTTGGACTTCCAGCCTCCAGAACCGTGAGAAAAAAAATTTCTCTTGTTTAAGCCACCCAGTCTCTGATGTTTTTATGGAAGCCTCAGCTGACAAGAATATAAACTTGAAAACAGAAATCTGCCAGGTATAGCACATCCATTAAAAAGTGCTAATGGGGCTGTATATGAGTATTACAAAGGTAGTAATTGTACAACTTGTGCTCCCGGCTCTAGAGGCTGGGAAGAGGAAATGGCAGTAGCTGGGGGAAAAAAAATCATTGAGGGGATTGTCCAGATAGGAAGACTATAACCTTCACAGTTCCCACTGCATCATTGCAGGCAAATGACAACAATTTTAGATATCTGCTCCTAAACCTTGTTTTTAAGTTATCTTCACCATATTCCATAATTATATATTCCAGGAAGGCCCTTTCTGAATAATTTTGGAATGGTTTATATCAGAAAGAGCTGTAGCCATCTAGTTCCTGGGAGCACGCTCCTCACCAGAAGACAGACAGTACAGTCATTGTTTGCCAATAAGGAATTAATCTGGAGAGAGAAGAAGCTTTAAAGAAAATATTTTGATAAGGCTTTTAGGATTTGGTAAGCCAAATTTCATGGAACTTGATATCCTTGGTAGCCATAGAAATACCAGACGTAGCTATTGTCTAATCTTCAATTGTAGGAGCATTTGAGGGAAAGGGTCCAAATCATACAAGTTTATCTGTAGCTGTAAAACAAAAATTAGTCTTTCCTTGAGATAAATTGGAAGCAGACAGAATGCTTTACTTAGGATTAGGTATTCTTCTTGCAGGATACTTAATACTGAGTAACCTAAAGGAACAGGGCATTGTATCTGTCAGTTATGTTTAATAATTCTGTATAATAAACCACCCTAAAACTCAATGGCATTCAACAATAAGCATTTTTATTTCTCACTCATAAATCAGCAGGTTAGCAATGGCTTGGCTGGACTCAGCTGCAAGTTGGATTCAGGTCTGCTCCGCCTCTCTCCATCCTCCTTGGACACAGTAGCTACCCAGACTTATTATTCTCATCGAAAAATTGGAAGCACGAGAAGACAAGCACAACTCCAGCAAGACACTTTAAGCCTTTTCTTTAAGTCTTTGTCAAAGCAAATCACACAACTAAGCCCAAGATTCAAGTGCAAGCAGGGAAGGACATCTCACCCACCATGAGGCCAAAGCAAGTTATAGGGCCAAGCCCAACATCAACAGGGTGGAAAGATTTACTTCTCCAGTGTGGGAAGGTGGGGAGGAGAGTGAATATTTGCTTAACTATAATCAAACTAACCACAGGGATATTATTATCTCTATTTTACAGTTAGGAAAACAGATCACTCACCCAAACTGCAGAGCTACGATGTGAACCCAAGCTTATATTTTTTCCAAAGTTCATATTCTTTCCATTCTGCTGCCCTCTAGTTAATGGAAGGGAAAACATAGGGAAACATTGTCATAGTGGCAAAAGGCAGCAATGGATTGAAGGGACATAGTTATAAACTAATACAGGGGTTGGGGGTTGGGGTGCCCAGTGGTGGAAAAAACAGATAGAAGCTAGTCTATCAAATACATGTTGATTTCACCCATTGAAAAAAATATATATTTACTGAGCGCCCACAATGCACTAGGTACTGTGGTAGGATTTGTCATCCCAGACAGGCATCTGTCAATGCTTGATGAAAATTGGTTCAGTGAAATCAAGTTTTACAGGCTGTGCCAATGACCTTCCAGGTCCTTTGGAAGGCATGTTCCCTTCTGCACACCTTGCCATCTAATCCCACACTGCCAGACCTAACCCCCACCAAGACCTCCTCTACCCCCCAATCCCTCCTCCACCACCAGACAGCTCAGCACCTTTAAGTTGCCTGATACTATTTGGTATTATTATTTGTGCCAAATGATAAATAAAAGCTTTATCACATCTTAAATATAAATAGTTCATGCAAATCAATAAGAAATACATAAGTACCCGATAGAAAAAGATCAGTAAGATCATGACTACTCAATGAACAACAAAAAAAGAAAATCATGAAAAAATGTTTAACTATAAAAGTGTCCATCAGCTAAGACCAAGCACCACAAGACCATTCTGACATGTAGCCCATACTGGAATAACTTCTTAAGCCAGCCAGCATTTTCTACCCCAGAATTGACCCTCCCTACTACAGTTTTCATACAGTCTGTCCTACCACCACACTCTCATCCTTACAAATATACACATCCTCAGCTCTCCTGACCACAATCTCTGCTGGTCCAAAAATTATCTCATAATAAATTCTTCGATTACTTCATACTGCCCATATTGTGCTCAGCTACCTTGCAGTCTAGTCTTGCTTGAAGCAATTTAAATATTTCCTGAAGTCACTCAAAGACTTTACTCATAAGACACAGCAAAGCTTTTTAAAATCCCTTTTACCATCATTTCTCCTTAACCCACTTGTCTCTAACATTTCTTTCTTCTCTCTTCCTCTAAACTCCCCACACAATTCTCTGGAATCCAGCCTCCATGGATTCCCTTCTTCTGATCTTTCCCTGCACTCCATCCTTTTGTTCTATCAATGCCCTAGGATCTATTCAATGAGCCAGATGCTGTTGGCCTCATGGTCCTTGTTGCTCGCACTGCCCTAAAATGCTCTTCACCTGGATACCCACTTGGTTCGTTCTTGTTCCTCCTTCAGGCCTTTATGCAAATGCCACCTTTGCTGTGAGGCCTTTTCAGCCCATGCCAGGGAAAACAGCATGTTCCCATCCCACACTTGCTACTCCCTGTCCTCCTTCCCTGCCTTCTCTATAATTGTAGCATGTATTTGCATCTGACATGCTATCCATTTTATTTCTTTGTTTACCTTTTATCTCCCCTCGGTGGAGTGCAAGATACATTAAGGTGGGGGGATGTTGTCTGTTTTGCTCACTGCTGTTTCCCCAGCAAAGTGCCTGGCATTTAGGGTGCCTTCAAAAATAGGTATTCACCCATTATGCTTGTTCTGCATAATAAAGGACCAAGAAGAAACTGGCAAAATTGATGATGATGAAGGTGATGAAGGGGAGGGAAGCTGTGGACACTCCGCATGTAATATCTTTTTTCTTTGTTTGCTTTATTGCACCGTAGCACTGTCTTTGGCCTGACCCAGCCTGCAGGATACTCCTACCAATACAGGCACCTGCCCACCTGTCTCTTCTGGACCACCCTATAATCACTCTGTGTTCCCTTGTTCCCACCATATTCCTCAGTGATCTGAACCTGTTCTGTTTCATCCTCTCAGGAAGAGGTAATACCTTTGTTCATTTTTGATACGTTAAGCCTACAATTCCAGTGACCCTTTCTAGTGCAATGTGGTGTGCCTGGGCTTATTCTTAAAGGACTTCCCACAGAGACAGGGCTTTACCCATAGGAATAAGTTACCCATAGGAATAAGGAATGGTTAGAAATTATGGCCTCCAAGCCAAGATATACACCTGAGACACCATCAGCCATAACTCCTCTGGAGAAAAGCAGCTCATTTTTATGCCATATGAGAGGACTTTCTCTGTCATGGAAACAAGGTCATCCAAATAGACAATAAGATCACTGATCTCTGTGACGTGACCATGGAGAAACACCAAAGTGCTCTGCCCTCAATGTAATGCCATTAGAATGTTTCTGAGCACAGACATGTCCTGAAATATAGTTGAGAGATTATCAACAGATGTATATTTTACCCTTGTTCTTCCTAGCTCTCATTTACCATAGATAATTGGGAATTGACTGAATCAGATGGACAGTAAATAGAATGTCAATTTATTTCTACTAAAATCCAATCAACTGCTTATACTCCTCTCTTTCCTCATCCATTTGTTTACACTGTTAGGTAAAAAAAAAAAATAAGGTATATATGTATAAAAATATATGACTTACATAACTAGAAGTCTAAAGTTAAATTTTAAAGCAACAAGAAAAAATTATAGGTAAATATTTACCTGACTTATGTGAAGGAAAAAATATTTAATCATAAAAAGAAAGAAATAAACACCATTGAAAAAGATGTTTTCTTTCAAAATATAAAACTTCATAACTATCATTTATACCAAATGATGAAAAGCTTTAATGCATTTTATATATAAAGAGTTCCTATAAATAAATAAGAAATATATCAGTACCCTGTAGAAAAAAATAAGAAAAAATAATAGTCAATAAACAAAAAATGAATAAATAATAAAAAATGTTTAACTTCAGCAATAATCAAGGATGTGCACACATAAGCAAGATGGGTCCCCAACAAAATACTAGCAAACCAAATTCAACGGCACACAGAAAAGATCATACAACATAATCAAGCGAGATTTATCCCTGGGGTGCAAGGATAGCTCTGCATACACAAATCAATCAATGTGATATACAACATTAACATAATGAATGATTTTTAAAAATCACACAATCATCTGAATAAATGCAGGAAAAGCATTTGAAAAAATTCAACACCTTTTTATGATAAAAAACACTCAACAAACTAGGTATTGAAGGAATGTATCTCCTATAATAAAAGCTATATATAAAAAGCCCATAAACTAAAAGCTTTTCCTCTAAGATCAGGAATAAGCCCAGGCTATCATCTCTTACTTCTGCTCAACATAGTATTAAAAGTCCTAGCCAGAGTAATTAGGCAAGAAAAAGAAATTAAAAGCCTCCAAATTGGAAGGAAGGATGTAAAATTGTCTCTGTCTATAGATGACATGATCCTATATATAGCAAACCCTAAAGGCTCCACAGAAAAATTCTTAGAACTAATAAATGAATTCGGTAATGCTGCAGGATACAAAGTTGAGATTTTAAAAAATCAACTGCATTTTTACATACTAACAAATGACCCAAAAGAAAATTAAGAAAAGTCTCATTTATAATGGCATTTAAAAGAATGAAATACATAGAAATAAACTTAACCAAGGATGTGAAACACTTGTACACTGAAAACTATAATACATTGATGAAAGAAATTTAAAAAGAGACAAAGAAATGGAAAAAAAATCTCATGTTCATAGATTGGAAGAATTAATATTGTAAAAACATCCAAAGCAATCTACAGATTCAATTATATTCCCAAGAGAATCCCAATGGCATTTCTTACAGAAACAGAAAAAGAAAATCCTAAAATTCATATGAAAAAACAAAAGGCCCAGAATAACCAACATAATCAAAGCTGGAGGCATCATATTTCCGGACTTAAAGACATATTACAAAGCTACAGTAATTCAAACAGCAGGGTACTGGCATAAATACAGACATACAGACCAATGAAACAGAATAGAGAGTCCAGAAATAAATCCATGCATATACTGTCAACTGATGTTCAATAAAAAATACATGACGGAGGAAAATGACTCTTTAACAAATGGTGATGGAATAACTGTATCCCAGAGGCAAAAGGATGAAATTGGATCCCTCCTTAACTTGTACTATACACAACAATCAACTCAAAATAGGTTAAAGACTTAAATGTAAACCTGAAACGATAAAACTTTTAGAAGAAAAAATACAGGAAAAGCTTCATGAAATTGGTCTTGGCAATGATTTTTTGAAAATGATACCAAAAACACAGACAACAAAAGCAAAAACAGACAAATGGGCACAACAGCAAACTAAAACTCTTCTTCCCAGTAAAAATAAATTAATCAATAAATAAACTAAGTGAAAAGGCAACCCATGGAATGGGAGAAAATACATATACCTAATAAGGGGTAATTCTCAAAATACATAAAGAACTCCTCCTACAACTCAATAGCAAAATAATAATAATAACCTAACTAAAAAGTAGGAAATTGACTTGAATAAATATTTCTCCAAAGAAGACATACAAATGTCCAATAGATACATGGAAAAGTGTCAACACCATTAATTATCAGGGAAATGGAAATCAAAACCACAATGAGATATCACTGCACACATGTTAAGATGGCTATTATCAAAAAAACAAAAGATAACAAGTGTTGGCAAGAATGTGGAAAAATTGGAATCCTTGTACTTTGTCAGAGGGAATGGAAAATGGTGCAACCACTATAGAACTACCGTATGATCCAGCAATCCCACTTCTGTGTATGTATCCAAACGAAATGAAATCAGTATATCAAAGAGATATCTGCAATCCCATGTTCACTGCAACATTATTCAGAATACCCAAGGTGTGAAAACAACTCTAATGTTCACCAACAGACAAATGGATAAAGAAAATGTAGTATACACATATAATGAAATATTATTCAGCCTTAAAAAGGGAGGAAGTCCTACCATTTGCAGCCACATGGATAGACCTGGAAAACATTATGCAAAGTGAGATAAGTCTATTACAGAAGGACAAATACTGCATGATTCCACTTATATGAGGTATCTAAAATAGTCAAACTTATAGAAGCTGAAAATAGAGTGATGGTTTCCAGGGAATAGGGTGAAGGTGAAATGGGAAGTCATTCAATTGGTACAAAGTTACAGTTGTACAAAATAAATAAATTCTAGATATCTACTGTACGACATAGTGCCTGCAGTTAACAATATAATGTTGTGCACTTAAAAATTTGCTAAGAGGTAGAGCTCATGTTAAATTCTTGCTCATATCACAAAAAAGTATTGGGACACAAAGTAACTTTTGGAGATGACAGATATGTTTACTACCTTGATTACGGTGATGATAGCCCAGGTATATGCACATATTCAAATTCATAAAATTGTATACATTAAATATATATCCAGTTTTGTATATCAATTAACACCTCAATAAAGCTACAAAAAAAGATGGTGTTTTCTGCCTATTCAGCCTGTAAGGTTTTTTAATAATTATACTCAATATCAATGATGGTATAGCAAAATAAATATTTTTATACAATGTTACTGAAAAACTAATGTTGCCTTTCTGGAGGGTGATTTAGCAATCTATAAGTATTCATATTTTTATATAATAATATCCTTATTAATTTATTCTAAGGAAATAATTGGGGATTTGCAAAAATATTTATTTATAGCAATGTTTGTTTACTATAGTGTTCTTTATGTTTGAAACACCCTAAATGGAAACACCTATAGTGTTATTTATATTGGAAACACCTAAAATTAACAATAAAGGAAGGCTAAGCAAATGGTGACAGTCATACTATGCAATCATTGAATATATTTAATTATGGCAGACTGTACTTTGCAAAAATGACTGCAGCAACATTTCTGGCCCATGTGCCCTTCCAAAGCCTTGCCATTTCCCATTTGTAGCAGGCTAACTAATAGCTCATATTTAGAGAGACGTTTGAAGATGCAAGGCTGCTGGCCTTAAAGATGGGAGAATGAGGCCACAAGCCAAGAACTGAGGGCAGCCTCTAGAAGCTGGAAAAGCAAGGAAATGGATTCCTCTCTCAAGCCTCCAGAGGAGGCAGCCCTGCCAACACTTTGATTTGGCCCAGTAAAACCCATTTCAGATTTCTAACCTTCAAAACTGTAAGATAATAAATCCCTGTTGCTTTAAATTTGTAGTAATATGTTAGATCAGTGATAGGAAACTAACACAGTACTTGAGAGGTCCATGTCTCAAAGGGAGACATATGTCTCCCCTTGAAACTGGGTGGGCTTTTGAGACTGCCTTGGTGAACAGCATGTGGTAAGGAAACGCTATGTGACTTCCAAGACTAGGTCACCACATAAAAGGTGAGTTGGCATCAGCCTGGCCTTTCTTTACAGACATGCACTTTTGGACCTGGGCTGTCATGTAAGGAACATGGCCATCCTGAAGCCACCATGCAGGAGAGAGCACATCACAGAAAGAAATGTCCAAAAGCTTAGCTGTTCCAACTTTCTGCTGTTTAAGCTTTTCCAGACTAGACAGCAGACCTGTGAGTAAGCAACCTTCAGATAACCAGCCCAAGCTACCACCTGATTGCAACTGCATGAAAGGCTCTGAGCAAGAACTACTTAGCTGAGCCTAGTTAACTTCCAGAACCATGACAGACAATGAAACCATGATTCTATTGTTCTATGCCATTAGGTTTCGGGGTGGTTTATTGAGCATCAATAGGTAACCAATACATTAATGATAAAGAGAAATGCTCAGAATATAATACCTAGTTCAAAAGTACAGAAAACCAAATCCTGCATGTTCTCACTTATAAGTGGGAGCTAAATGAGAACACATTAACACATAGAGGCGAACAACAGACATTGGGGCCTGTCAGACAGTGGAGGTTGGGAGGAGAGAGGGGATCAAGAAAAATAACTAATGGGTCGCTAGCCTGCTGCTTTGTGAGCGCCAGACCTGCCTTTAGTTTTCATGGACAAACAACCAGCACTGGGTGTGTCGTGCCCCACCTTGAAATGGTGGGGTATAGAGTGCGGGATCTACACGGCAGACTTGTGAGTAAGCAGCCTTCAGATAACCAGCCCAAGCTACCACCTGACTGCAACTGCATGAAAGGCTCTGAGCAAGAACTACTTAGCTGAGCCTAGTTAACTTCCAGAACCATGACAGACAATGAAAACATGATTCTGTTGTTCTATGCCATTAGGTTTTGGGGTGGAAAGTGACAATACCTGAGTGGTGAAATAATCTGTACAACAAACCACCAGGACACAAGTTTACCTATGTAACAACCCTGTACATGTATCCCTGAACTTAAAATAAAAGTTAAAAGAAAAACAACAAAATTTGTAAGTAGGCTACAAGCTAAAGTGTGTGTGTGTGTGTGTGTGTGTGTGTGTATGTGTGTGTGCATACAGAAAAAACTTGGAGTCACCAATATGCATTTAGTGGTTATCTCTGTGTCCTGGGTGAAGACATTAATATCTTTATAGTTTTCTATATGTCCAAACAAATACTTGTCTATACAATAAACAAGCATTACTTTTGTAACCAGGGAAAAATATTTTTAAGCTCTTTAAATACCATTACTTCTAAATCTATCACAAGTGTAGAAAACATGTGAGCACATCCTGTGTGTGAACACATGTATGTGCATCTCCAAGATAAAATCAAGAGGGGAAGGGGCTACTTGATTAATCTGAGCAAGAACATGAACCTTTAAACCCTGCTTTTATTCTTCCTTTTCCTACAGAGGAGATGGCAGCAAATACCTTCTAATGTGAAGTCCAATTCCTAATCCTTTTAGCCACTCCCAATTCAACTATAATTGACTGATGCAACTAGGCTTGGATTCTGTTCTGTGACACAGATAAGAGATTATCTATAGCTTCTCCTGGACAGAGGAATGTCAGCCACTCCTTTTAGAATTACCCCCTTTCTCTGTGCAGAGTGCCTAAAAAGCACCCCATTTTTGCTGTCTCCCATCAGTATCTCAGAAAGATGAGTCCCCGGAGAAGGGTCGGAGGTGAGATGACAGAATGGAAAGGAGGTGGAGATCCTTGGTCCTAGGATGCTACAGTGCCCCATTTAATTCTCATGGAAACCCTTTGGGGCATAATTAACAATCCCCTTTTTACAAATGAGAGCATTTAGGCTCAGAAAGATTAAGCAATTTACTCACGTCAAAGAGCAAGTAACTGGCACAGCTAAACTTCTAATACAAAGTTTCTTATCATGGTAAAACTACACCTCTTTTCCTTCACCTCAATTTCCTAGTACCTACTTCAGAGTTGTAGTGTGTGTTAAATTATTGAGTATACATATCAAATCTTATCATTTCATATTATGCAGAACAATGGCTCCCACGTGAGCACCCTATATTAGTGTTAGCTGTCATTTGAGTTGTTATGAATCAAGGTCATACAGAGAGCACAGGTAGGCACTAGAGGCTGTCAACTGTCCTCCCTGCAGAGATCCAGCACTCTGCACCCCACCATTTCAAGGTGGGGCACGACCTACCCAGTGCTGGTTGTTTATCCATGAAAACTAAAGCCGGGTCTGGCGCTCACAAAGCAGCAGCCTAGCGACCCACCCCAGACACACATTCTCCTTGCTCTTTTTCAAAAAGCACAATAGCTCTCACACAGTCCAAGGACTATCATTAAAAGTCAGCCTCTCCGGAACGTGGGGATTCTGGTGGCGCTGACAAGTGACGGTGGGAGGAGGGGCTCCCCCAGCTCCCCCCCCCCGCCCCCCCACCCCCGCCAACACAAACTGGCTGTTTCTATAAAATAAATGAGGAAGGAAATGGTGTTGCATTGGGATCTGCCTTCTAAATGCACTGAAAACTGAGGCTCCTGTCTTTTGGCATTTCCTAAAAGGCCTCTGGAGCTTTCCTTGCCAAGCCTCGATATTGAGGGTAGTTTTAGCTGTTTAAGCCTTCCTCTTCTAACAGGGGTCAAAGGGCTGGAAAGATCTTCTCAAAAGGATAGAGAAGGAATCATTAAAAGGGAGGAGAAGGAAAGTGACAGAAGGTCAGCCTCTTTTTTCCTAATGGGTGCGTCCCTGAGGGGTCAGGCCCAGTGGCCATGCGCTGCACAGGCACCTGGCTTCCGAAAACCTGCAGCAATTTGATTAACACTGCCCTGAGAGGGAGACCAGAGGAAGCTCTAAGGAGCAGCCCAGGGAGGGTGTGGGGAAGAGAGAAAACACAGTAGAAATCTGATTGTGATAAGTAAATTTCATTGATCGCATTAACATAAAACGATAGTGTTTCAGTAAACCAGAGAGAGCAAGCACTTGAAATCGTTGCGTTTTGAGTCTGTCATAAAGCTTATTTCCTTCACATATAAATTTGACCCAAAAATGTGACATTGCATAGCAAGAAGCTTTGTATAAGGACTGGTTTGGTATTAAAATTCATCTTTGCATGCAATGCAAGCACACAAATAGTGAAGGTTTTCACTGATTTTTAGTCAACAAGCAATAAACTGCATTTGCACCCACACACCTACTCCTAACACCCCATCTGGTAACATTTCCACGTTTCAAGGAAAGAAATCAATAGCAATAATCTGTGAGGGACTCATAGGGTGTATATTTTTTTATCACACTGCCATTTTAAAAAAATTTTCACCTATCTACTTAAAGCAAAATTTTGTTATTTTTGTATGTTCACATGAAAATCTCGACATTATTACTGGGGGAAAAGGATTAGAGGAGAAAGGGAGATAAGTCAATTAAAACAAATGTGGGAAAATATGTTCAAAACATGTTTTTAACAATACAGGTTCTATTTGAACAACTCAAGCAATAATCAATACACAAGCTGAAAAATCCCCAGTCAACCCACATATTCAAAATTATATTTTGACTCTGTTTCTATGGAAAGAACAGCTAAAATGCACGTGGATGTCACTTCTCAAAGGAAAAAGCCATTCTGCTTTCAACTTGCAGTGCAGGGAGAAGACACCATCCCCGAACCCTGAAATTTAGAACTATGTCATTGCTGATTTTCTGTGCAAGAAGGAAATATGATTCTTTGTTACTGCTCTTATTTATTGCAGACCTTGTCTGGAATCTGGTATTGAAGGCATGCTTGATGAGTTGCCGCCTTGAACTTTCCCACTGATCAATGCCAGCGCTGCTGCTGCATGAAAGAATAGCTTTCCCGAGGAGCCACTATCACATGGAAACCAGCTACCCAGCACGCTTTTTGAAAAATGGGCAAGAGCCTTGTATGCTTAAGCTTCGAAACATGTTCCCACCCCCACCCCCAAAAACTGGCAAATGGTGACTGACCATCTAAAAATTGGAATGTTACAAGAGCAAGAGGTAAGGTCAAAAGCAGAAATCCTCCTTTCTGTAAAATGATCAGACACCATAGGATGAAAACATGCGGGGAAAAGGAAAGCTAATGTGAAGTGAGAGGACAGGAATCATATTTCTTCTCAGCAGGGTGACAAATAAAAAGTTGCCTTTCCTTTTCTGTGCAAATAAACTTTACTTTAGGAATTGTGGCAGTGGTTTGGTCTCCCATAAAATAGGTTTTATCTGCTGCAGTGACAACCTAAGGCAGGGAGGGGTTAGAGGCAGGTTAATTGCCATCGTTTCCATTATTTTTGTCAATATTTTTGTTATTTTGTGGAGAGATTGCAGGGGAAGTCTAGACCAATGCTATCAGGAATGGGGCTAAGAGAAAGGGTTTAATCCAATTCTTGGGCAGTTCGTGTGGAAAGTATGTGTCACTGGAGTAAGCTGGGACAAAAATCCTCAAATATACCCAGGTCGGTCTCTGTAAAAACCCCAGGCTGTCCACACCCTCTACACTTTAGAGGCTTCCCTGAATGGGATGCCCGTGATGAAAACATCCACCAGGAAGAAAGTGGCCTTTGAAAAAGACGTACAATAAGCCGTCCATGGCTGTTGAAAGCCAGTGCTTTCTGGAGGGCCATAACCAACCACCAAAACCTATGAGCAATCGGACCCTCAAACCATGAAACTCCGTCTATCTTAAGAAATGAAACAAGAACAAGATCTGAGCTTCAGTAGGTTAACCTAACTACCTTCACCCACTGTCCATCTTCCTGGGCTTTTCCCAGGCAATAAGTACTTTAACTAATCACTAATCCTGGCTGGGCGTGGTGGCTCATGTCTGTAGTTCCAGCACTTCGGGAGGCCAAGGCAGGAGGGTGGCTTGAGCCCAGGAGTTCAAGACCAGCCTGGGCAACATAGGGAGACCCCCATCTCTACAAAAAAAATAAAAATTAGCTAGGTATGGCGGCATCCACCTGCAGTCCTAGCTACTCAGAAGGCTGAGGCAAGAGGATTTTTTGAGCCTGGGAGGTCTAGGCTGCAGTGAGCTATGATTGTACTACTGCACTCCAGCCTAAGTGGTTGAACAAGACCTTATTTCTAAAAAATAATTAAATAATAAATAGACAAAAATAAAAAATATTACTAATCCCATTGTGAGCCACTTCCATGCCTTATGTATTTTGTCTCCCTCCTCCAGACACTCCTGACACTTGCTGTGTCCTACGGTCATGATTTGTGGGTATGCTGCTCCTTCCTTTCTAGACTTCCAGCTGCTCCATCTATATCTTTTCCCTCTTTGTATCTGCTGTGGCTCCCAGCTCTGAGCTTCATACAGAGTAGACACTCAAACGTTTGTTGAATGACTGATTGAATGAATGAATATAAAGGGCCTCATCCCTAAGTATTACTATCAAAAAGTCACAGCACTATAAAGACACATGCCCATGTTTGTTTATTATATCACTATTTACAATAGCAAAGACTTGGAACCAACGAAAATGCCCATCAGTGATAGATTGGATAAAGAAAATGTGGTACATATACACCATGGAATACTATGCAGCCATGAAAAGAATGGGATCATGTCCTTTGCAGGAACATGAATGAAGCTGGAAGCCATCATTCTCAGCAAAGTAACACAGGAACAGAAAAACCAAATACCGCATGTTCTCACTTGTAAGTGGGAGTTGAACATTGAGAACACATGGACACAGAGAGGGGAAAAACACACGCCAGAGCCTGTTGGGGGTGGGGATTGAGGGGAGGGAACTTAGAGGACAGGTCAATACATGAAGCAAATCACCATGCACACGTATACCTATGTAACAAACCTGCACATTCTGAACATGTATCCTGTTTTTTTTTTTTTAGAAGAAGAAATAAAATAAGAAAAAAATAGTCAGAGCAGAAAATTTCCTCCAGCTCCCATTCCTATTCCAGACTTTCTGGCCCATCTCTAGGCCTCTAGACACACTCAGGCAGGCAGCACCCTGCAAGAGACATTTTGGATTTCTGTCCCTATTCACTAAAACCAGCCAGAAGCTTCTTGCTCCTCCACTCTGCCTGGCTCTTCCTCAAGCTCTGTTTTTCTGAACTTGGAATAATATTGCCACAGCTGCCACAGCTACTAGACCCAAATGGATGGTTAAATTGTGTGGCTCTGTGCTTACCCTGAGCACAATTTTGTACTTACCTTCCAGCTCCCTCCACATCTAGCTGCCACCTCCCCACCTCCCCTGGAATTACGTTCCCCCTAGATGCAGTTCAGGCAGCAGCCCCCTTGACTGATGCTTCCCAGGTCAGATCTGGTCCTGTGCAGCATACAGTGCCTACCACAACCAGAGCCTTCATTTATACCCACAGGCTCAATCCTAGTCAGCAATCGTAGTCCCTAGCCACACCAGCCACCATGGACCAGTGAAGCTTACAGCCACTGTCAGAGAGAACTGCTATATATATCCCAATTCTTACTCCAAGGCTGGGAAGGCAGGTGCTCTGGGAGCAAAGGTAGGGAGTCATAAGTTACAAGAAGATCATGTCCTATTTTTCTTGCAAAGTCACCATAATCAGCATTTGCTGAAGTGGTAAGACTTGGCACCTGCCCATGTGGTACCCAGAACTGAAGAGAATGCATCCATGATGCAATCCCTGACTTCAATGCATAACACCTGTGCATAGTTTGTTCTTGTGTTTGCAAAGTTCCATCAGGCACATTTCCACATTTAATCCAAAGCCCGAAGAGGCAGGTAGGACAGCTCTAGTTGTAGTCCCCTGTTACCCTTGAGAATATGAGGTACTTCCCAGAGAGCACCATACATTACACACACATATTTTTATATGCACATGCTTAGACTGAGACCAACATATATTTGCCAAAAGTAGAATATCTCAATAAATACTGTTGAATGAACAAACTTGTTGGATGTGTTCTCAGGTTCAGACTGAGGCAGTTAGCCCATTTCATGCTAAGCCATTGAAACCTCAGAGCAAGTAATCAAGGATTGCTGCTCCCTCCATGCCAGGGATTCTCAGCAGCAGGGGCAATTTTGCCCCTCACCCAGACCTCCAGGGATATTTGACAATGTCTGGAGAGGCATTTTTGGTTGTCACAACCAAGGGAAATGCTATTGGCATCTAGTGGGTCGAGGCCAGAGATGCTGGTAAACATCCCACAATGCACAAGACAGTCCCTCACACCCACCACAAAGAATCATCCTGCCCAAAATGGCAGTCATGTGGAGGTAGAGAAGCCCTGCTCTATACTCTGCATTTGAGCAGCCACCTCTAATGGACTGCAGTTTATTAGAGGTCCCCATCAATGCACAAAAGAAGGATCCAGGCCATCCTTAGAAAGTATCCTGAAATCTGTGAATGGTATCTTTTTACCCCCAGGTTATGTTGTCTTTATCCTCTCTCCTATCTCCAGAGACACAAAAGGTGGCACACATTAGTCCCTTTCCTTTCCAAAACAAAGTAGCCAAACGACTATGCAGACAGTCTTCAATGCCTGATCCGTGGAGTAGAGGAGAGCCTCAAAAAAGGCTCCTAGGAAAGAAGAGTGGCAGCCCAGGGTCTTCCTGGAAAGGGAAATGCACTCCCTCCCTCCCACAAACTTCCCCTGGCCCTGCAAAAAAAGCATTCTCGTTCCAGACAGATCTACTTTCTAAGCTTTGGAAGACAAAGTCAATTCATAAAGAATAGAAGATACTGTGATTGAGGCCGTTCCCTATCAATGAATAAATGTGAATCCATTCATGAAGACACAGAGTGATTCTCACTTCATCCTTCCACCCTTATGACCATAGCACACTGTCCTGGAAAGCAATTGCTCACATCCTCACACCTTCTCCTGACCACCCTCTATAAGCCCCAGTTTCCAGGAGCAAGGTGCCTATGGACCCAACCCAGGGAGAGTTCAAGCAAATAGACAAATGATATCCTGAACAAGAGGGACAGTAACAGAAAAAACAGGCCAAAATTTTTTTTAATTGACAGATAATAATTTTACATATTTATGAGGCACACAGCGATGTTTTGATACAGAAAATGAATGGTGATCAGTTTAAGGTAATTAGTATATCCATCATCTCAAACATCAGTCGTTTCTTTGTGTTGGGAATATTCAATATCCTCCTTCTAGCTATTTGAAAATATGTAATATATCACTGTTAACTATAGTCATCCTTCTGTGGTATGGAACACGAGAACTTTTCCTATCTAGCTGTAATTTTGTATCCTTTAACAAATCTCTCCCAAACCTCCCTTCTCCCTACCCTTCCCAGCCTCCAGTAGCCTCTGTTCTACTTTTTACTTCTATGAGATCAACATTTTCAGTTTTCACATATGAGTGAAAATATGTGGTGCTTAACTGTCTGTTCCTGGCTTATTTCACTTAGCATAATGTCCTCTAGTTCCATCCATGTTGCCACAGATGGCAAGATTTCATACTTTTTATAGCTGAATAGTATTCCATGGTGTATATATGCCACATTTTCATTTATTCATTCATCTGTTGCTGGACACCTAGGTTGATTCCATATACTGGCTATTGTAAATAGCACTGCAATAAACATGGGGGTCCTGTTATCTCTCTAATATACTGATTTCCTTTCCTTTGGATAAGTTCCCAGTGGTGGTATTGCTGCATCATATGGTACTTGTATTCATAGTTTTCTGAAAGACCTCCATACCGTTCTCCACAGTAGCTATACTAGTTTACATTCCCACCAACGGTGTCCGAGTCCCTTTTCTCTGCATTTGTTGGTTTTTGTCTTTTTGATAATAGAAGAGGAAGGATATTTAGCTTTCTTTCACCTCCCACTTCAGGGGTACAGTGCACTTTTACCCCTCCACATCAATTCAGACCCATCCAATACCAATCATTCACTGTTTAGTATAATAAATGTCCAAGTCCACTTGAAACTACTGGGAGCTAATTCCAGAAGCTATCTTCTTCAGCCTTACCGAGTGCTATTTTACCAGTGGCTAATATTTATTGGACACGTCTCATATACTAGATTATTGGCACTTCACAACTTTAACTTCAGTTAAATCTCTCAGTTATCTTAAGAGGTAAAATTATTATGCTGATTAGCCACATTTTACAGATAAGGAAAGTGAAGCACAAAACATTTAAGTAACTTTCCCAGCTAGTAAGTAACTAAGACAAGATTTCCATCCAGGCAATCTGGATCCAAAGTCTGAGCTTTTAACTGCTCTGCTATTTGGCTTTAAGCTGTATCTTACCCAGAAGTACTGAAGCAAGAGTACTCTAACCAGGGATCAGTGTAGCATATTATGTGTGGGCTGTAAGCCTACTTTTTCTGATCTATAAAATGGGAATAATTAAAGGACCCACCTTATGGTCATCATGCGCAATAAATTAAATAATACATGAAACACTTATCCCGGGTCCTGGCACAAAAGCTCATTAGAAATGTCAGCCATTATTATAATTCTTGTTATTATCATCATCACAAAGCTGATGAGCGGTGGAGTCAGAAAGCAAACTCAGTTTTCTCCAGCTTCAAAGTCTAAACTCAAGAACTATCAACAGAGAAAAAAGAAATCTTTCAAAAATTAGCTTAACTATTTAGAAAACTGAGCTTCTTCTGTATTAAAGATAACTGCCCAACACACAAAATATTTGATACCTCACAATAATTTGATGGCCTTACTTTTTCTAATACTAAACTGGGCTTCATGAGCTCCTAGCTTATAACTCAGGTAAAAAGATTGCCCGCACTTTAAGACCTCAAAGAAAGGATGATAATGACTACATAAGTCTGTGCTAAATTTAAAGCTAACATTGGAGGCTTATGGTCTGAACATTATGTGACTTTGGTCCTGAGCCAAAGAATCATTAAGCCTTAGCGCTTAACCAAAGGGACTTCCAGAGGTCACACAGCCATCCCTCTGTATCCACAGGAACAGAAGCTCGCTTTACTTCACTCAGCAACTTGGCACCTACTGATAATAGAAAGCATTACACTGCAGCTTAATGCCTTTTCAGAACATGTGGAAAAGATAAATAGAAATTATAATCCTTAAGAAACTAATTGCCATTTATATAAATGAAGCTATTTCAAATTCAATTCTTACATCTTAATATAATTCCTTATTTTTTCTTTTTTGTTTTTAGAGATAAGGTCTCACTCTGGAGTGTAGTTGTGTGATCATAGCTCTCTGCAGCCTCAAATGCCGGGGCTCAAGTGATCTTTCTGCCTTAGCCTTCCAAGTAGCTAAGACTACAGGCATGTGCCATCACACTCAGCTAACTTTTTTTTTTCTTTTTTCTTTCTTTCTTTTTTTTTTTTTTTTTTTTTTTTTTGTAGAGATGGAGTCAAACTCTCAAGCATTTGAGTTCGGCCTAACCCAGACTGGTCTCAAACGCCTGGCCTCAAGTGATCCTCCTGCTTTGGCCTCCCAAAGTGCTAGGATTACAGTCGTGAGTTAGTGTACTCTAATTCTTGTATTTTTCTGGTCATTCTTCTACTACAGTTTTCCAGTTCTTAAAGCAATCAAACTTGTTACAGGTTTAGTACAGTGTCACTGCAGTGAGAAATCTCAGCGTGCCTAACACAGGATTTGGCACACAATAAATGATCACTAAAGAAATGGTGATGGCCATGACACCTGGCAGCTCATTTAAAGTCAGACTTTGAAGATAATTCCCTGTCCTCCTCATTTGAGCTAATAAGGAACACCCACCTCAAGTTGATAATGGGTTCTTGAAACACTTCTACATGACAATTAAAATCTTATTAGCAGTTATCATGATCTGAACTTTGTTTTACACTTATATATAGCAGGCCACCCCGAAGAAGCCTATCTGCCATTTGAATCTTCACTGCACACCGTTTGCTGAGCTACCGTGTTGTATTAATTACATGATCTTTGTAGTTAGATCATGGAGTTGTTCAACCTTCTTGGCCATGTTCAGTGTACAACCTGCACAGCTGTACACAATGGCTCTGATCTTACAGTCCAGGAAACATTTTAGCAAAAGCAGTCAAGTATTTTCTGAGAAGAGCCCAGTTGTATTTTTCTGAACCACTTGGGCAAAAAGTAGAGAAATTATTTTCGGTAAAATTCCTAATAGACATGGAAAAGTGAAAGCGAATCCCAGCAAATCTCAAAGAAGATGATGCAGTGGAAACCATGAGTTAAGAGCCCTACCAGTTTCAGCATGTAATTCACCTGTAATTCTAATATTCTGCGTGGGAGCTCTCTCCTGGGACCATGTCCTGGCGGCAGCACTTCTGGTCCTGAAAAACACAAAGTGATGTTCTTTAAAGCTCAAAAAGCATATACATGTTTTTGTTGGAAAGTGGTCCAAGCAAACAGCTTTCACTTCTTCCTCTTACCTTCACCCTATAATTTGGCAAATGCAAATTCTATGTCTTTCCTTGTGTACACTTCTACCATCAACACCAATTAACTTATAAGAGCTTCCATTTTTCAAGTTCTTTAATTTAATTGTGTAATTGCAAATGTCTTAAAACAGCAACACTTCTGTTACACCTCTTTATGTCTAGAGAATGATTTCCAGTTGAATTAGGTGTGTCTCTTCTGAATGCCTAATTTAGGTGTAATGTTCTAACTAGAAAATCAAAACAACAGGAAGGTTTTGATTTTTAGAAATTTTATATTTTAATATGTATGACTACTTGTTGCTACCTAAGTTGGGATTTGTTCCTAAAAACCATTTTCTATCCAAATAGCTCATTGAATTTTATAAATATATTAGGTTGTAAAGTTTAAACATCCCTGAGAGGTTTATTTAATCCAGTAACTTGTCTTCACTCAAGTAAATCACCTAAATAGATGAGATCTTCTGCTCCTTAGCTCTCTTGCTTTAAAAAAGTGAAGGCATTGCGTCTAGAGCACTTCTAGGAATCTGACTGGATGGGGGACCAAAGAAAGACAAGATACGGAGGAAAGCTGAAGACCAAGACGGTTGGGCTTTTGTTTTAGAGGTGGGAGAAACATGAGTGTGCTGGAACTTGAGAGAAAAAAGCCAACAAAGCTAGAGAGATTGCAGGCACAAGAAAGAGAATAACCACTAGAGTGAGTCCCTGAGGAGGCGACAGGGACAGAAACCAGGAAACGGTAGAAGAATTAGTTTTATACAGGAGAAGAAATGCTTTACCTGGTGGCATTTTGTTGTTGTGTAGTGAGAAGCTGAAGGAGTTCTGAAAAGTTGCTCTCTGTTTCCTCTGACTACACTATTATCTTAGGTTAAATCATCATAAAGTAGAGAAAATTCTTGGGTTTAAATTACCTCTAGAAACCATTTTAATCTTTGTACCGTATCTCACTTAACCCTAACCAGCAGGGCACATTCTCTTCTTCCACAATTATGCATTAGTATTCATTTGCAAATATTTTTCCTAATTGCTCATAACATATCAAAAAATCTTATGTTCTCTGGGATTTTATTAAAGAGAAATTTGCAAGCCATTAGTATTTTTAATTGCTGCACTTTCAATATAGATGTGAACATTTTTTGCTTTAGTGGAAAGGTTGAGTTGATATGATTCAAAGCAGTAACCACATCTCTATGGTTCCTAAAACAATTGAACTAGAACAAAACCAGAACTTCAGAACAGTCTCTATCACTGTCCTGAAACTGCTCCCTTGAAAGTGCATTCACTCCCTTCTTGTCAAACCCAAAACGTTTTCACTTGACCCTTGTCAGATGTCATTTTTAATTCAATTTCACAAGCATTACTTAAGCATAGATGGTGTGCCAAAAAAATGTGATTCAATGGTGAAAAGTGGTGAATAAGACACAGCCCAAAGCCAAAAATGACTTACAAAATAACAGTTCAATACACACACACTGACACAGACACACACACAGACACACACACACACACACACACACCACTAACTATAATATAATGTAATAAGTGCCATACATAGTTTGAACAAAGGGCTGGGGAACCAAGGGGAGAAAACAATGTATTCTGCCCAAGGAAGATCTGAAAAGCCACAACAGAGAGAAGGATTGTCTTGGGCTTGAAGTATGAGTAGGTGTCTGAGATATCAGCTGTTGTGCAGTCATCATAGCTTTGCCTCCTTCACCAGCAATTCCTCCTCCGCTTCCTAAGAGTATCACTCCCCACTCTGCCAACCCAAGTTCTCACTTTTTCCTTCTCCTTTATATACACTTGCTCCCTCAGTCAGCTCATGTCGTCTCATTGCTTTTCATTATCAATTGTCTGATGATGATGTCAGCCCAGCATTCCTCCTGTGGTCTTTCCCCCTACATAGAACATTTCTACTTGTAAGATGCACCATCACGCAGAACTCAGTAGTCTCAGAACTGACCTCACTCTCTTGGCTATGGCAGGGCTTCTGAGCTCTCTTCCTGGGTGAACATGCTTTCCAAGATCACTGAATCCCACAAGGATCTCTCCCTTCCCCAAATCTATCACCTTGCAATACCTGTGCAGTTTAAACTTTTATTGCATACTGCCTCCAACTGTTCTACCAGCTCATGTAACTCCTCTCCAACTAGACAACAAATTCCTTTGATTAAGAAACTTCTCACCCCCTTCTCCCATACTTTCCCCATTGCCTTAGAGACTAATCAAGAAAAGCTAAAGTATGCCATGAGAGCTCCTTCTCAGCCACTCTGTGCTCATGGCAGACCTCATCAATTAGGTACAAAAGTCAAATTTGTCTCACAATCTTTTCAACACAGCATTTCAGGCAACTACTTCCAATCCAATGGAAATGGCTTCCAGGTTAAAACCTACCACCTGATACCTTAATAGACACAAACTTGCTCTTTAATCCATATTTGTTGATTGGTTGAATTTTGACCTTAAAAAGATGGCCATAAAATTCTTAAAAACATTTGGTGCAGGCCAGGCGTGGTGGCTTGTGGCTCATGCCTGTAATCCCAGCACTTTGAGAGGCTGAGGCAGGTGGATTGCCTGAGCTCAGGAGTTCGAGATCAGCCTGGACAACATGGTGAAACCCCATCTCTACTAAAAATACAAAAATTAGCCAGGCATGGTGGTGTGCGCCTGTAGTCCCAGCTACTCAGGAGACTGAGACAGGAGAATTGCTTGAACCCTGGAGGCGGAGGTTGCAGTGAGCTGAGATTGCACCACTACACTCCAGCATGGCAACAGAGCGAGACTCCGTCTCAAAAAAAAAATTGGTTCTATATTTGGTGCTATGTAGAATGGGGCATGTAGTTTCATCAATAATATGTACTGAATTCCAATTTACACTTAAGATGTAGAAAGCTGGGGGAAACATTTCCCCATCCCCTTACAATGAGGGTAATTCCAGATATTGTTCAATAATTTGAGTCATAATTATTTATATTATTAAAATCAAATTATTTCAAACTGTATTGTTTAGAATAACTCGAGTTATAATTTTTATTGAACCCATGAGAGAGCTGAGGTTGCAGGGCAAATTGGTAGCCTGAAGTCTAAGGTAAGACAAGTGCCTCCGAGAAGAAACAGGACATGACCACTGATTTACCTGGAACAGACATTGAGTATTATATAAGCTGGTAAGAAGAATTCACCTAAAATTTTTAACAAATTGCTAAAGGCTGAGAGTAAGCAACCACAGAACTCGTGGAAGCTACAGACACAAAGGAAGTCAACACCAACCACAAGTTCTTCACAGACCTCACAGGGTGCTCACAAAAATGAATGGAAGTGGAGTGGGAAACCAGAGAAACCACTCTCAGTGGTGGAGACCTGGAAAAGGGGAGCAGTTGCCACTGCAAGAAAGGCATGAAGTCCTGCCCAGAGTCTTTTCCCATATTTTGCCAATGAAGCAAAAACTTTAAGCTGCTGGAGAAAGGGCAACAAGCTCAGTCACTCTCCAGCACAGGTGAATACCCACTGCAGCTGGAAGAAAGGAAGGAAAAAACGTGTATCTCTGGGAGACAGGAAGAAAATATTGCAAGCCCAAGCCATTAGAAACCCCTAACATTGAAAGGCCTAGGCCTACTCCAAAGGCCTCACCTACAAGGTTCAGACTGGCTGAGACTGTGGACAAACCATGAAAGCAGAAAACATTACCCATTCCACCTCCCCAACACCAGGCTAGCGAGAATCAAGTAGCAAACAACAGCAGAGAAGCAAGAACATGAAGAGAAACTCTCTGAAGTAAAGATTCACAGGGAAAGCCTAAAGCTGAGGATAAACAGAAAGCACAGGGAAAAAAACTCCAGAAGCCTAGCCCCACCTAAATGCAAATTAATGCTACAGGAATTTGAAGACTATGGTTCACTGAGAGTAACCATAGCAACCACAAAACCCTGATCAACTCCTGATTCCTGATTCAACTAGCTCACTAACACATGCATACACACACACACAAACACACATTAAAGGTCTGAAAATAAAAGAGGGTGCCCATTGTGGCCATTCATATATTTTCTCAGGCCTTTAATGTCCTAAAGATACCCAGCTTTCACACAAAAATTATGAGACACATGAAGAACCAGAAAGGAAAAAAAAAAACCAGAAAAACGTTTATGAGAAACTTAAGCAAGAAAAAGCCACTAACAGAATTGGTTCAGATATGACCCAGATATTGGAACTATCTGATATGAAATTCTAAATAATTACATTTAATGTTTTAAAGGCTCAAGTGTAAAAGGTGGACAGCATACATGAACAGATGGGGAATTCAGCAGGAAAGGACTACCAACCAGTATTCCTCAGTAAAATAGATACCAAAATTCTCAACAACATTCTATCAAATTGAATTTATCAATATGTAAAAAGAGGAATAGATCATGACCAAATAGAATGTATCTCAGGGAATGGAAAGCTGATTCAACATTTGAAAATCAGTCAATGTAATTTATCATGTCAACAAATCAAAGAAGGAAAACCATGCACTCATCTCATTAGATACAGAAAAAAACCTTTAAAAAAATCCAACACCCGTTCCTGATTTAAAAAAAAAAAAACTAAGAAAACCAGAAATAGAAGAGAACTTCTACAACCTGATAAATGGTATCTTAAAAAAAACTCTACAGCTAACATCATACTTAATGGTAAATGACTAAATTAAGATTGAGACTAAAGCAAGATTGTCAATTCTCGCTATTCATATTTAATATCATACTGGAATCCTAGCCAGTATAACAAAACAAGAGAAAGAAATAAAAACATACATATTACAAAAGGGAAAAATAAAACTCTCTCCTCACAGACAACATGATTGTCAATGTAGATGAACCCCAAAGAATCTGCCAGAAAGCTATTAGACATTTTGGTTGCTTACAAGTTTTGATAATTATAAATAATGCTGCTATAAACATCTGTGTGCAGGTTTTTGTGTGGATGTAAGTTTTCAGCTCCTTTCAGCAAATACCAAGCATAATTGCTGGATCATATGGTAAGAGTACGCTTAGTTTTGTAAGAAACTGCCGAACTATCTTCCAAAATAGCTGTGCCATTTTTGCATTCCCACCAGGAATTAATCAACAAATGAGAGTTCAGCAATGAATCCTTGCCAGCATTGGTGCTATAAGTGTTCTGAATTTTGGCCATCCTAGTAGGCATGTGGTGGCATTTTATGGTTATTTTAATCTGTATTTTCCAAATGACGTATGATATGGAGCACCTTTTTACTTGCTTAATAGCCATCTGTATATCTTCTTTGGGGAGGTGTCTGTCAAGTTATTTGGCTCATTTTTTAATTGAGTTGTTTGGTTTTTTAATGTTGAGTTTTAAAAATTATTTGTATATTCTGGATAACAGTATTTTATCAAATTTATCTTTTACATATATTTTCTCCCAGTCTACTGCTTGTTTTCTCATTCTCTTAACATTCTCCTTCACAGAGTATAAGTTTTTGATTTTAATAAATTTTAGCTTGTCAATTATTTATTTCATGAATCATGCCTTTGGTGTTTTATCTAAAATGACATCACCATACCCAAGATCATCTAGTTTTTCTCTTATGTTATTTCCTAGGATTTTTATAGTTTTGTATCTTACTATTAAGTAAGTATCACACTGTCCTGATTACTGTACCTTTACAGTAAGTCTTGAAGTTGGGTAGTGTTGGTCTTCAAACTTTGTTTTTCTCCTTCAATACTGATTTCACTATTCTAGGCCTTCTGCATCTCCATATAAACTTTAGAATCAGTTTGTCAATATCCATAAAGTGACTTGCTAGAATTTTGATTAGGACTGTACTTAATCTATAGATCGAGTTGGGAATAACTGACATCTTGACAATAATGAGTCTTCCTATCCATGAACATGAAATATTTCTTTATTTATTTAGTTCTTCTTTTATTTCTTTATTAGCGTTTTGTCATTTTCCTCAAACAGATCTTGCACATATTTTGTTAGATTTAAACCTAAGTACTTCATTTTGCGGGTGGTCGTGTAAATGATATTGTGGTTTTTTATTCCACATTTCACTTGTTCATTGCTGAATATAGAAAAGCATTTGACTTTTATACACATCTTTAACCTTGCAGTCTGCAATTTTGCTGTAATCATATTACTTCTAGGAGGTTTTTTTGTTGTTGATTCTTTCAGGTGCCTTTCACTCAATTTTGCTGTGAACTCAAAATTGCCCTAAAAAATCTTTTTAAAATTTTTAAATTAAAAAATAAAGCTACTAGAACTAATAAGTGAGTTGAGCAAGATCAGTATACAAAAAAAAGCTATTGATTTCTGTAAAATATTAAAGAGCCATTAAAAATCAAAATTTTAGACGCAATATCACTTCAAATAGCACCAAAAACATGAAATACTTAAGTATACATCTCAAAAATCTGTGCAAGATCTGTACACTGAAAACTGCAGAGCACTGATAAAAGAAATAAAAAGAGACTTAAATAAATGGAGAGATATACTGTATTTATGGATTTAAAAATCATAATATTGTTAAGATGTTAATTCTTCTCAAACTGATCTCTAGATTCAACACACATTCAATAAAAATCTCAGTAGGGTATTTGGTAAAAATTGGCAAGCTAGTTCTAAAATTTAAATGGAAAGACAAAGGAACTAGAATGGACAAAATAATTTTGAAAAACAAAAAAGAGCATAATGTTGGAAGACTCACACTACCTGATTTTAAGATATATGATAAAGCTATAGTAATCAAGGTAGTGTAGTACTGATGGAAGGATAAACACATAGATCACTGGAACAGAATTAAGAATCTACAAATATATGGGCAATTGATTATTAACAATGATGCAAAGGCAATACAATGGAGAAAAAGTAATCTTTTTGACAAATGGTGCTGGACAGTTTGGATACTCATACACAAAATGTAAACCACAATCCACATTTACACCCCGTATAAAAATTAATTCAAAATTAATCAGGCCTAAATATGGACCTAAAACTATAAAACTTCTGGGGAAAAAAACAAGAGAGAAGATCTTTGTGAACTTGGGTTAGGCTAAGATTTCTTAGATACAACACCAAAAGCACAATCCATAAGATAAAAAGATTGATAAACTGAACATATTAAAAATCAAGTATTTTGATTCTTCTAAAGATACGTGGTGAGAATGAAACAAGTCACAGACTGGGAGAAAATACTTGCAAATTACATATCTGATCTAGGACTTGTATACAGCACATATAAAAGTATCAAACAACAGCAATAAGAAAGCAATTAAAATAAAACGTCAATAAAAAGGTTTAAACAATAAGCCAAAAAAAATATGGGTAGCAAATAAGCACATTAAAGATGCTCAGCATCATTAGTCATAAGGGAGATGCAAATAAAATCACAATGAAATACCATTACATGCCTATCAGAATAACTAAAAAGAAAAAGAAAAGAAAAGAATTCTAATTGATAATGCCAAGTACTGGTAAGGATTCAGAATAACTGGAACTCATACATTGCTGGTACAAATGCAAAAGGAAGCAACCATTTTGGAAACCAGTTTGGCAGTTTCTTATAAAGTTAAACATACCTTACCTTACCATATGACTTAGCAATTCAACTCCATTTCATCTATCCATTTGATATCATAATATGTAGTCACTCAAAAACCTGTACTTGAATAGTTATAGCTGCTTTGTTTATTTTTTTTATTATACTTTAAGTTCTGGGGTACATGTGCACAACATGCAGGTTCGTTACATAGGTATACATGTGCCATGTTGGTTTGCTGCACCCATCAACTCATCATTTACATTAGGTATTTCTCTGAATGCTATCCCTTCCCCAGCATCCCACCCTCCAACAGACCCTGGTGTGTGACATTCCCCTCCCTGTGTCCATGTGTTCTCATTGTTCAACTCCCACTTGTGAGTGAGAACATGCGGTGTTTGGTTTTCTGTCCTTGTGATATTTTGCTGAGAACGATGGTTTCCAGCTTCATCCATGTCCCTGGAAAGGACATGAACTCATCCTTTTTTATGGCTGCATAATATTCCATGGTTTATATGTGCCACATTTTCTTTTTTTTAATTATACTTTAAGTTTTAGGGTACATGTGCACATTGTGCAGGTTAGCTACATATGTATACATGTGCCATGCTGGTGCGCTGCACCCACTAACTCGTCATCTAGCATTAGGTATATCTCCCAATGCTATCCCTCCCCCCTCCCCCGACCCCACCACAGTCCCCAGAGTGTGATATTCCCCTTCCTGTGTCCATGTGATCTCATTGTTCAATTCCCACCTATGAGTGAGAATATGCGGTGTTTGGTTTTTTGTTCTTGCGATAGTTTACTGAGAATGATGATTTCCAATTTCATCCATGTCCCTACAAAGGACATGAACTCATCATTTTTTATGGCTGCATAGTATTCCATGGTGTATATGTGCCACATTTTCTTAATCCAGTCTATCATTGTTGGACATTTGGGTTGGTTCCAAGTCTTTGCTATTGTGAATAATGCCGCAGTAAACATACGTGTGCATGTGTCTTTATAGCAGCATGATTTATAGTCCTTTGGGTATATACCCAGTAATGGGATGGCTGGGTCAAATGGTATTTCCAGTTCTAGATCCCTGAGGAATCGCCACACTGACTTCCACAATGGTTGAACTATTTTACAGTCCCACCAACAGTGTAAAAGTGTTCCTATTTCTCCACATCCTCTCCAGCACCTCTTGTTTCCTGACTTTTTAATGATTGCCATTCTAACTGGTGTGAGATGGTATCTCATTGTGGTTTTGATTTGCATTTCTCTGATGGCCAGTGATAATGAGCATTTTTTCATGTGTTTTTTGGCTGCATAAATGTCTTCTTTTGAGAAGTGTCTGTTCATGTCCTTTGCCCACTTTTTGATGGGGTTGTTTGTTTTTTTCTTGTAAATTTGTTTGAGTTCATTGTAGATTCTGGATATTAGCCCTTTGTCAGATGAGTAGGTTGTGAAAATTTTCTCCCATTCTGTAGGTTGCCTGTTCACTCTGATGGTAGTTTCTTTTGCTGTGCAGAAGCTCTTTAGTTTAATTAGATCCCATTTGTCAATTTTGTCTTTTGTTGCCATTGCTTTTGGTGTTTTGGACATGAAGTCCTTGCCCATGCCTATGTCCTGAATGGTAATGCCTAGGTTTTCTTCTAGGGTTTTTATGGTTTTAGGTCTAACGTTTAAATCTTTAATCCATCTTGAATTGATTTTTGTATAAGGTGTAAGGAAGGGATCCAGTTTCAGCTTTCTACGTATGGCTAGCCAGTTTTCCCAGCACCATTTATTAAATAGGGAATCCTTTCCCCATTGCTTGTTATTGTCAGGTTTGTCAAAGATCAGATCGTTGTAGATGTGTGGTGTTATTTCTGAGGCCTCTGTTCTGTTCCATTGATCTATATCTCTGTTTTGGTACCAGTACCATGCTGTTTTGGTTACAGTAATCTTGTAGTTAGTTTGAAGTCAGGTAGTGTGATGCCTCCAGCTTTGTTCTTTTAGCTTAGGATTGTCTTGGCTATATGGACTCTTTTTGGGTTCCATGTGAAATTTAAAGTAGTTTTCTCCAATTCTGTGAAGAAAGTCAATGGTAGTTTGATGGGGATAGTATTGAATCTATAAATTACTTTGGGCAGTATGGCCATTTTCACTATATTGATTCTTCCTATCCATGAGCATGGAATGTTCTTCCATTTGTTTGTATCCTCTTTTATTTCCTTGAGCAGTGGTTTGTAGTTCTCCTTGAAAATGTCCTTCACATCCTTTGTAAGTTGGATTCCTAGGTATTTTATTCTCTTTGAAGCAATTGTGAATGGGAGTTCACTCATGATTTGGCTCTCTGTTTGTCTGTTGTTGGTGTATAAGAATGCTTGTGATTTTTGTACATTGATTTTTGTATCCTGAGAATTTGCTGAAGTTCCTTATCAGCTTAGGGAGATTTTGGGCTGAGACTATGGGGTTTTCTAAATATACAATCATGTCATCTGCAAACAGAGACAATTTGACTTCCTCTTTTCCTAATTGAATACTCTTTATTTCTTTCTCTTGCCTGATTGCCCTGGCCAGAACTTCCAATACTATGTTGAATAGGAGTGGTGAGAGTGGGCATCCTTGTCTTGTGCTGGTTTTCAAAGGGAATGCGTCCAGTTTTTGCCCATTCAGTATGACATTGGCTGTGGGTTTGTCATAAATAGCTCTTATTATTTTGAGATACATTCCATCAATACCTAGTTTATTGAGAGTTTTCAGCATGAAGGGCTGTTGAATTTTGTCAAAGGCCTTTTCTGCATCTATTGAGATAATCATGAGGTTTTTGTCGTTGGTTCTGTTTCTATGCTGGATTATGTTTATTGATTTTCATATGTTGAACCAGCCTTGCATCCCAGGGATGAAGCAGACTTTATCGTGGTGGATAAGCTTTTTGATGTGCTGCTAGATTCGGTTTGCCAGTATTTCATTCAGAATTTTTGCATCGATGTTCATCAGGGATATTGGCCTAAAATTCTCTTTTTTTTGTTGTGTCTCTGCCAGGCTTTGTTATCAGGATGATGCTGGCCTAACAAAATGAGTTAGGGAGGATTCCCTCTTTTTCTTTTGATTGGAATAGTTTGAGAAGAAATGGTACCAGTTCTTCTTTGTACCTCTGGTAGAATTCAGCTCTGAATCCATCTAGTCCTGGACTTTTTTTTGGTCGGTAGGCTATTAATTATTGCCTCAATTTCAGAACCTCTTATTGGTCTATTCAGAGATTCAACTTCTTCCTGGTTTAGTCTTGGGAGGGTGTGTGTCCAGGAATTTATCCATTTCTTATAGATTTTCTAGTTTATTTGCATAGAGGTGTTTATAGTATTCTCTGATGGTAGTTTATATTTCTGTGGCATCGGTGGTGATATCCCCTTTTTCATTTTTTATTGCATCTATTTGATTCTCCTCTCTTTTCTTCTTTATTAGTCTTGCTAGTGGTCTATTAATTTTGTTGATCTTTTCAAAAAACCAGCTCCTGGATTCATTGATTTTTTGAAGGGTTTTTTGTTTTTCTATCTCCTTCATTTCTCCTCTGATCTTAGTTATTTCTTGCCTTCTGCTAGCTTTTGAATTTGTTTGCGCTTGCTTCTCTAGTTCTTTTAATTGTGATGTTAGGGTGTCGATTTTAGATCTTTCCTGCTTTCCCTTGTTGGCATTTAGTGCTATAAATTTCCCTCTACCCCCTGCTTTAAATGTGTCCCAGAGATTCTGGTATGTTGTGTCTTTGTTCTTATTGGTTTCAAATAACATCTTTATTTCTGCCTTCATTTCGTTACTTACCCAGTAGTCATTCAAGAGCAGGTTGTTCAGTTTCCATGTAGTTGTGCAGTTTTGAGTGAGATTAGTAATCCTGAGTTCTAATTTGATCTGAGAGACAGTTTGCTGCGATTTCTGTTCGTTTACATTTCCTGAGGAGTGTTTTACTTCCAATTATGTTGTCAATTTTAGAATTGCAATCTCTGCTTTTTTTTGCTTTCCATTTGCTTGGTAGATCTTCCTCCATCCCTTTATTTTGAGCCTATGTGTGTCTCTGCACGTGAGATGGGTCTCCTGAATACAGCACACTGATGGATCTTGACTCTATCCAATTTGCCAGTCTGTGTCTTTTAATTGGGGCATTTAGCCCATTTACATTAAAGGTTGATATTGTTATGTGTTAAGGTTGATATTGTTATGTGTGAATTTGATCCTGTCATTATGATGTTAGCTGGTTATTTTGACTGTTAGTTGATGCAGTTTCCTCCTAGCACCGATGGTCTTTACAATTCGGCATGCTTTTAGAGTGGCTGGTACCGATTGTTCCTTTCCATGTTTAGTGCTTCCTTCAAGAGTTCTTGTAAGGCAGGCCTGGTGGTGACAAAATCTCTCGGCATTTGTTTGTCTATAAAGGATTTTATTTATCCTTCACTTATGAAGCTTAGTGAAGCTTAGTTTGGCTGGATATGAAATTCTGGGTTGAAAATTCTTTTCTTTAGGAATGTTGAATATTGGCCCCTACTCTCTTCTAGCTTGTAAGGTTTCTGCCAAGAGATCTGCTGTTAGTCTGATGGGCTTCCCTTTGTGGGTAACCTGACCTTTCTCTCTGGCTGCCCTTAACATTTTTTCCTTCAATTCAACCTTGGTGAATCTGACAATTTGTGTCTTGGGGTTGCTCTTCTCGAGGAATATCTTTGTGGTGTTCTCTGTATCTCCTGAATTTGAATGTTGGCCTGCCCTGCTAGGTTGGGGAAGTTCTCCTGGATAATATCCTGAAGAGTGTTTTCTAACTTGGTTCCATTCTCTCCATCACTTTCTGGTACACCAATCAAATGTAGATTTGGTCTTTTCACATAGTCCCATATTTCTTGGAGGCTTTGTTCTTTTCTTTTCACTCTCTTTTCTCTAATCTTGTCTTCTCACTTTATTTCATTAATTTGATCTTCAATCACTGATATCCTTTCTTTCGCTTAATCAAATCAGCTATTGAAGCTTGTGTATGCTTCATGAAGTTCTCGTGCTGTGTTTTTCAGCTCCATCAGGTCATTTATTTTCTTCTCTACACTGGTTATTCTAGTTAGCCATTCCTCTAACCTTTTCTCAAGGTTTTTAGCTTCCTTGCAATGGGTTAGAACATACTCCTTTAGCTCAGAGGAGTTTGTTATTACCCACCTTCTGAACCCTACTTCTGTCAACTCATCAAACTCATTCTCCGTCCAGTTTTGTTCCCTTGCTAGCAACGAGTTGTGATCCTTCAGAGGACAAGAGGCGTTCTGGTTTTTGGAATTTTCTGCTTTTCTACTCTTGTTTCTCCCCATCTTTATGGTTTTTATCTACCTTCGTCTTTGATGTTGGTGACCTACAGATGGGGTTTTGATGGGGATGTCCTTTTTGTTGATGTTGATGCTATTCCTTTCTGTTTGTTAGTTTCCCTTCTAACAGTCAGGCCCCCCTAGCTGCAGATCTGTTGGAGTTTGCTGGAGGTTCACTCCAGACCCTGTTTGCCTGGGTATCACCAGCTGAGGCTGCAGAACAGCAAATATTGCTGCCTGATCCTTCCTCTGGAAGCTTCATCCCAGAGGGGCACCCACCAGATGCCAGCCAAAGCTCTCCTGTATGAGGTGTCTGTTGGCCCCTACTGGAAGGTGTCTCCCAGTCAGTCTACAGGGGGGTCAGGGACCCACTTGAGGATGTAGCCTGTCCATTATCAGAGCTCAAACGCCATGCTGGGACAACCACTGCTCTCTTCAGAGTTGTCAGGCAGGGACATTTAAGTCTGCAGAAGCTGTGCCCACAGCTGCCCCTTTCCCCAGGTGATCTGTCCCAGGGAGATGAGGGTTTTATCTATAAACTCCCTGGCTAGGGCTGCTGCCTTTTGTTCAGATATGCCCTGCCCACAGAAGTGGAATCTAGAGAGGCAGTCTGCCTTGCTGAGTTGCAGTGGGCTCTACCCAGTTCAATCTTCCCGGCAGCTTTATTTACACTGTGGGCATAAAACTGCCTACTCAAGCCTCACCAATGGCAGCCGCCCCTCCCTCCACCAAGCTCCAGTGTCCCAGGTCTATCTAAGACTGCTGCACTAGCAGCAAGAATTTCAAGCCAATAGATCTTAGCTTGCTGGGCTCTGTGGGCATGGGACCCAGTGAGCCAGGAACCAGAGGGAATCTCCTGGTCTGCCAGTTGTGAAGATCATGGGAGAAGCACAGTATTTGGGTAGGTGTGTACCGTTCCTCCTGGTACAGTCTCTCATGGCTTCCCTTCACTAGGAAAGGGAAATACCCTGACCCTTTGCACTTCCAGGGTGAGGCAATGCCCTGCCCTGCTCCAGCTCGCACTCCGTGGGCTGCACCTACTGTCCAACCAGTCTCAATGAGATGAACCAGGTACCTTAGTTGGAAATGCAGAAATCACCTGTCTTCTGCGTCGATCTCGCTGGGAGCTGCAGACTGGAGCTGTTCCTATTCGACCATCTTTGAACATATATTTAGCTGCTTTATTTATAATTACCATAAACTGGGAATTCAACTTCTGAATGGATAGACACACTGATATATCATACAATGGAACACTATAGAGTAATAAAAAGGAAAGATCTACTGATATACTTAGCAACATGAATGAATCTCAAATGCAATATGCTAAATGAAAGAAGCCAAACTCAAAAGACTGCATACTGTATGATTCCAATTACATGACATTCTTGAGAAGGCAAAACTGTGGGGTCAAACAACAAATCACTGCTTACCAGAGTCTGAAGGTGGGAGGAGGGGTTGACTCTAAAGTGGCATAAGGGAATTTTCTGGAATGTGACACTGTTTTATATCTTGATTGTAGGGTTGGTAACATCACTGTATGCATTTGTCAAAACTTGTAGAACCATACACTTAAAAAGATGGATTTTCTATTTATAAATTATACCTTAATAAAATGGTGAGCAGAGGAGAGGTGTGTTTGGTGCCATAGATTTGAAATTACTGAAACATTCTCTATTTCCATATAGTCAAGTAGAATTACATGTGTAGATGGCTTCCAAATCCACTAACAATAAATTTATAATCAAGGTTCTTATACCCATAACATACTTTTTTTGAGCTAGGCCAGGCAGCCACTTAAAACCGGCATGAAAAAAAGGATGAGTAGGCTACCCAACTCTACCTATTTGCTTAATAAGAATAAAGAAAGGTAATGAGGGAAGAAGGGTAGAAGGGAGGGATTTATATGTGCATGACTGCCACAACAGTATGCCTATAGACAAACTTTTTAACCACCAAGACATCTAAGAAATTCATACTAGCCTTAAAGTTTGTTCAACATGGTACCTGATAAAATCCATGTTAGTTTGGTGATTCCCTAATTTACTAATCCAGACAAACAGTCCTGTCAATGAGGGATTTATTCTAGGCAGTCAAGACACCATGTGTTATAGTCAATAAACATGAAAACATACATAATGCATACTTTGTAGCCTCAGTGATTTAAATGAGGAAATTCTAAAAGCTTGGAAATTTCTAAAAGTAACCCAAGTAACATTTACTTGCTTCAAGTTGGAGAAATAAGGTCAAACAGCTCCAATGCCAAGGGAACTTTACATTCATAATTTCCACTGTAAATAAATTTGCCCCAATCTTCTCTGACCATGATGGAATAAAACTAGAAATCAATAACAAGATAAATTTTGAAAGCTATACAAACACATAGAAATTAAACAATATGCTCCTGAATGACCAGTGGGCCAATGAAGAAATTAAGAAGGAAATTAAAAGATTCCTTGAAATGAATGATAATGAAAACGCAACATACCAAAATCCATGAGATACCTTGAAAGCAGAGGGACATGTATAGCTATAAGTGCCTGCATCAGAAAAAGTGGTAAAGCTTCAAATAAACAAGCTAAAAATGCATCTTAAAGAACTGGCAAAACAAGAGCAAACCAAACGCAAAATTAGTAGAAGAAAGAAATAATAAAGATCAGAGCAGAAATAAATAAAATTGGAACAAAGAAAATAATACAAAAGATCAACGAAATAAAAAGTTGGTTTTTGAAAAGAAAAACAAAATTCACAAACCTTTAGCCAGACTAAGAAAAAAAAAGAGAGAAGACCCAAATAGATAAAATCAGAGATAGAAAGGAAGACATTACAACTGATACCACAGAAATTAAAAGGATCATTAGAGGCTATGAAAAGCAACTATACACCAATATATTAGAAAACCTAGAAGAAATGGATAAATTCCTAGACATATACAACCTACCTAGATTAAACCATGAAGAAAACTAAAACCTGAGCAGCTCAATAACAAGTAATGAGATCAAAGCTGTAATAAAAAGTCTCCCTGTAAAGGAAAGTTCAGGACCCAGTGGCTTCACTGCTGAATTTTACCAAACATTTACAGAGGACTTAATAACAATCCTACTCAAACTATTTTGAAAAACAGAGGAGGGAATGCTTCCAAACTCATTCTGTTAGGCCAGTTTTACCCTGATACCAAGACCAGACAAAGACACATCAAACAAGAAAGCCACACCCCAATATCCCTGATGAACATTGATGCAAAAATCCCCAACAAAATACTAGCAAACAGAATTCAGCAACACCCTAAAAAGATCATTCATCATGACCAAGTATGATTTATCCCAGGAATGCAAGGATGGTTCAACATACAAAAAGCAATCAAATGTGATACATCACATCAACAGAATGAAGGACAAAAACCATACGATCATTTCAATTGATGATGAAAAAACATTTAATAAAATTCAACAACACTTCATGATAAAAAAAAAAGCCTAAAAAAACTGGGTATAGAAGGAACATACCTCAACGTAATAAAAGACATATATGACAGCCAGCAGCTAGTGGCAAAAAAATGGAGAAAACTGGGAGCCTTTCCTCTAAGATCTGAAACAAGACAAAGATGCCCACTTTCACCACTATTATTCAACATAGTACTGAAAGTCATAGCTAGAGCAATTAGACAAGAGAGATAAAGAGCATCCAAACTGAAAAAGAAGAAGTCAAATTATCCTTGTTTGCAAATGGTATGATCTTATATTTGGAAAATTGAAACAAAAACCTCAAGACTCTATCAAAAAAACTATTAGAACTGATTAAAAAATTCAATAAAGTTGCAGGATACAAAATCAACATACAAAAGTCAGTAGCATTTCTGTATGCCAATAGTGAACGATCTGAAAAAGAAATTTTTAAAAATCCCTGTTTATTAATATAATAGCTACAAATAATATAAAATTACTTAGGAATTAACCAAAGAAGTAAAAGATCCCTACCATAAAAGCTATAAAACATTTATGAAAGAAATTGAAGAGGACACAAAAAAATGAAAAGGTATTCCATGTTTATGGATTGGAAGAAGGAATATTGTTAAAATAATCATACTACCCAAAGCAATCTACAGTTTCAATGCAATCCCTATCAAAATACCAATAACATTCTTCGCAGAAATGGAAAAAATATCTAAAATTTATATGGAACCACAAAACAGCCATAATAGCCAAAGAAATCTTGAGCAAAAAGAGCAAAACTAGTATAGTTATATTACAGAGCTATAGTAACCAAGACAACATGATATTGGCATAAAAACAGACACATTGACCAACTGAACAGCATAGAGAACCCAGAAACAAATCCATACAATTACAGTGAACTCATTTTTGACAAAGATGTGAAGAACATACATTGGGGAAAGGATGGCCTCTTCAACAAATGGTCCTGGGAAAACTATGAATAGATATCTATATGCAGAAGAATGAAACTAGACTCCTGTCTTGTCATATACAAAAGTCAAATCAAAATGGATTAAAGGCTTAAGTCTAAATCCTCAAACAATGAAACTACTACAAGAAAACATTGAGGAGGCTCTCCAGGACATTGGACTAGGCAAAGATTTCTTGAGAATGTGGGTATTCCCCACAGGTACAGACAACCAAAGCAAAAATAAACAAATGGGATCACATCAAGTTAAATACCTTCTGCACACTAAAGGAAACAATCAAAAAAGTAAAAAGACGACCCTCAGCACAGGAGAAAATATTTTCAAACTAACAAGGGATTAATAACCTAGAATATGTAAGGAGTTCAAATAGCTCTATAGGAAAAAATCTAATAATTTGATTTTTAAATGAGCAAAAATCTGAATAGACATTTCTCAAAAGAAGATATACAAATGGTAAATAGGTACATGAAAAGATGCTCTACATTATTGATCATCAGAGAAATGCAAGCCAAAACTACAATGAGATATCTTCTCACCCTTGTTAAAATGGCTTTTACCCGAAAGACAGGTGATAACAAATGCTGGCAAGAATATGGAGAAAAGGAAACCTTCATACACTGTTGGTGGGAAAGTAAATTAGAACAACCACCGTGGAGAACAATTCAGAGGTTCCTCAAAAGACTAAAAACAGAGCTACCATATGATTCAGCAATCCCACTGCTAGGTATATACCCAACAGAAAGGAAATCAGTACATCAAAGAGATAGCTGCACTCCCATGTTTATTGTAGCACTATTCACAATACCCGAGATTTGGAAGCCACCTAAGTGTCCATCAACAGACGAATAGATTTAAAAAGCATGGTACAGATATACAATGAAGTACTATTCAACCATAAAAGAGAATAAGATTCTGTCATTTGCAACACATGGATAGAACTGGAAGTCATTATGATATGTGAAATAAGCCAAGCACAGAAAGACAAACTTCTCATGTTCTCACTTATTTGCAGGAGCCAAAAATTAAAACAATTAAATTCATGGAGATAGAGAGTAGAATGATGGTTACCAGAGACTGGGAAGGCTAGTGCTGGGGGTGGGGGGACAGTGGGTGGAGAAGTGGGAATGGTTAATCAGTACAAAAATAGTTAGAAAAAATGAGTAAGATATAGCATTTAATGGCACAACAGGGTGACTATAGTCGATAGTAATTTAATTGTACATTTTTAAATAACTAAATGAGTATAATCAGATCTTTTTATAACACAAAGGATAATTCCTTGAGGTGATGCATAACCCATTTACCCTGAAGTGACTGTTACACATTATATGCCTTTATCAAAATATCTCATGTACCCCATAAATATATATACCTATTATATACCCACAAAAAATAAAAATTTTAAAAATGTTTTTAAAAAAGAAATTTGTCCTAGAGTTTGCTGATTCTTAGGATTCACTGAGAGCAGTGAAACTTTGCTGGTCTACAAATTTCACATACAACACTTATTTCCACGATTTGGGACTATTCATTAAAGCCCCACAAGCAAATGGCACTGTGAAAACATGTCTGCCACTATTTCCGCACTAAAAAGATTACAATTTCAATAGACTGCATTTACATGGACAAAAGGCACACAATGGTACAATGGCCAACTGCAAATGATAATTTAATTAAATTGCTAATTCAATATCTTCTGTATGTAGGGATATTATGTAACAAATATTGGAGTATAGCTTAGCAGCCTCAATAGATACAGAAGGCTTAGTCAACACTATGCAAAAACCTGCCTGTTGAATGGGCCAGATTACTGGATATTAGATAAAGGAGGCAGCAAGGTTGTTGAGAGAAGGAATGAAATGAAGGATCAAGGAAAGAAGGAGAAATTATGTAGACAAGTAGGTCTAGTAAAGGTAATGTTTTAAAAGAAATTGTATTTTAAGGGTGTATTTTAATTGTTCAGTTTTGGGATGGTGGTCATGTGCTGAAAAAGGTACCAGAGGAAAACTATTTTCCAAGAGTGTTTGTAAAGGGAAAGGCCAGAGGCAAGGTGATCAGTCTGCAGATCAGAGAAAACAGACAGAGGCAGACAGCTCTAGAGAAAGGATGGCAAGAAGCGGAGGGTGATTCTGTGTTTCCCGCTATAAAGGAAAGCAAGCTGAGTCCAGAGTGCAAAGTAAAGGAATCCTACAATTGTGAAAATCAGAGACACTGATGACACTTTGAGATGAGACCTCAGAGACCAAAGAATATGCAGAGAGAACAGAAGTTGTCAAAGCTGGAAAGAGATCAGAAGGAAGGCAAGAGAGGCGACCATTCCCTCCAGTGCAAGCCTACCCTTGGTGGCCTTAGTGGAGTCTATTTCTGCAAAGTAAAAAGATGAAAGATGAAAACAACCACCCTAGGCAAGGGGTTGCATAAATCACATGTTTTCAAACTCTTTTTCAGGCCCAGAATATTTGCTCAAAGGGTGTCTTTGAACATGAATATGCGAACAAATACAGTCACATTTAACCTGCTAAATGCTCTCCTCCCACTCTAGCAGTGAAGACCCTGTACTAGCTCAGAATCCCTAAGACAAAGCTTAAAGCCACTGAATGTCACCCAAAGAGATGTTCCCTCTCTCCACATTTAAAAACTTTCCCAGGGTGCTGCTCAAATTAATACACAATGCCACACACTGCCCCCTCAAACAAATACATAGGACCCAGGTTTATCCACCTAAAGAACTCCCGTTCATTTTTCGTTAAATCCTTCAAGCATAGAGAATAATAAATGGTATTATTCTCTGTATGTTTGAAGTACAGCAATGTACCCACCACTCATATCTAATGAATGTGAATATTTTGCCATATTTTATTTCATCATTTTTAGGGAAATAAAACATTACAGGAACTATTAAGAACCTCTTTTTCCTCCTCCCTAATTCCATTCTCCTTCAGCCTCTCTCACCCCAGATTATCACTATCCTGACGCTGGGGTTTATTCTTGCTATCAGCAACTTCTTTCTTTTATTCTGCATGCATAGATTCCCAAACCCATGGTGTTATTTTCTGTTTATATAAAGGCATATGTTATACTGTGTTTATTCTTCTGCAGTGTGGTTTTTCACTTAACATGATGTTTTCAGGATTTATCTATATTGATACATATACATCTGGTTCATTTATTTTAAGGGCTAATTATGACTCTGTAATCTGACTATACCCCATTTATCCATTTTCCTATTGTCAATATTGAGAAATTTTACATTATAAAAAATGCTGTAATGAACATTCGTGTACTTGTCTTATTGTGTGCATGTTCAAGACTTTTTTTTAGGATGTAACTGAAGTGAAATCACTGAGTATAAACACATTGTAACCCGTTAAGCCTTAGTTCAGTTGTTACCTCCTTTGAGAGGCTTCCCTGGCCTGGTTGAGCACAGTTAAGTATTTTTCCTTTTCTTGTCCCAAAAGATCTTGCAAACGCCTCTCTCTTTTCCTGCATCCACAGGAATATTTGCAGGTTTGTATCCCCAAATGGTGTATGATCCTCCACAGACAGGGATACTGTGCCTAGCACATAATAGGCTATTAATCAGTGCTTGCTGAAGAAAATTAGAAGTTGATCAACAGAACAAAATGCCCTTAGATATGTGGGAAGATATGTGAATGGCAACTTGAATTCCAGGGGATGGCACAGATTTCACCTAGGGAGCTATACATAGCCAGGAGGGGACCCGAATCAAGAACTTAAGAGAAAAGAGACGGTGTAAGATCTGGGGAGAACCCAAAAATGAATCCAAGCCACTTCTGGGTCACACTGCAAAGGGAAACTAGCTAAGTCCAACACCTTAGAGGATACCATTATTGGTAATATAAAAATACAGTCTTAAAAGTAATGAAGACATTAGCTTGAGGCAAACCTAAGACAGAAGGTCATAGATGATAGAGGAAGGACCAGTGATTACAGTGGTTAGGTATGACTAAGAAAGATATTAAAGTAAATATAGATATTTAAGTCTCCATTTCACCCTAAATGCATCCGTTTTTCCAATTACGTGACTTTGTGGGCAAAAAAGAACTCTCATGTATTTTTACCAGGCATGTATAAATTGGTGTACACTTATTTGAAAATATCTAGCATAATAATTGTGAGCATCTTTTTTTTTCACCCCCAGTGGAAAAAGTAGAGTATATTTAATAAGTAGTACAAGCATAACTGGATGGGGGAATGAAATGTAATGTTGTGATCATCTTTTGACAGTTAATACCACTGCTAGAATTTATCCTGTAAATAAACGTTTATAAAATTATAAAACAATTATAGTAGTAAAAGTTATAAATAACCCAAATGCTCATCAATAGAGGGCAATATCAATTATCAGCCATCCACTGAGTGGAATATTACATAACTATTAGAAAGAATACATCAGAGTTACTTCTGGAAAAGGGGCTTATGGGTATGTTAAGTTGGAAAATGATGCTGTTAAGTCTTAAAAGCAAGGAACAAGACAACATGCAAAGTATAATCCCATTTACATAAAACACATACATGCTAGAGGAAGGCTGTGGAAAATTAATAGTGGTTATCTTTGGGTTTGCAGGGTATAGGGGGAGTAGAATTAGCTACTTCTGTGACCCAGAAGTGGCTTGGATTCATTTTTGTGTTCTCCTCAGATCTTACACAATCTCTTTTCTCTTAACTTCTTGATTTGGGTCCCCTCCTGGCTATGTATAGCTGCCTAGATATACATTTGGATATTTGCGTGTGTGCTATTGAGACAGAATTGAGACAGAATGTAATATGTAAAAAGTTATGATTCTTTTGACATTTTGAGAAGAGGATAAAGTGAAAAATTATGTCACTCTCTTACAGTCAATAAGAAATGCCATGGCCTATATTGTTTGTCCAGGCTTTGGGTCATTTCCCAGGCTCCATATTGACTTAAAATAGTAAATCCTGACAAGGAATAATTTTTTTTAATGAGCAACCTCTTACCAGAAGAAACTGGGCTTCTGTGTATTTAAACAAGCCATGAGAATTCCCTGCAGCTTTTCCAGCCAAATCAGAACATTGCCCAAGTCAGGTATCATTTCAACTTATTTGTAAAACTCAAGGCTAATGAACAAAATACAGAGCAATTCAACTCAGGGTTACATTTCCTTAATATTTAGATAAATATCACATTGCAAACAATTGTATTGTCTTTGATTATTCAAATACACATACACACAGATTGAGGTAGCACAATTGGGTTTTATCTTGTATACAAATAGAACAGAACCTATTCAATTTTATCCAATGCTCTCCTGAGCACTTTTTTCCCTCTTCCCTTGAGTACAAGCCCATCCTAGCAGGGGCTGATGTATCCCTGTGGGATTTGGTGCAATATTTTGTCGTTCTGATTGAAATGTGTGCTGTCTGGTCCCTATAGTTTAATTTAGAACAATTAAGGCTCAGGGTACATGAGCTGGTAAAGCACATTACAAACAATGGCTGCAGAATAAACTGCAGATCAATCCACACTAAATCACCCTGAAAATCCCTGCCAGCACCACAAAGCCATCCCGATTCCAGCCCTTCCTCCATCTCCGCTGCACTAAGGAAGTCTCCATTGTTCAGTTTTGTAATTATTTTGCAGAAGTGTTTATCCTCCCAGACATAAAACTTTACAATCTTGGGCTGAGGGTTAGGGGCACATAGGAAAAGGATGCTGAGGGGGATATGGCTCCATTCATAATGATATTGCCCCACAAATGGAGCGTGCTTTTTCCATTTCCCAACTCTGATACTGGCACGCTGTCCAAACCTGTCACCACATCTTGGCTGAGCACATAGGGGAAATATTTGCTCTTTCATTCATCATCTTGTTTATTTATTTATTTTGATGCCTAAGTGGGCATCTCTTCCTTCCTCATGCCTCCATATGTATCCACCCCATAAAGCTGTCTACTTTGTCAGAGAGATTGAGCTGCCAGATAAAAGAACTACCTTCAGTTGCAATCCACAAACATCTCATGAACCCACCTTCAGTACCATTTTTTATTGTTTAAATGAAAGAGCACTAAAGTAAAGAGCTAATCGTGTTGTCTGTGTAGGGGCACTGCAGGGCTGGCACAAACAATGTTTTCAAATTCCAAAGAAGTTGTAAAAGCAAAGCATAACATCGAAATTTTTAATGTGCACATTTTTTTCATTTAGCAATTCCACTATTAGGGATTTTTCCAATAGAACTATTTTCCCAAGAAGGCAAATATATGTACATGAACATTTCTTGAAATATTATATTAGTGTAGTGAAAAAAGTTATAACAAATATAAATTCCATCAAGAGGAGAATGGATAGATAATGCATGATGAACTCACATGATAGAAACTGTGCAATCCTTAGAAATGTAGATCTACATGAAGTGAGATGACAAAGGGCCTTAAGATACAGCTAAATTTAAAAACGAGTATGAGCCCATTTTTGTTAAGTGCCTATACATTAGCATAGACAATTTTTAAATCAAGAAAAACAGATACCAAACTCAATAACAATAGTTAACTCTGAAGGTGGAATTCCAGGGACTTTTTTTTCTTTATATATTTTGGTATCATTTAATTTTTTACAAAAAGTATATGTTACTTTTATAATCAGAAAATATATGCATATATAGATAAGTATATAAATATATATATATAGTAAAGTATATATTTATATCTTATATGTATAGAAAAGCATTATATAAATGATGGAATTACCTTCTCTTTTGCCTTGTTTCTCTATCCATTCATCCTTTAAACAAAGAGTTATTAAAAGCCTGTTGATGTGTTGAGTGCCACTATTCTAGGTTCTGAGAATGCAAAAATAAACCTTTTATAGAGATTATAATCTAGTGGTAGGAAATACCACTGCTCTACACACCTCCATTAAAGCCCATAATCTTGGGTTGGCTTCATGATCGAGTCAGATAAAGAATCCAGATAATGATCTAGATTGATGCACGATCTTATTTTCTCAAACTCACCTATTATAGACAGACTTAAAGATAATAGCTGTCCTCCTATAATTTAGGTGCTGGTCATTTGCAATCACTTCAGCCTCTGGATGCTCATCTTCTTGAGGTTTACCAATAGAAGAACTACAATCACTAGCTTTATTCAGCACTTACCGCATGACAGTGCACCAGATTCTTTACCTACATTATCTCATGTCATTCTTAACAGTCTTATGAAATAACTACCATCACATATTTTATCTTTTTTTTTTTTTTTTTTTTTTACAGATCTGATGGCAGAGATCTGCCTAGGACTCCCAGCTAATATATGGCCAAGCCGAGACTACATACAGTCCAAGCCTCAGACCTCTACAGCTGTTCTGGGAATACAGTAGGTGCTCACACCAGAAGTGGTCACTGCAGTAGCTGGTAGTTCTAGTAACATTTTCTAAGCTGTCAGCCTGTGAAAGGAAACTGATGAAGCAAGGGAAAAACAAAACACAATTATGAGATTTGGAAAGTCCATGCCAGTAACCTGTCAAACTCATGATTTATGAAAAGCATTAATGAAGTATAAACAATTCCAGGTGGGTCATTCAATCAAGCTCTTGATGTTTAGCTTTCACTGTTTAGAATCTGGGTGGCTACTAAATAGAATACTAATTCCTTATGGGAGAAAACTTCAGATTGAATTATGTTGTAATTATGAACTCGGGATAGGGGGTTAACATGTGAGTAAGTTTGTGTGCTGGGCATGTCTGTTGGCTTCAAGGCCATGTTCCATCACATCAAGCCCTCAAAGAATGCAGGGTGCTCTGCATTCCAGTCTAAGCTGCAACTACAGGATTTGAAATGTGGACCCATCTCACCTCCAGCATCCTCCCCAGCCAATGAGGATCCTGGAGCTGTCCACATCACAGCATGGCATGGCAATATGTGGAAGCCAGTGAAACAAGCAATCCTCATTGGGTTTCTACCTCATAACCCTTCCAGATTCAACATCCTCCCCAATCTCATCCAGTGAATAATCTTTTAGGACCTACTATATGCTAGAAACTATGCTTCAATGCAAAGTGTAAAAAGCACATCTCTATACCCTAAGTAGTTCGAAGTCTGGTCAAGGATCTCAATTCTGGTAGGGCATCTACAGATAATTTCCCAGATACTATATTTCTAGCACACCACTCCCTTCTTAAGAACCATTAATGGCTATTTACCTACTCTCAGATCAAATGTAAAACCTACCCTGCCTTCAAGACCCAAAGTTGACCTGACTCCTTTGTAAAACTCTCCAGACTAATTCCAGTTCACAACTGTCTTTTCTTAATTCTGCATCACTTCAGCATCAGTACTTAAACTCTGCTTTTAGTCTCAGAGTTTTTCTTATCCCCGTGCTGGAAACACAATTGGACTTTAAAGACATTTTAATCAAATTAATAAAGAAAAAGCCATTATACAGGGAGAAAGGGGGAATGGTTATTAAAATATTCTTTCTGTTCTCATAATGCAGTTAGGCTCCTTTTGTTCACTATCAAATTGATCAGAAAAAATAATTAATAGGCACTACGCTTAATACCAGGGTGACAAAATAATCTGTACAACAAATCCCCATGACAAAAGTTTACCTGCATAACAAACCTGCTCTTGTAGCCCTGAACTTAAACGTTAAATTAAAAAATAAAACAAATTGCCAGTTCCTCATATGCTCCCAGAGTTTTCAGAACCAAACAGGTCCTGAGATGTCATCCAGTTCAACCTCTCATTTCCTAGATGAGCAAATTACCCTCCAGGAGGAAAATGATATGTGGGTTGCAAAACCATCCACTTATGAACTCAATAAATATTGTATGCCAGCACCATACTAGACCCTGGGGAAATTGTCAGTCTCTACCCTTGTGGAGTTTGCATTCTAATAAGAAAGAAAGTAAACAGGTTAGTATATGCTGTCATTTCAAGTAGAGGTGAGTGCCATGAGGAACAATAAGAAAGAGTAAAGAGATGGTGGGGTTGGCATGTTATTTTACATCAGACATCAGGAAGAGGGAGTAGCAAGTGCAAAAGTCCTGAGGCAAGAATGAATTTAGCGCGCTTAAGTGACTGACAGAAGACTGGTGTCATTGGAGTGTAGTGAATGAGGGTGTAAGAGAGTTTAAAGACATAGAAAAGTCCATATTTTTAGGGTCATATGATAGACTTCATTTCATACTAAGTGTGATAGGAAGCCGTTTGCAGAATCTTACATACAAGAGTGACATGACTGTATTACTTTTTTAAAACCACTTGATTAAAATGATTGTCATATCAAAATCTGTACATACTTAATATATATAGCCTGATCAGTTTGGAGATAATTATATACGCCTGAAACTACCACCAAAATCTCTTCTGTAAATCTATCCGTCACCTCCAAAAGTTTCCTTCTGCCCTCTTTATTTATTAGGATTTCTTTGTGATGAGAACATTTAACATAAGATCTACCAGAAGGTAGAAGCAAATTTTTAAGTATACAGTACTTACTAACTTTATGCACTATGTTACACAGTAGATCTCTTGGACACGTTTATCTTGTATAACCAAACTTTGTACCCTTTGACTAATACTTCTTCATTTCCTCCTCCCCCTAGCCTCTGGCAATCACCATTCCAAGCTCTGCTTCTATGAGTTTGGCTATTTTTAATTCATCATATAAGTGAGATCATAAAGTATTTGCCCTTCTGTGTTTGGTTTATTTCATTTAGCATAATGTCCTCCAAGTTTATCTATGTTGTCACAAATGGTGGGGTTTCCTTCTTCTTGACGTCTCAATAATATTCTATTGCATGTATATACCATTTTCTTTATCCATTTATCTAAAAATGGACATTTAAGTAGTTTTCATATCTTGGCTATTGTGAATAATGCTGCAATAAGCATGGGAGTGCAGATAGCTTTCCAAGATCCTGATTTCAATTCCTTTGAATATATATCCAAAAGTTGGATTGCAGGTTCGTGTGGCAGTTCTGATTTTGAATTTTTTGAGAAATCTGGATACTGTTTTCCATAGTGGCTGTACCAACTTACATTGACACCAGCAGTGTACAAGTGTTCCCCTTCCACTACATCCTTAATGACATTTGTTATCCTTTGGATTTTTTTTAATAATAGCCAGCAAAACAGGTGTGAAGTAGATATCTCATGTGGTTTTATTGCATTTCCCTGATGATTACTGATGTTGAGCAACTTTTCATACACCTGTTGATCATTTGTATATCTTATTTGGAGAAATGTCTATTCAGTTCCTTTGCCGATTTTTGAATCAGATTATTTGTGTTTTCACTATTGAGTTGTATGAATTTCTCATATATTTTGAATATTAACTCTTTAGCAAATATATGTTTTACAAATATATTCTTCCACTGCATAAGCTGCCTTTTTATTTTGTTGATTGTTTCCTTCATACAACTCTTTCATCTCCTTGGTTATGTTTATTTCTCAGTATTTTTATGCTTGTAAATAAGATTGCTTTTTAAATTTCTTTTTGGATAATTCATTGTTAGTGTATAGAAATACTATAATTTTTGTATATTGTTTTTTTTACCCTGAAATTTTACTGAATTTATTTATTAGTTCTACCAGTTTTTTATGGAGTCTTTAGGGTTTTCTACATATAAGATCATGCCATCTGCAAACAAAGATAATTTTATTTCTTCTCCTCTGATTTGGATGCCTTTTATTTCCTTTTCTTGTCTAATTGCTCCAGCTATAACTTTTAGTACTATATCTCATATAAGTGGCAAGAGCGGACATCCTTGTCTTGTTCCTGATCTTAAAGGAAAAGCTTTCAGTTTTTCATCATTGAGTATGTTAGCTATTGGCTTGTCATACACGGTCTTTTTATGTTGAGGTACAGTCTTATACTTAACTTGCTGATAGTGTTTATCATGAAAGGGTGCTAAATTTTGTCAGATGCTTCTTTTGCGTCTATTGAGAAGACAATGTGATTTTTATTCTTCATTCTGTTGATGTGGTATATGCATTAATTGATTTGCTTGTGTTGAAAATGCTAATATTTTTCAGGATTTTTGCTTCCATGTTCATCGGGTATATTGGCCTGTAGTTTTCTTCTGGCATCTTTGTCTGGCTTTGCTAGCAGGGTGATGCTAGCCTCATAAAAAGAATTTGGAATGTTTTATTCTATTATTTGGATTTTCAAATTATTGGTATTAGTGGCTGAATGTGGTGGCTCACACCTGTAATCCAAGCTACTAGAGAGGCTGAGGCAGAAGGATCACTTGAGCCCAGGAGTTTGAGGTTACAGTGAGGTATGATCATGCCACTGCAGTTCAGCCTGGGTGACGGAGTGAAACCCAGTCTTAAATAAATAAATAAAAATTAAAAAATAAAAAGAATTGGCATTAATTCTTCTTTAAATATTTGGTAGAATTGACCTGTGAGGCTATCTGGTTTTTCTTTATTAAAAAGTTTTTCATTACTGAGTAAATCTTCTTATTTGTCACTGCTCTGATTAGACTTTCTGTTTCTTCTTGATTCAGTTGTGATCAGTTGTATGTTTCTAGGAATGTATCTATTTCTCCTAGTTATCTAATTTGTTGGTGTATTATTGCTCATAATAGTCTTTTATGATCTCTTTATTTCTAAGTCATTAGTATTACATTTTTAAAAGATCATTCTGTATCTTTTAACGATCAGAAACTCTCATTCATTGCTAGTGGGAATGTAAAATGGTACGACCACTTTGAAAGACAGTTTTGCAGTTGTTTAGAAAACTAAACACATTCTTATTATATGATCCAGCAATAACATTCCTTAGGATTTACTCAAAGGAGTTGAAAAACTATGTTCACACAAAAACCTGCACACATATGTTTATAGCAGCTTTATTCATAATTGCCAAAATGTGGAAGCAACCAAGATGTCTTTCAGTAGGTAAATGAATAAATAAACCGTGGTACATTTAGACAATAGATGGAATATTATTCAGCACTAAAAAGAAATGAGCTATCAAGCCAGAAAAAAGACATAGAAGAAACTTAATTGTGTATTACTAAAAGAAAGAAGCCCACCTGAGAAGGCTACATGTTGTATGATTCCAACCATATGACATTCTGTAAAAGGCAAAACTATGGTAACAGTAATAAGATCAGTGGTTGCCAGGGATTGTGGGGAGGGAGAGATGAGTAGGCAGGGCACAAAAGATTTGTAGGGCAGTGAAACAATTCTGTATTACACGGTAGTGGTGGACACATCACATTATTCATTTGCCAAAGCCCAGAGAATGTTCAACACCAAGAGTGAGCTCTAATTTAAACTATAGATTTTGGGTAATTATAATGCATCAGTGTATGTTAAGCAATTGTAACAAATGTACCGCTCTGGTGAAAGAGGTTTATAATGGTAGAGGCTGTGCATGGGAAGCGAGAGGGGTGTAAAATGGAAACATTTCAGTATCTTTAACTCAATTTTGCTGTGAACCTAAAACTTCTCTAAAAATTAAGTATTTTTGTTTAGAAACTGATGTTTATTTTCCATCAACCTTATTTCCATGTTGCTTAAGAGCCCGTGCAAGAACAGCTTAAGACCATTCAGTGGTTGCTCCTACCCATTCAGTGGCCTGAGCAGTGGGAGCTGCAGACCAGTCTTCCGTGGCAGGCTGAGCACTCCAGTCTTCCGTAGGGAACCTCTGAATAGGCACAGAGGGTGCCTGCACTCCTTCAGACCAGCCTGCAACCTTAGGCTGAGTAGCAGTGAACTCAGGAGCTAGAGCAGTCCATTCACCCTGAAATTCCTCCTTGGTCACAGCCTTTTCAACAGCAGCCTGCTTTTCTTTTTCAGTCTCTTCAGGATCTCTGTAGAAGTAGAGATCAGGCATTACCTCCCACAGGTGTTCACAGGAAATGGTGCCACACATGTGCAGAACTTTGCAAGCCAGCATCCACCACATCAAACCCACTGAGTGAGCTCCCTTGTTGTTGCATGGGATGGCAATGTCCACATAGCGCAAAGGAGAATCTGTGTTACACAGAGCAATGGTAGGTAGGTTAACATAAGATGCCTCCATGAGAGGCTGGTGGTCAGCCCTGGGATCAGTAACCACAAGAACCCGTGGCTCCCAGAAGGTTGCCTGGATCTGGTTAGTGAAAGTTCCAGGAGTGAAGCAGCCAGCAATTGGAGTGTCTCCTGTGGCAGCAACAAACTTCAGCATGGCCCTCTGGCCAGTATTCCTGGAGGATATGACACTGACATCAGCAGGGTTTTCAATGGCAACAATGGCACGAGCTGACAGCAGAAGCTTCTCCCAGGTCCTCTTCAGATTTATGATGTGGATGCCATCACTTTTCCTTTTACAGATGTACCATTCCATCTGGAAGTCAAGATTGGTGCCACCTAAGTTGGTTCCTGCTGCAAGGACATCCTCCTCCTTCATTTGCAGGGCATCAAGGGCTCCAGACATTGTGAAAGTTTCCCTTTAAGTTACGACAGGAATCCAGAACAATGCCATTTTGACCCCTCTGTGAGTAGTGCAGAAAGGCAAAATTAAGTATTTTTTAATAAAGATCATTCTGGAAGCTGTATGAAAGTGAAATAGAGACAGTTGAAGGTAGAAGTAGAGAAATAAGTGAGGAAGCTACTGTTAGTCTAGTTAGGAAATCAAGGAATCCAGCACTGAGATGGCAGTGGTTGGGGTAGGGGAGACAGGAGCAGAATTGGAGAATGTTTTGAAGGTAGAACTGACAGGTTTGTTGATGGACTAGATGTTGATGGAAATTTGAAGGAAAAACAGATTTTTGATCTGATAATACTAAGAAAGGAAAACTAAGGGAGAAACAGATTTGGAATGGAATCAAAATATCTGCCCTGGATATTGACTAGAAGTCAGCATGCCAGTGTGGAAGCAAAAGGGATTTAAAGAGTCACAGGCAAGAACTCAAACACTCACCAGCTAGAATCCTCAACTAGAAACCCAGAATCCAGAACCATAAACCAGAATACTGAAATGCTACAGCCTCTGTCCCTTTCTTCTGGAAATCAGGAGACAAGGACCACAGGAAGGGAAATAGATCCAATTGCATATGCCTTCTGAGAGTTGAGGTAAGCTGGTATGCTTGTATAAGCCTGGTGCACTCTCCTGCCCAAGATGAAAGTAAACTCTATGTTGCCGTAGCAAGAAAGCTGCTTAAACCTTCAGCACAATAACCCAGTGCCAGACCATGTGCCCAGACAAGGACACAGAAAAGAACTCATTAGATGGAGAATAAGGCAATGCCTTTTGCCTTGGGAAAGTTGGGACCTTCCACAAGTAAAATGGATTCAACCACCATGAACTAATGGGTGAAGCCCTGTGTTGGGTACTACAGGGCAGCTTCAGAGGTGTATAAGACAAACCCCAGATCTTCAAAGAGATGTTAGCCACGTGGACTTCAGAACATGGCTAGAAGCTGGACATCTGATCCTGACATGTGAGAGAAAAATCCTCACCCCACACCAACCTCCACCTTCACACCTTCCTGGAATCTTTTTGCAGAAAGTAAGTTGAGTTTTCCAATATACTATGTTAAAAGGCATCATGGGGGTGTGAACTTGAGAAAGTTTGGACTGAACTCCTATCTCTACCATCTGCTTCTGCCAGTCCTGGCTTCCTGCTACAAGAGTACACATTGACATGTCGATCAAAGCTTTCTTCATAGCAGGGAGGTAAAGAGGCCTATAAAGAGATGGGGAGGCCAGGTGCAGTGGCTTATGTCTGTAATCCCAGCACTTTGGGAGGCTGAGGCTGGCGGATCACCTGAGGTCAGGAGTTTGAGACCGCCCTGGCCAACATGGCGAAACCCTGTCTCTACTAAAAAAATACAAAAATTAGCTGGGAGTGGTGATGGGCACCTGTAATCCCAGCTACTTGGGAGGCTGAGGCAGGAGAATCACTTGAACCCGGGAGGCAGAGGTTGCAGTGAGCTGACATTGCGCCATTGCACTCCAGGCCTGGGGTATAGAGCGAGACTCCGTCTGGAAAAAAAAAAAAAAAAAAAGATGATGGGGAGTGATTTTCACAACTGCTTGACATAGCATCCTTCAAGAGCCCAATGGTCAGGCTCTCCATCCCTTCTTAAGGGGTCCTGGGTTCTGCTCCTCATGCTTCTGACCTATAAGGAGGTTCTGTTCTTGATTTTTTTTAATCAAATGGGCACTATAACATTGTGCATTATAGCATTTGCATGGGCCAATTACCTGCCTGGTCTACCTTCCTTCTCCAGTCCTTCACCTGCGACAGGCATCACTAATTAAACATGGTATACTTTTCCACTGAGCAAGGATGCAACCTCAGAAATCCTTTTCATCATGTCACTATAGGCAGCACTGCTCATCAAAATTACCATGTGAGGTAAAAACCTATTTCCCATCTCTGGCATAGTAGTCAGCAGCAGAGAGTTTAGAATCAAATACAGTTCTGAATCCTGGATCTGTCATTATTGGTCTTGGGACCTTGGATCTCAGGTTCACTGTTTATTAGCTGTTTAACTTTGGACACATTAACTAAATCCTCTAAGTCTCAGTTTCTTCATCTTCTGTTCTTCAGAAGAAAAGCCCATGTGCCTATGAAAGCTTAGGTCATGGGGACATATTTAGATTGAGGGGAATCAGGCAAGGCTTCCCTGAAGAGAGAGAACTTGGGCTGAGACATGGGCAAAGATGGGAGTGCTCTCTCTCCTCAAGAAGAAAAGATGAGCATCAGAGAAGATCCGTGAGGACCAAGCATGGAGCTCACAGTGTTGACAGGCAAGGGCCACACCACTTAAGGCTTTTAGAAGATGTTAAGAATTGTGGTCATTGTCCAAAATGCCATGGTTGACCATACAAAGGATCAAGCAGGATGGGAGATGTGATTAATTTCCAAACTGGAAGACACGTCAACTGAATCTCCTATGGCAAAAATGTATCAGTGACCAGTAAGGACAAGGGTGGAGAGGAGAGGACCAGTTAGGAAGCTACTATAGTGCTTAGGGAAAAAGTCATGGTGACTCAGACTAGTGAGGCAACTTTGGAGCCTGAAAGAAGCAGAGAGAAATCAGAAATATATAAAAGGCTACACTGAGGAGGACTTGGTGATGAATTTAGGGTAAGGTCAAAGATGACTCCTGGAGTTTTGGCGTAGCCTTCTGGGTGAATAGTGGTAGCATTTGCTAAGACAATAAACACCAAAGAAGACCACATACTTTTTATTTTGTTTTTCTGTGGGGGAAAATCTGTAGATCCAAGTAAAAGGGTTAGTCAGTTAAATATACAATAGCAAGAATGAAAACTAAATATGAAATAATGAAGTCCAAAATCAGTCATGCTTGCATATTTAACCAATGCTTGAACCGACGTATACTCCCAAAAGCCCCCCTCCCTGAGATCACCAAGAGAAGAGAATTCCAGCGGATCTTCTGAGTCCAGCTTAAACACATAAAATCCACAGCAGTGCTGACACCTACCCAAATGCCTACACTGAGAACACTTGTTCTTGCTACTTTTGCACAGAGTCTGGATGCTAAGTAATTGGTCCTTGAATCGTAGAAGGCTAGGCCTAAGAGAACGCTGCTCTCTGGCCATGTGGAGATATACTGGGATGCAGCAAGCTAGAAAGACAAGGTGCTAACCTCGGATAAAGGACACCTGGATAATCACCCTACCCACTAACACTTTGCGGGCCTCATTTTACAGATACAAAAGTTGAGGCCCTTAGAAGTGAAATGACTTGTCCAAGTTTACAATGGGAGTTAGTTGCAAGACAAGGACCTAAATCTATACACTCCCAAAACTTCTTAGCACTTGCATTTTTCAACATTTTTAAAATCTACAATCACTCATGGAAAGTAAATGGAAGTGTTATTAGCAAACCCATGAGTTTAACCTCTGTTCAGACTTCAGGTTTCATTCATTCATTCAACAAACACACACTCATTCAACAAACACACAGTACCTACTGCCAGGCACAAGGCCAAAGAGAAAGTTGGTATAAATTCGGACCTTAGTTAGTCCAAGGACTGGACAAAGGACTTGACTGTGCAAGTGAAATATAAAGTTTAGAAAATTAAATCATATTTGTAGGAATTCGAAAACTTTTTCCAGCTTTCTAAAGATACTTTCCAAAGATCCGCATAAGAATTCACTTTCATCAAGTGATTTGTCTTCATGAAGCCTGAAGTTTAGAAGCTCAAGTAGCCACAAGGATTTGATTTTCATGGAGGGCAAGAGCACACAAAAGGTTTGACTCCTACCTGCTTTCTGCAAGGAACATGCTCCCTCACATAGGATCAGAAAGATTGTGTTCCACAAGTAACAATGGCCCTGTCACACGAGGGTCATAGATTTAGTTCAGAGAGGCCTCTGGAAGTTCAGATCTCTATCAGGAACAGCCCAATGTATTTGAGCCCCTTTGATATCGGGTTATAAGGATGAAAACAGAATTTGTGACACTAGGTACCTCTGATGAACCACAGTAGGCAAGGAGTCTTTATTGCTATTCTGCCTGGAGTCAGCTAAAAAAAGAAACTGAATTAAAAATAAGAGCAAAGGAAAAGATTAAGTGGGGCTTCCCAAAGCTTAAACTTGCTGCTCTAGTTTGTGTTTTGCACAAACTTCATATTCTTTGTTTCTTCAGCCCCCTACATGGGACTCTGGATTACTTATATACTATCATTTAAGTTATGACTAAAGGCAAATTGGAGTGTTCACCACACCACACAAGCATTCTTAAACTTCTCCTTAGGCTTGCATTGCCTACACAAATTTAAGGCCAAAATGGGTAAGTTTGATAACAAAAAATGAATGTGACATTTCACAGCCATGAAAATTAAAATTATGAGGCCTAGACAGCAATGTAAAAAAAATTTTTATGATACGTTATTAGTAAAAGAATTTAAATGATCACATATGCTTTGATTGTGACTCATGAAAACAGGTTTGAATTCAATAAGACTAGATATCCAACTAGCATATTGCTATTTGTAAATGATCAAGTGTTGGATTAAAGTGATAGGCTTAAGGATTAGTAGAAAAGAAGGAATATTTTTCAGTGTTCTTTAATTTGTTCCAGGGTTTTTTAAATTATTTTTTGATAGGGTGTGAACCCAGTACAGTAGAGAAATGGTCCCCACAAGAAGCAGGTGATAGAACAGAATTTTTTCACTTTTTCCTTTTGTCTGCATGTTTATAATCATTATTTGTTTGATTTTAGCCAGTAACAAATCAGAAGGCACTTCTTTGAAACTAAAGTCTTGATGAAAATTTCATAAGGAGTAACTAACTAACATCATTGGATCCCCATTTACACAGGGAGAATCTGTGAGACCATGAACTTGGAGTCTGAAAAAAAAAAAAGAAAAGAAAATCTTGGATCAAATCCCAATCTGGCCATTTCCTTCATTTCCTCACCTGTGAAGTGGGAAGGAGAAAGAAGAAATGTTCGCTGAGTGCTGACTATGCACCAAGCTCTGGGCTGAGCAATTTCCCATACATCATTTCATCTCATCTTCACATCAGCCCCAGGAGACAGTATTAGCCTTCAGTTTACTCACGACGAGAAGGAGGCTTCAAGACATTAAATAATGTATCCACAGTCATACAGCTTACTAGGAAGTGGCCAAGCCAGGATCCAAATTTAAGATTGCCCATCCCCAGAATCTGCCCCTTTCACTCTCTGCATGCAGCCTTGCAGGGTTATTCTGTGAATCAGAATCTCAATATCCATTACCATGAAAACTTAATGAGCCATGTCTCTAGCTTCTTTGGCAAGGAAAGAGTCGTTTTCCCTTTGCCACTGAGTGAGCATCTGCCCAATCCCATCCATCCCGTGAAGAACAGGCACCCACGTGTGGGGTGTGAGCTATGGGGTGGGAGGCAGGCCTCTCTCTCCACACTGGCCTGCAGCCCCAGCAAAGCAGCAGCATCAGAAGGAGAGCAGCACCTGAACACCTAGCAGAGTCTGTAGGGCACGCATCCTGAGCACTCTCCAAGCCAAACAATGTGTTGATGCTCGGCCTTCAGTAAGATGTTCTGCCCTGCCCGATCAGAGCAGAAAGAGAAGGAAGAGGGACCAGCAGGAGGATGGTGGGGGTGGGGAGGGGTGTCAAAAGCTTCAACAGGGTCCGAAAGGGCAGTATAGCCAGGTTCTAATTCCTTTTTAGAACAGATTCCTAATTCCAATTTAGAATTGCTCCACAGAGAGAACATAAAGGTATTTATGTATTAACTGGGATTCACCATAATCGTATAAACAGAACTTGCCTTTCTTTTTCTCTTTTTGTTCACAGTAAGGTGGGGATTATTTCCCCCTTCTTAATACAATCAAGACTTTTTTCCCCTCAACCAATCAAGAAGAGAGTAGGGACATTAACAACCCCATACTCTGTTCAAGAATATCGTCTTTTCTCAGGCCTTTTCACATTACAATACATTTTTAAAATAGGATAGAGTGCAGAATTAAAGACAGACACTTCCCTAGTATTTTGAAATCATTATGAGTTACAATCCTTTTGATGTAAAGGGTCTCTTTTTTTAAGCATGATGTCTTTTATGTAACTAGTAAAAAAATGTTCACGGTAACAAATGCACCAGGAAAAAAAAAAGGTTAGAAAAAAATGGAAATCCTGTTTGTGTCCATAGGTGAATTGCTGCTGTGAGGCGGCTGCAATTTGACTTTGTACAAAAAGGGTCACTGAACAGAAGGTCAGGCAGCTGGCCATTTCCATTTCAAAGATGCTATCGAAAGGCCAAGAGGCAGTTCACCCAGCAGCCCTTTAGCAAACAAGATTTTCTCCTCTCTCGTTTATGATTTTTTTTATGCCAAAATAGTTTAGTGAGAAGGTCCCTGATTCATTTCCCCCACAACACAAGTGGTTTGTGTGAGGTTTGGATAGGACTTTAGTTTAAAGAATTGGAGGAGTTTTGAGTAATGAGGAGCCATTTGGTGGCCACTTATCAAAGCTTTTGCAGCAAGGCAATAAATCACAACAGAGCCCCTTCACTCAGGATGAGACAACTGGAGAAAGGTAGCTCCGTTATTAGGAATTATGGCTTGTCACGTCTGCAATGAGAGATCTCAGCTTTACAAACACCTCGCTGATTAATCAAGAGCCCCTTGCAGAAATCCTAAGAGGAAGGCACAAAATTCAAGGAGACTGTGATTTGGGTTGAGTTTGATGTCGGAGTAGCTAGATCTCACCTAGCAACTATGGCCAGACAAAATGATACTGGCAGAGCTAGAAGTTACACATCCCATGTGTTGTGCATGGCTTAAACACAACACAAATAGAAGGTGAACTGGAATATGGAAGAGCAGTCACCCAGGCTAATATTGTTCACTGTTGAAATACCCCCTGAAGACTTTCATATGAGCAGGTCACCTGTCACCACACACAAACACACACACACATATAAACACAAAGTAGAAGGAGGCACTACTGTTCAGCCTGCCTGTCAGGGAAATCAGGGCAGACTGGACAGACACTAACAGAGTCTTGGACCCACTTGTGATTAGAAACACCGGCAAGAGGCAGACCCAGAGGACAAGCCCAGTTCTAGCAGGGCCAAAGGTCAAAACCAGGGAAGCCGTATCCATCGACTGGTACACAAATGCAAAGGAAAGCTAAGAAAAGGTCAGGAGCTGCATAAGCGTAGGAATAGGGTGACACAAAGAGCAAGGGTGGATGAAAAATACAAGGCCCAGGATAATGACTTTAAACGGGGTGCTTGCAGACGGGGCTTTGTCGTGAGACAAGGGATGGTATCTAGTGAGGTTTCAAGTCATTGGCCAGGCCAGATACTTATAGGCCCTAATGTCCTAATGTTCCCTGGAGCTGTCTTTAAAAAGCCCTCATACTTTGCCATCTTTAACCCTTTTCTCTGTAAAATGATACAAATGGCTTCCCAGCTTGTCCTTTTACCCCCACAACAGCATGAGACTTGATTGACCCTTTCCTGGATGACCAGTCATTAAGGCCTCAGAGCAGCCATGGAAATCACGTAGAGGTCAAGGTGGGGTCTAGAAACAGCCCCCTGGGAGAGGAAGCCAGAGAGTTCTTTGCTGTTTTAGCCATGCTATAAGCACTGTAACACTCTTGAGGGGAAAAAAATGAAAAAAAAAAAAAAAAAAAAAGACGAATAACCCCTGTATTCTGAAGATTGTACTTAATACTATGGAGGAAAATCGTGACTTCTTCTCCAAATACTCTAGTAGTTTTCGCCAAGCGCAGTTTAAGATGTAATATAATGGATAAAACTGCATTATTTTATCATTTCGTCTTCTTAAAAGACCCTTATTTAAATCATTTTATGTTTACAGAAGGAAAAGGACATCCCCTCTTGCTATTTATTTAGATTTTTCCAAAAATGTTGTCTCCAATGCTTAAAAGAGATGTCTGCTGGTAGGAAAAAAGACGGAGGGAGGGATTGAGGGAAGGAGAGAGAGAAATAGAGAGATGGAGGAAGGGGAGGGGAGGAGGGAGGGAGGGAGGGAAAGGAAGGGAGAGAGACAAATCAGACTGCTGCACTGGCTGCTGCAGAAGCAATCACGGGCAGCTGTCAGAACTCTCACTAAATGAAGGGTCCGTCTTATCAGGCGTTGGCTCTGCTTCTGTACACCTAATTGTGTGGCCTTGACTGTGATGGAATTTGTTCCTTAAGGAAAAGGGAAAACATGAGCCTTAGTGCTTTAATAGCAAGGTATCTTCTGAAATAATAAATAACCCAGAGGTTGGATTTGGCAGCAAAGAAGGCTACTTCCTATGTCCTCCCCCGAGGTGCCATGAGCAGCTGCAGTCATTAGAGAGGGAGAAGAGAGTTCCAGAGGATGATGGCATGAGTGGAGAGGATAAGAAGGAAAGAGTGAGGTGATGTCATAGAAGAGAGAAGAGGTCTGACTGGATTCTCTGCCCATGACAGCTAGGCTTTTACCAGTTTGGAGCAATACACTTTGAATAGCATGACCTGCAGCTCTTCAGTCATTGGACAAATTCATTAATAAAAACCTTTCAGAGCCCTGCCTAGTAGGTTCTCAGTGGCAGCTGGTGGGGCTGCAGACCTACAGCGAATAAATCCAGACTCACAGTGGTATTGTCACTACCCATAATGTCTCTCTGAACTCGTTATGCTAACAGTCTGTCCATCCACTCCAGCCCCACATTCTGCAGCCCCCATTGCAGAGACCCTGCAAGCCCAAGAGAATGCCATGTTCACACTTCCAGGCAGGCTCCCATGGCCAGCCCCCGATATGAGCCTTGGCTTAGGGCACAGCCCGCAGAGGTAAGAAGCACATATGTGGCCGTGGTCAGATTTTCACTCTCCTGCTGAATGTAATAGATGATCCTACGTATTCCATCAGAATTCCTGGAGACAGGAAAGAACTTCCGCATCCAGGAAAATGTGGACCGGAAGTAATCTGACTGAAATTCACCCTTTAAGCATGAAGATGATTGAGGGAGCTGGCAATGGCCCATAATAATTATATCTTCTGCTGCTACCATGCTAAAGCCTTTTCATCTACTTGTTTTCTTTATACATAAAAAATCTTGTTGGGCTGTTGTTAACCTTCCCATTTTACATAACAGGAAAACTGAGACTTCAATAGGATAACTGGCTGTTCCAAGCTAGCAAATGGCAGAGCCAAGATAGACACTCCAATCCTCTGACTCCAAGCCCAATCGTCCCAGAGCCAGGACTGGTCTGCTTAAGGCATGAGAAAAGCTCTTTCAATCTAAGCAATCAACACTTATTGTCCTGAGACAGAGCTGAGGGTTCTGACTGTTTGACATTCCTTTGGCTTGAAGAATAGAATCTCCAGTGTCTTTTCTGGACAGCTGTCAATTTGCTAACTCAGCCCCAAATGAGGCAATGAGACAAGAGAAACATAGAGCTAGCTTCATATTCCTATAAATTCTGGTAGGTGGCAAACCACCAGTGCAAAGTCCCTAGACTCTCAGGAAGTAGCTGGAAGTTCCCTAATACCAGGTAGCAAGCAGGAAGATGGATAGAAACAGGTGGGGGGAGAAGAAAGAAAAATAGAGACTGTCCACTCAGAGAGATGAACCACAAGGAATTATGAGGGGGCTGCAGGAAACGATAAGACCCCAATCTGTCTCTCCTCTAGGTGGGCCTGACACAGGCACTAGCTAGATGGAAGGAGGGAGAGTGCCCAAGGGTACAACTCAGGGGAGTGCCCTGGCCTGGCCAACTTCTCCTCCCAAGCCCTCTGGACCTCAATCTAAGAATCTCAGGTAACACCCTTTACCCTGCGTTATTGGCAAGATGAGCTTGTGTCTAGTTGAGAGGGGCCATCTTGCCATACCCGGGCTTGCAGGAGAACAATCAGCCCCTCAACACTCAGAGATGGCCAGTTTTCTCCCTCTGTGACTCCATCCACCAACACTGTCACAGAGCTGACGCATCTGCAGTGCTGTCAAGACAGGACAGCAGGGCTGTAGTGAAAAGAGCATGAACCCCAATTTGGGCCAGGGGAAGGAAAGAAACAACACCTATTGAGTTCCCACTGTGTACCGTATCCTGTGCCAGGCACTCAGGCACTGTGTATACTCACTTAATCCTCCAAACAGTCCTATAGGGTGGGCATCATTATCTTCATTTTACAGTTGAGGAAACTGAGGCTCAGCCATAGAGTAACTTATTCAAGGTCACACAGCCAGTTAAACAGGAAAGGCAGAATTCAAACATTATGGCATTGCTTAGGTACTTCCCATTATATTAAGCAGCTTCAATGAATTTAACAGGATTATTTCAAGAACTAAATGATACAATGTTAATAAAACCTGGGACAAACCTAAAGTGCTATGCAAATATTAGCTCTCTGTGTGCACAAACAACATTCACATAGAGGCAAGCAGTCAGATCTACAACTCACTCTACAGAATAGCCATGTGAGTTAGTATCAGTTGTGTTTCTCTCCACAAAGCAAATATCTGTACTTTACACAATTCCCCTGTGAACCCCATCATCAACACAGCCATTAAATGCGGTCCCCAGATGAAGTATGAGCATGCTGGTCAAAAATGGATATTCACAGGCTGAAAGCACTTTATGATTATCAAGGGACAAAAAATGAATTAAAATCACACCCTGCTAAGTGCCACAGAAGTATTTTCAAATTAGCATCGTTGCTGCTATCTCCCCAGTCCCTGGCATGTGGGTTATACCTGCTGACATGTCCCTCAGGAAAACTAATATGTTCAAATCAGACCAGAGACAGATGATTACAGTTTATTTTCCATGCCAATGACAAGAGAAACAGGCCAGCTTTGTCAAAGGCGTAAAGTTCTATGGTCCCTCTCCCTGTCTCAATGAAATGTGTGCCTTTTCAGAGGGTCATTTCTATGATTTATAAGTTCCCAGCAAAGCTGGGCCTATGGTGAGGCAAGTAAGGATACAAAATTTAAGAAAGAACACATTCTCTGGGTCAAGCAAGTGCCGACTCTATACTTGCACGTCCCTGGAAGTGCGTACACCCTTGAATTTTGCACGCTTGTTATCTTGCTTGCCTCACCCTCACCCAGTTCCTAGCACCAGCACAGGAACCCACCAACGAAAGAGGGTAGGAGTCACTTGGAAGAGTGGCTGCCCCCAGGGAGTGCTAGAGAAGCCTCCAAGAGTCTGGTGATAAATTTCTCTAAACTACAACCAAGAGAAACCAATATATGGAAATGCATAAGGGCCAGATAATACAAGTGCCCCAGCATTCAGAAACCATGTCATACACTCCACTGTTCAGGCCCCCATCCTTCCATTATCCCAAAATCTGTGCCACAAGGGAAGAGGAGGGCAAGAAGGGATAGTTAGCAGGGCTGTGCGTCTCTGCAGGTTGTCTTACCTCCTCCCCATTTCTAAGCTCCGACATACCACAGAGGAAAGCGTGAGAGCAGGACAAAGCGCTTTCCAGCCTACACAGCTTCTATCAACCTGTCATTCTAACATGTTAGAAGCCCCAGTCTGATGCAGCACCAAGTCACAGGTGAGAATTGCTATGCAATCAGTTGTGCTTCACAAACTCAGGAAATGATCAGACATGAGTCAGGTTAGATGGTAACTCTTTCTACACCACCCCCATGTAGATTGGGTTAATCTAGCTCTGCCATTGAAAGGAACCAAAGTAAGAAATGTTTCAGGATTCACATGATCCAGGTTGCATTTATAGCAAATGAAGTCAACAGGGTACAAGCAAACACCCAGGTGGGGTGTGAACACCCCCCGTGGTGCAAGCCAACAGAGCAGAAATCAGACACTGAGTGCTGGAGAGTCCGGTAATAACCACATCTATGGAGGGTGCCCTGGGAAAATTGAGTCAGGGTTCCACTGTGTTCCAAGAAACATAGTGTCCTCAGAAGCAGTGAGATTGGAACTCCCTTCCCCACTTGCCAACTCATGGGACTGGAAATTCACCTCCCCCAGCTCCAAAACACTGGCTCCCAGGATAGGGAATGAGACAGAAGTCAAGAGAATGTGAGGGTCAAAAACAGGTTCCACAGGGGGCGAAAAGTGGAGGAGATATAGCTGCCTCCTCGCACTGTCACTGCAAATCCTCACACAAACAGGCAGACAATCCCGATCACCTTCTTTCTGGAATTCCTTAGACTCCAGAGATTGGCCCTCTCCATTGCCACCCTCTACAGCTTCCAAGCAAGGTCTCTACTCTACCAGATCCACTGAGAAAGAGATGGAAAACAGACATCACTTACCAGCTGTGTGACCCCAGGCAAGTCACCTTCTGACCTTCTGTTTTGTTTTACCATCCACAAAGAAAAGCAACAAAACCCAGCACAGTGCTAGGCACTCAATAAATAGTAGCTACTTTGTCTCATATTGCTAGTGCAAATAGAGATTATTTTTATTTAGAGATATCATATGAAAGCATGAAGCCCAGTGCCTACCTCAAAACCATGCATAACAAATCCATTCTTTCTTCTCCTCCCTACCCTCCTTCACTAGATTTAAGACAAGTAAAAATCTCTGCATTCTCAAAGAGAAGAGAGTGCCAAGATTTAAACTTTTCTGGGTATTGTACCACAGGAGCTCAGCCTGGGGCAGGGGCAGAGCCCTGGAGTGGAAAACCAAAGGGAACCTGAGAAACTTCCAGGAGAAGGGATGAAAACTGAGAGGCCCACAACAGTGAGCCTCAGCAGTGAAAGCCACCTTCTCATTACCTGTTCCTTCTTCCCCCCTATCCTGCTATGCACATGCCCCCCTACCCTGGGTGATGGCTGACACAGGAATGGGTGGGAATGAGACAAGTCAATTGCACGACAAAGGGTCAAGTGAATGAGGAAGGAAGAGAGGTCCTGCGGCCACCATGCCATGCAACCAGGCAGCTGTTTCTAAGAGACATTCCAACCCTCAAGATCTAAGCTGGGACCTGACTATATTTCCATCTCCAGCTTGTGTATTTGGTTAATAATCACCCTCCCTAGGCCCTGAGAACCCTAAGACAAGTTATTACACCGACTTTCATTAAGCAAATAAATCTAATCAGCCAGAAATTCCAAATCCACAAAAATCAACAAAAGCCAAATGATCTAAATATGTTTGATCTGAATTATCCTAATAATAACCTAAGTTGTCTACTTGACTTTAGGGGTACAGGAAGAACTGCTCCTCAGGTGACCAAAAGCCATGTCCTATTGAATGAGCTATTCTCCCTCTGTTTACTTTTTGAAAGATATAATCCATATAAGCATATAAAATCCTGTCCATCTGTAGATTTTTTTAAGATTAATCATGTTAATATTTTACCTAACTGAACAGAGGATAAGTTATTCCTTCATATTTGCCTTTTTTTTTTTTTAGATGGAGACTGGCTCTTGTCGCCTAGGCTGGAGTGCACAGGCGCAATCTCAGCTCACTGCAATCTCCGCCTCCCATGTTCAAGCAATTCTCCTGCCTCAGCCTCCTGAGTAGCTGGGATTACAAGCACCTGCCACCACACCCGGTTAATTTTTGTACTTTTAGTAGAGACGGGGTTTTGCCATGTTGGTCAGGCCAGTCTCGAACTCCTGACCTCAGGTGATCCGCCCACCTTGGCCTCCCAAAGTGCTGGGATTTATATTTTCCATTTTTAATTCTCAAAAAGATGGAAGTGTAGTGACAGAAAGAAGATCAGTGGTTGCCTGGGACTGATGGTCAGGGGAGGGGATTGACGTGAAAGAGAAAGAAGGAAATTTTTGAGGGTAATGGAGTGGTTCTGTGTTTTGATGTGGGGAGTCCATCAAACTGTATGCTTAGAATCACCAAATTTACCATATGTAAATGACACCTCAATAAAGTCTTAAAATGCCATTTTTGCACAGAAGAGTGGCAAAGCTTAGGAATGTCATGGAAAATGTTTCAGCTGCACAGAGTTGGAAATACTAGGTCTGCCAAAATGTCTCAATAACAGGGTACTTCTGCAGAGCACGTCAATATTTTGTGGAATAAATCACCATCTGTCAGCTCCCTGAGGTGGAGCCATGTAACATTTAACATGCCGAGAATGTGTGTTTTCCCATTACACCCCTCCAGGAGCACTACTTGATCCATTAGAAGTTAAAGGCAACAGCACTTCTCAGGTGGGCAATGAGTAGGGGCAGTCTGGTATACACTAGAAAAAGAAGGCTTTTGAGTCACCACGGTCCCCTCCACAGCCCAAACATGTGGTGTTGGCAGGGCCTTTCCCTTCTGCCATTTCCACATTTACTTGGCAACTCAAAAATATGGGACCTCAAGTTCATTTGAAGCCCAAATGTTTTTTGCCTTACACCCATTTGATTTACCATAGGACAGCCTGGTGGTGCCAAAAGTCCTCTGGGAATTCACAAGGTGAGTGACCACAAAGATGTTGATAATAAAGGAGATTTCTCCATTCCTACTATCCCCAGGGGCAAGGCACCTAGTGTTGTGTGGATAAAAGTATTGCCCTGCTGTTTTTACAGGTCTGTTTGTGCGTCTCTTGCTTATCTCAGGTTCACTCAGAAGTGCCTGGAGAAAGAAGGTCCCTGGGACACCTGCACACCCCTTTTGGAATCCCACATAGCCAGCCCTGAGAAGAGGGGATAGGTTGGTGAGACCCCTGGCTGAAAGCTCAGGCTGGGAGTAGAAAGAGGAAACCCAGGGTCTACTGATGTCTCTCATTGAATGAATCTCCATGTCACAATTTCAAAAAGTACAATCAATGTCATTTTTAGCCCACTAATTTTTTTGTCAGTGACATCTGATGGGGAACTGGGTTTGGGAGCTAGAAAGAGCACCTTATTAATATAAGCAATTCAATTCAACATGTACTAAGCTTCTGCTGGGTATAAGGTACCACAGGAGTTGTCTTAAGCATGGTCTATATTGTCTTCCTCTCCCTGGGTGATCTCGTCAACCCTTCAGCTTTGATTGCCAGACTCTTCAATGATGTCTAAAACTCTCCAGCTCAGCTCTCTCCTCTGAGCCACAGCAATGGATTTCTACCTGTCCTCTGACCATCAGTCCCTGGGTGTTTGGCAAGGAACCCCAATTTGAGGAAAGCAAATCCAAATTCAACAACATTGCTCACAAATCTATTCCTCACCTAAACCCCTACATGAAAAAACAGTTCCTAGGCAATAGGCACCCAGCCGCCCAGATCCCAAACTGAGGTGCACCTGGAATCCCCTCTCTCCCCTACCACTGTCGTATCCAAACTAATCACCAAATTCCATCAATTCTACCTCACAGATCTCTCTTAAATCTACCCCCTTCTCTCCATCACCATACATCACGCTTTTCCTGGCAACTCCTTATAGTCCCTCCACTTCCAGTGAGATGATTCTGATTCATCCTCTATAGCCTACGCTTTTGGAGCCCTGCCCAGGCACCCTTTATTAGCTGATGCTTTCAATGCATTTATGCCCCAGACACTACAGGTTTGGGCTGCTAACCCCTCACACTTACACCCTTTTCTGGAGGACTGTCTGCAGCTGGTGGAGCCATCTTACCTGGAGATGTCTGGGACCCCATCCTCCCCTTGGGGGCAGCAAGGACAGTCTCTGTGGTATAATTCACACTCAGAGCTCCTCTTGAGATCCAACTGAGCCTAGACTCTTCCTTAAATCACATCCTTTCCCAGCTTCTGCCCGTGCCCTGTCCCACTTCCCTCACTCTCTTTTTTTTTCCCTAATAACACTCCTTCAATTAGTCATTTTCACAAGAATCCCCATCTCAGGCTCTGTTTCTAGGGAGTCCAACCTAGCATATCCTTTACAGTGGCACAGAATAATTTATTTTTACAGGCATAGTTGATCATGTAATTCTTTGACATGTTTTTTTTTTTTACATTCATACCCCACCAGGTGCATAAAATCCGAAAACTTCAGTTCATCATATAAACCTTGTCTTCTCTCACCTGACACTGCCCCAAGTTCCCCATTCTAACCAGTCCTTCTGCCCTTCCTTTCTGCTAAGGTACTCTACTTGGCCCCAAACCCATGCTCTTTCACACCTCTCTATAAGCTCATGTTCTTCTCTTGGCCTGAAATGTATTCCCCCATCTTATCTAAACTCTCATTAACCCTTTAACACTCAACTTATACCTCCTCCTGGAGCTGTTCCTTTGTCTTTTCCACACTTTTAGGCAGAGTCAGACACCCCATTCTTCATACTCAATTGGTGTCATGTATGCATCTCTACTACAACATTTGCCTTGTATTTCCATGCTACCACCAAGAAAATCCAGTACATGTTATAATGAGTTGTATCAGGACAGAGCATTTCTTTGATATCTTTGTATCCCCAGTACCTAGCGCTGTGCCAGGCACAGAGTAGGTGCTCAACAAATATTTGTTGAGTCCATGTACAGCCCATCAGTCTTCAGTTCTCTAGCCCTGGGATTACCCTTTCCTTCACAAGCTAAGAAACAATGGTATGGGCTCCTTGTTTTACTGTATCCTACTTCCTGCAAAGTCTTTAGCCAGATTTTCCTCCCCAGGTATTTTCGAAGTACCTGAGGGATGTATTTGCCCCCCAGAGGTCATCTTGGCTGTCACTTTTGTCACATCTAGATCTGGATTACTATGCTAGGCCTCTGTGCATCACCACTTGGCTTAGCCAGCTTTTCCAGTCCACCTGAGCATTCTCAGTCCCAATTCTTCCCCAGTGAGGATGCTGACCCTCCCTTAATTTCCCAATACACAGCCTTAGGCAGACTATGGTGTTCAACAGAACTTACTGAAAATTTGAGGAGGACAAAGGGGAGTTACAACACAGGGAGAACCCACAAAACTTGGTGTGAGACCACTGCTCCCAGAGTCCATAGAGTTATGCCTCTGAAGGTATCTCTCCCTTAGTTTCCTCTCATACATGCCACCATGTTTCAAAGCCAATTTACCACCTCCATGAACAGAAGTTCCCCACCATGAGACTAATGCCTGACAACCCCTCTCTGCATCTAGAAGAGTAAATTTCCCCTTTGTCTTCCAGTCAGTACCAAAACAATCCCTGCAGAGAGGCAACTCCTACAGTGTACAACACTTTCCACCATTTGAATTTGGCTCCTTCCTCATAGTTTCAAACTCTCCTTTCCAGACTAGGATCTGTACTTTACATTTGCATAACCAAAGACATATTGAAATGTGAGTCTCCCATGCATAAAGAGGAGAGAATAGTCCTTCCATTTCCCACAATACAAGATCTCTATCTCTGAAAAATAAAAAAGCTGCTATTATCTTTGAAATAGAAAATGTAACCATCAAGATTTCAGAAATAGGGTATTCTAGGCTCAGGGTATTGCACTATTCAAATGAATAAATAAATGTATAAATTAAAGGGTAAATCAAAAATATCAATGTTGAGGGGATCAAGTAAGACTTTAGTCTAAGGGGCTTGAAAAGGGGGATAATTTAAACCTGCAGAGATGGGGAGGATTTATTCCAGGCAAAAGAAACCACAGGAACAAAGGTCTGAGTCCAGCAAGCAGAACCTTGATGGCACTTTCTAGGAAAAACATGGAAGATTCATACATCAATTAGTAGTAGTCAGATTGGAAGGGAAATGAGATTCCTTCCAGGGTTCATATCTACTCCATCTACAAGGCTGAGAAGTGACTTGAATTAAAATATGTATTTAAAGTAACAGGTAATGGCAAAGTTATCAAGGCTTTTGCTATAGTCCTAGATCACTGTATGAGTTGCCAACTTTTGATAAAAATGGCTGCACTGAACCATGTCATCAGAAGAGAAAAAAGACTAGAAGAAAAAAATGCCTTCCCTCTTGGTGGTAAAATTATGGATGGGCCATTTATTGTTAGTATTCCTACTTCTTTTCAAATTTCTGCATGTGTTAATTTTTTGCAAGGAGCATCAACCATTTTATGATAAATCTGAAGAAATCCATTGCTACAATATTCATAACCATTAAATATACTTTAAGGAAGACCCTGGGTAACAATCAAATTAAAAGGAAAGAATCTTCATTTAGCAAGCTTAGCCCCCTCTAATGGTGCATTAACTTAGACTCCAGAGCTGCCCTCTCTTTACTAAGAAGATAATTCAGTTCCAAAAACATTACTTCTCAAAAAGCGCAAATAATTGCGATGACCAAGTGAACATTAAAATCCAAAGAGTTGTGTCTCCTCATCTTACACCCAAGCCACTCTATCATGATGAGGATACAAGGCACAAATATTCCTTTGGAAAATTATAGCAAAAGCCAGAGACAAGCAAGTTGGCATAAATGGTTTTACTTCAACCTGAAAATGCATCGTCTAGAAGCTAAATCAGGAAAGAAGTGGTGCCTGTGTGCAAAGAGCTAATGACCTCACCTGTAGGCCAGTTGCAGAGAGTACCTGAAAAAGAAATTGGATCGGAAATTCCAAACAATTATAGCTCACACTAGAGGAGGAATAAAAGAGTTCAAAATAATGTGCTTCTCAGAAAGAAAGCTTTCAAAGACGTATGAAAAAGAAGGCCACAGAGTTAGAATCTGGCCTGGCCCATGGGGTGAAAGAAATCCTTTACAGACACTGGAATTGTCACCAAGATTAATGCCGATGCACACAGAGAGCATGAGACATCATTTGGAAGACGGAGCATCCACATGAAATACCTGAGACAGCCTAAAAAGGTGACAAAACAATACTTGGAAATGAGAAGACAATGGAGCAGCCATGTGATCATTCAAAGTGAACACGTGGAGAAGGCAAAGGTCGATGGTAAGATGGGAAGAGCTGCCAGTGGGAAGAGCCGGATGAAGGATGGCATGAGTACAGGAGCAGAGAAAAGGGAGCATTGAATGGAAAGGTCACTCTACCTTGTGTGACCTCTGCAAAGAGCTGGGTCACCCAGCCAGCAATTCTTCAGGGTAGAGAAGACCTTATCTGCTCATTTTAAACACTGTGACTATGTTAATTCATAGCTAAGGTCTTAGCTTTCAGGTAGGTGTTCCAGATCAGCACACTTCAATATAGATACTGAAAGAAATTGTGAAGTAAAATTTAGTGGATTCAGGCCATATGTGTAAGCCTTAAAGCAAAAAGGAACAGCAAATGTTCCTTGCTTAGAAAAAACACGTCCTTGCTTAGAAAACATAGTTTAGCCATCCAAAGGGTTTCTTAGATTAAGGGAAGGGTCATACTAGAACTCTCGGCTTGGACACTATGGAATCACCATGCTCTGGGCATCCAAACTGATAGAAAATCCCTAAAAGTTGTATTAAAGGAATCCCAGTTCTACAGAGAGGGCTGAAAAAAAGAGATCTGCAAATGGAAGACAGAAAACAAAGGGAGAACTCGTATGTTTTCTTTGTACCCTTTAGGGAGAAAGAAGGAGGCTAAACAGCTCTGAGATACTGGGAAAGGCTGGGCTTAACCAAAGATAAAATGAAGGCCATAGTAAAGCAATATACAGACTTCTAAAGTGAATAAAAGTTAATGTTATTAATTGATTGTATACACTTAGATGATGTTTGCAATCTATTTGCACCAAAGTGAGATCTATTCATTCTATATCACACGTGGAATAACATGCGCAAAAGAAGTTGGCACAGACCAGGCTTGGTGGCTCATGCCTGTAATCCCAGCACTTTGGGAGGCCGAGGCAGGCAGATCACGAGGTCAGGAGTTCAAGACTAGCCTGGCCAACACGGTGAAACCCTGTCTCTACTAAAATACAAAAAAGAAAAAAAATTAGCCAGGCATGGTGGTGCGTGCTTGTAGTCCCAGCTACTCGGGAGGCTGAGGCAGGGGAATGGCTTGAACCCGGGAGGCGGAGGTTGCAGTGAGCCAAGATTGTGCCACTATACTCCAGCCTGGGCGACAGAGCAAGACTCCATCTCAAAAAAAAAAAAAAAAAAAAAAAGAAGTTGGCACATACACAGAAGCAGCAGGAACAATGTCCAGCACATAACCGGTGCTCAGTAGACATCATATAGTCATGTACCAGATAGTGATTGACTGATATGGTCTTACCTTGAATTGTAACTCCCACAATTCCCACATGTCGTGGGAGGAACCTGGTAGGAGGTAATTGAATCATAGGGGTGGCTCTTTCCTGTACTGTTCTCATGATAGTGAATAAGTCTCAGGAGATTCTGATGGTTTTAAAAATGGGAGTTTCCCTCCACAAGCTCTCTTCTCTCATCTGCTGCCATGTGGGGCCTTCCAAGCCACATGGAATTATAAGTCCATTAACTCTCTTTCTTTTGTAAATTGCCCAGTCTCGGGTATGTCTTTGTCAGCAGCATGAAAACAGACTAATATACTGACTATCTACTATATGCAAGGCACTATTCTAGGCACTGAGAATTCAGCATTAAATAAAAAAAAAAAGGCAAAGCCCTCATGGAGCTTACCTTCCAGTGAAGGAGACAGGCAAATGTGCAAACATATATATAATAAAGTCAGAGAGTAATCAGTTCTATGAAGAAAAATGAAGCAGATCAAGGGGCTGGAGAGGGACTAGGGCCTTCCTTATATAGGACAAGCAAGGAAGCCTGTCTGAGGAGGTAGCGTTCAAGCAGAGGCCTGGAAGAACTGAGGAAGCCAGCCACATGTGTATCTGAGGGAGAGCCATGCAGAGCATGCAGAGGCAGGGAATAGCAAATTCAAAGCCCTGAGTCAAGGACCAGAAGGAGGTAAGTGAGGCTGGATCAAAGGGAAGGAGAAGAGAAGAGAAGATGTGGGAAACAGGGTTGGAGAGCAAGGTAAGGACTAAGCATGCTGGCCTTTGTGGGCCATGGAAAGGATGTTCAATGGTATTCCAAATGTGGTAGGAAGCCATTGGTGTGTCCTAAGCAAGAGAGCCACATGATCTGACTTCCTTTTTTTTTGAGACAGAGTCTCGCTCTGTCACCCAGGCTAGAATGCAGTGGCATGATCTCAGCTCACTGCAACCTCCACCTCCTAGGTTCAAGAAATTCTCCTGCCTCAGCCTCCCAAGTAGCTGAGATTACAGGTGTGTGCCACCATGCCCAGCTAATTTTTTTTGTATTTTTAGTAGAGACAGGGTTTCACCATGTTGGTCAGGCTGGTCTTGAACTCCTGACTTCAAATGATCTGCCCATCTCAGCCTTCCAAAGCGCTGGGATTACAGGAGTGAGCCACTGGGCCCGGCCTCATTTTTAAATAATCACTCTGACAGCTTTGTCAAGATTTGCCTGTGAGGCGTGGGAGCAGGGAGAAAGCTAGGTGAAGGAGTGAGGAGATGATGGTAGCTTGGAGAACAAAATAGAAGGAAGCCTCCCACTTCTCCAAAAAGAAGTTCTCCCAAAAAATATTTTGGTCAACTCAAATATACAATTTCTGGAATGTGAATAAAATACTCAACTTTTTACGTAGAGCAGTAGTATTTTATTTTCATTCACATACATATCTAAATTATACCTATAAAATTAATTCAGAAATATCAATTTTGAAATATTTCTTTCTTATTAGTCTCACATTACTCGCAGTCATTTCACTCAAACTGCCCCCAAGCATGTTTAACATCTGTGTCTTTTTAGATCACTTTCTGGGTCACTTCACATAAATTTCCAAGGCACACTGTCTTTATTTCCATCCAGTCCTTTTTTTAATCCATGATAAATGCTGTCTCTGGATCATTTGTCCCAAGCCACAGTACCTATTGGTAAGGACACCAATTTTAAAGTAGCACTTACATCAGAATATAGGTTCCTTGAAGGCAGGAGCTTTATTTCATTAACTAATATATCCCCCAGTGTCTACGGCAAGGGTTAGCAAACTACAACCTGTGGGCCAAATTTGTAAATTAAGGTTGTTTTGTTTTGAGACAGGGTCTCGCTCTGGAGCCCAGGCTGGAGTACAGTGATGCTATCATAGTTCACTGCAGTCCCAACCTTCTGGGCCCAAACAATCCTCCCACCTCAGCCTCCTGAGTAGCTAAGACTGCAGGTATGCACCACTGCACTCAGCTAATTTTTTTTTTTTTTTTTTGAGATGAGTTCTTGCTATGTAGTCCAGGCTGGTCTCGAACTCCTGGCCTCAAGCAATCGTCCTGCCTCAACCTCCCAAAGTACTGGGATTACAGGCATGAGCCACTGCATCTGGACAAGTTTTTAAAAATGAAGCTTTATTGGAACACAGCTAGGCCCAGCACTTATTGTCAATGGCTGCTTTTACTCTGTAATGGCAGAATCAGACAGTTGTTACATAGACTGTATGCTCCAAAAACCCTGAAATATTTACTGCCAGACCCATTGCAGAAAACGTTTGCTGACCCTTAGTCTAGAATATTGCCTAGCACATAGTAGGCATTCAAAAAAAATTGTCATTAACTAGCTATAAAACAACTCCCTATTTTCTGAAGGATAATTTAGAGAAAGAAAATAAAAACTTTATATTCTGCAGTATTTGTTGAATTCATCCTCAAGCACCCTCCACACTGGCCCCTTCTAGTGCTTCTTTTCAAGCACTAAGTGGCATAAAAGCCTTTCTCTCTAATTCTTAAAGGAGCGTTTTCTGAGGCAGCTCTCCTTCCCTCCGTGCCCCGAATAATTCCAAAGACATCGCTTCTCTCTTCTTTGCCTCCATTCTCCACAACTTGAAAACAGAGTGTTTGTGGAACTCGTGGGTCAAGTGTTTTCAGAGAAAAGGTACTGCACTCAGAGTGTTTGACTTTTATATCTGGAAAAAGCAAAGGGGCAGGAGTGTGGGAAGCCCGTCTGCCGATGGAGGGGTGAGAGTGCCGTCGGCAGCTGGAGCCAGTCAAGAGCCAGGCCCTGGAGAGAGAACAACTTTGGAAAGAGCACTTCTTTCTCCATGTTTTCAAGCCACTCTTATAGGAGCATGCTTTGAAGGGGTCCATTCCATGTTCCAAAACCATGTACAAAATGTTCTGATCTTGATAGAGTATGCAGACTCTGAGAAAAGAGTTCCTGCCAGTGCTCCCGCCGAGATCCTTTGTAAAGGTTTGCAGGTAGCTCAGCCCTGCTAAGGCTCTGTTGACACCAGCAATGCTGGATGCAAAATCACCTGAAAGAACTCTACACTAGAAAACTGATGGAACGATGATTGCTTTATTTCTTCTTGTAGAGCAAGCTGGAAATTACCTCCCTCTGTTGCAAGGGAATCTGGTCTTAGGAGGCAGAAAGCCTATATTTCTTGGCATTGTAGAGGCTCACAAATGTTCTGTTTCACTCTCTTTCATCTCCTGCCACCTCAAAAAGAGCAGAGAAGAGCTCTGAGAGAGGTAAGCTGAACCCCTTTAAAGTATTTCAGCACCAATTTGTGCAAAGGATAGTCCTAGGAGTGATTTTTCTCCAGCCTGAAATATCCTGGGGGCAGCAAAGGGAAGCTGTGAGGGCTTTTGATGCAGAGCCTGAAGACCTGGGGGCATGGCCCTGCCAGGGAGCAGCCCCACTCCACACAGACTTCAGAGGGAGGGAGGGAGGGAGGGAGAAGCCTTGTGTGGAGGCCAAGGCTGGGAAGTGAGCCTGGCTTTCCTCTTTAATCACTACTGCATGATGATGCTCAAAGAATTTACTCATAATAAATGTGAGAGCACCTACGGCAAAGTAAGTCAGCTTGACCATGGGTCCCCCTGAGGCAGATCCAAGACAAGGCACAGGTAGTGTATTTGAGAAATATAGAAAAAACCAGTGGTGAGTGAGGAAGTGAGACAGGGAAGAGAAGGAAGCCACTAGAGGGTCTGCTACCAAGCCAGCTACCACTGTGGACAACTAGGGCTTAAAGCCAGGGAGAACTCTGGGGCACAGTGTAAAACAGGAGCCTCTGGGGTACCCCACCCAAGGGGCAAGTCAGCAATTTATTGACAGCTGCAAGGAGCAGTGTTAATTTCCCCAGTACTGCCACTCTGGCTTCCAAGAGTACTCTCTCAGGCTAAGCTATGCAGACAGTGGCAGCTGGGAGTGGCAGCAGCACCTCAATATGGTGAGTTCCAATAAGCACATACCTGAGTCTGGGTAATTTATAAAGGAAAGATGTTTAATTGACTCACAGTTCCACATGGCTGGGGAGGCCTCAGGAAACTTACAATCATGGTGGAAGGGGAAGCAAACACGTCTTTCTTTACATGATGACTGGAAGGAGAAGAATAAGATCCAAGCAAAGGGAAAACCCCTTATCAAACCATCAGATCTCATGAGAACTTACTTACTATCATGAGAATAGGATGGGGGAAACCACCCCTGTGATTCAATTACCTCCCACCAGGTCCCTCAGACCACATGTGGGGATTATGGAAACTACAAGATGAGATTTGGGTGGGGACACAGCAAAACCATATCACATGGATATGGGTGGCACAGCCACAACATCTACCACTGAGCCTCTCAATAGAAGTTTCCTGTCCTCTTTCCTTGCCCACAATCTTCTCTTTCACATACTTGGAAACAAGAAGCTACCTGGGATGGAGTAGTAACATCTACTACATACACAGTGCCCATTGTCTTTGGAATAGACTTCCTCTGTCTGCGGAAATCCTTACATTGTGAATCCAGCCTCTCCAAAATTAAATGCAAATGCCCAGTCCCCTTGCGGGGAGGACATGGGCCTGCGATTTAGGCTCTGCTAATCAGGCACACAAACGTGACACTGTGTCTTGAAAGTATGTGATATGTGAGGTGCGCTGAGGGGGACACCTCTCGTTCCTGGGGAGAGACATGGCAGAGCCATGCAGATTTTGGTGGTAGAGTTTTTCTGGCAGTTCGGGATAGTATTTCTGACACAAAACTAGCAGCAGGGCTGGTAGCTGCAGCAGGTGCAATAATTGGGGTTTCCCAGCATCTGTTCAACAGCTTCAGGGCTTAACCATCAGGCCAGTTCCTACAGTTTAGTGATCCTCCTAGAAGCCTGCCCCCAAGTGTCTTTCTCCCTGCTTTGAATATCCTTTATATTAATTCCTTTCTTCCTTAAACTAACTACAGTGGACTTTGCTCTTTGCAACTACAACTGTGACCGCACAAGTGGAAAGAATAAATGGGGAAAAGACACTATGAAATGGTGTATTTATAATTATAAAGGAACCCAAAGGAGCCATTTGGTCTCCCCTTTTCCTCAGAAAGAGGTTTAAATGGTAGCTGGGATTTTTTCTTTTTAATTTAACTGTGTGTCTTTGGATCTGTATATGAGTGTTTTTAAATAAATATTGTATATATTCCAATGTGGATGAGATTTTTGTTTTTTCTCCCTTTAAAATTTCACAAAGTTTTGCATATCTCATCTTTTGTGATCTGAGCTATTTATCATTTTATTAAACTGTAACGTTGATGACGTCTCCACACCTTCTGACTGTGCCAGTTGTTTGCTATGATGATATGGTGAGTATGCCAGCCCATACTTCAGTGCCCCAAAGTGGTTTCTCATTGCCCTGTGGATCCAATTTAAACTCCTTATTGCTGAAGCACTGTTTCAATTCCCTTCCTACATTCATCCTCCCATTCCCCAGCCATATATCACAGAGTCTGAGAGGCTTAAAATTACACTTCTCAGGCTCCCTTGCTTAATAAATTATACCCAAAGGACATAAATCTATGGAATCCCTAGTGATACCAGTGCCCCAAATGTTCTCCATCTTAGATCTAGGTAGGACCCTACCGCCACAATGTTTTTAAAAGTTGCTCCTCGTCTCTCTCATTCCAATTTCATTTTTTTTTCTCCTGGACATTTCATAGTCAACTCAAACTCAACCCTCCCTCTATATTTCTTGAATTCTTTGAGTCCACATCAGTATTCCTTAGCTTGCAAGCTTCTTAAGGACAGAGAGGGTATCTAGTTTAATCGCAGTAACCTATTCCCTCCCTTATCCTCACAGTACACATACACGTGCTCCTAGCAAACTGCTTTGGCATACTGTAGATCCTCAAAAAAATTTGTTTGCATATATTTCTAAAGGTAAGTAATCTTCTCTTTGCATTCAGAGCACAATGGATTATGTTCTGAATTCCTTGTTTCCCTGGAGCTCAGAATATCAAAAGTTGCCAGTAAAATAGAAATCCTAAAAAGATAGGCTCTCAGAACCAGAGGCAACTGTGTCCTAAACAAAACCCACGGTTGTCTCCAGAGAGTCAGGCAAACACCCTAGGACAACTCCACTGATTTGCAGAAAGGGTCACAAGATGTTTGAGATGGAAAGGACTCTCAGAGGTCATTTTGCCCAGTCCTTTCAACTGACAAGTGAAAAAACAGGACCAGAGAAGGGAAAGTGACTTGCCCAAGGCAGGCAGATATTTCTTTCCAAGAAGATCCTAGGGCCCCCAACCTCTTTCCACTAAATCCTCCTATGCATGGCCTGGGGCAGTAAACCCCTCTTGGAGGTGTTCGCAAAGCCCCTCTATCCTCTTCAGGGCCATTGAGAATCTCAAAAGGAAACCTAGCAGCAGACTTGCCCCATGCCTGGGTGACCACAGGGATAGCGACCTCACCTCACTGAGCTCTCCCTCAGCACCCCTATATGCTCCCCTTCCCAAAATTAATTCTTTCCAATTCTTCATGTATTACCCCAGAACTTGCGAGTGAAGCCAGGAGGGAAGGGTGCCACTACTGCGTGTCCTCCACACAGATCCCCCCTGCACATAATCTCTGGGTAATGATTCCTTTTGCCAGAAGCCCAGCTCCCAAAATAGTGCGGTACATTGGCGGAGGTCCAGGAGCTAATAGGGACGGCAGCGCTATGTCTTATGACCCATTTTAACTGAGCTAATTTAGAATTTACCTGACCAAGAGTACCATAAAATGTACTCCTAAAGACGAGATTGTTAATTACCACAGGATGATTCGTCTGTGTTTGGCGGCTGAGGGGAGCTGGAGGGGAAAGGCTGGTTTCCAGAAATAATCCTTTCCTCCTCACCAGATAGGAATTAAATGTGGGAAAGGGCAAAAGGGATGGACGGAGAGGTTCGCCCACAGGAACTAAATAGGGTTATAATTAGTTGTGTGTTTGCAGGTGTCATCTTTCACCCTCTGCCTGCGGAGGAGACTGCAGGTAAACTCAGAATTCTTTGCGTCTCTGGGAGAAGGGCACTGAGTTCCTTGGAGTGTTGAAGAGCTGGGAGCAAGATGACTGCTAGGAGCAAAGCAAGTGAAGTCTCTGTGGTGTGGAGAGGCGCCCGATGCAGCAACCCCCGAATATAACACTGTTTACTGACAGCAGCTCCCCGAAGCTATTACAGAGCTGCCTGAGAGCATCCTAATTAGTGAGGGTTGCCAGCACTCCCATTATAATCCCCAGTTGAGTGATCTAAGTATTTATCTCAGCCACTTCAAGTCACAGCCCCTGAAACGTGGCCCTGAGTGGCTGGTCTCAATTTGTTCTTACCCCATGACTTACTCTAACCATCTCCATGTTTCATATTCATCTCCATGTGTATTTAAACAGAGCCATCTCGTATTAAAGGGGATTCCCATGGCTCTGCCATTGCTAGATGTCTGTCATTTTACAAAAATGTTCTCTTTCCAAACATTTCTAAGATATGAGTCATAAGTTAGATTCTAAGCATTTTCTTCCACCGTTTTGTTCTCTGTTTTCTCTCCCGCTGGTTCCACATGCTGGGTCTTGACCTCACCACAATCAAAGCAAGAATTTGTTCCCACTTTTCTTCCATCGTGGATTGTAGTCTTGCATATTAATCAGCCAAACACTGCGTTCTGTGAATTCATCCTAAGCATGCTCTCCTTAATATTCGTAAATTCATGAAACCCTTTTGGAATTTGAACCGTGTGAGATATTTAATCTTCCTGTTATGCCATAAACCTTTTTTGCATGCCATGGTCTGCCTTGATGTGTAGAACAGCCTTAGTAAAAGTAATGGGTGTCTTGCATTCTGAATCGAGAGAGCCTTTTGAAGAACAGGAATAAAACTCAAGCAGGATGAGGCATGCGTAAAAACACCGTACGTGTCGATGGGATGGGTCGTGTGAGCACTGCCTCCCTTTCTCCACAGCCACAATTGTCAGGAGAATTCCAGAGTGATGAGGGGGAGGGTTTGAGGGAGTCTGGCTTTCTTGAAGTACCAAACAATACCCTAGGTAAGTACATCAAATGTAAAGCTTCCCTTAGGCAGTGTGGAGCTGATCTAAGCTTACATCCGACACCAAAACCAGTGGTTTTGTGGATAGAGAAATCTAAAGATTAAAGAAAAAAAAAAAAGAGCCTGCATTGAATCCTTTTTGAGATCCATGTAAAATTAACACTAAAGATACTTGATGTGAGTTTGTCTATTAAACAATGTAAGATCATTAACAATAGTCACATCCAGTCACTTCAATTCAGAGCCATAAACCAACATTTCAAGAAATTTAAGATCATTTTTTCAACTTTGTATTAGGAGAATTTTCACACATATACAAAAAGCAGAGAGAATGTCTGATGAACTTCATGTATCCATCTCCCAGCTTCACCTCTATCAAATATCAACTCTTGGAATTTTTTTTTTTTTTTTTTTTTTTTTTTTTTTTGAGACAGGATCTCACTCTGTCACCCAGGCCAAAGTGCAGTGGCACAATCTCAGCTCATTGCAACCTCCACCTCCTGAATTCAAGCGATTCTTGTGCCTCAGCCTCCTGTGTACCTGGGATCACAGGCATGCACCACCAAACCCAGCTAATTTTTGTATTTTTAGTAGAGATGGGGTTTCGCCATGTTGGCCTCGAATTCCTGGCCTCAAGTGATCCACATGCCTCGGCCTCCCATAGTGCTTGGATTATAGGCATGACCCACCAGAAGTTCAGCCAATTTCTGAAAATCTTATTGCATCTATACCCACAACCTCCTCTAACCACACTCGCTGATTACCCAAGAGCTAAATTGACTATCTCATGACGTTTAAACAGGCATTCTCCATACTTAACTGACATGGATTGCCACTTCCAGTTAGTGTATTAGGCCTCCCGCTGCTATATCCTCACCCCTCCTACCCTCAAGAAGGGCTTGGGAGGGGTGAAGGTATAGCAGGAGTAGGCCTAATACACTAACTGGAAGTGGCATCTTTGGTGACTACAGCAACCAGAGATGTCCTCTCAGGGTTGTCATCAAACACACTATGAGCCAGAGGCCCAGAATGTGAAGAACTGACTGGCTGCCCCAAATAAAAGCAATTGCCAGATGATGCTAACACCCTGCAGGGCAGCACTACCCACAGCCTGCAGCCTGCCAATGGCCTGCATGAGCCAGCATGAGGCAGCATTTCTCAGTCACTAAGGCAACAGCATCAAGTGCTCTATTATCAAGGAAAGAAAGATAAGAAAGCATCATTCTTACCATAAAGAAGCTCAGTATCCTTAAAAACAGAAATAAACACACGCATAGCTTATGAACAAGTATAGCCTTCGTTCTACAAAAATGCATGAGGAATATAATATCTTTGCAATGAACCCTACATGCCCCTCGCCCCTCGCTCCCCTCCCCCTGCCACAAATTAAAGCTTGTAATGTGGTTCCAAAAGCTGAAGACTCCCATGTCCTTCTCCACTTTTTATATATTTGGGACTGTTCTTTTTGGAATCACACTAGGAAAGCATGCAAGGAAAAAAACACATTTGCACCTACTTAACTTACATGAGCTTGAGGGTGTTGATAAACGTGTAAAATAAACATCTAAGGTGGTAATGATCAGTGAGAATTTTAAGGGTCTGAAAATATTCTGAAAACCAGCCAGCCCTTGGCCCATTAGCAGCTAGTATTATACTAAAATGATCTGCCTGGAAAGCACGGAAAAATCAAAGACATTCTCCACTGGGAATCAAACAAGTTTGATTAGCAAGATGAGCCTGTACTAAACTTCTAATCTTCCCCATCAGAACAATGGTAAATCTAGCCATTAATGAGCAAATATACATTTTTAGATGGCATTCAATGAAACGCACATCAGAGAGAATGCGTGTTCACAGAATAGTTGACTTGGAATGAAGGGAAACATTTGAGATACTGGTTAGTAGGGAAAAGAAAGGAGACCTTCTTATTCAGCCTTTGTCAGTCACTATCTGAAACACAAGGAGAATGGGAACACCAGTAACCAGGCCTTCTCAGGAAGGAAGGCAGAGCTGAAGAAGCCCCAAGAGTTAAAACCCTGTTTACTATGTCTGGAGGTGGTGTAATCTATATACCAGTCACTGAAGTCATTTGAGGCTTGCCTGTTGCTGACAAATGTAGATGGACAGATACGTAAAGATGATGCATCATGAACTACAGCTGATGAATTTCCTGCAGAAGCCCCAGTACTCACATCAGAGGTGTCAAGAGGTGACAGAGCTACATCACACCGAGTCTGGCAGTTTAATTTGGTGTCGGCTATTAGTGTTGACTCTCAGTACTATTGCCATTCAGTGTTTCTGCTGGCAAGGTGACACAGCCTCAGAGATTACTAAGTTTCTTTGTTGAGTGAAAGAGAGGTTGCCTGGTTTGCATAATAACCCCTTCCTGAACAATGGGAATCTCAGAGGGGCAGAGAGAAGGAATGGGGAGAAAAAAGAACTCAGTCCACAGGGCTCCTCTAAAACTTTCCTTGCATCATTTCAGGTAAGCATCTGATGGCTTTGTTGAGTAAAAAACAAATGTCCGGGGCAGAGATGATTTATGATGAAGGTTTGGCTTGGCTGAATTGGAAGCTACTGAGTGTCCTAGCATAGCAGAAGTTCTCCCTACATTGGTCCCGGAGAAACCACCACATTCACTCATAAAGGAGGACTTTGTAGGTTGCTCTGACCTCTGGATATCACCCAGTGAGTCCAATTCCTGGGAGACACAGGCTTTGGCAGTGCACCCAAGTACATGTCAACCTTCCTTTGGGTCACGTTACTCTATATCCCTTCTGCCCCATGGCACTGCTGGCAGGATGAGAAGACATGGGATGCAAACCAGGGAAACCCTGGCAGTTCCACACTGCCTAAGTAAAGACTGACATTGACTCCAGGGTTTTAGATCAAGGGCAATAATACCTTGACCCTTCCCCACTCTCTAGGGCAACAGAGCCCTAAAGGGGTGTCCTGGTCCACACATGGAGGCCACAGAAAGGTGATAAAGAATATCAGGTCCTAGGAGACACCCTTCTAGAACTATCTACGAGAGTGGGGGAGGGTAGGAAGAAACATGTAGACAGACTTAGACATTAGTAGTAAAATCATCTCTGTAGCAACAAGAAAAACAAGGCTCAAAGTTGAGGCAGCTTGTCCAAGCTAGCAATTAGGAGTAGGCAATTAGAGTAGGGCAAAGAGGACACACTGTAGGAGCTATGTAAGAATTAGAGCATATGGCAATGCTGGTTACACCTGTCCCACCACATTAAAAAGATCAAACTCACAATACTGTGCTTCTTATATTTTCAGAGAACATCATGCTTGTCTGTGGATACTTCCATTATTTCATTGGAGCCTCAGTCACTCCATGGTTTCTTGAAGCCATTCCCAGAGCCACCTTTCAGTTCTGAGCTCCTCCAATACTCCAGCTTCCACCCACATTCCTCTCCAATATAGAAGAAAATTGTGTACTCCAGAAGAATTTCACCCAAAACCATGAAGTTGACCAATCCAAAATCATCACAACCACATAATCCAAACTTTCTGTGGTGGAAGACTGGGGGGGTAAATTTCCAAGCGGGGAGAATATGTAGGTCAGTCCAAGGCATTCCATTTAGACAAGGAAGGTCTGGGATAACCACACATTTTAAAAGAACATCTTCAAGATGACTTTCCAATATAAACGTCTTTGGGAAACCAAATTCATAATTACAGTGTCTTATAGGATTTTTTTCCTACAAAAAACTTCTCCAGTTGAAGGATGCTAGCATTAATATTCTAGAGGCCCTATGTCTCTGTCTTCTGCTTTCTGAAACCCTCTTCCTTCCACAGACATACTTAGAAATGTTTCAGGAAGATCCTGTAAGGGATTTTAGGCCATATACCTTAATGATAGTCCCTGCTCCATGCTGATCATCCACCTGGAGTGTTGTATCCTGTTGTGGGAGCTGCACTTTACAAGGGGCATTGACAAATAGGGTGCACCCACAGGAAAGCAGCAGGAGTAGTCAGGAATTGAACACAGCACCATGTGTGTATATTTAAAGGTCATTGGCCAGAAAAGACAAGAATAATCTAAGTCTTCAATTATTTGAAGAGTTATCGCTTAAAGACAAGAGACATAGAGCAGAGTGAGGCCCAGTGGGAGTTTCAGGGAGAAAAATCTCAGGTAAGGAAGAGCATGTTAGTGGGTAGCCTGGCCTGAAATAGGCTGCCTCAGGAGGCCATGAGTTGCCTCCACAGGGAGGCTACGCCTGTTGTCAAGAAGTGCTTTGGTGAATGTTATAGAAAGGGTTTGTTCATCATATAAGGAGTTAAAGTAAATTACTGCTGAGTTCCCCTTCCATGCTAGTGTTCTATGGTCCTGGGATCTTCTCCACTGGAACCTTGATGAATTATAGAAGGATGAAGAAATTTCAGACATTGCATGTCCTGTCCCTGGGTGAGGACAAAACGACTCAGTAGGATGCTTACAACCCTTCTCCAGACTCCCAGGTTTTCTCCCTTTGCTTTGAGGTAGGCCTCAAGTCAGAAGACTGCTGGTGAGTAGTGTCTGCCTTCTTCCAAACATGACTGGATTTGGTTCGTTGGTTGTTTTTCACAGACTCAAATACAAAAACATTACCTACCTTGTGGGAAGTTGAGAGTTTGGGCATCTGGCGCATACAAAGTGTCTCAGCCATTTCTGTCCTGTTTCCCTTGCTGTTCAGGAAGGGGCCTGACAGACCCCCTGGTCAAACTCTCTTATATTTTATATAAGAAAAGTGACACTCAGAAAGGTCAACTGCACATCCCAAGATCATACTGATAATTATTAGTAGAGCTGGGCCTTGACTGTGGGTCTCCTGGCTTCCAATCCACTGGGGATACAAATAACAGTTTCTCCAACAAATCAACGGAATAAAAAGCAAATAAAGAGACTGGTTCCAGGACCCACTCTGTGGATACCAAACATCTCTGGATGCTCAAGTACCTTATATAAAATGGCATAGTATTTGCATAAAACCTACATACATCCTCCCATGAACTAAATCATCTCCAAATTACTTGTAACACCTAATATAATGTAAAAGCTATGTAAATCATTGTTATATTGAATTGTTTTTATTTGTATTATTTTTTATTGTTGTTATTTATATTGGTTTTTTGTTTTGAATATTTTCATCAATAGTTGGTGGAATCTGCTGATTTGGAACCTGTGGCTACCGAGGGCCAACTGTAGATTAAAGTAAGAGAATCAACTAAATGTACAAAGTATAGCTTATTTGAATTATCATTTTAAAAAAAAACTGTAAAAAGACATTCTTGAGACAATTAGCAAAACTGAATATGAACTGGGTGTTAGATAACATTATTCATTATGGAAATTTTATTAGATGTCATAACAGCATCAAGTGCATGTGACATTTTTTGAAGCTCTTAACAGTTAGAATATTGAAGCACTGACAAGTGACAAAACATGACGTCTTGGATTCTCTTTAAAATACTTAACTCCCAGCTTGGCATGGTGGCGTGTGCCTGTAGTCCCAGCTACATGGGTGGCTGGGCTGGGAGGACTGCCTGAGCCCAGGACTTCAAGGTTGCAGTGAGCTATGATGGACCACTGCACTTCAGCCTGGGCGACAAAGCCAGACCCCATCTCTAACAACAACAAAAACAAAAATAGTACAGGAAAATAGGGGGCCATGGTAATGGGTGAAATTAAATTGGCAAGATTTGGCAATTGTTGAAGCTGGATAATAGGTACAGTGGGAGTTATTAAGCTACTCTCTCTCTACCTTTGTGTATACTTGAAAACATCCATTTTAAAGATTTTTTTAAAATACTAATTCAGACTTAAGGCTGAGCAGGTTGAAAGCACAACCTCTACCCTGTCTCCAGCCAAGTAGTTCTCAGAAGGGTTGGGGGAGGCAACTTGGGCCTGGACCACTGTTGCTCTCCCAGGGTCTTCACTCAACCCCCAGTCTTCTCACTGAAGATATCAGGTGGGGGACAGAGCAGGAAATCATACTGGGCTTTGTACATATTTATCCATATGTTACTCAATCTGTTTCCTGTTAATAGCAAACTGAAAACTTTCTAGTCAAATTGTCCTGTGTTGTTTTCCAGATCCTAATGCTTTGTTAAATTTTTAAAAATAAAATTTAAAAAACCTCACACTCATCCCATGCACAATACCCAACCATCACATTGTTAAATCAGATGCAGTGTTAGGGCTCATCAATAGTGCACTCATGTCACCAATTCTACACTCCTTTTGTGTGTGTTCCTCTATACACACACACACACACACACACACACACACACAGAGCATTAACCATTGACTATGCAGGAATTCAGTTTGTTTGCCCATTAATCTCAAGGAGGAAGATCTACTACAAGTTGAGTATCCCTTATCTGAAATGCTTAGGACTGGAAGTGTTTTGGATTTCAGATTTATTCGGATTTTGGAATATTTGTATTATACTTATCAGTTGAGCATTCAAAATTCGAAAATCAAAAAGCAAAAATGCTCCAATGAGCATCCTCTTTGAGCATCGCAGCAGCAATCAGAAAGTTTTGGATTTTGGAGCATTAGGAGGATTTTAGATGTTAGGATTTGGGATGTTCGACCTGTACTGGATCCAAATGGAAACGCCTGCAATATGGATTCAGAATGTGGTTTGTCTACACCACTTCTTCTATTAATTCTCTCAAGGGACTTGAGTAATTTGGCTTTCATAATTAAAGAAGTTGTGTCTTTGTGGGAACATTTGAAATAACTTTGGACATGAATATATTTACCATTGAAATCTTGATCTAATAGCTTTTAATAGTAATCTGAAAGCATTCACAAGCCTCCAACCAGGGACCTGATGAAATGGATTTGAGGTGGGGAAGAGCACAGGGAAGAAAACCATCAACAGAGCCTTAGAAAGTTTCTTAAAATGATCAAGACTACATCAATTATTTTTAACCCAAAAAAATGTACTTTGATCCTACCACATTTGCTCCCTTCCTGGTCCTAACCATTCCTCCCTCCTTTTACTCTTGTCATCTCTGTAGTCCATGATTTTTCAACAACCGTGATGCTGTCAGCCATTGTAGAGATCCCTTTGCCAAATCGCAAACTTGCCAAATATTACTGTGACCAATGTTATTGTGGAAGAAACAGGAAGAGAGTTATAACTCTCTGTACCAAGGTACCCAGAAATAAAGCATGGATATGTGAAGTCATGAAGTTTGATTCTAGGCCCTCAAGTACTAAAAGAAAGCACTCATTAATAATTGCAAATGAACACATACTTTCAGCTCTTTCACTTCCCTGTAATGCAGACCCTGTATAGGTGGAAGTTAATTTGAGTGCAGGGACCATCTCTCCCCCTTCTTTGTGTCTCCCACAAAGCTCAGCACAGTGTTTTACACCTCATAGGAACTCCATAAGCAATTAATAAATTGAAGTGGAGAATTGCTGAGTTGCTGTTAGCAATCTTAAACCAGGCACAAAATCACAAGATTCACCACTGTTAGTCCCTATAGAAATTGATCCTGCTCAAAACTATATAAATGCAATGGATTTGTAGCCTTAAAGTTTCAAAAGGGTTGATACTTCTAATCTGGGAAAATAATGGTATTTTAATCCCATTGCACCTTTCAGTTTAAGATAATGTATTAGACTAAAGTGGAGATTATAACTTTTACTCAAGAGATACCTCTTCTAGTCTCATTCCATTAGTTACGACAAGGCCCTGTCATTAAGGAGTTTACTCCCTCACTGGGGAGAGAGAACTCATGATGACTGACTGACTTCCACAATTGGCTTAGGGAACCAGACTCATTCATTAAATCAAAGAAAAAGAACATCAAGGAAAGTTAAATCATCAAAAATAACTCCCTGGGCTCACACTTTTTTTCCTTTCCTGAGACAACCACTAGCATCTTTCTTAGAAAGAAGGTAACACTCAGAAGGCAGACCTGGGTTCTCAAGTGACCTCAGTAGATCTGCAGCATTCATTAAGCACTGACTGTATGCAAATCCTTCAATGGAAGAGCTGTCACTGAAGAACCTATGCATACCTGGCCCATACAGGCTGTGCCTTGGAAGCTTATTGCTGCCTTGAGAAGATATAAAACAGAGGAGAGACAATTTTCAAACTAAAGAAAAAGCCATATGAAAACCAGTGGAAAAGAATATGGTGCAAAGGAAATACCTAAGGGCCAGGGAGAGTTGGATTAAGGCCACAATTAAATCAACATAGGCAATGATAAATAACTCCTTCCATCTGCATAACATCCCACAGTTTTCTACATATTCACACCTATTGCTTCTTTTAATTCTCAAACAACTTTATGAAGTAGGTTTTATTCCCCCAATTTCTTGATGAGAGCACGGAGTCCCATATAGGTGAAGTGACATGCCCAAGACCCCTAAGCTAGTAAGTGGAAGAGCTGAGCAGAAAATACTTCAGGGCTCTAATCTGCTGTCTTCCAGCCACGGTCATTTCCACTTCCTCTCATTACCATTCAGCAAGATATATCTGTGCAGAGCTTTACTTTTGCAAAGTATCTTCACGGAAATTTTATCATTTGTCCCCTCAGCAGCCCAGTGAGAGGCACAGCAGAAATTTCACAGGAGAGCCATCTTGGTGAGTTTTCCTGCCTGAAGTCAGAAAAAACAGAGATTGTCAGTGCATCTTGACTCCCAGCACAATCATGGTCTCTTCACACCAGCTGGGGTCTCACAGCACAGTAGGCAGGAAAAAGGACAGGAGCAGAAGCTGCACTGGTGCATGCATTTCTTCCTGGATTCATATCTGTGAGGTGACAGTTAAAGCCATGAGACTAGAAAGAGAGGGGCTGAGATGCAGACCAGTCTGTTCTCTCAGTGGCTTCCTCACTTTTCAGAGCATCAGGAATGGTGGGGGGTCCGGATATCTGCCCAACACCTCAAATCATTCTGCACCCCTTTGCTTGGATCAAGGCTCTGGAGTTGGATAGTGAATTCAAATCATGCCCTCAGCTCCCAGCGCTAGCCTGTCCAGTTGACAGTAGAACTGCCACAGCCTCCTGTGTTTTCTGTGCCCTCTGCAAAGAAGGAGAACAAGAAAGCCCCAGTGTGAGCAGGAAAACCACTATGAGGAAGGTATTCCCGCTACACCAGGGAAGGAGCAAGCTAATTGGCTCTAGAGGGGTTGGGCGGTGGCATGGGCAGGTAGGATTGTGCTGTCCTTTATTGACTGATGCAGTCACTTGTTGGGAACCTGTGTTCATTAGCTGTGTGTAAAGTGATATCAGAGGAGAGACGCTGGGTCCTCTGCTGAATGATTGAGCGCCCCACCTGAAGGGAGGTGCATTATTTAAAAGCGCCTGCGAGAGTAATCGAGTTACTTAAGTGGATGTGTTGAGCATATCTGAGTGGGGGCTGCCATGAGAATGCAAGATCAGGGGCGCTGAAATGTGAAAGGCAACTCTACCTCAACTGGAATAAGCCTTCAGCCTTCTGATGCTCATTATCTGCATCTCCCTCTAGCTATTGTCTGGAACTAAAGGGTCTTCCCACATTCCTTGTGCTAACTCTCCAGGTTTCCTGGGCAAGGCAGGTAAGCGAGCTGCAAGGATCTGTTTGTCTAACAGATGAGAGAGAGGAAAAGCCAGCTTTTCTTCCTCCAGATCTTCCTTAGTCCTTTCCGTGACATGAAGCAGCCCATTGGCTAATCCCTGGGCTTTAAAAGAGTTGAAAAAATTTAAAAGGGTACAAGATCAACGGTGTCTCCTAGGATGTTACTGAGCAAATCAAAAGTGACAAAGAGCTCACCAGAGTTGTCCCCACACCCCTACCCCAACCTTTGGAGACTTTGAAGGCATAGAAAGAAGTCTACATAGTGTCAGCCTTCTGCAGAGGCCAAACAAGTACCCCACCCCACCACCACCACCACAGGTGTGACTAAAAGGGCCACATCCCCATCCCTGTGGCTCCACAAAGTCTTAGTCATCAGTGCCCTTTTCTCCCAGGGCCACTGCCCTGTTTCACTGCCCTTAGAACATCCCTGATATGGCTTGGGTGTGTCTCCACATAAAATCTGACCTTGAATTTTAATCCCCACAATCCCCATAATCCCCATGTGTCAAGGAAGAGACCTGGTGAAGGTAATTGAATCATGGGGGTGATTTCCCCCATGCTCTTCTCGTGATAGTGAGTGAGTTCTCGCAAGATCTGATGGTTTTATAAATGTTTGGTAGTTCCTTCTGTGTTCACCTCTCCTTCCTGCTGCCTTGTGAAGAAGGTGCCTTGCCTAACCCTTCACCTTCTGCCAGGATTGTAAGTTTCTGAGGCTTCCCCAGCAGTGCTGAACTGTGAGTCCATTAAACCTCCTTCCTTTGTAAATTACACAGTCTCGGGCAGTTCTTTATAGCAGTGTGAAAACGGACTAATACACCCCCTTCTCTTCTCTTACAACTGCTTCCCAGTGAGACAGTGACATTCACACAAAAGCATTTCTCCGGTTCTACTCCCACCCATTGTACAGAACCTACAGCCCCCTTTTTTTCCTCCCAAATCATCCCAAGAATCTCCAAAGGAGTTTCCAAGGTGACCAAAAACCAAACTTCTGGGCTATCCTGATGAGGCTACCAATGTCCCCTCTCCCAATCCCACTTGTTATAGTATCATCGTGGGTGTCCTCTCAGTGCTCGTGCTGCCCTCTGAAGTCTAGAACTCTGGATTCCTCATAAAAATAGACCATGGCTGGGTCTGCACCCCCAACTCCAGTCCTCTAAACACACCGGATTCTAGGGAGAACTCAGCTTCAGCTCGCCAGAACTCAGCCCATCTTCAATGGCTCTCAACTGCCTAGAGAAGGCAGCCCAGCTTCTTCAGCATGGCATTCAAAGCCCCAGTCACTCTGTTTCCACTGCAGCTCCTCTTCTCCCAATCCCATCCTCACACCCAATTCATCTACTCACCACCCAGACTACTTGCCTTTCTTTTAAACACACGTTGAATTCTCCCTGGCCTTCATCCAATAGGTTTCCAACAACCAGCCTACCCTCCCTTCTGTGCACTGCTGCCTTTCAACCAGCAAGACCCAATTTAACACAGTTTTCCTCCTCTCTTCATAGAGTTGTTTGCAGCACCATCAGGGGTGTGCCTCCCTCCCTAGAGTGTGCCCTCCAGAGAGCAGGGACCACATCTTCTTTTTTTTAAAAAACAAGATCTTGCTCTGTCACCCAGGCTGGAGTGCAGTGGCACAATACAGCTCACTGCATCCTCCACCTCCCAGGCTCAAGTCATCCTCCTACCTCAGCCTCCCGAGTATCAGGGATTACAGGCATGCACCACCACACTCAGCTAATTTTTGTATTTTTTGTAGAGATAGAGTTTTATCATGGTGCCCAGGCTGGTCTTGGACTCCTGAGCTCAAGCAATCCATCTGCCTTGGCCTCCCAAAGTTCTGGGATTACAGGTGTGAGCCACTGCACCCAGCCACATCTTATCTATCTAAATCCCTATAGTCAATAGCACAGTGCTTTACACATGATGGGTGCTCAATAAGTGGTTATTGGGCTGAAGAAGCTATGGCACATGAAAAATGATGCCATTTGGGGGAAATTAATTATTACTTATTATAAAATCATTTGTCCATTTTGTTTCTTTCACCTGCGTATACTACACGAGAATAAGATACAGAACTGGTAAGGTTTGACAGTCAAGGTTAGGACTGAGAAATGCCTTGAAGCATGATCCACAGAATGCCCAACAGTAAGGTCCTTACCACCAGTGGGAACCAGGAGGACACAGCCGGAAAAAACAGAGAGGAGAAAGGTCCAGTCAAAACAAAGGACTCTCTTGGGTCTGACCCTAACACCAACAATGCATGCTAGTTGATATCTTTCAACCTCTTTCAACATTCTTTCACAGAGCTTAGAGAAGTTAAGATCATCAAATGTTAGAAATTAGATAGTCTAGCCCCTTGCTTTTATAGAGTCAGAAACAGAGGCCCAGAGAGGTAAAAATGACTTCTCCAAGGTCACATGACCAGTTAGTGGTAAAGTCAGAACTGAAATCCAGATCTCCTGACAACACACACAGCATATATTTTTACAGATATTAAAGTCTTCTCTTCCCATTCTTTTGTCATTCATTTTCATAAGAAAAATGGGAATAAAATGAAAGGATGAGGATGCAGAGAAAGGGGAACTAAAAAGAAGGTTTCATTCATAAATCTTCCTCATATTTCCAATTTCCCCAGCACAGTCAGCAGAAGGTGTTTGTCAATCCCTCATCTTCATGAAAAGGGACAGACCTATGGAATTCTCCAGTGACCGTGCATCCAGATGCTGCATCCTAGGCTCCCCTGCTATGTGTGGGTTCCCATCCCCTCCTTGCTAGGATCTGCTGGGCTGAGCAGGGTGGCAGGAGGCCAGATTCCTGACATTATTGTCTTTAGCACTTGTCCCAATCCTGCTAGGCTTTCTGATCTGATTTATTAGCACAAACCCAGCACTCTAAAAATATAATTACAGCATTTAGAGTGTGTTTCCTATTTCTAGGCTGCAGGGGCTTAAGCAGCACATAAACTCTTCTGACACTGAGTTATACCCTGGAAAACCAAAACTGTGCACTCTGCGAAGCTGGGCTCATGGCGGGGTGATCCGATGGGCTGCAGACACGGTGACACTCAGCGCAGCTGCCATGTGGGTGGTGGTAATAATCATTTTTAACATAAAGTACATGATTTATAGCAAGGGAGGCAGCCTCATAAATCTTTTTTGATCATCTTAATATGGACTATTTCCTGAGTTTTAAAATACACTTACAGATTTTCACCTTTGATCTTGAGAGAAACTGTAGGATTTCTTCTTCATGTTACTAATGTAAGATAGGAAAAAGAGATGAGTTAGTGGCATATTTCTGAATGAAAGCAGGGCCTGGGAAATACCACTGGCCTTCTACATGGGCCCCTCAAGCCCATCCTTCTACCACCTCTTCATATCATCTTTACAACCCCAAGTGGACTAATGCCTTAGGTGTCCTCATAGTCTCTGGGACCCTTAGGGACTCTGAGAAGGCCCTGGAGTGTAGTGACTTAGGGCCGGATATCAACTCTGCCGTGGGTTTCTATGCAATCATGGGGAAATGACTTTCCATAGTTTGGTCACTGCAGCTACAAAGTAGGGATAACAGCCTCCCTGTGTTTGCTATGGCTGCCAAAACAAAATACCACAGACTGGGTGGCTTAAAAAAACAGTTGTTTCTTCTCACAGTTCTGGAGGTTGGAAGTCCAAGCTCAAAGTGTTGGCAAGGTTGATTTCATTCGAAGGCCTCTGTCCTTGGCTTGCATCCTCACATGGCCTTTCCTCTGTGTACACACACTTCGGGTGTATTGTGTATCCAAATTTCTGACACCAGTCAGATTGGATTAGGGCCCACCCTAACAGACTCATTTTAACTTAATTACCTCTTTGAAGAGCTTATCTCCAAAAACGATTACATTCTAAGGTTCTAGGGGTTCAGACTTCAACCAATGAATTTGAAGTGGACATAATTCAGCCCATAACACTCCCACACTGTGATGTGATGGAAAGAATCAAATGCATTGATGAATATAAAATGGCTAACACAGGATCTCTAACACATAGCAAATACACAACAAATGTTAGCTATTACCATTATTTTTGTTGTCTATTTTTACACTATAATGTTGAGTTTTTTTAATTATACTTTAAGTTCTAGGGTACATGTGCACAACTTGCGGGTTTGTTACATATGTATACATGTGCCATGTGGGTGTGCTGCACCCATTAACTCGTCATTCACATTAGGTATATCTCCTAATGCTTTCCCTCCCCCCTCCCCCCACCCCATGACAGGCCCCGGTGAGTGATGTTCCCCTTCCTGTGTCCAGGTGTTCTCATTGTTCAATTCCCACCTGTGAGTGAGAACATGCGGTGCTTGGTTTTTTTGTCCTTGTGATAGTTTGCTGAGAATGATGGTTTCCAGTTTCACCCATGTCACTGCAAAGGACATGAACTCATCATTTTTTATGGCTGCATAGTATTCCATGGTATATATGTGCCACATTTTCTTAATCCAGTCTATCATTGATGGACATTTGGGTTGGTTCCAAGTCTTTGCTATTGTGAATAGTGCTGCAATAAACATACGTGTGCATGTGTCTTCATAGCAGCATGATTTCTAATCCTTTGGGTATATACCCAGTAATGCGATGGCTGGGTCAATTAGTATTTCTAGTTTTAGATCCTTGAGGAATTACCACAGTGTCTTCCACAATGGTTGAACTAGTTTACAGTCCCACCAACAGTGTAAAAGTGTTCCTATTTCTCCACATCCTCTCCAGCACCTGTTGTTTCCTGACTTTTTAATGATTGCCATTCTAACTGGTGTAAGATGGTATCTCATTGTGGTTTTGATTTGCATTTCTCTGATGGCCAGTGATGATGAGCATTTTTTCATGTGTCTGTTGGCTGCACAAATGTCTTCTTTTGAGAAGTGTCTGTTCATATCCTTTGCCCACTTTTTGATGGGGTTGTTTGTTTTTTTCTTGTAAATTTGTTTGAGTCCTTTGTAGATTCTGGATATTAGCCTTTGTCAGATGAGTAGATTGCAAAAATTTTCTCCCATTCTGTAGGCTGCCTGTTCATGCTGATGGTAGTTTCTTTTGCTGTGCAGAAGCTCTTTCATTTAATTATATCCCATTTGTCAATTTTGGCTTTTGTTGCCATTGCTTTTGGTGTTTTAGACATAAAGTCCTTGCCTATGCCTATGTCCTGAATGGTATTGCCTAGGTTTTCTTCTAGGGTTTTTATAGTTTTAGGTCTAACATTTAAGTTTTTAATCCATCTTGCCAGGCGCAGTGCCTCACACCTGTAATCCCAGCACTTTGGGAGGCTGAGACGGGCGGATCACGAGGTCAGGAGATCGAGACCATCCTGGCTAACACGGTGAAACCCCGTCTCTACTAAAAATCCAAAAAAAAGAAATTAGCCGGGTGTAGTGGCGGGCGCCTATAGTCCCAGCTACTAGGGAGGCTGAGGCAGGAGAATGGCGTGAACCCAGGAGGTGGAGCTTGCAGCAAGCCGAGATCGCGCCACTGCACTCCAGCCTGGGCGACTGAGCGAGACTCCGTCTCAAAATAAAATAAAATAAAATAAAAAGTTTTTAATCCATCTTGAATTAATTTTTGTATAAGGTGTAAGGAAGGGATCCAGTTTCAGTTTTCTACATATGGCTCACCAGTTTTCCCAGCACCATTTGTTAAATAGGGAATCCTTTCCCCATTTCTTGTTTTTGTCAGGTTTTTCAAAGACCAGATGGTTGTAGAGCTGTGGTATTATTTCTGAGGGTTGTGTTCTGTTCCATTGGTCTATATCTCTGTTTTGGTACCAGTACCATGCTGTTTTGGTTACTGTAGCCTTGTAGTATAGTTTGAAGTCAGGTAGCATGATGCCTCCAGCTTTGTTCTTTTGGCTTAGGATTGACTTGGCAAAGTGGGCTCTTTTTTGGTTCCATATGAACTTTAAAGTAGTTTTTTCCAATTGTGTGAAGAAAGTCATTGGTAGCTTGATGGGGATGGCAATGTTGAGATTTTAACTAAAATTCAGAACTAATCATGTATATTCAGCTCTGATGTTGCAAACTGTTTAGAAAGTTTGCAACATCATTGGAAGCTTTTGACCAGAATAACATTCTAAACTCCTCGGTTTACACTTACAAAACTCCAGAACATGAGTTTGACCTCTCCCTCCTATCTTACCCACCCCTTCACCTGTCTGTCACTCTAGACTTCCTGCTGCTCTCCAGATTCACTGGCTCCATCACACATATGGGTACCTCTTCCCACCATTACACACTTGGAGAACTCCTAGATATCCTTCAAGACCCACACGAAATTTCACATCCTCTGTGAACCATTTCCCCTAACCTTAACTCAAAGTCAGTTACTCTCAGTTATACAACTTAAAGCACTTTGCATTTAAATTTACAATAGCACAGATTACTTTGAATTTTAACTATTTATCTGTGGTTTATTTGCCCTTTTTCACATAGTAGGTAAAATATGTTCGAATCAAATAAAATGGTATTGGAAGGAAGGAAGGGAGTGAGAAAGAAAGGGAGATAAAAGAAGGGAGAGTCAGAGGGAAAAGAGAGAGAGAGAAAAAAAAGGAAAACAGGGAAAGAGGAAGGAAAAGGGAGAAAATCCAACAAGTCAGACCTATGAAAAGTTTAAAAACAGCAGAGGAGGCAAAGGAAACCAGGAGTCAAGCCAAAAGACTCACCAGGACCCCACTGATGCAATGCCATGCAAAAGACCAAAACCACCAGACAGAAAAGGAGATGTCACTAAAGAGGCAAATCTTTTTCAAGAACACTCATGCTTCCACTGGTGAAGTTGTGTCCTTTAATCTGGTGGAAGGCAGAAACAGTGTGTCACCTTCCTTCCAGATGACCTAGCCCCATGCAGGTTAAATATGTATGAAATGGCAGTTTGCATGCCTGTCCCTGGCCTGAGAACAATACCACATGCAGCTGGCAGCATCTGGTGAATTCCTCTAGTTGCTCCTTATACCTGCTAAAGAGTAGTCCATCTAGTGGTCCTCAGCTCATAGCGATAGAGGGTGCGGATCACAACTGTGGTAGCTCCTGCCCTCACCCTGAGCCCCTCAGATTCCTGGCAGCTCTCAGGGCAGGAACATGGAGCAGGATGCATAGATTGTGACTGATTTAGAAAGTACCAGAAAGATCCTCTATTCAAGTGTCTGTTCCCTGGCCTGCTTCATACATACAGATATTCATGGAAAACTAAGTTCTAGATATCCAGATCATCTCATTAGCTTTTTTTGCTAGATAGATGAGAAAACGAGGCCAAAGTATTTGAGATTTGGTCCAAAAACAACTCATCAATTAACAAAATTTTTGTCCAAATCTCCAGATTCCAAGTAGTAAGCATTTCCCTCTCTCCAGATGCCCCTTTACAAACATGAACTTCCCAGGGATGGTAGCATGACATCACTATCACCTGTGATTGAGTTTTATCCATGATTTCATGAACAGCAGAACAGTCTATGGCTGGGCTGGTGGGAAGGTGAGTAGAGGAGAGGTGGGGAGACACCCACAGGACCTAGAAGCATGCAAGAGACAAGTTTTACTACTTTGATCATTTTGCCCAGGCCTCTGGAGCTAAACTAGATAAAGATGTCAGGTCCTTACATCTCTAAATGCTCAGGTAGCATCCTCTAGATGAACAGATGCTGGGGGATCCTAGGGACAGGAGCCTTTGACAGTCAGCTTTCCTCTGATCCTCAACTCCCACAGCCATCCCCTGGCCCAGCCATATGGAATTACATAGGAGTTCATGCTCTCTCTTCCTCTCTAAAACAATGTTTGCCCTTTTGAAGGAGCACCTTAGAATAACAGAGAAAGAGAGAGAGAAAGCAACTCTAAATACAAGATCCCATTGTTCTTGGACACATACCATAAACAGTGGGGAGGAAACAGCTGGGACTTCCTACAAAGAAAAGTTGAACAGACTCAGTTGGCCTGACTTAGCACAGCCATGGCTCTGGTCTAGCCAAGTGCCCTTGGAGGCCCCTCACTGGTAGCAAGACAACATTTGTGCATCCTGACCCCTCCAAGTTCTAGCCCAGCTGCCAAGGAAAGGAGAGGCAGAGCTGCTGACTAGTTGGCATGAGTGGACCTAAGATAATCAAGGGCCGCAGAGGATTGAAAATGTGATACCAGGGTAGGAAATTTAAGCTGGGCAGCAAAGGAGTATACAAACTGAATTTCCCAGGAAGTTCTTTCTACAAAAATTTGTAATTATTTCAGATGAATTGTTTCATATCACATATTACATGAACACAGCAAAAGATATATCTATATTATAATCATAACTATATAAAGACATAATTAAGATAGTATTATACTAGCTCATGTCCTTAGAGTACATGGGTCATTTGCCCAAGGAATAGAGTCCATGAGTGGGATTTCCCTTACGATATGGAGTCTCAGCCTTCTCAGAATAGAGCTTCTGATACAGGTCTGCCCACAACTGTCTGTGTGACCTCTAGAAAATTACCTAACCTCTCTGAGACTCAGCTGAAAAAAGGAAGAGAAATTATAGAGCTACCAAAGACCAGAGGCTGACCAAGATAACATTTGAGGTCCTCTCCATTTATTGATGTTGCATTTCTCTTGTTTCCCACCAAACTCAGCCACCTCTAGGTGCTGACACATGGGAAAGAGTCAGTGTGTTCAGAAATACACTCAGTCAGGAAATAAACCAAAGGAAAGGCCTATCTGTCTTAATACAGATACACTCTCAGCAGTCAGAAGTCTCTGAACATTAGAAGTATCACATGAAGAAGAACCTGCCCTTTCCTACTGGACATGAATGACAAAGGATATGGCCATGGAGGCAGCTGCAGCCATCTTGTAACCACCAGACAGAATCTGCCTGAGAATGAAGGAATCAGGAAGGGGAGCTGAAAAATGGAGAAACATCGGGCCTGCTCACATCGTGTGAGCTCTAGATCAAGCTATGCCTGAAATTTCCATTTCATGAACAAATTCCCTTCACTGTTAAAAAATTAAAGAAGAAATGGTGGCACCAGGAACTTATGAAGACAACTCTGAAAAGGGTGCGGTATAAAATTCGAATCACTGAAAGTTCCTCTTGGCCAACTGGAGGTCCTTCTCTTTCTAGGCCAGGTGGACACCAGCTATTTCAGAAGGACTTCCTCAGAGTCCCCACACCATGTGAGAGGTGAGTCATAGCCATGGAAGAGGCCCCCTGACCAACCAGAGAACACACCAAGAAAGAAAAGGAAACAGAAGGTGCTAGAGCAAGCCCCAAGAGGAAAACCTGAAGGTACTGGGGACATTCACCCCAAACAAGAGAAGTCCAAGCACAGAAACTGCTGCCTTCAAATAATGTGAAGGGCTGGTGGGTGGAAAAGGAAGGAGATTTATTCTATATCATACCAAAGCTGTATTATCAAAAGATCCTATGGAATGCCGGACCTGCAAAATGCATGATTACAGTGAGTTCCTTGGTGTACTAGCTCATCTGCATAAACAAATACCTGAGGCTGGATGATTTATAAAGAAAAGAGGTTTATGTGGAATACTCTGCAGCCATAAAAATGAATGAGATCATGTCCTTTGCAGGGACATGGATGGAACTGGAAGCCATTATCCTTAGCAAAGTAACACAAAAACAGAAAACCAAACACTGCATGTTCTCGCTTATAAGTGGGAGCTGAACAATGAGAACAGATGGACACAGGGAGGGGAACAACACACACTAGGGCCTGTTAGGGGGACAGGGAAAGGGAGAGCATCAGGATAAATAGCTAATGCATGCGGGGCTTAATACCTAGGTAATGGGTTGTTAGGTACAGCAAACAACCATGACACACAGTTACCTATGTAACAAACCTGCACATGTATCCTGGATCTTAAAATTAAATTTAATTTAAAAAAATAATAAATTTAAAAAAGAAGTTTAATTGGCTCACGGTGCTACAGGCTTTACAGGAAGCATAATGCTGGCATCTGCTTCCAGTGAGGCCTCAGGAAGCTTACAATCATGGCAGAAGGTGACGGAGAGCCAGCATGTCACATGGCCAGAGAGGGAGCAAGCGGGCCAATGGGGAAGTGCCACACTTTTAAACAAGCAGATCTTGCATGAAGTAACTGAGTGAGAACTCACTCATCACCAAGGGGATGGTGTTAAGCCATTCATGAGGGATCCTCCCCCATGATCCAAACATTTCCCACCAGGCACCACCTCCAACATTGGAGATCACATTTCAACAGGCGATTTGGAGGGGATAAACATCCAAATCATATCACTTGGTCAAAGTAGTTTGGGAAACACTATGAAACATCCTACTGCTTGGAATATCATAATACACATTAGCATATATTAAAGGATCTGAGAAGTCCTGCAGTAAAAAAAAAAAAAAAGTTTTGTACCGTTTAGCACAGTGACTAGTCAGGGTTCTCTAGAGAAAGAACAAACAGGGTATAGAAATATAGGTATAGATATAGGTATGGATATAGATATAGATATAAATATAGATATATAAATATAGACAGAGAGAGAGATGTATTATAAGGAATTGACTCATGTGATTACGGAAGCCGAGAAGCACCAGGATCTGTAATCAGCAAGCCAGAGGCACAGGAGAGACTGTGGTATAGCTCCAATCTGAGTCCAAAGGCCTGAGAACCAGGGAAGCCAATGGTGTGGATTCCAGTCTAAAAATCATCAGGCTCAAGACCTAAGAAGAGCTGATTTTTCAATTGAGTCTGAAGGCCAGGAAAGATTAATGTCCTACTCAAGCAGTCAGACAGGAAGAGCTCCCTCTTACTCAGACTTTTTGTTCTATTCAGGTCTTCAATTGATTGGACGAGGCCCAGCCCCATTAGGGAGAACAATCTGCTTTATTCAGCCTAACAATTCTGATATTAATCTCAGCCAAAAACACCCTCACAAACACACCGAGAATAAGACTTGATCAAATATCTGGGTACCCATGGCCCAGTCAGGTTGACCCACAAAATTAATCATCATACACAGAATTTTCCAAAACTTCTTCCACCAAGGAATGGTTCTCAAGAACAATGTTCCTCAGACACCGGTGGTCCATGGGTCACCTGTCTCAGATTCACCTGCACTGCTCTCTTAGAGATGGTGATTCAGAGCTCTAGGCTGGACCCAGGAATCAGCACTTTTAGGCCTCCAGCACTTGAATTCACAGATCAATTTCAGCACCACTAAAAGTGGGATACCTCTCACTGTCACACACTAGGAAACACACAGCACCACCTGTCGTGTATTCCCAAAAAAATAATAATAATAATAATGGAACTAAATCTAAACAACTCTCATATCTGATTATCAGTTTACAAGAAATAGAGGCAAAAGAATTAAAATTCACCATGACGAAACAGCCAGTCAAAGCCAGAATGCAATACATTGTACAGGATAAATGATTTGGTTTCCTCAACATATAGATGGTATTTTTTAATGGATCAGCAGACATTCATAGATTAACAGACTCTTAAGAAATATGAAATCCAGTGCAACGTGTAATGTATAGATGTTGTTTGAATCAAGATTCAAATTCACCTTTAAAAGGCATTTTAAAGGCAATCAGGACAATGTGAGTATGTATTGCATACTAGATAATAGTAGAGAATTATCGTTAATTTTGTTATGTGTGATAATGACATTGTGAATATGTAGAAAAAACTGTCATCTGGCAGAGAAGTGTACTGAAGTATATGCACATGAAATTATATGATGACTGAAGTTTGCTTTAAATAACTCTATTAAAAAGCAGAAGAGATCAATAAAGTAATGTTTTCAAAATGCTGATAACTGTTGAGAGTGGATGATGAGTACATAGTTTTATAATATAATTTTCTCTGCTTTTGTATTATGTTTAAAAATTTCTGTAATAAAAATATTTAAGAGAAGAGGAAAGGAAAAAGCAACCCAAGTTGATTCTCATGCACCCTAAGGTTCTGCTCTTGGGTAAAGCTAGGACAAGTGGGTTATAAAGAAGCAGAAATCCACTCACTATTTCTAACAATTAGATATGGCAGACTCTGGGAGTGTTCAGGGAAGGTCAGGGATAAAGCAAACTGCAGAAGGGTTTTCTGCATTGTTTTGGAGGCTGGACAAAGACTCATCTAGCCAGCAGCTTGTGCACTTCAACACGTTCCCTTCACCACTTCTGGCCACCCTGGTCTCCAAGGAATATGAAGGTTGCCAAGTTCCAGCCACTTGTCATTACTCAACATAGTCATGTCTCTCAGGTTAAAGAAAATCCCCAAACTGGAGTATAGTGAGGACTCACGGAATGTTTGCTGCAACTCACCCACCACCCACTTTGAACTTTTAATGTGGCTTCTGCCAAACAAAGGCAGTGGATCACTCACCTGAACATCTCTCCAGCCGGCAATTTGAAATATTTGACAGGCCTTGCAAACAGCCACTTGCTCAGGGCAAGAAACTATTTATTAGGGGCACATAGAAAAGGATATTAATTTCACTTACTGTGCTACATGTATTTCTCCCTGGAGGGCAAGGAGAGGTCTAGCTTTAAAAAAAAAAAAAAAAAAAAAAAAAAAGCTGTTGTGGGCTAAGAGGAATATAGTATACTGTTTTAAGAATCTAGTCAATTTGAATTTGGCAAATAAATTCATGTACCAATTGTCTAGCTCCCCATTTCCTAACAATTTCCTAACAGAGAACCATTTGGAATTTTGAGAGATTACAAAATAATGAAGAAAAACAAGTAGTGTTCATTTATCACTATGGTGGTCATGCTGGAGATAGGCTCATGAAGTTGGCTTGCAAAATGTCATTTATACTTTCTTGAGGTTAACTGCAGCATTTTATTTCCCTTCATTTTTTGCCCTTTAGAGGTTTTCGAGCACTTTAGCTTGTAAAATCACCTTTGCAAGCAGTGGCACAATTGAACATAGAAGTGTGCTCTCTGTTCCAATTCAGAATCCCACATAGACAATTATTCAGTGACTTTTCCAATCAGCCATGTCCATGATAGCTGCATGGCAGAGAATGCCACCCCACTGTTATTTTTCCTCTGCAAATTAACGGTGTTGCATGTCTCTGTTGAAATAAGTGTGTTTGACTTTTCTATTAAAGTGTATTATCCTAAATGGGTTGTCAGTCAGATTGTCCTCATTAGGAATTCAAAACTCCAAGTCCATCAGGGAATAGATTTAGAATGGCTAATGATGTTACAAAGCTGCCAACCCTCATTCATAAGAAAAATTAGCTCTGTGATGTCTCAGGAATTCATCTCTTTTGTTCCTCTCCCACAAAACTTGCTCTAATTCAGGCCCCCCCTACATCTGACCTACAGGAAAGCCTTCCCTCCTCCTCCTCCACCCACTTCTCCAGGCCTCTAAACACTACACTACACACACACACATTCAACACACACACTCACACACACTCACACACTCACACACACACTCACGCACACAGTTTTGTCTTTCACTCTGACATTCAAAGCGTTAAACCATCTTTCCAGTTTTGTTCCCACTCCCATCCTCCCACCAACATCCCCACTATCACCACCCACTTCATGTCCCACCCACACCCCACAGTTGCCACGCCCTGAACAGATTTAGCATGCAACCCTTCCCATCCTGGGTATCCTCAGCCCACATCAGCACCTGTCAGAGACCTACCAATTACTTGGTACTCTGTTCAAATCTTCCAGTTCTAAGAGGACTTCGCATGTCTTCTAAAGAGGATTAATCTCTTCCTCCGAGGTTAATGCTTTCAACTCTGCTTACACCTCCCTTATGGCACACCTACAGCCTAATCTTTTTTATAATTACCCAGGTACACACTTTCTCCTCCGCCACAACGTGGGCCCCAGGGAGACAGAGGCCTCTCATATTTATCTTTACTTCCAAGGCAGCACCCAACACGTGGTAGGTGCTTTACACATTTTTGAGTTACCATTCCCAGAAAACACATGAAATTATGGACAAAATATTACATTAAGTAAAAAGCAAAGGCAGAAAAGGGTAATATTATGTTCCCATTCATGCAAAATAAAATCATATGAATCGAGATATACATAGATATAAGTAGATGTATCTCTGATAAATCTTTCAAAGGACACACACACAAAAAAAAAAAAAAAAACCCTGACGACAGCAGTTACCACTGAGGAGGGGGCAGACATGAAGGGTCAGTGGTGGAACAGAAACTTCCTCTCTCTGTGTACATTTAGACGTTTGAATTTTATTACCATTGCATATATTACCTTGTGCATATATTACCCACATTACCTATTCAAAGATAACAATTCAATTCAATTCAACTGAAAGTAATAAAATAAATGTTTGATTTTAATTGAAGCTGAATTGAACAAGCCTGAAATTAATAATAGAGCTGGCTGGAGTTGTCAAATTACCCATTGCCAATGAGTTCAGCATGCAAAGAGAGAATTTTATTTCTCTAATTATATGGCAATCCAAGGCCAAGTGGAATTCATTAGTTTCACTAATAGTAATAATAATGAATATACTTATAAAATTAACAACTCACATGATTTTTCCTTATTGAGAAATTTTATCCAAGAGTATTTTAAATTCTGTTGCCTAACAAAATCAGTTCACTAACAATGTAGGCTCTCAGAGCTCATACTTTTTTTTGCCCTGTATTATTATTGGAAAATGTTGCCAAATAGCAAAAGTTGAAACATCGCAAAATGTATATTATTAAATATTACAATTGCATAAATTATATAGGTAAATCCTTTTTGAGAATGTGTGCATAAAGGGAACAAAAATTATTCTTAGAGTTCAGGGTGTGACAGAGCTTGAGAAAACCATCTCCATGAAGAATTGGAGCATGATATTTGTAGCTAAGAGGTTCCCAGGCTGGGCCGTGTGGCCAAGCTTGCCTAGGTCTTTTCATTCCTCTTCTGGTTTCCACCCTACAGGTGAAAGGACTCATGCTATCATCCCAACTCAAAGAATCGCAGGGCTCTCTAGCTACTTCTATATCCTTCTTTCATTTGTGACCTGTTAGCAAGTATATGAACATTCAAAGGAAGATCAAAAAAATTAAAAGTACCCCCTCCACAGCATACATGGACAATCAGGCGCCTTCCTCACCCTCTCAGGTGAAAAGACCCTGCTCGGGACCCTAGGGCTTCATTGCTTTCATCATTATCATAGCCTCTGGAGCTACAAATGTTATGCATGGACATTAAATTATCCTCCCATCTCTAAGATCTCTTTTTAAAGAGTCACCTATGATGTATGAGTGTCTCTGAAACCCCACTCCTAGAGGCTTTCAGCGGAACATTGGGGGCAGAATGGAGACCCACACAGCAGCAGCAGAACCTGGGGGACATTAATGAGGGGCAGGGCCAGTGCCCGAGAGGAGCACTACTTATTATTAACACATTAGCCCTGTAGGGCACCGTGCCAGTTTTAATAAGCAACCAATCTGGCACACCAGCTCAGCTATGAAAGATCTGAAAACTCAGGAAAAATTACCCTCCTATACTGTAACACCTCATTTCCAGCAGTGCCCGGAAAAACACTTTTTCATAACAACATATTCTCAGCCATTGCTAGTCATAATAGCAATCTATAGTATTATTGCTAATAATAGGTATGGCTGTTATTACTTTCTGTCACCAGTATGAATATCATAGAGTATATGTATAATAAATATACTACTATAGGATTCTCGCTCACAATAAACTATTGTAATATATTTTGTCCACCATTGTATTCTCAGGGAATAAACTGGGATATGACAGGTGCCTAATATTTGTTAGATTTGATTATTGTATATAATATGACAGATAATATACTGTCTTATTTCCAAGGAAAAATGGAATTGACTCAATTTCTTAAAAAGTGAATTCTGATTCCCATATGTTTAGGTCTGCGGAAATTATCATTAACTTGAAAATTTAAAAGAAGACAGAAAAGAAATCAGAGATGGGCTACATCAGAAGAAAAAAAACAGAGGAAAAAAAGGGGTCTTCTGAGCAGCCATGCTTGCCCCTGGTTCCTGCAGTCAGTCCTCCCTGAAAAGGGACGAGGAACAGACCTCTCCTCTGGGCAAGAGGCCATGTAATATCTCATCCTCTACCCCTTCTCTTTAGAGTCTATCCCTTCTCTGTGCCTTCCAGTCCAGGATATACTCTGAATTGCTTACAGAAAGTATTGGAACCACTTTTCCCAGAACTGGGAAAAGACATCAGCAATGCCCTTCAAATTCCAAGTTCTAATTGTCTATTGCTAGATGGCAAGAATATCACTACAAACATTTTGAAGAGCAATTTGGCAATATTCATAGGAAGAGCTCTAGAATTGTGCATACTATTTGGCCCAATAATTCACCTTCTGAAAAGTCAACCTAAGGAAATAATCCAAAATACATAAAAGGCTTTCTAGTTAAATTCTCTCGGCATCTCAGTTATAACAGTGTAAACCTGGATGGATCTAAATGTCGAGTAATAGAAGAATGTTTTATTCCACTCATATGTTGGAACATCATACAGCCATTGAAAATTGCTTATGAAGGCCAGGCTCAGTGCCTCATGCCTGCAATCCCAACAGTTTGGGAAGCCAAGGTAGATGGATCACTTGAGGTCAGGAGTCCAAGACTAGCCTGGCTAACATGGTGAAATCCCATCTCTATTAAAACACAAAAATTAGCCAGTCGTGGTGACATGTGCCTGTAGTCCCAGCTACTCAGGAGGCTGAGGCACGAGAATCACTTGGACCCAGGAGGCAGAAGTTGTAGTAAGCCAAGATTGTGCCACTACACTCTAGCCTCCTGGATGACAGAGCAAGACTCCATCTCAAAAAAAAGAAAGAAAAAAGAAAAGAAGAGAAAAGGAAATTGCTTGTGAAAAGCACATAACAAGGGAATATATTTGTGTTTTAATTGTAAGTGTAAAATATACACAAAATACACAAAGCGTACATACAAGATGGTTTTAACTATATAAAATGAAGGCATAAAAACAAGGGGTTCAACTCACTAGGGAAAATGCACATAGAAATTCCAGTGAGACAGAATTTCACACCATCAGAATTTAAAGTCTGAAAATTCCAAGTGTTGGTGATGCTATGGAATAAATGGAACTGGAACCATAATTTGGCAACATCTAGTAAACTTGAAGAATTTCCTTTTCTGGGTGTATACCCACTGGAAATCTTCTACATGTATGGAAAGGGACAGCCACAGAAAAGTTTACTGTTTGTAACAGTGCATCATAAAAGCAACTCATCAGTTAGTTATTAATTTCTATTAATAAGAGAAGAGATGAATAAATGGTAGTCATAAAAAGGCTCACGCCTGTAATCCCAGCACTTTGGGAGGCCAAGGCGGGTGGATCATGAGGTCAGGAGATCGAGACCATCCTGGCTAACACGGTGAAACCCCGTCTCTACTAAAAATACAAAAAATTAGCCGGGAGCGGTGGCGGGCTCCTGTAGTCCCAGCTACTTGAGAGGCTGAGGCAGGAGAATGGCGTGAACCCAGGAGGCGGAGCTTGCAGTGAGCCGAGATCGCGCCACTGCACTCCAGCCTGGGCGACAGAGCCAGACGCTGTCTCAAAAAAAAAAAAAAAAGGAATACTATACAGCAATGAAAATGGAGGAACTATAGCAAAATCAACAGGGCTAAATCTTACAAACATAATATTGAGCATCAAATGTAAATTCAGGAAAAAATAGCTTTGTAAACCTTTAAAACATACAAATCAATACTTTATACTAATTAGTAATAGATGCATGTAGAGTAAGAATATAAAGAAATGTAACATAATGCTTATCTCTTATAGGGAGAGAGAGAGACATGACAGGAAAAGAGGACACAGGGAGTCTCAGTAGTATAGCTGAATGTTTCATTTCTTTTTTATCATTATTATTATTATTATACTTTAAGTTCTAGGGTGCATGTGCTCAATGTGGAGGTTTGTTACATATGTATAAATGTGACATGTTGGTTTGCTGCACCCATTAACTCCTCATTTACATTAGGTATCTCTCCTAATGCTATCCCTCCCCCATTCCCCCACCCCTTGACAGGCCCCAGTGTGTGATGTTCTCCACCCTCAGTCCAACTGTTCTCACTGTTCAATTCCCACCTATAAGTGAGAATATGCGGTGTTTGGTTTTCTGTCCTTGCAATAGTTTACTCAGAATGCTGGTTTCCGGCTTCAACCATGTCCCTACAAAGGACAGGAACTCATCCTTTTTTATGGCTGCATAGTATTCCATGGTGTATATGTGCCACATTTTCTTAATCCAGTCTATCATTGATGGACATTTGGGTTGGTTCCAAGTCTTTGCTATTGTGAATAGTGCCATAATAAGTATATGTATGCATGTGTCTTTATAGTAGCATGATTTATAATCCTTTGGGTATATGCCCAGTAATTGGATCACTGGGTCAAATGGCATTTCTAGTTCTAGATTCTTGAGGAATTGCCACACTGTCTTCCACAATGGTTGAACTAGTTTACACTCCCACCAACAGTGTAAAAGCGTTCCTATTTCTCCACATCCTCTCCAGCACCTGTTGTTTCCTGACTTTTTAATGATTGCCATTCTAACTGGTGTGAGATGGTATGTTACTGCAGTTTTGATTTGCATTTCTCTGATGACCAGGGATGATGAGCATTTTTTCATGTGTCTGTTGGCTGCATAAATGTCTTCTTTTGAGAACTGTCTGTTCATATCATTTGCCCATTTTTCATGGGGTTGATTTTTTCTTGTAAATTTGTTTAAGTTCTTTATAGATTCTGGATATTAGCCCTTTGTCAGATGGGTAGATTGCAAAAATTTTCTCCCATTCTGTAGGTTGCCTGTTCACGCTGATGGTAGTTTCTTTTGCTGTGCAGAAGCTCTTTAGTTTAATTAGATCCAATTTCTCTATTTCAGCTCTTGTTGCCATTGCTTTTGATGTTTTAGTCATGAAGTCCTTGCCCATGCCTATGTCCTGAATGGTATTGCCTAGGTTTTCTTCTAGGGCTTTTATGGTTTTAGGTCTAACATTTAAGTCTTTAATCCATCTTGAATTAATTTTTGTATAAGGTGTAAGGAAGGGATCCAGTTTCAGCTTTCTGCATATGGCTAGCCAGTTTTCCCAGCACCATTTATTAAATAGGGAATCCTTTCCCCATTTCTTGTTTTTGTCAGGTCTGTCAAACATCAGATTGTTGTAGATGTGTGATGTTATTTCTGAGGCCTCTGTTTTGTTCCATTGGTCTGTATCTCTGTTTTGATACCAGTACCACGCTGTTTCAGTTACTGTAGCCTTGTAGTATAGTTTGAAGTCAGGTAGCGTGATGCCTCCAGCTTTATTCTTTTGGCTTAGGATTGCCTTGGCAATGGGGCATCTTTTTTGGTTCCAATGAACTTTAAATTAGTTTTTTCCAATTCTGTGAAGAAAGTCATTGGTAGCTTGATGGGGATGCCATTGAATCTATAAATTACCTTGGGCAGTGTGGCCCTTTTCACGATATTGATTCTTCCTATCCATGAGCACGGAATGTTCTTCCATTTGTTTGTGTCCTCTTTTATTTGGTTGAGCAGCGGTTTGTAGTTCTCCTTGAAAAGGTCCTTCACATCCCTTGTAAGTTCGATTCCTAGGTATTTTATTCTCTTTGTAGCAATTGTGAATGGGAGTTCACTCATGATTTGGCTCTCTGTTTGCCTATTATTGGTGTATAGGAATGCTTGTGATTTTTGCACGTTGATTTTGTATCCTGAGACTTTGCTGAAGTTGCTTATCAGCTTAAGGAGATTTTGGGCTGAGACTATGGGGTTTTCTAAATATACAATCATGTCATCTGCAAACAGGGACAATTTGACTTCCTATTTTCCTAATTGAATACATTTTATTTCTTTCTCTTGCCTGATTGCCCTGGCCAGAACTTCCAACACTATGTTGAATAGGAGTGGTGAGAGAAGGCATCCCTGTCTTGTGCCAGTTTTCAAAGGGAATGCTTCCAGTTTTTGCCCATTCAGTATGATATTGGCTGTGGGTTTGTCATATATAGCTCATATTATTTTGAGATAAGTCCCATCAATACCTAATTTATTGAGAGTTTTTAGCATGAAGCGCTGTTGAATTTTGTCAAAGGCCTTTTCTGCATCTATTGAGATAATTATGTGGTTTTTGTCTTTGGTTCTGTTGATGTGATGGATTACGTTTATTGATTCCTGTATGTGGAACAAGGCTTGCATCCCAGGGATGAAGCCAACTTGATCTTCGTGGTTAAGCTTTTTGATGTGCTGTGGGATTTGATTTGCCAGTATTTTATTGAGGATTTTTGCATTGATGTTCATCAGGGATATTGGTCTAAAATTCTCTTTTTTTGTTGTGTCTCTGCCAGGCTTTGGTATCAGGATGATGCTGGCCTCATAAAATGAGTTAGGGAGGATTACCTCTTTTTCATATGATTGGAATAGTTTCAGAAGAAATGGTACCAGCTCCTCTTTGTACCTCCGGTAGAATTCGGCTGTGAATCCATCTGGTCCTGGGCTTTTTTTGGTTGGTAAGCTATTAATTATTGCCTCAATTTCAGAACCTCTTATTGGTCTATTCAGGGATTCAACTTCTTCCTGGTTTAGTCTTGAGAGGGTGTATGTGTCCAGGAATTTTCCATTTCTTCTAGATTTTCTAGTTTATCTGCATAGAGGTGTTTATAGTATTCTCTGATAGTAGTTTGTATTTCTGTGGGATCAGTGGTGATACCCCCTTTATCATTTTTTATTGCGTCCATTTGATTCTTCTCTCTTTTCTTCTTTATTAGTCTTGCTAGCAGTCTAACAATTTTGTTGATCTTTTCAAAAAAACAGCTCCTGGATTCATTGATTTTTTAAAGGGTTTTTTGTGTCTCTCTATCTCCTTCAGTTCTGCTCTGATCTTAGTTATTTCTTGCCTTCTGCTAGCTTTGGAATGTGTTTGCTCTTGCTTCTCTAGTTCTTTTAATTGTGATGTTAGGGTGTCGACTTTAGATCTTTCCTGCTTTCTCTTGTGGGCATTTAGTGCTATAAATTTCCCTCTACACACTGCTTTAAATGTGTCCCAGAGATTCTGGTACATTGTGTCTTTGTTCTCATTGGTTTCAAAGAACATCTTTATTTCTGCCTTCATTTCGTTATTTACCCAGTAGTCATTCAGGAGCAGGTTGTTCAGTTTCCAGGTAGTTGAGCGGTTTTGAGTGAGTTTCTTAATCCTGAGTTCTAGTTTGATTGCACTGCGGTCTGAGTGGCAGTTTGTTATGATTTATGTTCTTTTACATTTGCTGAGGAGAGCTTTACTTCCAACTATGTGGTCAATTTTGGAATAAGTGCAATGTGGTGCTGAGAAGAATGTATATTCTGGTGATTTGTGGTGGAGAGTTCTGTAGATGTCTATTAGGTCTGCTTGGTGCAGAGCTGAGTTCAAGTCCTGGATATCCTTGTTAACCTTCTGCCTCATTGATCTGTCTAATATTGACAGTGGGGTGTTAAAGTCTCCCATTATTATTGTGTGGGAGTCTAAGTCTCTTTGTAGGTCTCTAAGAACTTGCTTTATGAATCTGGGTGCTCCTGTATTGGGTGCATATATATTTAGAATACTTAGCTCTTCTTGTTGAATTGATCCCTTTACCATTATGTAATGGCCTTCTTTGTCTCTTTTGACCTTTGTTGGTTTAAGGTCTGTTTTATCAGAGACTAAGATTGCAACCCCTGCTTTTTTTTTTTTTTTTTTTGCTTTCCATTTGCTTAGTAGATCTTCCTCCATCCCTTTATTTTGAGCCTATGTGTGTCTCTGCACGTGAGATGTGTCTCCTGAATACAGCACACTGATGGGTCTTGACTCTTTATCAAATTTGCCAGTCTGTGTCTTTTAATTGGGGCATTTAGCCCATTTACATTTAAGGTTAATATTGTTATGTGTTAATTTGATCCTATCATTTTGATGTCAGCTAGTTATTTTGCCCGTTAGTTGATGCCATTTCTTCCTAGCATCCATGGTCTTTACAATTTGGCATGTTTTTGCAGTGGCTGGTACCGGTTGTTCCTTTCCATGTTTAGTGCTTCCTTCAAGAGCTCTTGTAAGGCAGGCTTGGTGGTGACAAAATCCCTCAGCATTTGCTTGTCTGTAAAGGATTTTATTTCTCCTTCACTTCTGAAGCTTAGTTTGGCTGGATATGAAATTCTGGGTTGAAAATTCTTTTCTTTAAGAATGCTGAATATTGGCCCCCACTCTCTTCTGGCTTGCAGAGTTTCTGCCAAGAGATCCGCTGTTAGTCTGATGGGCTTCCCTTTGTGGGTAACCTGATCTTTCTCTCTGGCTGCCCTTAACATTTTTTCCTTCATTTCAACCTTGGTGAATCTGACAATTATGTGTCTTGGGGTTGCTCTTCTCAAGGAGAATCTTTGTGGCGTTCTCTGTATTTCCTGAATTTGAACGTTGGCCTGCCTTGCTAGGTTGGAGAAGTTCTCCTGGATAATATCCTGAAGAGTCTTTTCCGGCTTGGTTCCATTCTCCCCGTCACTTTCAGGTATACCAATCAAACGTAGATTTGGTCTTTTCACATAGTCCCATATTTCTTGGAGGCTTTATTTGTTTACTTTTACTCTTTTTTCTCTAAACTTCTCTTCTCACTTAATTTCATTAATTTGATCTTCAATCACTGATACCTTTCTTCCACTTGATCGAATCGGCTACTGAAACTTGTGCATGTGTCACGTAGTTCTCGTGCCAAGGTTTTCAGCTCCATCAGGTCATTTTAGGTCTTCTTTACACTGTTTATTCTAGTTAGCTATTCATCTAATCTTTTTTCAAGGTTTTTAGTTTCCTTGCAATGGGTTCGAACATCCTTCTTTAGCTCAGAGAAGTTTGTTATTACCAACCTTCTGAAGCCTACTTCTGTCAACTCGTCAAAGTCATTCTCCATCCAGCTTTGTTCTGTTGCTGGCGAGGAGCTGCGATCCTTTGGAGGAGAAGAAGCACTCTGGTTTTTAGAATTTTCATCTTTTCTGCTCCGGTTTCTCCCCATCTTTGTGGTTTTATCTACCTTTGGTCTTTGATGATGGTGACCTACAGATGGGGTTTTGGTGTGGATGTCCTTTTTGTTGATGTTGATGCCATTCCTTTCTGTTTGTTTGTTTTCCTTCTAACAGTCAGGTCCCTCAGCTGCAGGTCTGTTGGAGTTTGCTTGAGGTCCACTCCAGACCCTGTTTGCCTGGGTATCACCAGCGGAGGCTGCAGAACAGCAAATATTGCACAACAGCAAATATTGCCACCTGATCCTTCCCCTGGAAGCTTCGTCTCAAAGGGGCACCTGGCTGTATGAAGTGTCAGTCAGCCGCTACTGGGAGGTGTCTCCCAGTTAGGCTACGTGGGAGTCAGGGACCCACTTGAGGAGACAGTCTGTCCGTTCTCAGAGCTCAAACACCATGCTGGGAGAACCACTGCTCTCTTCAGAGCTGTCTGACATGGACGTTTAAGTCTGCAGAAGTTTCTGCTACCTTTTGTCAGCTATGCCCTGCCCCCAGAGGTGGAATCTACAGACGCAGGCAGGCCTCGTTGAGCTGAGGTGGGCTCCACCCAGTTCGAGCTTCCTGGCCACTTTGTTTACCTACTCAAGCCTCAGCAATGGCGGACACCCCTCCCCCAGCCAGGCTGCTGCCTCGCAGCTTGATCTCTGACTACTGTGCTAGCAATGAGCAAGGTTCCGTGGGTGTGGGACCTGCTGAGCCGGGCATGGGATATAATCTCCTGGAGTGCTGTTTGCTAATACCACTGGGAAAGTGCAGTATTTGGGTGGCAGTGTCCCAATTTTCCAGCTACAGTCTGTCACGGCTTCCCTTCTGAATGTTTCATTTCTTTAGCAGGATGGTGGGTAACTGATTGTTGGCTGTACTATTCCTTATACCTTTTGGTACCTCTTAAGTATTCTATAACAATTTAAAAATATAGAATAAATGATTACATGGAATCATTTCAAGGAATGGAATGGAATGGAATTAGCTACAGCCAGTAATACAATGGCTATCTCTTGATGGTAAGAATGAAAATGAGATTTTTCTTCTTTCTACTCTTCACCATTTGATAAGCAAGTACAATCTGGAAAACATATAATTTATTTACAAATAAGGAGGCACCAGTCAGAGCCAGGATCTACAGAGACAAGAGACATATAGGAGAGTGTGGCCAAAGTAAGGACAAGAGGGCATCCTTTTTTACTCCCAACCAATAAGTCCCTTTCCTCTGAGTAACCCCTGTCTCAATTGGTTTGAACTGACCAGGCCCAGAACACCACAGGAATTTTCTGCAGCTCCTCTGAGCTCAGTTCAGTTAGTCAAAAATACCATGAAGGCCTACTATGTGCCTGGCACAATAGAGAAGCCTTGCCTTATCTTCGTCCAAGCGCCTACTCATCGCAGACTAAAGGCCCGGTTTTTTCCTCTACCAATCTGCCCCCAGTTCCTTCCATAACTTCCATAATCAGGCCAGCCCTGTCCTGAGACAGGACCTAGTGATTCAAGATGCATCTGCTTCTACCTAGCAATGCAGTGCAATGGGAGCTAACCCAAAGGCATTATTCCTAAGTAAAGGTGCACAGGGAGCTCCACCTGATATCATACTACTATGGGCTCTTTTGCAAACCAAATAAAATACTCCAAAAACCAGCTGCTCACCTCCATTGGCATTCATGTTTAGACTTCATCAATTTTACTCAACTGTTTATTGTTGCTAATGAGTTTAGAAAGAGAGCATTCTGAAAATAGCCAAAAGGTCACTGAAGAACAGAAGGAAAAAATTAGAAGTGTGCACTCTCAAACTTGCTCGAAGAGAAAAGCCACTCACCAACTAGCCCATTTATCTCACTGAACAAACCTTTGTTTAGGGCTTACCATGTGCCATGTACAGCTCTTAGTGCTTCTCAGATATTAACATGTTTGGTCCTCATAACAACCCTGTGATGTATCCATGATTAGTAACCTTGTCATGTTATGAATGAGGAAACTGAGGCACAAGTTCACATAGCTGCCAGGTAGAGGTACCAAGACCCAGGCCCACACAGCCAGGCTTTAGAATCCCAGCTACTCACCACCATGCTGGGCTGCTGCCCCCCATGCAAATGAGCTTGTAAGGAACGGGAGTTACTTTGTCAATGGCCAGACAGAAATAAACCTCTATATTCCATTATTTTTTCCAAGAAATCACTGCTTTTTCACAAATCCAGAGTTTTCCAACCTGAACCCAGTAGTATGACCCATCTCCTCTCCATAAGGACTCACCAAAGATCATGAGGCTTACGTGTCCTAAAACCACTTACTCAACCTCTCAGGACCCAGCCCCCACACCCCACCAATCACCACCTTTTGTTCAAGTGGCTCATTCTGGGGAAAGGTTGAATGAGGAAACTAGTTCTCAGTACAAGAATCTCCAGTCAATGCCAGAGGAGGAGGAAGTGACTCTTGCTGGGAGCTGCAAGTGCTTCACAAAGAAAGTTTTCAAGATTAAAAATCAAAATAAGAGTGCGATACCTGACTTGGAATTTTTGCCAGAATATCAAATGTTTTATTACTGAAAATACATACTTTTTTATGATAAGTGGGCAATGGGCATTCTCATACACTGTTGGAAAGGATAAATCAGTACATTTCAGGTGGGGATGTTTTGGAAAAACCTGTTAACATTTTTTTCAACGTGTATACTCTAACCCTGTAATTCCACAGCTCAGAATATACACACACTCACATAGAACTATAAGTCACAGTTTTGTTTCCAATAGAGAAAACAATCAGGAAAAAACTAAAAATCCATAATTAGGGGTCCAGTTAAATAAATCATAGCATATCCAAACAGTTGAATACTTCACAGTTCTGACAAAAATTAGGTAGATCTAGTTGATATGGACTGGAAATATCTTTAAGATACGTTATCAAACAAAACAAACAAAAAAGACTCACAAGACTGGTTGTAACATGTTCCATTTGTATAAATGTTTAAAAGCATATGCCTGCATACACATGGGGAAATTTTTAAAATGTTTTAATGTTTAAAAGACTACATGAGAAACTGACAGTAATTCCTAGGGTTGAGGGAATATACAGAGAAAGAGTTTTATTTTTCATTTCATACTTTACTATGTTTTGAGGTTTGGGGGAGGGGGGTTTGTGGTGGTTGTTGTGGTTGTTGTTGTTTGAGATGGAGTCTTATTGTGTCACCCAGGCTGGAGTGCATTGGCATGATCTCAGCTCACTGGAACCTCTGTCTCCTGGATTCAAGGGATTCTCCTGCCTCCTGAGTAGTGGGGATTACAGTTGCCTGCTACTAAGCCCAACTAATTTCTGTACTTTTAGTAGAGACAGGGTTTCACCATGTTGGCCAGGCTGGTATTGAACTCCTGACCTCAAGTGATCCACCCGCCTCAGCCTCCCAAAGTGCTGGGATATCAGGCGTGAGCCACTGCACTAAGCCTTGAGTTTTTAACATGTGTATATATTAGCTTTAGCTATTGTTTTAATTTTAAATAAATTTCTCTGATTTGTTTACAAATAAGTAGCTTTAATTGTATTTTTCAAATATATATAGATATATATTATGTAACACATATATTTGTGTGTATTATGTACATATGTACATATACATATTTAGACTAAGATAATAAACGGAAAAAAGATGTGTCATTGGATCTGCACTAACAGAGACACATAAATATTACACAGTATTATTGTCAACATTAATGATACTGATTTTCAAAACTTGAATATACAATTCAATTTCTTAAACATTCTTTCTGTTTATCTTCCTACCACCTCTGTCCATTTTGTTTGCACTTTTCATTAGAAGGACAAAATGGGAGTTTTTTTGTTTTTTTGTTTTGTTTTGTCTTGCTTTGTTTTATTGAGACAGAGTCTTCCTCTGTCACCCAGGCTGGAGTGCAGTGGCGCGATCTTGGCTCAGTGCAACTTCCGCCTCCCGGGTTCAAGTGATTCTCCTGCCTCAGCCTCCCAAGTAGCTGGGACTACAGGCACGTGCCACCACGCCTGGCTAATTTTTTGTATTTTTAGTAGAAGTGGGGTTTCACCATGTTATCCAGGATGGTCTCATTCTCCTGACCTCCTGATCTGCCCGCCTCGGCCTCCCAAAGTGCTGGGATTACAGGCGTGAGCCACCGTGCACGGCCAGGACAAAATGTTTTTGGTGGATAATATAAAGCCCAATCCAACTGCCACAAATTTCAAATAAATAATTCAAATTAATCATGCCACAAGGTATCTATTATTATGGAGGGTTTTTGAAGAATAAGAGTATTCAAAACAATAACTGATGACTAAGTAGAAGGGCAATTATAGGAGGAAGACAGAATATTTAGGCAAGAAGGTGAAAAATTGAAAAGAAAAAACTAGACAAGACAAGAAAACAGTTCTGTGTCTGCAGTGAAGATTTGTGAGAAGTAAATGTGATTACAAGGGAAGGGGTGTTTCTCGGTAACTGAAACTTGACAGGAAGGACATTAAGATATGACAGGGTTTGAATAGACTAGATTTGGAAAGGTAGAATCATAAAGCTGGAAAAAACTCCAAGAGACTTCCCAAGGTCTCTAAAAGAATAGCAATTATTTGATGATATAAGACACTGAAAAGATGTTAGGTGAAATTATCTATTAAACATCATAGGATTATAAATCTACACCCTGGATAGATCAGTAAAAGCAATCTCAGTTAAAAGTGGACAAAACTGCATCTCTCCGCTGCATTTCTTAAAAACCTCTTTGAATCGGATCATACACTTACACACATACACACACACTTACACAAATCAGGGTGACCAATCATCCCAACTTACCGGGGACTGAGGAGGTATCTGGAATTCAAGACTTTCAGGTCTAAAACTAGGAGAGTCCCAGGCAAATCAGGAACAAGTTGGACACCCTAACACAGAGAGGATAGATAGAAAGATAGATGGATGGATAGATAGAAAAGATAGATAATGAATACAGATAACCTTAGAGACATGTCTCTGAAATGTATTGTGGAGCATTATAAAATAAAATTAAGATTCTTGCTGTAGCTTCTATTATTTTTAATAGAAGCAATATAAATTGAGTATAGCCATTAATTACACCATTTCCATATTCTGTCCCTCGAAGCGAAATGGCATGGGTTAGTGAGACTTTTGCGTACTCTGCACCTAGAAGAAAACTCTTGTAACATGCCAGTCAAGATGATTACAGTGGAGTCTATTTAAGATCTAATTCTATCCAAATTGATAGCAGGATAGGGCTGATATTTCATAGTACTTTTAGATTTTCTTTAAAACTAAGTAGGGCAATTTCTGGGATATGAGAATTATCAGAGTTTGTTATAACAGATAATCTACTGACTGATAAAAGATCTTTAACCGAAAGCAAATGACTTTGGGAAACCATCTCTTTGCCACCGTGCATTGGTATTGCCTCCTTCACAGTCACCACGGGAAGAGTAAATCTATAGTTATGTTCCAGCAGCAATTTCCTCTCACATAAGTATGCTCCTAGGTTTTTCTGAGTACAGGCCACTCTCTTGCCTGTAAGAGTCTGATCAAACTGACACATTACAGCATTTCAACGAAATTCCTAAAAACAATAAACAAATCCTCTTCAATGTAGGATCTTCAGAAAAACAAATTAGATACAGTATACCACACTGTGATTTCATAATTCAATATATCCATTTCACTGGTTTCACAGCATTAAACTGACCCATGATGGTTTCACTGTCTTTTATCATCTCTCATAGGAAGAAATGAGGACATATAAAAGGTTCCTCAAATGTAAAATGCGAAATGGAGACTATTTCCTCCTCCCTCTCTTTCTCAAAAGAATATCCTGCTCCTCCCCCAGTCACCTCATCTCTGTAAAATGGCACCACCATCCATCTGGTGGCTTCAGCCAACCATCTAATAGTTATCTTTTAAATTGTTTCCCCTCACTGCCACATTTCCAATTCATCAACAATTGCTATCAGTTCCACTTCTGAATCATTTTCCAAAAATCCCCATTCTTCTGCCTCTCTACTGCCATTACCTTAGTCCAAACCTTCCTTCCTCAGGTGAAGCTGCAATCGCCCCCTAAAAGCTTCCCACCCTTGAACCTCCGCTATTCATTCCCCAGGGAACAGCCCAAAAAGTATTTTTTAAACACAAATACAAACTACCATCAGAGAATACTATAAACACCTCTACACAAATAAACTAGAAAATTTAGAAGGAATGGATAAATTCCTGGACACATACACCTTCCCAAGATTAAACCAAGAAGAAGTCGAATCCCTGAGTTGACCAATAACAAGTTCTGAAATTGAAGCAGTAATTAATAGCCTACCAACCAAAAAAAAGCCCAGGACCAGACGGATTCACAGCCTAATTCTACCAGAGTACAAAGAGGAGCTGGTACCATTCCTTCCGAAACTATTCCAAACAATGTAAGAGGGACTCCTCCCTAACTCATTTTATGAGGCCAGCATCATCCTGATACCAAAACCTGGCAGAGACACAACAAAAAAAGAAAATTTCAGGCCAATATCCCTGATGATCATTGATGCGAAAATCTTCAGTTAAATACTGGCAAACCGAATCCAGCAGCACATCAAAAAGCTTATCCACCAAGATCAAGTTGGCTTCATCCCTAGGATGCAAGGCTGGTTCAACATACGCAAATCAATAAATGTAATCCATCACATAAACAGAACCAACGACAAAAACCACATGATTACCTCAATACATGCAGAAAAGGCCTTCAATAAAATTCAATACCCCTTCAGGCTAAAAACTCTCAATAAACTAGGTATTGATGGAACATATCTCAAAATAATAAGAGCTATTTATGACAAACCCACAGCCAATATCATACTGAATGGGCAAAAACTGGAAGCATTTCCTCTGAAAACCAGCACAAGACAAGGATGCCCTCTCTCACCACTCCTATTCAACACAGTATTGGAAGTTCTGGCCAGGGCAATGGGCAAGAGAAAGAAATAAAGTGAAATCAATTAGGAAAATAGGAAGTCAAATTGTCTCTGTTTGCAGATGACATGATTCTATATTTAGAAAACCCCATAGTCTCAGCCCAAAATCTCCTTAAGCTGATAAGCAACTTCAGCAAAGTCTAAGAACACAAAATCAATGTGCAAAAATCACAGGCATTTCTATACACCAATAATAGACAAACAGAGAGCCAAATCATGAGTGAACTCCCATTCACAATTGCTACAAAGACAGTAAAATACCTAAGAATCCAACTAACAAGGGATGTGAAGGATTTCTTCAAGGAGAACTACAAATCACTGCTCAAGGAAATAAGAGAGGGCACAAACAAATGGAAAAACATTCCATGCTCATGGATAGGAAGAATCAATATCGTGAAAATGGCCATACTGCCCAAAGTAATTTACAGATTCAATGCTATCCCCATCAAGCTACCATTGGCTTTCTTCACAGAATTAGAAAAAACTACTTTAAATTTCACGTGGAACCAAAAAAGAGCCCATATAGCCAAGACGATCCTAAGCAAAAAGATTAAAGCTGGAGACATCATGCTACCTGACTTCAAACTATACTACAAGGCTACACTTACCAAAACAGCATGGTACTGGTACCAAAACAGATACATAGACCAATGGAACAGAACCAAGATCCTCAGAAATAACGCCACACATCTACAACCATCTGATCTTTGACAAACCTGACACACACAAGCAGTGGAGAAAGGATTCCCTATTTAATAAATGGTTCTGGGAAAACTGGCTAGCCATATGCAGAAAACTGAAACTGGACCCATTCCTTACCTTATACAAAAATTAAAGATGGATTAAAGACTTAAACGTAAGACCTAAAACCGTAAAAACCATAGAAGAAAACCTAGGCAATACCATTCAGGACATAGGCATGGGCAAAGACTTCATGACTAAAACACAAAAAGCAATGGCAACAAAAGCCAAAACTGACAAATGGGATCTAATTAAACTAAAGAGCTTCTGCACAGCAAAAGAAACTATCATCAGAGTGAACAGGCAACCTACAGAATGGGAGAAAATTTTTGCAATCTATCCATCTGACAAAGGGCTAATATCCAGAATCTACAAGGAACTTAAACAAATTTACAAGAAAAAAACAAATAACCCCATCAAAAAGTGGGGTTCTCAAAAGAAGACATTTGTGTGGCCAAGAAACATATTTTAAAAAGCTCATCATCACTGGTCATTACAGAAATGCAAATCAAAACCACAATGAGATACCATCTCACACCAGTTAGAATGGTGAGAATTAAAAAGTCAGGAAACAACAGATACTGGAGAAGACGTGGAGAAATAGGAACACTTTTTTTTTTTGGAGATGGAGTTTTGCTCTTGTTGCTCAGGCTGGAGTGTAATGGCACAATCTCGGCTCACTGCAACCTCTGCCTCCTGGGTTCAAGTGATTCTCCTGCCTCAGCCTTCCCGAGTAGCTGGGATTACAGGCATGCACCACCACAGCTGGCTAATTTTGAATTTTTAATAGAGACAGGGTTTGTCCATGTTGGTCAGGCTGGTCTCGAACTCCCAACCTCAGCCCACCTCAGCCTCCCAAAATGCCAGGATTACAGGCATGAGCCACCGTGTCCCGGGAGGAATGCTTTTACACTGTTGGTGGGAGTGTAAATTAGTTCAACCATTGTGGAAGATAGTGTGGAGATTCCTCAAGGATCTAGAACCAGAAATACCATTTGATCCAGCAATCCCATTGCTGGATACTTACCCAAAGGATTATAAATCATTCTACTATAAAGACACATGTACATGTATGTTTATTGCAGCACTATTCACAATAGCAAAGACTTGGAACCAACCCAAACGCCCATCAATGATAGACTGGATAAAGAAAATGTGGCACATATACACCATGGAATACTATGCAGCCATAAAAAAGGATGAATTCATGTCCTTTGCAGGGACATGGATGAAGCTGGAAACCATCATTCTCAGCAAACTAACACAGGAACAGAAAACCAAATACCACATGTTCTCACTTATAAGTTGGAGGTGAACAATGAGAACACATGGACACAGAGAGGGGAACATCATACAGCAGGGCCTGTCAGGGGTTAGGGGACTATGAGAGGGATACCATTAGGAGAAATACCTAATGTAGACGACGGGTTGATGGGTGCAGCAAACCACCATGGCACATGTATACCTACGTAATAAACGTGCACATTCTGCACATGTACCCCAGAACTTGAAGTATAATTAAAAAAAGAAAGAAAATCTTAAAACCGTTGATGATTGTAACATACAGTAATTTCAGATTTTTTTAATGTTACATATTCACAATGAAAAATATAATTCAATGAATAAACCAAGAGTTTTAAAAAAAGTCTTCAAGGGCTTCTATTGCATTTGGACTACAACACCAATGTTTTTATCATGACCCACATGATGCCATCTGGTCCAGCCTCTGCCAAATCTCCATTCCTGTCTTGTGCCACTGTAGCCCTCAACTGCTATGCTTTAAGCATCAAATTAACAGACACATTTATTGATTTTGAGCAAATATATTTCAGCTTTGCTGGAATCAGCAGAAGGAGGGTGGCATACTGCCTACATCCAAAAGAAATGATTATCCTAATACCTTCCATCTCTGTCCTTTTATTTAAATCTAACATTTATATTCCTTTATTTTTGCCTCATAGATAAAATTTGAAACTGGCAGATAACATCATTCTTTTCTGACAATTGGAAAACTGAAACATGCAGAGAGGTCATAATGCATAAAATGGCCATGTCTACCTCAACTTAAGTGTGAATTAAGCATTAATGGAATTTCAGGCTACAATTCATCCTACAGAGTTATATTAAGTCAGCAGCAAATATATGTCCTATTTTGTAAAAACTCTTAAGAACCTATAATGTTACATCTCTTGAATTCATTTTTAAACCATGTTTTAAATGTCTGTGTCATCCTCTAATATCCCTGAAAATTGTGATATTATTCCCCATTCAGGATTATCTCTACTGAGAAAAATTTTATTTGCATTGTCATTCTGGCAAAGAAGGTCTTGAAATACATAAACCACCTGGGTCAATAAGAAACTATCACTAGTTTTTCCTAATGTCAAATATCTAATTAAGAATCTTTAACAATTCAAAACAAAAATAAAAATTCAGAAAATCGAGTGGAATATTTTTACCAATATGAGTCAAGATTTATTTTTGTATGGATGCTAAAATTACTTTGTAAAAGAGAATTTTCACTGTACTTTCTCTCTTGCTAGCAACCACAGATATTCCTAAAAATTGGGAGAACGAAATTACCCAGACATGCAGAAAATACTGATTACTTACGCCCACTTCAGTTCAACCAAAATAGTTCTAAACTGATTTCCTATTGCTTTGGAGAAAAAGTATATACCCAAAGAAATTCATACCCAAAATATTTTATAAAATAGAAGTACCCTGGTTTGAATGGGGGTAAAAATCCGGAGCTCCACCTGCTGAGCCATCTCCTCACGATAGTTTTCCTAAGAAAAATCTAAGACTTATAAGATTCACTACAATCCACAAAAGTTGCTGGAATTTTACTTTGGATCCTGTTTAAAATGATGGATTTTATAACACAAGTTTAAGAAGCATCAGATGTTCAATTTGTTTTTGATTTACAGTATTAGTTCTATTTCTATTCCTATTTCAATGTGACTGTCTTTCTCTCTATCTCCTTATACTATTTACTCTGCTTTTATTCTGTTTCCAGGCACTGCAATTGCAGTGACAATGAGTTTTGAATTCCTAAAACACAAAGGAGAAAGAATGTGTATTTCAAGGGATATATTCAGTATTTTTATGTATTCAATATTGTTTTTAGGAGGATGACTTTGTTTTTAATCAAATGAGCCATAAGACACTGCCCACTGTAATGTACGACTAGTCACTACACTTGGTAATGACAATAAAAGTCAATGGTTTGAGGCCAAATTCCCTGGTACTGAAATAAGAACAACAATAACAGAAAAAGGCATGTGAACACAGCTTCCTACAGCTTTCTACAGATTTGGGGATTTCACTATTTTATATCAATAAATCTGAAATAGAAGAGGGTATATCACAACAGAACAAAATAATGCTATAAGTTTCAAAGGAACATAGCAATAAATAAATTAAATTCAAGGACAAGAGAAAACCTTGCCGGGTGCAGTGCTCATGCCTGTAATCCCAGCACTTCAGGAGGCCAAGGTGGGCAGATCACAAGGTCAGGAGTTCGAGACCAGGCTGGACAACATGGTGAAACCCCGTCTCTACCAAAAGTACAAAAAAAAATTAGCCAGTCGTGGTGGTGCGCGCCTAATCCCAGCTACTCAGGAGGCTGAGGCAGGAGAATCACTTGAACCGGGGAGGAGGAGTTTGCAGTGAGCCGAGATCGTGCCACTGCACTCCAGCCTGGGCGACAGAGTGAGACTTCGTCTCCAAAAAAAAAAAAAAAAAAAAAAGCGAGAGAAAACCTTAATTGCATGCCTTGTGGACTAGATCATTTAGAGCACCCTCTCCACTAAGCACTGTTGCATTCTTTTCAGTCTTCATCACTTTGACCCCCACCTGGATGCAGACCTGCCTTAGTGAGCAGCCTGGGTCAGTCTGGGTAAGCAGACATTTTGTGTAGCATAGGTCTAAAGAGCACTGCTCAGCCCAATTACACCCAATACCCTCTTTATTAAGAGAAATTTTCTTATGTCTCCTTTGCTATCCTAAAGTAAAATTCACTGATAGTATAACCCACTGATGCACATGTTTTATAAGGCTCTAACAGATGTAAGGAAGAAGTAAAAAGCAATTTATATTTTAAGAATATACACTTGAAAATGTAAATGCTCAGGCGTGATGTCTTAGCCCTTTTGTACGGCTATATCGGAAAACTGAGACTGGGTAATTTTTAAATAACAGAAATTTATTTTGCTCATACTTCTGGAGACTGGGAATTCCAAGAGCATGGCACTGGCATCTGGTAAAAGCCTTCTTACCGCACCATCTCCTGGCAAAAGGCAGAAGGGCAAGAGAGGGCAAGAGCAGGAGCGACGGGTGGGGGGGACAAACTTGATTTTATAACAAACTTATTCTCATGATAACAACATAAATCCATTTATGAGGGCAGAGCCCTCGTTATCTAACACCTTCCATTAGACCTGCACCACAACACTATTGCATTGGGAATTAAGTTTCCAACACATGAAATTTAGGGAACATATTCAAACCGCAGCACAGGCCAAGCACAGTGGCTCATGCCTATAAGCCCAGCACTTTATGAGGCCAAGGTGGGAGAATCACTTGAAGCTAGGAGTTCAAAACCAGCTGGGCAACATAGGAAGACTTTGTCTCTACAGAAAAAAAATTAAAAATTAGCTGGGCACAGTGGTGTATACCTGTAGTCTCAGCTATGTGGGAGGCTGCGGTGGGAGGAGGGCTTGAGCCCATGACTTTGAGGCTGCAGTAAGCTATGATCATGCTATTGCAGTCCAGCCTGGGTGACAGAGTGAGACCCTAGCCCTACAATCTATTTTTTTTTTTTTTAGATGGAGTCCCACTCTGTCTCCCAGGCTAGAGTGCAGTGGCGTGATCTCGGCTCACTGCAACCTCTGCCTCCCGGGTTGAAGCGATTCTCCTACCTCCTGAGTAGCTGGGATTACAGGTACATGCTACCACACCAGGCTAATTTTTATATTTTTAGTAGAGACGGGGTTTCACCATGATGGCCAGGCTAGTCTTGAACTCCTCACCTCAGGTGATCCACCTGCCTCGGCCTCCCAAAGTGTTGAGATTAAAGGCGTGAACCACCCCGCCTGACCTAAGTTTTTTTTCAAAGCACAAAACTATATTAAAATACCTAATGAAGCAAAGAGGAGATATTATATTCTTTTGATTGAATTATTAATAATATAGACACACTCCTGCCAGGATTGCCAGAATTTAGAATCTACTTTCAAAGTTTGTAGGGGTTATATCACTTAGAAATATATTCAACTTCCAGTAACACATTGGAAAAAGACCTAGATAAATAGAGGCTTATATCTCTCTCATGAAAAAAATCAAGAGATACACACCAAGGGCTGAAATGATGGCTCCATGGTCATCAGGAATGAAGCTCTTTCTGTGTTTCTGCTGTGCCATCTTTAGCACATAGCTTTTATCCTGAAAATCATCTCTTACTTTCAAGATGGTCACTGCAGCTCCAATCATCAAGCCCGTGATCCAGATATCAGGATGAAGAAAGGGGCAAGGACCAAGTCATACATTCCAGCTGTTTCATACTCCTTTAAAGTGCTTTTCTGGAATTCTCACAAGACACCTGCTTACCTCTCATGGACCACAACATCTTTCTGCAAGAGAGACTAGGAGATAACAGTTGCATATCTGGGCACATGGCTACATCCAGCAATACAGGAGTTTTGTTAATATGGAAGAACAGGAATATGGATATTGACTTGGCAGTTCATTTGCTCATTACTTAGAAATTACAGATTCCCCTAAGGATGGGATAAATAAGCTATCCACAGGTATTGAAAATAATGATTAATCATTGCCTATTTGAGCTCTCTGTTTCAAGGACAGACAGACCAGATGATCTTCTGAGAGTCTCCCAACTCTGCTCTATAGTTTTGCTTGACTCTGTACTTCATTTTCTAGTGTAAGGCACAAAGAAAATCTTCAGTTCCTAGGCCTGTACCTTTGCTCATTTTGTGGGCTAGTTCTCACAACCAAAATGTTCTGTGGCCTCCCTCCCACTTCCCCAAATCCTACCAATCTTGGCTCAAGCCTTCTCTGATTACTCTAGTCCAGTTGATCTTCTCCTCTCTGAATTCTCACCACACACAGTCTATCAAACCTCTTAGCAGTTCAATGTTCTCTGCTCTTTTGTGGGTGCGAGTATTATATTCCCCCAGTATAAGAAGAAAGAGGCTTTTCCCCCCAAAATTCTAGCAGGGATGCTTAAGAAATCCAGCTGGTGAAGGAGACACTCCCACAGGACTGCCCTGGGGAAATGGGCTTCTACACCTGATGGTATGTGAACAGCAAGGGAGCAAAGAAGAAGAAAGCCAACGGAAGAGCAGGATAGCTGAAAAGGACTCTCAGAGAGGTGAGAAGAGCTTGTTTAGCAACACAGGGAAACTTGCAAGAAAGAACAGACATCTAAATATGAACTTTGGGAAGTTTATTGTGTAGAGTGTCATATAAGAAAGGGCAGTGCAGGTTTTAAAACACTTTCAAGAAGACAAAGTGGGCCAGGTGCAGTGGCTCACACCTGTAATCCCAGCACTTTAGGAGGCCGAGGCGAGAGGATCACCTGAGCCCAGTTAAAGACCAGCCTGGGCCAGGTGGTGAGTTCTCACAACCAAAATGTTGTGGAAAAAAAAATTAGCCAGGCATGATAGAGTGTGCCTGTAGTCCCAGCTACTTGGAAGGCTGAGGCAGGATTCACTGGGCCCAGGAATTCGAGGTGGCAATGAGCTGTGATCGCACCACTGCACTCCTGCCTGGGACAAAATGAAACCTCATCTCTAAAAATAAACATAGAAAAAAAAAGAAGACAGAGTGAGGATTCGCATTGTTCTTCAAGGCTTTTTGAGTTGCCGTGTGTTTTGTTCAAATGTGACCCGTGCACATAGCCACTGAGAACAAGCTTCAGACACAGGCAGAACCTCAGTTCTAAGACAATGGTTGTCCACTCACAACAAGCCAATCAACTTCAACAGAGAACAACAAAATTCAGAGGCAAAATGATGGGGTGCTTATGGTAATAGAAGGGAAAATTAAACAACAATAATAGTAAATAGAAAAACATCACACTTATTCTCCTCAAATAAATTTGATACTTCGATTTTTGTACTTAAGAAAAAATGGATATCTGGAAAATTATTTAATGAACTAACGCTTTATACACCAACAACATGAACACCAGCTTTGTTTGTGTGTGTTGCTCTTGTGTTTCTACTGACCTCCCTGTCCCCACTCTCCTCACTCTTAAACCAGTTCTTTTCCTAAGCAATAAATCCTATTACCTTATTTACCTGCTTAAAAACTTCTATTGGTTCCCTGTTGGGTAAATGAGAAAATCAAAACCCAACTTGGCAATAGGCCCTTCCCAGGCCCCAGCTGACTTTCTCTTGGAGCTATTACCCTCATGTCTGCCAGGCTGGGCACTTTATTCATTCTGTTTTTCTCTATGTTCTTCCTCTACAATCATTCTCACCTGCCCAGCTCCATCTCATCCTCCTAGGTAAAGCCTTTGGTGACAAACTCCCTGTCCCTGGCAGCTCCCCACCCTCTCTCCCAGCTTTCCTCGGATCTCTGAAATGCCATCTAAATGTCTGTCACTTCCCTCAGATACAGAAAAGGTCCTATTTCTTACTTTCTCTGAACCCCTGTATACCCAGCAAGGAGCCCAGCACATAGTGGGCAGTGAATAGCTAAGAAACAAAGTTTTTCATTCTGCAAATCACTTTCTACCTTGTTTCCAAGAGCTTCAGGGCAGTTTTCCATAGTCTAACTCCAAGAGGCCCCTTGTCTTCACATGGAAAGCCCAAGAAGTAGATAATGAGAGTTCTCTGGGCCCACACCAATCATTCCTGTAGAACAAATTGATGGTGTTCTCAGGGAGTGACACTGTGGGACACACCCCTGGGAAGCACTTGTCGAAAACTTTCCCCATAGGTATGTCAAGCAAAATGTTGGGGGAGGGTGCAAAAATGTTTCCCTTCCTATTCAACAGATCAGCACATCTTAGAAAGAGAAAATGACAGAGGGAGAGTAGAAGAGCAGAGCATGAAAGAGAGGGTGGCTATCCAAGGACAGTCTCTGCTGTCTGTCAGCTCACACCTCCTGCCACTCCCTGCTACTTAGGAAATAGTTCCAGCCAATTTCTTGCCCTTTTCCCATTATTTTTTCTATCTGGGCCTTTCCACCGCTAACCAAAAAGGAAAAGAAAAATTTGATTTCCACCAAAAATCAAAATATGTGATTTTACTAGGATTATTTATCTAGATAAATATCTCTCTTGTCAGTATTAATGTGTATATTACATTAAGTGGTATTTATTTTGTACTGGCAAACAAAAAGAATAACTCAGAGTTTCTACTCTCTCTATAACCAGCAATATCCCACAAGTTAAGTCCATTTTTCTCAGATAGAGAAATATTCTCAGAATAAACTGGCTTATCATTCCAATGTTTTACATTTAAATTGTCTGAAGCTTCTTTTCCTTTTTTCAGCTATTTAATGTTCAGCATCTGCAGATTCTAGTTCCAGAGTTAGATCAGCCTGGAGAGCTTCTAATTTCTTGAACTCTCCGTTCTGACCTGATTCCTACCCCCAGGGAAATATAATGCAGCTTCTGGAATCTTTCTAAACCACACAAGGACTGTTGTGGAAGGACATTTCAGTCATCAGAGTTTATGACTCAGAGCTTTTGAGCATCTAAGTTCCAGTATCTGTTTTTAAACTGTCTCTTGATCAGAGTTTAGGTCTTCTAGTTTCTCCCTATTTTACATTATAGAAACTAAATCAAAGGATTAATAAGACAAACAATGCTTGCAAATATAAAGTGCTATTGCAATGTTAGATTATGATAATAGGGTATTTTAAGGATGACAAGAATAAATATAAGGGGAGAGAAGGACTCATGAATTTGGGGCAGTCATTTAGGAATTAACCTAATATTTATTTCTACTATATGCCAAGCAATTTCACATACATTCTCCCATTCAATCTTTAACTCTGTGGCATAGACATTATCTCCATTTTAAAAGAGAAAACTGAAGTTCTGAGGGGTTAAATCCCTTGCCCAAGAGTCCCACTGCTAGTGGGTGCCATAGGATTTGAACTTAGGTCCTTTGACTCCTGGTTCAAAATTATTTTCACTGCATAACTTTTGCTGAAAAGACTAGCACAGTCCCTGGTTAGAAATTTGTTATCCATTATCTATGACCCACTTCTAGGGCTTACTAAAATAAATAGTTTTATTCTACTACAACCTCAAAAGTATCTCAAAAAATGAAATTGAGAGGCTCCCCCACTTCTTAGAATGGTTTCACTTAAGCAAGAACCAAGAAAGGTAGAATTTGTAGAGATGTGTAACGGCTCCCAGGATCCTTTACAAACAGGCATAAACCCCTACCTAATGCAGACTACTCAATGCTCCCTCCTTTTGGACTAAATGGGGCCCTTTTACCGAGGAAGCGCTAATATGGCATCAGGCTATTAATGGGAAAAGCATTTACTTTAGATTAAGAAGAGTGTAAAGCAGTGTGGAGGGGGGGCTCTATGACTGGCTATTAGGGATGTTAATTAAATATTTATAATGTCTAAATTAGCATAGCGAAAGCTCAATTCATCAATTTGTTCTGGTCTGTTTGTAAGGGGGAAAAAATAACTCCAAATGCCCCTGAAGAAAGACACTATGTGGGTCAATAAGAAGATGACTGAACAATTTATTATGATTGTGGTAAACTTTTTATTTGATTTTATTTAAAGGTACTTGTTGCAGCACCTTACCTTAAAGACCATTTACCACAGTCAATATACTGGAGGGCCATGCATTATTCATTGTTATCCAATGAAAAATTTTCTAAGGTGCTTCAATGCTGAATGCCTGATTGATTAATTGATTGCTTGATAGTTACTTCCAAAAAGTAAGGACTAGATTTAATGTTTAGAACCAGGCGCTGGAAGCTAGAAGCTCTGAGTTCTTCCTCTATTGCTAACTAGCCTGCTGAAGGACTTAGATTTCCAAGCCTTAAAATGATATCTTGCTAATATAGCTGTTTTTAGGCTTCCTGGTTAATAATTAAGAGGACTAGTTGGATCTTCCACTGAAAACTGCTAAGTGTGCGGCTGCTTCTCCTCAGATTGGGGTGGAAAAGCCAAGCATATTAATACCTAAATACCCACAGCCTGTGGGCATTATGTACATGCTTAATGAATGTACTTTATGAATTCCATTAGTTACAATTACTTTTACCTCATTTTATTATAGGAACGTCTCAAAAGGGAAAAGCCAACTGTCTAACTTATTTTCAACTGTAAATGAGACTGGCTGCAATGGAGACTTCATCACCAGCACATAAATGGAGTTGTCTATAGCTAGCAGAGTCTCATCACCACTCACACACATTTGGGTAAACACAGTTATGGGCGAAAAGTCTGGAATATTTTACAGACTCTCTCCACACTGGCCCAGCAGTTTCACAGTCATATTTAATAAATGCACTCCTTTCCCCAAAACTAAAAATATTAAAACTTTCTGAGGACTTTTCGTTTGTTTTGGCTATAATTAACATTTTTCTAATTTGCGGGTATTTTGTCTGCTATTCCTATGAAGAAGTGAGCACAAAAAACATTTTGAACCTTCTTCATATGGGTGCATCTAAGTTCCCTCTCTTACTTTCCCCCTTTGGACAATCTGGCCTTCTCTAGAGGGAGGGCTGGCGTGAAAGGGTTAAAGGTTCTCTGGTCAAAATAGCCCAACAGAAGGAGCTGGGCCCAGAGCTGAAATCTAAGTGCTAATGACCGTTGCCCTTCACCCTACTGCTGTCCACTGGCCGGACCTGCGGCCGGGTGGGGCCCCGGACTGGGAGAGGGCACAATATTCTGCATTTAACATTTGAACTTCTCCTATCCGAGGCAGCAGGCCGTTTTGTCCTGGGGTCGCTGACCCTGGCTCCCCCATCAGCTGCCCTGAAACCTTAATTGAATGACAGATGGTCATTTTCGGGGGCGCCAGAAGCTGCGGGCGGCCAGCGGCGCGGGGACTGCGGCCCCAGGCCCCGGCAGTCCTGCCCGGACTCTGCCAGCAAGGGGCGGGCGGCAGAGGTAGCAGGCGGCTTGCGGAGCTGGCCTAGCCTGCGGGCGCGACGGGATCTGCGGGCGTCGGGCGAACGCGTGGCAACGAGCACCTGGAGGAAACCCCGGCGTAAGAGGCCGCGCGGGCGTTAGATCACCAGGTCCTAGCGTCCCTGCCAATTCCCAGACCGAGGGCCAGACGCAGACTAGGCCCGAGCTAGGCCACCCGGGAGCCTGGCCCGGCCTCCGGCCCTGGAAGGCGGCAGAAAGGAGACAAAACCTCTGTCTTTCTAGGCCGAAGGCCTGAGTTCCAGCATCCTGGGTCCCCACGCGTCGGGGTCTGGGGCCAAGACCGCCCACAGTCGGCGCCCAAGCCCAAGACGCCCATCCCGGACCTGGCCTTCCCGCCAGGGCCCGCGCGCAGGTCGGGAAAAGGCTAAATCCCGCGTGCTGCCTACCCTACGCGCCCAGCGGCGCCTTCTCGCCAGCGCCATGCCGGGCCGGAACCCAGTGGGCCTCCACATCCCGGCGGGCCGCCAGGTGGGCCCTGGCTACTGGCCATCCCGCCACCACCCCGCTGCCCGGAGCTTTCTGAGCTCTGGGGTAAAAGGCGCCCCAAAAGGCCCCCGGAGGCACCGCAGCCCAACCGTTCTGCCTCAGCCGCCTGCCGGCGCCCTAGTGTCCTATTTCTTTAAAATAAAAGCTGCGAGCCCTACAATTACTGGGATTACAGTGAGCGGGTATTGATCCGCAGCCGGCATTGTAGGATCAAGCGGGCGGGAGGAGGCAGACATCGCCGCCCCAACCCCCCGCCGCCGCCGCCGCCGCCTCGTCCGGCAAAGCGAAAAAAAAATCTAAATGTTTGATTTCAAACGCACCATCAACACCTGCTGCAAAAGAACGACCCCCCCCGCCACCCAACCCCGCCCTTCCGCACCTCCTCCCCTCTCAGCCCGTGGGCCTCCCAGGCCCTAGCCAGCTATGCCACCACCTTCAGCCTTTTATTTTCTTTTTTTATTTTTTTTTAATTACTGAGGGAAAATATAAACATAAGCAAAAAAAAAAAAAGCCTCCCCTGCAGGCGCGAGCGGGGGTGGCGAGGAGGCCGACGAAGGCGGTAATGCAACCCTAATGCATAGATAGCTGACATCAACTTCCGTCAGGCAGCTCCTGGAGATCGAACCTTTCGATTGTAACTGGGACAATTTGCATAGTGATTCCCTTTCAGAGCTTTCCCGGGTCCATAACAAGCCCAGGCAGCTATTCAAATGCAAGTTGCATCCCCAAATGCGAGGCTGGCCTGACCAAAAAGAGCCAGTCGGCGCCCGGAAGAGGCGAGACTCGCGCTTGGGTTCTCAATCCTTCTCTTTTCTCCTTTCTTTTTCCCTTTCTCCTCTCCGGTTCCTGATTTAGCTGGGAGCTGTTTATTTATGGCTGCAAATGTGTGTGTTCAAGAGAGAGAGGGAATTGATCTTTGCCTGGACTTAAAGATGGAGCCGAAGAAGCTGGAGGGAATTTGGGCTTGTGCGTCTGGCCCAGACCCTGTGCGCCGAGCCCGAGGTCTATCCTCCCCGCACCTCTCACCTCGCGACCTTGCAGGAATCCGCGGGCCCGGATGCTGCCCAGCTGACCCTCCTGCCCCGGGCCTGGCTGCAGAGAAAGTCTTCGGGCAGGAGGCCATCCTGTTCCTGTCTTTAAAATGAGCACAATAAAAGGTATCACCTGCGACGTGTGCTGATTACTTTTTTTTTTTTTTTTTACCTGTGCACGGGGCGTGTTGTGGGGGGTGCGGGGTGGCTCACAGGTTCGGGGGGAGGGAGGAATTAGGGGGCTTGAAATTCAGTTCCCTGTTTCCCTATTTATTTCTCATTTGAAATTATGCAGATTGACTCTCCTTTCCTTCCCTCCTAGGGGGCAAATCCTCGAACGCGAACCTGATCTCATGTCACAGAAGCAACTTGCCATGAAATCCGCTAATGCGCTGCGACTCGCCCACCAGGGTAAGCCAGTCTCACAAGCGTTTGGGGGGGGTGGTGAGGGGGAAGAAGTAGGGGCGGTAGGCCGGGGCAAGGGCTCCGGGGGCCTGGCCACGCTGGTCCACCGCTGAGCTTGTGGCCATGCAAACAGGGTGGAAGCCAGGGGCGGAGGGCAGCGGCCGCGTCACGGCCCGGGAGCCGAGCGGGGGCGCCCCCCTCCCAGCCTGCCAGTCCCGCCACGGCAGCTAACAGTTCCTCCCCATGAGTTTAAAGTAACAAATGAGAGGGGGGCCCCCGAGCAGGGTGTAAATAACACGGGCGTGCCCCGAGCTAGTGGCAACTACAGGAGCACGCGTCTGCGGTTTGTGCGCGTTTCTCCCGCCAGGCAGCGTGCGGCGGCCGAACTGCACCTGCGTTTGTGAGCCTTGTAGAAATGGAGCCCACCGGATTCCCTCACCCGGAGAAATGCCCAAACTGAAACTTGACTACACTTCCCTGGGCTGGTTCACGGTTTCATAATCTCCCAGGTTTGCTGGCTGTGTCACCAAATCCAAGCCAAACCTGCTATAAACATGATCACAGGCCACTGACCTCGCAGCACTGACCGATAACTCGGTGGCAAAATCAGCTCCTCTGGTCAGAGGTTATTAAAGCAGCGGCTGAATTCGTGTTTGTTTTTTTGAAGTGGTCAGAAAAACGTAGTCTTCTTAAACCTACAAAAACAGTCAAACACATTTGCAAATGTGCTTTACTTGTATTGGTTCGAGTGCTGGAAGCTGTCTGGCGGTGAGCTTTTTCGTTGCGTGTGGTTTATGCAGAGCACCCGGGATGTTTTTCTCGTCTTTTACGTCTTGGTATCTTTTAAAAATGTAGAATGTGTCTCTGATTGTTTCACAGTATGTTCCTTAACAACCAGATATGTAAGAAAACGTTTGGGATTGAGTGGTGAGAAAAGCAGACTGGAAAGTACAAATAAACCCAATCCAAATGGAAAACAAATTAAACAGATGAAATGATTATGAAAGAAGATGGGGGAATTAACTTGTCTGGAAAAAATCGAGTTTAGGGTCTGAACTTTACAGATTAAATGGCAACACAGAACAAATCCAAAGGAATTAAATCTATTCTTTTGCCCTCCTAGGCATCTGGGTCAGATGCACATTTTGAGGCATTTCAACAGACAGATCAGCTCTGGGACACTTGCACACTTTTTTGGTAAACTGCAACCTATTACGTGACCTTTAATCCTGGTGGAAAACAATTTAAAATGTATTCCTGGCTTTAGGAAACAAAAGAAAAATTTTAAACCCTGGCAGTTAAATTATTACTGGTCTCTACAGGGTTAATTTAATGTAAATAATCTACTCTCCTGAGGGAAAAGGTGGAGGCCTGGCATTCTGGAAGGGCCAGTCAGGTGGTGACAAAACTGTGTGCCTTGGGGTTTTGAGGGGTGTGTTGGGTGGCTCTGAACCTGGCTTTGGGTTTGTTACATCTCTCGCTCTCTTAAAACAGTAACTCAAGATGTAAGTAAAAGTGTTTTCATTTTTTATTGATCCTGCTAACATCTTTCATTATCCAGCATGTAGCCACAGCAAATTATTGCTCATTTGATACTGAGAATTCTATTGACCATCGCTTTCGTTGGAGAGAGAATTCTAACTACTCGGCTGCTCTGTCATCAGTCAGAGCTAAGGCTGAGGACTTTCCACCACTAAAACCAAAATAAATTGAGCCTTCTGCCTCCAGAAATTGATAGAGATGTGTTCATTACATTGGGCCACATGAGCATGCATAGAAATCTGCTTTTTACTCTCCCAGCCTTGCCCCCACTCAGGCAATAGGTCGGCCCCTTTGGAACAGAACTGTCTATTTGAAGGGCTGGGCATTCGTTTGCTTTTCCTGTATCCCTTCTGGCAACTTCTTTCCAGCTGTGGCCAGGTTGGGGCAATGAAATGATGCAATGGGAGACTCCTCCTCAGTCCTGTGGTCAAAGCCACCTTGACTTGCTTAAGCTTAGAGAAATCATTAAAATCTCAAAAACAAAAACAAACAAAAAACCTCCTAAAATGTCCAGATAGGTCACTTTATGGTCTGGATATAATTTCCTAAATTAAACTGCTCCACCCCCATCAAGACCCCACATAATCAAAGAGCAGAGCGGCTAAGTTGGGAAGCGAAGGTTAAGCTCTGGGGTATGCGCCTGTTCACTCTGGAAATGGGCGTCCAGCGGGAATGATAGGCCTGGGCGACTCGTGCACTCACACCAGCCCAAGCGGAAAGGAAGTCTGGGCCTAGAGAAGGCCTGACCTTTGACCCTTGGCCCGGCAGCTCCGGGGTGCTAGAGTCTGCAGAGGGAGGCGGGTTGGGAGACGAGGCTAGACAGGGGCCCGCAGGGCAATAGGAAAGGCTGGGTTTGTTCCCCAGGAAGCTAGTGGAGTAATCTACCTTGACGCAGAAAGGAGCTGGAGCTGCCCCACAGCAGGGGCCACCCGACGCCCGACCCTCTGGCTGCCTTCACCATCCCAGAGGCGGGCAGGTCAGGCCTGTCTGTTGGGATCCAGGCTCCCTTGCCACTTCCCTTCCAGCATCTGGGGAAAAGACGCCCTGACTCAAGGGTGTTCTGGCCCCGCACGACGGGGGGCGAAGAGAGACAAAAGTCGAGCCTAACAGCAGGCGGCTGCTGAGCTGGCGGGTCTTGGGCCACTGCTAGTCCAGCGTTGGCGTCCAGCGGGGCCTGTCACCTTTACAAGTAACAAGGGACCATATCCGCTTCTCCTTAAGCCCTGGACCCCAAGGGGAGGCCAGGACGACCTTGCAGGAGCCATGCCCCCTGGGGATTCTATGGAGGAGATTGTTTGGTTGGGTTTCATTTGCATCAATACCAGGAGATGAACCCTCTGGGTTTGGCTTCAGAACAAACGGAGGACCAATTAACGCCTGTACAAATTAGTCCCTGGCGTGTGCAACCCGCCAAACAACGCCAGTTCCAAATCGGAAGGCACGTTTAGGGACTCTCAGGGACCCGGCTTGGTAGTTATTTTTCCAATGGTGCTGTTAAGTGTGAGTGAAGCTATTTGCACTCTCGCGGGCCTCGCTCCAAGACCCCTGGCACGATGGGGAGCCACTTTGTTCCGGAGGAAGGCAGCGGATGAATAGGAACCCTGGCTGCGCACATGGACCCTAACCCAAGAGCAGCAGCAGCAGCAGCAGCGGAAAGACACGGGTAGTCTGATTCGGCTTGGGGAACGGAAGGGGAGTGTAAGATGAGATACACACCGGATTTTTTTAGTTTTTCCTTTTTTGTTTTTAACGTAGATAAATAACCCCATCGTCCGTGTAATCAGCACGTTCCCAATGAAGTCGTTTTCCTAGAATGCGCTCTCCGCCTGCCACACTTGAGGAATCCAGCCCACAGAGGTTTCGGAAACCCAGTTTGAGTGATTCCAGCCTAGACTGAAACCCTGAGAGCCTCCCAGGAAAGAGAGCCCGGCCTGGGCCAAGCAGTCGGACACACACACACACACACACACACACACACACACACACACACACACACACACGGACTGCGTAGCTCTTCGCAGGATCGAAGGCTGGATGCGGATCTGGGAGGCGGTGGCTAAGCGAACCAGGAAGACTGTGACGGAAACCAATACAGCAGTGTCATCTTGAAAGTTATTTGGAAGAACAGGACCTGGAGTCTGGGTTTGAATCAAAAAATTGTGAGCAAGGGACAGATCACCCTGTATTTCTCTGGAACGAGGCAGAACTGAGACCTGCTCAGCTGAACCAGCGTGGCCACATATTGGGGACTAGGAAATTGTTCTCAGACACTGTAGCACACACATCCTCTGACAGCGAGCTCACTCCTGCGCAGTGGGCTTCTGGTTCTGCCACTGCACTCCACAAACGCCCTACAGGCCTCCTCCAGGTTTTGCCAGGCAAATGAAACGAGCACAACTCGATAGTAAATTATTTTGTTCAGCCTTCTCTCTTTTTATGAAAATAAGAGGCAACACTTTGTCATTTTTAATCACATAAGCAGACAATAAATCTAATTTTGATATTGATTTTTTTTCCAGAATCCAGTGATTTTTTGTAGTGGCTGTTGTGTTTCCTTTCTGAAGAAGGGCTGTTTTCTTTTAGACTGTGTGGCAACGGGGCTGCGTCTATGCAGGCTGGTGCTTATCTGAAACACGTTGTGGACTTTGAAGCCAGATAGCTGACAAGGGATTTTTCCTGGGTGGAAGGAAGTTTGGGTTTTGTCTGAGACAGTGATTTGAATGGGCCGCCCCGGTGCCCTAGACTAGATTTAAGGCTCTGACGGTGCTTTTAGGGGTTACAGCATTTGAGATTGACAGGCTCAAGTTTTTCTCCAAATAAAATCAAATAAATAAAAATAAAAACAACCCCCAAATCTTGCTGATGTCAGGGGCCCAGATGGCACCGTGGGAATATTACTTAGCAAGAGGAATGCAACCTCCACGGATGTCAGAAATGTACCACGCTCAGGAAAGGGGCACGACCCTGCACAGGTTATGGACTGAAGCCTAACTGAGAAACATCAGGAAAGGCCAGTTACAGCGAAAGGGCCCCAGAAGCTTAGGTGCCGCCTCTGCATCCTGAGGCTCACCTGGCACTCTCCTTTCTTTCTCCTTTTTTTCAGAAACAGGATTAGTTTGTCATGCCAAATGGACTGGCACCCTTCATATAAAAGTCTGGAGGTGCAGAGACCTGCACCAGGCTCCCCTGTAGAGAAGGAGGGAGGGGATGAGAGAAGAAAGCTAGGGAGAAGGAAAGAATAAGACAGGGGTGGAGAAAAAGAAAGAAAAAAGGAGGGAGGGGGGAAGGGAGAAGAAAATAAGAAAGGAGTGATAGAGAAGGAAGAAAAGAATGGAGGGAGGGAACCAATGAGAGAGAAAGGAAGGGAGGGAGTAAAAGGGAGAGAGAGAAAGGAAGACGGGAGGGAGAGAAGGAAGAAAAACAGCTCTTAAAAGACCTAATAAAAAACACAAAATTACCCGGTCTTTTCTAGGAAATTGTAATTGCCCTGGTGGACCACCTGGGCCTTTGCCTGCAGTACCAGACGGCCTCTCCTCCCTTCTGAGGCACTGAGCAAATGACAGCCCCTGTGTAAATTAAAAGCTCCTCAACTTTCCGCACCAATCAGAAAGACTGGACTCAGGGCACCCCCGACCACACCGCCAGGCCGGGACACCACCGGCTACCCTAGCATTGCATCGCCCCATCCCACTGCGGCCAGGGGTCGCCCCTCTCCCTCACTCAGCTTCGCCTCCAAGGGCCCAGGACCCTAGCTAGGGGGAGGGGACCTGGCGGCTCTACCCCCAGCAGTGGGGGATGGGAACTCGGGCCTGAGATTGACCCTCGGGCTCTGAACTTTCCCGCGGTCCTCCAGGGTCAGGATTTAACCTTTCGCTCCCCCACCCCCTCTGTTTCTCCTCCTCCCTCTCAGTGGCCCTTGACTAGGGGAAAACCGAGAGTGGGTCGATATTTGGGGCCAGTGGGTAAGTGGGGGCGGCGCCTGTGCCGAATTACAGGAGAATTGGGCCCAGACCTGAGCGCTCACTCTCCTCTAGCCCGGGAACAGCTAGCCTAGAATGTCCCGCGCTTGCTGGGAGCCTTATGCCAAGGCCCAATTAAACCCCGGGCCTGGTAAAGAACCCACGGAGGCACGGGGGACGGGGGAGGAGGGTGAGCGCCTTTTCCAGTTTTCCTACCGTGTTTAGAACGATTTCTCTTCATATAAAGCCTTCCCTCTCCTGCTCAGGCACCAGCCACCCGTTTGCATTTTGGGGATCCCGAAAGCCTTGGCCAGATGGGCAGGAGGCCACAGTGCAGAGCCCGACCTGGGCCCCCGACAAGACCGCAGAATTTGAGCGGGTGCCAAGAGAACCAGTGAAGAAAGTGAACCCAAATCCCAGACCGCTGGGCACCACTAACCCGGCTTTCTGTCCCCGCCTGGACAGCAGGGACCAACTCTGTCCCTGCCCCATTCCACCAACTTTCCAAAGCTTCTGCGAGCAGCGCCCTAGAGGGCTCTTCCGGCGGGGACGGAGGAAGAGGGGCGGCAAGCCGGAGGCTGCCTAGGCAAGCAGAGCGCCCCCCGCCCCCCAGCTCTCCGTGGCTTGGGGTTTTCGCGGTCTCCCCAGCTGGAGCCGGGGCTGCCAGGAGCCGAGAGCGTTAGGTTCAAATGCATCAAGGCTCTGAAGTCATTTATCCGGTTTCATAAATAATTTTCTTATTACACTTAAGCCCGATTCCTGCCCCCTTCCCGTTTTTATTGCGGGGTTTCAGCGGCTAAGAAGTTTCTAAGTCGGGTGGGCCGTTGTTTTCCTTTTTCCATCATTAACATCATTAATATAAGCTATCAATAACCCTGTCGTTGGGAGCCGAGTTTCACGGTATTGATCCACGCAGCTATTCATCTCTGCCATGCAAGACACGGAATAATTTTCGCATTACAGTAGCTTGGATTTGCTTTTAATTCATATTTAAAGCTGCAACCGGCTCAGTGGAGCGCTCTGCGAAAGACTAGAGGCGCCTAATTAATAATAAGTTAGAAACGAAGGAAGGCACCAGCGAATAAATAATTAATACAGACATCTATGTCTCTTTGAATATTGCTCCTTTAAAAATTTAGACTTACCAGGACCATACTGTAAGTCTGCAATTTATATTGCGGGGATGATTTAAGAAAGCTATTTTTTTCCTTGAAATACAATACTAAATTATTCACGGTGTTTTGCAAACCTAAGTTCCTTCATTAGCCAGTCCTTCCGGTTTGTTCCTTCCAGGTGGAAAACACCAATTTTTAAAAATAATCAAAATAAGAATCATAAACTCAACAACTGCCAGCTGAGATTAGCTGCAGGTGGCAGCTACGTGAGAGCAGAGCGTGGGGTCTCTTGCCCTAGGGAGGTGCTGGTGGCTGTCACACAAGGGAGATTGTTAGGGAAGGAAAACAACAAAAGCATAAGTCATTGGCCAGTGACTTTGGGCATTTGCTGGTGCTGGAAGGGATGAAGTTTGAGGTAAACTCGAGGTCTTCAAATGGCCCAATTGAAAGGAGGATGGCATTTGAAGGGTCCCAGATTCCACTCACGGCTGAAAAAAAAATGAAAGAAAGAGAGAGAGAAAGAAAGGAAGGAAGGAAAAGAAAAGAAAAAAGAAAAGAAAGAAAAGGAAAGAAACGAAGAAAGGAAGAAAGAAAGACAAAGAGAAAGAAAAAAAATCAGGAGTTTTAGATAAGGGCTGTTGACAGCCAGCCAGGATTGGATTCTAGACTAGCCAAGGACTGCCAGTAGACTAAAGGTGAATAACAAAATTCAAGGAGGTAGGAGTGACTGAAAATCGGAGGAGGTTTTTGTGTGAGAGAGACCAGGATTTGTTTGCAATGTTGTTAGCAATATTGATTTTTTTTGTTACTCAGATTAATGTATGTTAAACAGGAAAATACAGGCATTAGTCAAGTACATTATAATCATCTATTGTTGAGAGCGAAGTTTCTCAGGTGGTTGATGGAGACCAGGGACTGCGAGGCAGTTCTGGGGGCGTATAAACATTCCAGGCTCAATTTGAGGCAGCCAGAGCCCCAAATGTGGAAAGGAAGACGCAGCTTTACCTCCAGCTCATCTCCCTCTCCCCCTTTTAGAATTACAGCCTCTTATTTAACCAACCCACTACCCGGGTGCATCAGCCTCCAACCTCATCCTCCCTGCTGAGCTAAATGATTAGCGGAATTAAGGAGTGGAGGTGTTCTTGGCCACTCGGGTGGCCCAAACTTCCTCACCCCACCGGTCCATCTGCCCCGCAGCCCCACCTCGAGGTCTCTTGGCCCTGGTAAGCATCCTTCCAACCCTGTGGAGCCTCGATTCAGGGCTGGTGGGGCTCCTGAAACCCAGCGTTGGTGGCATGAGGGCCAGGCATGGCGCAGAACCAGACTGTCTACACATACACAGGCGTCCACACCTGTTAGGCCTGAAAAAGACTCCGGGTGAGGAGGGAGGTGCAGGAGCAGCAATTCAGAAGCGCCTGGAGAACCTCCTAGCTGCACCCCTGGACCTTGGGAGATAACCTGGCCCAGAGAAGCATGCATCAGAGAGTGCAGTCACCACACAACAGTCAGCTGGGAAGCCCCCCACGAATTCCCCCCACAACATCCTCCCTCCCGCCGTTAGACCCAATTCCCCGCCCTGCAAACGGGTTTTAGGGACCAAGGCTATACTCTCAGCTTTTCCTCTCAACCCCCGTCCTGCGCCGTGGGTCACTGCATTTACCGGGAGAGACTCAGGCAGACCCCGCCCGCAGGTAAAAGTCTTTTCCAAGCTCCACAGAAGCCAAAGAGCTCGCATAGGACCCCTCGGGTCTTGGGCTGGTTCAGGAAGGGGTAAGAGAGTGAGGGTCCAGGGAAAAGACAACTGGGCGCTTGGCGAGTCCCTAATTCTACACCCAGATGGCTCTCAGGCCAAAAGGCAGGTGCGCTCGCCCAGAATCCTGGGTGTCCCACAATCAGAAGCCGTTTCTCGTGCCAGCCACGGGGGTAAAGAACGGGGGGATGAGGAGATCGAGACTCGGAAGGCCGACAGGGCTGGAAGGGCAAGAAAACAAGGTAAAGTGTGGAAAAGTGTGAAGGGGAAGGAGGGTTGAAGAGGGAGGCAAAGAGGAGATTAGGCCTGGAGAAAGCAAAAGCCCCGACCTGGCCTAGCAGGCCCCGGAGGGAGTCGAAGGCAACGGGTGGGGAGCCCGGAACACCGGCGTTTCATTTTTAAATCTTCTAGGTGTCTGCGGGTCAAATAAAGACAAGGGCAGTAACGATTATTCTGTTAAATCTACGGTACTTGACTGCGCAAACACTAATTGATTAGACACCAAAATGATTTGTTTAAAGAGTTTTCCTTCCCAAGTGCAGCTGCTGCTCTTGGGCCGGGGTCGGCATTACCCGGCATTAGCTAAGTGGGCCGCGAGCTCGGCCGCCCAGTCCTCAGCCGCCCTCGGGTGGGGTGGCTGGTCCAAGCCCCGTGGATCAGAGGCTCCCGGCTGGACAGCCACCCTCCGCTTCCGCCCTTCCCTGTCCCTCCAGGGCGAGAGAATGGTGCGCCTGAAGATCGTCCTGGGCCGACTTTGCCCTCCGTCCGCCCCTTCTGGGTTTTCCTCATTTCGGGTCGCTTGGAACTACATCCGTCGGTGCAAGAGTTCTCTCGTCCTTCCCCTTGTCCTCTCCAGCCCCTAAACTTGGCATCTCTACCCCAGCGCGGGGCTAATGGAATGCAGGGCCCCAGCGGGGGAGGCACCAGAAGAGGAGCATTAACCGCCACCCCAAATCCGGACAATTCAACGCCCTCGCGGCTTGAGCTGGTGTCTTTTGTAGACTATTTCAATGATATGAAGTTATGTCCAAGAAAGAAATCCCACTGAACTGTTGGCTAGACGAGGCCAACTCCTCCGGAAGTGGGCTGGCAGCGGCCAGCGAGGGGTCCTGCTGCAGAAGAACACCCCAGGAGCCTGGAATCCCTCCCTCAGCCCTACGGCATCAGTATACCTTTCCTCCCTTCAGCGCTCTTGGCTTGAAGCCGTGAAAAAGCCCTCGCGGAATTAGGCGACCGCCAAAACGGATTCCAACCCAGGAGAAGCCGCCTGTAGTTTACCCGAGGACCCAGGAGAGCAAGCGTGTTCTTTTTTCCCCAGCGCAGGAAGTAACCAGAGATACGAGCCGAGTGGTCTGGTGTCCTGGGATGGCCGCCCAGGCAGCCCTCGGCAACTCCCAGAACGTGGAGTTAGTTGCGGATGGCACCAGCTGACAGCCCTTTGACAGAGCATCTTCTCTTTGGGATATGGAAGGGCAAGAAGTAGATAAAACAGAGGAAACTGCAAAAAAAAAAAAAAAAAAAAAAAAAAAGCCCAATTTAAAAATATTTTCTTGGGCAAAAACTGTAATTTGAGAAAGAAAAATGTTACCGAACATATGAATAAAATGATACGCTAAACAGAGTATCAAAGATTGAAGCAAGGGGCTACCATAATTAGTTACCACTTCCTTGGTCCCCAGAGAGTGGAGAGAAGTCATTGAGTGATTTTTTTTTAATGGTTTTCAATAGTGAGTCACCAGGCCACCCCATTCTGAATTTCTTGGTGTTCTACTCTAAGCCTGCAGCAATTTTCTGAATAAAATTTCTCTAGAAGTGGAACAGGAGAGCTTGCCAGGAAGCACCCAGGACCAAGTCTTTCACTCTCCAGCTATCTAGTGCTCTACTGTAGCCAGATACCAAAGAAATGGTTCCTCCCCACAAGTTTAATGTTAGACTAGCTACAGGCATCAGAAATGCCAGTGAATATGCCCTGGGGCTCTAGCCAAGGAGCCAGCCTCCCCCTGGATCCCTGGGTGGAGGAATTTGCCCTGACACCCAGGATCTCGCTCTTTGTGAGTCCAAAAAATGGGAAGTAGACATTTCATGGTTCGGAGGAGCTAGAAACATTTCTTTGGAATGGTCCTGAGAACTGGGACTGGGCCATACGTTACGCCTCTACTACTCACAAAAATAATTAAAGCATTAATTCTGAAACCAATGGAAGGTTTTCAGAGAAGCTCATGTGGCCAGTATTTGGAGGAATGGTTTTATTCTCTTTGCGCTTTTTCTTTGCTGAACCTGGTAGGGCAGCGTGGTAAGCTCTAGCCTACCTAGCAAAAGAAGGATTGCCCCTGTCCATCTCATATCCCAGGTTCTTCTCCTGACATTTACAAAATAAACATCCTAAGTTCCTTGTTTTCACTCTGAAAATATTGTCAGCAACAAGCATCCAGTCATAGTCTTATTTCCTTTTTTCTTACATATATACATTATGTAATTTTCTGCTAGTGATTGACACTATTTTTTTCTTTAAATTTCCTGCAGCTACTCAAAATCTAAGCAGCTAAAAATAAGTCCTCCTCCTCAATCACACACATTGACCTACACCTACCAAGTTTCCAGGGACTCCTCTGTGGACTCTTAATTCCTTCAATCCCCATAGTGTACCTAATGGGTGCCAGGCTCTGTTCTGGGCACTGGAAGGGGGAAAGAAGGAGAGGGACAAAACGACAGAAAGTAGTCCCAGCCTTCCAGCAGTTAACAATCTCTCTAGTGCCCGTCCTCCCTCCACACATGCAAATTCACCTTAACTAGGCCTAAGAAGAGCATTCTTCCTACCCGTCACTTCCTTAGTAAGAAGAAAAATTTTGAGAGGTCAAATAAGAACACAGTAATATGTTGTTTCTGACTGAGAAACCACTGCAACTCAGTCAATTACGGGAGAACAATGGTTAGATAAATGGTGTGAATAGCCAAGAAAGATTAGGGAGATTTGCAAACCAAAGCAAATCCTGCACATACAATATTTTAATGTTTTAGAAAAAAATCAAAAATTACTGAGCAAGCCAACACATATGGTGCTTCTCCAGGTCTTTTCGTTGGCTCCTTCTTTAGGGACCAACACAGAGCCAGCCCCCCTTTTCATAAATGCCCTTGGGGGAGAGGGGAAGTTGAGCTCACCTGATGCCAGCCTTATTCAGGTGGACTCCAGAGGCTCAGCTGAGTGCCTCTCATGAAGGAGGGTTTCCAAGATCAAGTTCCTAATTAGCTACACAAAGAGAAAACCATGAACAATTTGTGCACTTGGTGGTATTTACTTCTTTCTTTCTTTTAACAAACTGCCTTTTGGGAAGATAGTTGTCATAAGGGCAAATCAATCACTTCAGCGGGATTAAAATATTGGGGCGGGGGCGGGGGGACAACTGTTTAGCTGAAAGACTCCCTGCTACTTTAACCCATTGTTTGGTCTCATGCTGTAGGAAATGAGAATGGAAACAATTAAAAACCAAAGATGCAGCTTTCCACCAAGGTACTGTAATATACTAGGCAGGAAATATATGTTTTGTGCTTGTGTGTATGCGTGTATGAATAGGTAGATATAGATACAAGTTTAAAGAGTTAATCGTGTTTTCTGAGTTCCTTTACATCAGTGTATTTTCCCTAAAATATCTTTTCTTCTCTGGGGGTTCCTAAATTCCTAACTGTTCATTATGAAAGTAGACATGAAATCCATTGAGATGAATTATTTGCAGGGCCTCCATATGCATTGTTTGGACAGGATGGGAGTGCCTCTGGTGATAAAACCAGCTAGATTAACCAGTCCCAGGACATGGCCGCCTTCAAGGAAGTCACGTTGACTGTATCCACTGAACTTGACCTACCTGGATTAGGATGTTGCCCTGGTGGTAGCAGGGACCTGGGCAAAGAGATAGGCCTACTCATGCCTGGGCCGGTGGGAACTTTTCCCAAAGGGTTGGCCAGCCCAAACTTTTGCCTTGGAAACCCAACTACCACCACTACCACAGCCTTGGCCTCTCTAAGGGCTTGGGAGCATTTGCAGTGGAAACACCACGGGTGGGCTGCAGTTCGGTGCCCCAGCAAGCAAACCTACAGTCTGAGTCTGGCCCAGCACAGGCTACACACACTTTATTCCATATCTGAGTCCAGATACCCCGGCTCTGAGAGGCTATTCTCATTGTAACCACCGCTTGCCTGGGGCTGAGGCTCGGCGCTGACCCGGCCATAACTGCCACGGGCTGGACAATGGGCACATCTGTCCTTTCTCTGAGGGATGAAAGCACCTAAGCGGACACGGCTCTGCCTTTTGTTGCGGATTTTTTTTCTTTCTTTTGTAAATGAAAGAAAGCCGCGGCATGTGGCGGCCGGGTGTACGTCTCAAACTGGGGGCCTCCGCACACGTCCCCACCAGGCCCAAAGACCAGGTTCGATTCCAGATTGGAGCGTGACTGTGGGAAGGGCGAAATTACTCCCGAAGCTGAATTGATTTTCAAATCTGGAGGCGTCTCTCGGGGACGCCGGGAAAAGGGCGTCCCTAGGGGCCAAGCGGAGACCCGCGCGCCGGCGTCCACCCTGTCTGCGTCAGTACTTCTGGAAAGCAACCGCCTCCGGGTGCTTTAGCAGGAGGGCCTTGGGAGTAACCGCAGGGACGGCCCGAGCCTCCACGGCCCCACCAGCACCCGGAAGTTAACATGGGTACCCTCCAGGGCACTCCCTCCGCTCTCCCTCGCCCCCCTCCACAGGCCGAGTCATCGGCGAAGCGGACGCACAGCCTTAATTATGAGCTGAGCGGGAGAAGGAGCCAGGCGGCGGGGGACAGTGAGGTATGGCCCGAACTGGGATTCTTGGCACTGATTACTCCTCTCCCCAGGGCATGGATGAGAAAGGGTGGGCAAGTATGTATCTGGGAGGACGAAGGGTGCCGGGTCAACGGCCGCCAAACGGACCCAGCCCTTTAAGCAATCTGCACCCCACCCCACCCCAACCCCCATCCCCCAATAGGCCGTGAATTCAAGGGTGGGAAAGCGCACTCCCAGCAGCCCCCCGGGAAATAAAGCTTAGTGGGCTAGAGCCGAAGGGGTGATGACACAGTCCCCAGCTCCCCGGGCAAGCTGCACCGGGAAGCAGCAACTGGAGAGAGAGGGGCGATGTCTCCAAGCACAGCACTCCAGCCGCTAGAAGCCCGACACGAGCGTCCCCGGGCTGGGAGGACAGAGCCCACTCAAGCAAGGGAGGCGAGCGAGCCAGGCGCGAGTCTCCTGGGATTGCAGCGGCGGCCCCAGGTCGCGCTCTGCGCCAATCTTTCGCACGTGCCCGCAGCTCCCTGGCCATCCAGCGCCGCAGGGAAGGCGCTGGGCCCCCTCCTTCATTTGTACCGGGACGCCAAGGGCCTGGCGCGCCGCGACCTAGGGGGCGGGGGCGGGCCTCGCGCATGCGCGCTGCGCCTGGCGGGCGTGAGGGCGGGCCGCTGCGGCGGCGGCGGCGGCGGCTACCGAACCGCGGCCACAGAGTCTGTAACAGTAACAGAGCCATGGCTCAAGCTGGCCAGCGGGGCGGGCAGGCAGCAGACGCGGCAGGCGCGCGGGCCGCGGCAGGGGAGCCGGAGACCTCAGAATTTTAAGAAAGAGAGGGGCGAGAGGTGGCCGAGGCGGGCGGGCTGGGGCACTGCGCTCTCCCAACGGCGCGGATCCTCTTTGGAAATTAATATTAAAAAAAAAAAAGCCGAGGACGCAGAGGGGAAGGTGGGGGGTAAGAGGGAAGGCGAGACACACACACACACACACACGCACACGCACACACGGACACACACACACGGAGAGAGAGAGAGAGAGAGACAGAGCCCCACAGTGAGAGGAAGGAAGGCAACAGTCGCCAGCAGCCGATGTGAAGACCGGACTCCGTGCGCCCCTCGCCGCCTCTGCCTGGCCACATCGATGTTGTGTCCGCCGCCTGCTCGCCCGGATCACGATGAACGCGCAGCTGACCATGGAAGCGATCGGCGAGCTGCACGGGGTGAGCCATGAGCCGGTGCCCGCCCCTGCCGACCTGCTGGGCGGCAGCCCCCACGCGCGCAGCTCCGTGGCGCACCGCGGCAGCCACCTGCCCCCCGCGCACCCGCGCTCCATGGGCATGGCGTCCCTGCTGGACGGCGGCAGCGGCGGCGGAGATTACCACCACCACCACCGGGCCCCTGAGCACAGCCTGGCCGGCCCCCTGCATCCCACCATGACCATGGCCTGCGAGACTCCCCCAGGTATGAGCATGCCCACCACCTACACCACCTTGACCCCTCTGCAGCCGCTGCCTCCCATCTCCACAGTCTCGGACAAGTTCCCCCACCATCACCACCACCACCATCACCACCACCACCCGCACCACCACCAGCGCCTGGCGGGCAACGTGAGCGGTAGCTTCACGCTCATGCGGGATGAGCGCGGGCTGGCCTCCATGAATAACCTCTATACCCCCTACCACAAGGACGTGGCCGGCATGGGCCAGAGCCTCTCGCCCCTCTCCAGCTCCGGTCTGGGCAGCATCCACAACTCCCAGCAAGGGCTCCCCCACTATGCCCACCCGGGGGCCGCCATGCCCACCGACAAGATGCTCACCCCCAACGGCTTCGAAGCCCACCACCCGGCCATGCTCGGCCGCCACGGGGAGCAGCACCTCACGCCCACCTCGGCCGGCATGGTGCCCATCAACGGCCTTCCTCCGCACCATCCCCACGCCCACCTGAACGCCCAGGGCCACGGGCAACTCCTGGGCACAGCCCGGGAGCCCAACCCTTCGGTGACCGGCGCGCAGGTCAGCAATGGAAGTAATTCAGGGCAGATGGAAGAGATCAATACCAAAGAGGTGGCGCAGCGTATCACCACCGAGCTCAAGCGCTACAGCATCCCACAGGCCATCTTCGCGCAGAGGGTGCTCTGCCGCTCCCAGGGGACCCTCTCGGACCTGCTGCGCAACCCCAAACCCTGGAGCAAACTCAAATCCGGCCGGGAGACCTTCCGGAGGATGTGGAAGTGGCTGCAGGAGCCGGAGTTCCAGCGCATGTCCGCGCTCCGCTTAGCAGGTGAGCCGGCCAAGGAGCTGGGCGCGCGGGAGATAAGGTACACGAAAGCCGAAGGGACCAAAGGAGGAAGGGTAGGAGAGAGGGCTGGGTGCGCTTCATCCCGCCCGCCCCTACCCCTAGAAGGGGGACTCCCTGTGCCTGGAAGGGCCAGCACAGGGCTGTGGGAGCAAATTGCCTACTCCAGGGCTCAGGGTGTTGGGCTGTGGAAGGCTCCGAGAGCTAAGCGGCCGGGCCTCGGCGACTGAAGAGGCTCATTTGCGCTCAGGGACAGCGAGGGAAGCTCGTACGGCCTGAGGCGGAGAGAAATCCCCGCACCTGGTGAGACACTCTGCGCCACCTCTCAGTTCAGCGATCCGGGTTTGGGAAGAGGGATGCAACGCGTGCGTGGAATCGCACGCAAATGTTCCTCGCAGGTACCTCTGACACATCCCAGGCGCTGGGCTGGAGCGTGCCGGAGCAGCGTCGATGTTTGGCCGAACTGGCTGCTGTGACCCCCTCCCGCGCTCATTCTTTTGGCGCTGGCTGGGGTGACCTCAATCTAAGAGTATGGGCAAAAAGTTTCAGAGCCATTGGGCGGTGGGTGTGTAGCACAGACGAGTTGTAAGGGTTAGGACGCTCTCTGCGCATGGAATTGGCTGTGGAAAGGAGAGGGAGGCTGACCGTCCCAAGGTCCCAGTGAGAGCTGCAAAGCAATAGCCATGTCCTGGGACCGACTCCGCTGCCGACTCCCTGAGGACTTTGCATTTTGTTTTATTATTCCTCTTCGCGATTTTCGTCTGAATCCCCGTGCGGGAGGGGGGTTTGGGGATGAGAGTGTGTAAATGACCCCCAAGTCTAGGAGCAGAGGTCTCCTGCCCGAAACCCCAAGCCCCAGGTGTTTCTGAGTTCAGCTGGAAGCTCTCCTTGGCGCAGCGCAGACACCGCGCCTGGCTCCCCGAGACCGCGGATAGGCAGAGAAGAAAGCTGAGCCCAGCCCGAACCCCACCGGGGATTTCAGGAGGATTCGGCGACCCTTGAGGGTAGAGAACATGAGGGGAGGTAGAGCTAAGGACAGCGGAGGGTGGCCTGGGTTTGATGAGATCCGGCCGGCGGTTGCCAAGTTGATTGACTCCTGGTCCATGCCCCCTCCCCCCCCACTCCCCCACCCCCCACCTCCACCTCCATCTCAGCCCAGCGCCCAGGCCTGAGCCTTGGCGAAGAGAAAAGGTAAAAGCCGGAATGAGGGTTTGTTAATTAACTGATCGTTCTCCATTAATTCGTCCCTGGAGAACGAGAGACAGTCAATCCGCTCTGAGCCGGGGGCACTGAGCCGTTTCACAGTCTAAAATCAAAGCGTGAGGCCAAAGCCCCCTCCTCCAACTCGTGCCTGCCAATGAGAAGCTGGGGGTGGCAGGTGCCGACCAGCCTGCGATTCGTGCCCCGAAGCGACCCAAAGCGTTCTTTGGGTTTGGGCGCTGCAGGCCACCGGTCCCAAAGCACCGCGCTGGCTGAGACTCTGCCCTGCCAGGTTTTCCAGCCCAGCTCTGCCTTCGTTCGCCCCAGGCAAAGTCCTCATGCAGGTTCCTGCAGCCTGCGCCCGGGAACCAGTCAGGGGAGAAGAGGCTCGCTGGGCGCCCCAGCGAATCGCTGGCCCCCGGTTTTCCACTCTCTAGCTCTTGTGCTACCGGCACCATATCTCCACCCGTGGGCTGCCCGCGAGCAACTGAGGTTCCGGAGGGAGTGGGCGAAGGGGCTGCTCCTCGTCCTGACTGCTCCGTCTCTCCAGAGCCCAAGGTAGTGCCTTTTCACACACCCACACCACCCCAGAGCCAGGCTTCAGGGCCTCTTACCCAGGCAGTGCCCGCTGAAGCCAAAGAGTGGAGCGGGGGAATGTGGGAAGAAGATAGAAATGGAGAAGGCTACCCCTCCGGGAAAACTCGGTCCCCATCCCCCACCCCCGCCCCCTGGAGGCTCTTGCTCTGGACTTCAATATCCCTCCTCCCCCCACTGCCTGCTGTCGCCCCCTGGAAGGACAGACTGACACGTTCTGTTCAGAGACGACCTCTGAGCCATGGAAACCTGGCCGCAGGAGCGCCCTCTGACCTCCAAGCGTGGAGAGCTACATAGCCGAGCTCAGGGGACGGCACTGTGGAGGGGGAGGGAGCCTGAGTGCTGGGACCCGCACGCTGGAGGCGCAAACATGGTGCCTGGCAGGTGCTTGTGGCACCCAGGAGGCTATCGAAGGAGCGCCTGCCTGGGCACCCAGCAACCTGTAGAGGTCCATGCAGCCCTCGGCCCTAGGCCCATGGCCTTTTCCTCGAAAAAGTGAAACACTGGAGAGTCCAGCAGGGCAGGCATTTGGCACCAAACACCAAGCCGACTCTGTGTCCTGAGACCCTGAGGAAGCATGTCTATTACATTTTTGTTTCCTTAACTTAAAAGGGATGGTGGAAAGGGCTAGGACTGAGGATTCTGTGTTGGTCCAGGAGGGTCTCCTGCAAGGAACCAGGAACAGTCTCTTCACAACCTATTTTTAAGTTACTGAAGAAGGAGCCATCTCATTAACATTTTCATATTTTAAAAAGAGTGGGGTTATTTTCTGAACTTTCCAAATGATCTCTAACGGGCCAAGTGCATGAGCCTTAAAATGGATTGCAGAGCGCCTTGGCCGTTCCTACGGGACATTAGTGCCTGCCCCCCACTACCAGCTCCCATATGGGGAGGTGCCCCTGGCAGCTTTCCTTGCTGTTGCGCTCAGAGACCCTCCCCAGTCTCGTTCCAACCACCTTGCGAGGTCAGGGCTCACTGAGCTCGGTTCCTTCGCTCCGCAGCGGGAGAGTGGTGGCTTCTCCACGCCCCTCTGTCCTCCAGTTGCCGGCAGCCTGTTGCAGAGGGTCAAAACCCTCTTGCACGTGGCGCTGTGTTTGGGGAGGCGCCTTCCGGTCACGAAATAACAGCGGCTGGTGGAAGAAGGGCGACAGGAGGAAATTCCCACCAAATTAACTACCTTTTAAAAATCAATATATGTTCCCTCCATGTACTACTTGCTGCTGCCCCATTAAAGAGCAGAGCGACAGGGTTCTCGCCGCGTCTCCTCCGGGATGAGGCGGGGGGTGTGGGTGGGTGGCGCGCCTCTGACGTGGGCGTCTATCAAGACCAAGATTAGTTTCCAATTAAAGATTCCAGAGGGCTTCGGCCACACAGCAGGAGCTGCCGGCTCGGAAAGAGACAGCGACACACACCCAACAGCAAGCGCAGCACCGCGGACCCAGGGGAAGGCGGCGCGCAGGCCCGAGGTTCGGGCGGGGGTGGGTGTTGGGCACTCCGACCCTGCCCTGCGGGACTTGGAGGCGAGGAAACCTCCAAACCCCGCGGGGGAGTTGGCGGCGCCCCCTTCCCGTCCGGTGTTTGCCCCAGAACGACCTAAGAAGGACCTGAGCCAAGGGGGGAGGGGTTCGGTCGGGGGGCGGCCATGAGAAAGTCTCGCCCAGCCCAACCTGGGCTGTGTTTGCCCTGAGTGGCCTTGCGGCCTGGTTGATTGATAACTGGCCCCTGCACAAGTCCATTTGCTTTTTTGTTAATATTTATCCCGGGGTGACATTTCAAATGTCCCCCTGCTTTTCTGGGCCATGGGAGTCAGGCAGGAGTGCGGGGCCCTAGGCAGAGCCCTTCAATCCTTGAAGACTTCTGGGCCGGGAGAGAAGCCAGGACTGGGCGTGTGGGACGCAGGAGCTGGAAGCGTTCCTGGGTCCAAGAGTTGGGGGAGAAGGAGTCAAGCGCAGCGGTTTCCTCGCGCTTCGCGTCTTGGCGCTGTGGGTCTGGTGTCGCGCAGCTGCTCCCAGCCCGCTGCGGCGCGAACAAAGGGCCAGCAGGGCGCGACCGACCGTGTCCGCCTCTGAGCCCGGGGCGAGGGGCGCCGCCAGCTGGGAGCGCCTCCTCCGAAGGCCTAGGATGGCCTCCTACGGAGACCAAGGAGTCCCAGAGCCCGCCAGGCCGAAAAGTGGCAGTGCATCCCGGTAGTCAACTGGGGACCCTCACACACACACACCTAGCCGACTGCAAAACCAAAAAAGGTCTCGCTCCTGCGGACAGTCACCAGAAGGCTCTGCGTGGTGCCTGTCTCACGGCCGGTGTCTGTCCCCTCGAGGGTGTAGGACCATAGTTCCCCCTGTGTAGTTCTCTCTGTGTAACGGGCATAAACCCGGGTGAGGAGAGGGAGGTGCGCTTGGGGATAAGAAGTGGGCTCGTGGCGACGACTGGAACCGCTATGGCTGGGGCAGGGGAAACCTACTTCTGGGGCTTAAGGGGGGCTGATGGCTATTGTGTGGCGACCTTGGTGTCAGCGCAGCTAGGATGCCTGCCAGAGACGAACTCCACTACCTGTTCGGAGGTATGCGGCTATCCCGTCAATGGGTGCAGCACCTATCGCCCTGGAAGCATCCGGAGAGGGATCCCGGTAGCTGGGGCGACCAGCCTGACCCAGGGCACAGCGGTTGCTAGAGACCCAGCCCCGACATCGCCGCTTACCACCGACACTTGGGTCGGACAGTGCCAACAATAGCACGGTTGTGTTGTAGCAGCAGAGGACCCAAATCCCAGGATGCGCCTCTCCTTATCTGCAAGCCTCGAGCCCTCCGCGCTCCCTGCTTCCCTCCATTCGGCTCCCTTTCTGGGGGTAGCCGGGCTGTGCTGCGGCTGCGGCGCGCGCCCCCTGCGGGCCGTCGGGGCTGGGCGACCCGCGAGCGTCCGTGGTTCAGCCCGCGGCAGCGAAGAAAGGGATGCTTGCTGCGCCTTTGTTTTTAGAACGTCGTTGTTCTAGTGAATTTCAAAACAATAACTATTTTGATAGGAAGAAAGTGTGAAGGAGGAAGAGAAGGATATCTAGAGGGTCTGTCGGGGTACCTAACAATGCCTGGGTGTTACCCAATTCATGAAAACAAAATTCTCATCTTCCGAAGTACACCTCAGCTCTAACCTCCCCAAAAAAGATGCGTACTTGGATTTTGTATCCGAAGTATGCTTTTGTTGGCGTGTTTTCATTTAAGAAAAGCGGGGTCAGCGTAGAGAAGGTGACCCTGGCGGTCCGAAGTCGGAGGTTGGAGCTGAGGGATATAATACCCGGCGGATTGGCGGTTCCTTTGTTTTGTTGTTTCCTCTTCCTGCAAACTGACCGGAGTCAGGAGGCAGCCCTGAGGCCTTGAGCTGAGAAGTCTTTGTTTCCTCTTGTGTGGGGTGGGTGAAAGGGCCTTCGGAGGCCGACTGGTCTGGAGCCCTGGCGCGGAGTCAGGACCCTGGACAGGGTCCCACCGCCCTGACGCCTGGTCCCATTTCTCTTCGCCCCGGTAGGCAGATAGAATGTCTTTGGGAAGTCATAGTAAGAAAACAAAAATTAACAGCTAAAGTTCCGAAGTTTCTTAGGGCGCTAGGCCCAGCCGGGAATATACACTGGCACACTGAGGTAATCGAAAAGATCAAACCTATCCTCGTCGATCGGGTGGTTGATCTTTTCGTCCCTCCACGCGGCTTTGTGTGAGTATCTGAGTGCACGTGCACACCTGCTTATAAAATCGGAATTCGCGTCCCTGTGGGTGTGACAGGGGTTGGATCATTAAGCTAAAACGTTCAATTCAGTCCCTTTGATCCGCGCTGGGGAAAATCTATAGTCATCTCTAATCTACGAGGTCTTTAAGGAGGTTGTTACACGAGCTGTTTTGATGTCATTATTTCCACATTCATGGCAAATTCAGCTAATCAAACAAATGCTGCTACCCCAAGTTATCAGAAGAAATCGTTCTTACAGAGCATACCAATAAAATTTATTTCTGATTTTCTTGTAAGACAGAAAATCCTCAAGTCTAATAAAGGTGGGTAATTAAGAAGGAGGCTCTCCAATATCCTGCTCCTCAGCTTGAGGCCTTGTTCCTCAAGTGACATTGCTTGTGCTCTTTGTAAAGTCCATTTATTGGAATATTTAAACACCGACTTAATATTTTAAATCAATCTAGGAGCCTTGATGGTTTGAATGAGAAATGACTAGTTTCCTTTCAGTCCCCATTAAAACAGCAGAATTTCCACACTCTTGGTAAAATTGAATGGCCCCCAACCTAGGGTAGCAACAGAAGGAAGGTGTTACTGAAGTTGTGGTTGTTAGAGGGTGCATTTCTTATAATGCTGGAGAAAACATTTAACAAATATTTATTAAATAATACTCTCATTGTGTCTCTATTTGAATAAGATGGATAAGCATCTTTGGGAGAAGAAAGCCACATTATTTCTACATAAAAAATGTCAGTCTCATAGAGTCCAGTAAAAAGAAAAATATTTCTTATGTGAATGGATTTAGTGCACAATCATAAATTCCTACCTTCTATCAATAGGTTTGTATAGGTTCTTATTTTAATACAAGTATGTTAATACTAACGAAGTTTAATTTCCTCCTGAGATAATAAGATTGGGCTAGGTGACTAGACCAATCACAAGACAATCTGATTATTTTGATACAAACATAAAAATTACTTATCACAGGGTCTTGCTATAGAAGCATCCACATATGTCTCTTCCAAGAGATGTTACGGTATCATAAAATTGTAACAAATTAATTTCTAGAAATTTTCTTTTCTTAATAGCTAATAGATGCTGGGCTTAGTACCAAGATGATGGGTTGATCTGTGCAGCAAACCACCACGGCACATGTTTACGTGTGTAAAAAACCTGCACATCCTGCACATGTACCCTGGAACTCAAAATAAAAGTTGAAGAAAAAAAGAAATTTTCTTCTCTTTTAGATGAGGCAATTTAATAAGACAACAGCTGGACAGAACTAGACCCTAAAGTACAACCAATCTCATTTGTCATAGTAACTGATAAGGAAGAAGCTTAAGTTTTTTGTGCACATTCTATTTGTTGGGTACTGTGATCGGAACATAGATGTTCTCATTGAAGACTCAACATTTATACCAGTGGTTCCCAAATCTTGCTATACATTGGAATCACTTAGAGACCTTTAAAAAAACTGATGCCTAGCTGCAGCTTCAGATATTTTGATGTAATTGGTACAGGACGTGACATGGGCATTGGATTTTTATAAACTCCCAGGTGATTTTGATGTGCAGCCAAGTTTGGGAACCATTAGTCTAAGTGGTATTTACCACTTTTTTCCCTGTTGCTCTCTTCAGTGAGGTTAAATAATTTACTTGTGATAACACCACTGGAAAACAGTGATGCCCTGAGCTCAGCTTTCCCAGTCCAAAGCCCAGAACATTTTATCCTCCATCCCATGCTTCTGTTGCCAGGACAGGTGCACCAGGTTAGTGGAGTCAGAATGTGGAAATAACTGATTCAAAAGTCTCTACATAATAAGCTCTTGAAATTAGAGAAAGTGTGTCTTTCCTTTGGGACTCTCAAAAAGAGTCACTTATGAAAACTTATTTCTTTTATACTCAAGACTTGTAAAAGAGATTTTTTATTACTCTTTTTTGAAGAAGCAGCCAGAAAATGTGAGGAAGTGCCAGAAGTAGATGTGAAACCCCAGCCTCCCATCCCTTTGTTCACTTAAACAATTATTGATGGACAAGACCTATCTCATTAGATGTGCCTGTGGGTGGGGCTGGTCCATTCGGTCCCTTGCCTTGAGGGGGGCCCAAGGGCTCAGATCTTCCCATACCTTCAGGCATTGGCATTCTGATCTGCACTTGGACAGCAATTACACTTCTTGGCTCCACATCAGTGCCTGCCTTGCTATTTCAAAGATTGCCTGTAACTCAAATTTTAGGGCTCTGCACTAAAAAGTAATAAATTGACCAAAACAGAGTATATAGGCTGGGAGTTGTCTAGAGGGCATCTTGCAATTTCTGTCAAACACTGCATGTTTCCAGTCACCATGTGTTTCTCATCTTCCTTTGCATATGCCGCCACGGGATATTCAGAATCGACGGTTTCTGAAATCACTGCTTTCGTTTTCACATCTGGTGATGATCTCATAGTCCCAAAGAGAGGTTATCGAAGGAACGCAATAAACTATGTGCTTTTTGCTTTCTTTCCTGTTGTCTTCTAAAACAGATCAATGGGGAAAATTAAATAAACAAACGAGCGAAGCGCGCCACCTAGTGACCTCTGTGCTCGCTGCAGATTCTGCGACTGAAGTGCGTGAGAGGAGTGGCTAAAGCGATTCGAGTATTGATGGAGTCACAAAAATCGTTCATTAAGGCAATTTAATCTTTGCTATTAAATGTCCTTTCAATTCATTTGGGGTAATTAAGATGCAGTTAAAGTGATTAAATTCTAATTACTTATGCTAGACAAAGACATATTTGTCACACTAATGCGGTTAACTAAGGACTCAGAAAGAAAGTTAACATTTACTTCAAATGATGCAACTGGAAAAATCAGTTCCTCTTTTCATCATTAATCCAGTGAGCTGGGTGATTATGTAATGGCACTACCAGCTCATTAAAAGGGGGAAGTGCTGATTAAAATGACTGCTAGGAGGAAAACTGGAACCAGAAGTACCTCAGTACTGTTTGGTCAGCATTCCTGCACAAAATTACTTGGTGTTCTTTCCCTCCAAGCCCCCCACCCCAGAGTAATAAACAGCTCCTGAGTTTCATCCTGACATTAAAAAAGGGCTGCCTCACAGAAAGCTTTTAGCATCTGCCTGCAGACGTTGTTAAACCAAAAGATTTGTTTAAATGGTAAAAGAGGACTTGGTGTAGAGAGGACCAGGCAGATGGGAAGGGATAGGGAGGAAGAGAATTCCTGAAGGACACAGCTCCAGAAGGAAAATTTCCACTACAGGCTTCAAAAGCCCCCTTTGTTCACACCAACACCCATCCTGTTAGGAAGCACTCCTTTTCCTCCCCAGCTCCACATTTACTGTCTGATGGATGGAGACAGATGCCTCTGCCCTAGACTTATATACCACACTCGGTTATTATGCATACTCTGGAGAGCGCTAAGTACCTCTGCTGAAGATTGGTCTCTTTTTGGCATTTTTCCACATTCGCATGTGGATTAGAAACCGTCAAGTCACGGAGGCTAGTTTGCCATATCTCCATAGATCGTTCCCAGAGTCTTAGTATAGCCTAATTATGAGTGCTCCTAAGGGGAAGATGATTTTAAATTTAATGAATTTAAAGTTTTCCTTACAAAAATGGCTTTTTAAGGAGGCACCTAGTATTTGCCTGGTGGGTATGGGGAATGATCCAAGGACAAGAATGATCAATCAGATAATTGGGGACTGTTTATCCCCCAGGAGACCAGTGTCTCTTAGGAGAGTTAAATTTGCATATTGAAACTATAATTTTGGTTTCTTTATCCCATCGAATAATATCACCCGTCTTTATAACCAAAGAAATGAAAGTTATCAAATTCATGCCACTTAAGTTAAACAAGTTTTTTTTTTAAATAAACTGGTCGGCCAGGCACGGTGGCTCACGCCTGTAGTCCCAGCACTTTGGGAGGCCGAGGCGGGCAGATCACAAGGTCAGGAGATCGAGACCATCCTGGCCAACAGGGTGAAACCCTGTCTGTACTAAAATACAAAAAAAAAATATTAGCCGGGTGTGGTGGCCTGCACCTGTAGTCCCAGCTACTCGGGAGGCTGAGGTAGGGGAATCACTTGAACCTGGGAGGCGGAGGTTGCAGTGAGCCTAGATCACACCACTGCACTCCAGCCTGGGCGACAGCGAGACTCCAGCTCAAAATAAATTAATTAATTAAATAAACTAGTCAGTTATTTGAATATTTACAGTCATTATTAATGTAATGGATCGTATTACACCATCTTCAGTTACAAAAAAAAAAAAAAGAAAACCCTCTCTGGATTAAGAATAAAGTGCCCCAGAGGAAGATTTCTGTAGTAATTAGCTCTTAGACATTGTCAAGTAATTTAACCTTTCTGGGCCTCAGTCTCAATAAATGTAGAATGAAGGATTTGGCTTTAGGGTCCCTTCCAGGTGTCACATTCTATGATTGATTGCCTTCTATGATGACTATGTATCTATCCATGGGGAAGCTTAGTTGGGGCCCTAGTCTCTTCTAAGTTTAGTGCTCTGTCTGCAGTTTCAGGTCTCAACAAAGTGTAAGCCTCAGGGGGCCAGTCCCTTGTCAGGTGGTCAGGAGGAAATAACCTATCCAGGCAGGAGCTCTGCCTTCTGGCCCCAAAGTGCTGCAGCTTGAGATTCCATTGCTTGTGTTCTAGTAAGACAAGCTGTTAGCAAGGATATGGGTCATTAGGAACTCTTAGCCACTACTGGTGGAAACGAAAGTAAATTGGCACCTTCACTACAAAAACATAGTGTCAATGACTTGGCATCATCTTCTCAACCTGGACCTACATATATCTAGCAATTCTACCCTTTGGCATATATTATAGGTAAATTCATAAATGCTCTTAGAGACATGCAAAGACTGTTCTTGGCAGCATTGTTCCTAAGAGCAGAAAAACTGAAAAAGCCTAAACGTTCACTGACAAGGAATGCATAAATAAATCATGATATATAAAAACTATTTTTAAAAAAATGAGTAATAAACATAAATTTAGAGGATAGGGGAAGGCAGGGAGATAAGAGGCAAGAACACCCTGTAGCTTCACAAGGCAACTAATGTTCTAGTTCTTTTATTGAGTGGTGGACTCATAGATGTTCATTTTGTTTTTGTGCTTCATATCTTACATATATGATACATATTGTTTGGTAGGCAGTGATTATTATTTATTTTTAACATTGAGGAGGTAGAAACATTGTTTTTGTCTGATTCCTCAACCCAAGCAATTCAGACCAAACAAACCTCAAGACATACTCTATTGTCATTTAAGCAGGTTCTAGCCCCATACTAAATATCAGCTCTCATAGGAATTACATTCAGCCATTTTTGGACGGGAGGATAAAATAAGTAAAAGAGGGAATTTCATTAAATATGGAAAAAAGAGTTAATTTTTTCACTCATTTGAGCACCTGCTGTAGCAAGTTCCGTGCTCAGGACCGGGAATGGAATGTACAACACAATTTTTCTTTGGAACTCACAGTCTAGCAGGGAAGAGAACAAATAACTTTACATGTTTTTTTGTGTGTGTGTGTGTGTGTGTGTGTGTGTGTGTGTGTGTGTTTTCCAGGAAGGAGGAGTTTAAGGTGTGATGAAGGGACAATTTTGAAGATCTGGAGGATGAGTAGGACTTGGGACAGAAATGGAGGAAGAAGTTTCCAGGAAGAGGGAACAACAGCATGCGTGGGGGCCCTGGCTAAACTCCTTTTGTAGAAGAGCTCTTAGATCAGAATTACTATGAAGCTAAAAGCTTGTTTCTTTCCCAGCACAGCTGAGTGACACAAAACATTGCCATCAATTACAAAAGCATTCTCCAAAGCTGTGGTTTTCAGTGGTAGGGAGCCATGGACTGAGGGTGTCCTATTCCTCTAGAAGAGCAAATCAGATTGGAGGGAGAGAAGGGGGGAGAATATGTGCTGCTTAAAAAGTTTCCCCGGTGATTCTAATATAAATTCAAGTGGCAAATTAGAATAATGGTATTGAGAATTTAAGGGTAGATGACTCTTATTTTTACTCCCTTTTCCTACTTACTTCTGGAATAACCTATAGCTCTGTAGCTTACTCTGTATAACTGTGTGTTTGTGTGTGTTTATAAAATCTTTTACTTCTTTTGATCTTTTTGAAATCAAAAGTTCACTCAAAACTTCAAGATCCTTAGAGGAATAATTGATTCAACATGCTCCTCCATCTAAAAAAGTTATTAATGTTCTATAGGTCCTCACTACTCAAAGTGTGGCTCCCTAAACAGCAACATCGACCTCACCTGGGAACTTGTAAGAACTGTAGACCCTCAGGTTCCACCCCACACCTACTGAACCTGAATCTGCATTTCAGCAAGACCCCCAGGAAATTCTTGTGTCCATTAAAGTCTGAGAAGCACCACTGATGGCCATGTTACATCACTCAAAAGGTCTGTTTTCCTTCATTCGCCCAAACACTGATCGGGTGCCTCCTATGTGCCAGGCACTAGGCTGAGTACAGGGGCACGAAAGAGGAATGAGGTGTTTATTGTATCCTGAAGGAGCTCACAGGGAGGAAGCATGCAGGAAAATAAATACCGACAAAGTCTCTGATCTGGGTAGAAATAAAGTTCTGTGGGAGCAGCCAGGAAAACTGGAAAGGAGACTGAAAGGAGATGACAAAGGACCTGGTGTGTTGGTGCAGCCCAAAGGAAGTTGTGACCTGTTGTGGAATGAAATGGTCAGATTTGTGCTTTTGAAAGCATGCTGGAGAGGAAGATAATGGGAGGAAAAGTCGCAAGGGACTAGCTAGAAGTGGCAATAGATTCTGAGGGTCTGATTATATGTCATTGTCAGCAAAGGTGGAGAAAATGGGTGGCAAAATTTGAGAGCTATTTCTAAAGTCGAGTAGACATGGTGGAGAGTGAAAATGGAAATGGAACAGGCTCCTTGCTTCTGGCATGGGAAGCTGGGTGCTTGGATATACCTTTAGCTGCAGAGTGGTTATGTGGATGTCAATATAAAGATGGAATGTTTCAGAATAGTTCACCCTCTCAAATACATTCCTACGATAGGTGGGCTCTCTGGCTTCTGTACAGATTTGAGGCATCCAATCAGTTAGATTGTTTCTGCCTCACCGGAACCTGTTACTTACTGAGAGAGACATGATGTGAGCACGATGCTAATGAGGTGAAGATTGTGGGTCCTTTGGGTCCAGTTTTCACTTCCCGGTGTTGGTGGGCAGTGATGGTTACTCACATTCCATCCAGCCACTTCCCTGGGTACAAGGAGCCCTGAAGAACCAGTGGAAGGGGTTAGCCCAAATCCATCCCTGCTGTTAGAGAAACAAAAGTAACTCCCCAGTAATGGTAGCTCAAGAGCTGTCTATCTATAAACAAAGAGAACAGCAGAGTAGACAGAAGCACAGACATGTAGGTGGGGCAGACAAATGTTGGAAAGTCTTGGTTTGAGTCACTTACAAATCTATCTGTGATGGAAACTAATCAGTTTAATGGCAAGCATATTTTCATAAGAAAACACATTTTACTTTCCTCCGATCTAGTTATTTTCACAGTTGTTCCATAAGCAACAGACTTTTTTAAAGAATTGTTTTTAATTAATAAATATTTTGAACATATACTAAATGCACATCATTATTTTAATTTGAACAGCATGAAAATGTATACAGAAAAAAACAAGTTTTCCTCCCAATCATATTCCCTAAGTCCCCAAGTCCCCCTCCCTTAGAAGAAACCCCTGTTACCAGTTTCTTGTATATTCTTAAGAGATAGTCTATGGCTCTTTAAGAGTGTGTGTGTGTGTGTGTGTGTGTGTGTGTGTGTGTGTGTTCCTCTTTAAAAATAATCAAGGGCCTCTCCCATCTCCCAAAAGATAACTTTCTAGGGAAAGTACTAAATGGCTCTTACTTCTTTTAATTATTTGGCCAGAAAATTGCCTCCCTAGAAGATGCTGCCCAGTGCAATTATCTGAGTAATGAAATTAAAAGAGAAGTAGTACAGGGTGACCACCCCTCTGCGTAGGTTGAAAATGCTCCCAAGTGCTTCAGTGGTGGTCCCCTTATTCTAGCTTATTCTAGCTCTTTTTTTTTTTTTTTAGACAGTCTTGCTCTGTCACCCAGGCTGGAGTGCAGTGGCGCAATCTCAGCTCACTACAACCTCCGCCTCCTGGGTTCAAGTGATTCTCCTGCCTCAGCCTCCCGAGTAGCTGGGATTACAGGTGTGTACCACTGCACCAGGCTACAATTTGTATTTTCAGTAGAGACAGAGTTTCGCCATGTTAGCCAGGCTGGTCTTGAACTCCTGACCTCAGGTGATCTGCCCACCTCAACCTCTTATTCTAGCTCTTTTATGAAAGACAATTCAATGTGTGAAAGATGTTCAAAATGCAAGCTTATAAAACATTATATCTACCATACAGTTTCCTCTTTTAAAGTAATAAATACACTCAGACACAACTACAATATCATTTTGGAGCACTACCCTCAACACAAGGGTGGAGATTTTTTCCAAAAAGTTAATTATTGTACCGCTTATATATACTTTTTTGAATTCTGCTTTTGTCATGACATAGCCTTAGTAAATTTTTTTTAACATTTGTTTGATACTTACCATGTTCAAGCACCTTGTATCTTATTTCTTAATTTATGTTTTAATTTCAATGCTTTTTTAAAAGGTAACTTCTGGCCAGGTGCGGTGGCTCACGCCTGTTATCCCAGCACTTTGGGAGGGCGAGGTGGGAGGATCACGTGAGGTCAGGATTTCAAGACCAGCCTAAGCAACATGGTGAAACCCCGTCTCTACTAAAAATACAAAATTAGCTGGGCATGGTGGCGCTTGCCTGTAGTCCCAGCTATTTGGGAGGCTGAGGCAGGAGAATCACTTGAACCCTGGAGGCGGAGGTTGCAATGAGCCAAGATCAAGCCATTGCACTCCAGCTTGGGCAACAAGAGCGAAACTCTGTCTCAAAAAATAAATAAATAAATAAATAAATAACTTCATTTCTTGTTGCAAATTATTAGTATTATATACATCCTTTGAGCTGGAGCTGCAGGGTAAAACACTAATAAAGAAAAAAAATAAAAGAATCACCCACAGCACCCCACACAGATAACCCTCTGTGTGTGTGTGTGTGTGTGTGTGTGTGTGTGTGTGTGTGTGTATCCTTCCAATCTTTTCCCTATGGGATGGTACATACTACTACTTTGTAACTTTTCAAACTAAAAAATCCCATTATTAAATTTATGGTGGAGTATTTGAAAACACATAAAAGAATAATGGAGACAATAAAAAATCTCTGGTAATTCCATCATCCCTGTCCTTTCCCAAATATATCATGAATAGCATTCATTTATTCAACATATAGATAGAGAGAGAGGATATTTGCAAGAGCCTTCCTTCTCTCTCATTATCCATTTATGATTGGAGTGGACTCAGGCATTCCTTTTTTTTCCAGTGGCTTACAATTCATTACTGTACTTAACTATTTTGGTGCTCAAATTGTCCCAGATTTCACTGACGAGAGCCCTTTCCCTCTGACTCCTGTGTCCCTATGACAATGCTTACATTTTTTTTTAACTTTCTGGCATCATAAGATGTTCCAAGCTCATTTGGTACATATTCTGCCCCAATCCTAGAATGTGCCACTTCTTTGATGAGCCCTGGTTTATCCTGGTGGGGAAACATGTTAGAGTCCAAGACAGCCTAGGCACTAAGTGTGCTCATGGCTTTAGGGTGACTTTTGGTTTTCTACCCTCTCAGACAAAGCCAGGAAACAGATACATATACATTTATTTACACACACATACAAATATGTGTATACACATCATACATACATAATATCCATGTACGCATAAACATGCTTATATACGTGCTCATGTACGTATTTCTAAAATCATTAGTTCATACCAGTACCTCCACCTCCAATTGCAATATATCCTCAGAGGATTTTTCCCTGCCTTCCCCCATTCCCTATTTATATGTCTTTTCCTGCACAGTGGGAACTCTGGTACCCAGTAATCTACCTCTCTCTCTCTCTCTTTCTCTCTCTCTGTCTCTCTCACACACACATTTACTCATTTGCTCAATCCTGTAATACATCTAAAATCATTTCAAAATTGCTTTGCCCATACCCATAAAATAAACAAACCTGCTTAAAAATGTTTTAGTTAAGATTCATTTGCAGTTCTCTCTCCCCACCCCACCTGCCATACCCACGCCCCAGCATCACTTGGGAGCTTGTTAGAAATCCTATGGAATCAGAAACTCTGGCTAGAAACTCTGGCTTGTCACGTTTTAACAAGCCCTGGAAGTGATTCTAATGCATGTTACAGCTTGATAAGCACACGCCAAAATATGCAGCTTGGGTTTGTTATATGCGTATGTGTGTGTGCACTCATGCCACGTCTTATTATATAAAATAACACTTTAAACATCCTCTAAATGTAACAACCCTAAAACAAGCCCAGTACAAACTAATAGGGTTCCTGTCACAGCATGGGTGTGGAGCTGCAGAAATTAAAACAAAAACAACAAAAACCCTCCAGTTCTTTAGTTCATCTCTTGGAGCCAGCCCGGTGGATAATAAGGAGTGGCACAAAAACCTTGTTCTTCCTCTTTCTGGGCATGAGATACACTTACTTGCCCACAGGGATGCCCTTCAGTCCCACAGCTCCCTCCCTTCCATGTTAGGCACTTGGCAGTAAATTCAGACAAGTCAAGATGAAGGAGGCCCTGTCAATTAGCGCTAAAAAGCTCACAGCCATTACTCTGATCTTTTCCTCCATTCTCACCCAACTTCCTCTTTCATCATAATCACAGAACAAAACCCTCTGCCTCCAATGAACTCCGTGAACAAACTTCACACACATCTCGCTTTTTTTTTTTTTTTTTAGATGGAGTCTCGCTCTGTCGCCCAGGCTGGAGTGCAGTGGCACGATCTTGGCTCACTGCAACCTCTGCATCCCGGGTTCAAGCGATTCTCCTGCCTCAGCCTCCCAAGTAGCTGGGACTACAGGTGTGTGCCACAACGCCCAGCTAATTTTTTGTATTTTTAGTAGAGACGGGGTTTCACTGTGTTAGCCAGGATGGTCTCGATCTCCTGACCTCATGATCCACCCGCCTCGGCCTCCCAAAGTGCTGGGATTACAGGCGTGAGCCACCGCACCCGGCCACATCTCGCTTTTTTTTCCTCTGCCAGGTTGTCTATGACAATCAATGCAGCTGGGTTTTACAAGTACAAGTTCACTGTGGGGAGAGAGGAGGGTTACCTGGGCCCAGTCCCACAGAAAGATCCCACAAAGCAGGCTTTCCTGGACCTGAACTCACAGGAATTACCTGGTATTCTTCTCAAAGCACAGATTCCCAGGCCACTCTTAAGATTCTGATTTAGTCAGCCTGTGTTTTTGCCAAAGTATGGAGTAATTCTCTTGAGCTTGGAAAGGTCTAAAATACTGTCCTAGGAGCAAGTGGCTCTCCAATTTATTGGGCATCCAAATTACTGAGAAGCTTGTTTAAAATATCTGCCTGTGATGGGTGCACCAAAATCTCACAAATCACCACTAAAGAACTTACTCATGTAACCAAACACCACCTGTACCTCAATAACCTATGGAACAAAAATGAAAAAAAAAAATTTAGTGATTATCAAAATTACATCTGTTAATACATGCTCATTGTAAAAAAAAACAGACATTACTTAAAGATATAAATAAGAATGCAAACAACATCTATAATCTCACCATTTAGGAAGAAACACAATTTATATGTTGGTATACATTCTTCTAAACTTTTTTCCATAGATATATACACAGACACACACACACACACACACACACACACACACACACTTGCTTTTTATGCAAAAATGAGATGATTCTATCTATGCAGTTTTGTCATCTGCTTGTCCTTTTTGTAAGATCGGATGAATAGTTTTCCACTGCAATAAATATACATCTACATCATCATTCTTAATGGCTATAGAATTTTCTACTATATTTATTTGTTCATTTATTCAATAAATGTTCATATATAGACCAAGCACTGAGCTAGATTCTGGGGATGTAGTCATAGGTAAGCAAGTCTTTGCACACACAAATTTACCATAATTCATTGATTAACTCCCTATAGTTTTCACTACTATAAAAGGATCTATGATGAATATGTGTACTTATATTTTTGAGCACTTGCCTGAATATAGCCTTAGAATAAATTCCTAGAAGTGTTAATTACTAGATCAAAAGTAAATATATTTTAATATTGATATAAATGCAGATCATCTTTCAGAACAGTTGTTCCAATTGATGTTCCCATCAAAAGTGCCTATTGCTCCTTATTCTTGTCAACATTGAGGATTAGTAAGGTTTTAAATCTTTGCCAAGCTCAGACAAAAAATTAAAATAAATGTTCTCTCTCTCTCTCTCTCATAAACTGACACAGAGTTCATATCCTTTGCCCTGGATGTTCTTTTATTTCTGAGTGATTTGTATAAAGAAATTATTGTGTATTTTACAACTGCTTCTCAATTTTTGTCTTTGGATTTGATTTGTGGTATTTTTAAGCCATATTAAAGTTCATTTTTTTCCACGTTAAAAAATTAATTAAAAAACAAAATATCGGCTTGTGAATCTCACTCTCAGAGACAGTAGGTATAGGATGAGGTTCCAAAATGTGCATTGTGAACAAGCCGCCCCTTTGTGCTCCCAGGCGATGTTGATGTATTTGGGCCACACCTTTACTGGAGTTCACGCTCGGGACTCTCAGCCCTTGTTACTCAGAGTGCAGTCCCGGACCAGCAGCTAGACATCACCTGGGAGCTTGTTAGATGGTCAGAATCTCAGAGTCTACCCTGGCTTGCCGAATCAGAATCTTCGTCTTAACAAGATGTCCAGGTGATTTAAGTTTGAGAAGACTGATTTAGAGGAGTGGTTCTCAGCCTTGGCTAAGTATTAGAATCACCGAGGGAGCTTTCAAAAATCCCAGGCTTAGGCCTCTGCGAGACTGAATAAATCAGTATCTCTGGAGATGGATCCCAGGCACGAGTGCTTTTAAAGTTTCTCAGTGGTTCCCATTTGCAGAGAAGACTAAGAACTTCTGAGGGTCCTTCCAGTCTCTCCCACTGCAGAATGCAGGCCAGCCCTGAAGCCCAGGAGAGAGAAATGATACCCTAACCCATGGATCCAGGGCTCTATAATAGCCAGAGGTCCTACTCAAAAAGCCCAATGGCTTGGCAGTTGCCAGAAGAAAAAGAAACAAAATGGGATATCATTTCACCTTATTTATAAAGCATTCTTTGAGTCTTTCATCCCTTGAATTTGAATTTCTTCAAGACTCTTCTGCTGGAGTCATCTCATTAATTTATTGTTAAGGTTTCTACCACACAGACTCTCTGGATATTTGCTGACATTATCCATAAATCTGATCCTTATCTCCTCTCTAAGGCAAATATGGACCAGTCACCACCCAAACTTAGCAAGGACGGATGCAGACAGTACACCTCTGCCCTCTGGTACTCAGTGGCCCCTCCTGGGCACCTAACCTTGGTAAAGGGAGGTGATTACCTACTCCCAACTAATTTCAATGTTCCACCCCAAATTAGTTTCCCCTGTGCCTTCTGCTTCTCCAGCTCTGTTGCTCTAGTCTGCTCCTTACCTGTCCCTGAGCTCACTTCAGACCCAGTTATAGGAGTGGTGGCAATACCAAGGACTCAGCCAACCTTTACTGACTTCCCAGTCAGTGACATTTCAGCTATATCCCCATATATTCCCCATATATATCCCCATATGTTTCTGATATAACATTTCAGAAATCTCCCCATGGTGCCATTAAACTACTGCAAAAATCACTATCCAGTAAAGGGATTAAGGCTATCTCATGGAACTTCATTCTATGCACACATTTTCAAAACTTAAAAGACTTGTGTCTCTTGCATCTCTATTTTCTATGGAGCCACATCCAACTTGCTTTCCCAACAAGGGTGCTGAGTATGCCAAGGAAATAATCCATGTTCTAGTATTACAGACTGTGTGAGAGAGATGGGTAGGTAACTAACTAATTATACTGTGGGGAAGGTGCTCTGTGGGCACAAAAGACAACAACTCTCCCTGGATGGGAGAGGGGATGGAGAAGGCTTAGCAGAAAAGAAGATGCTTGAGGTTGACCTTCATTGCACAGGGATCTTTTTGTATGGAAAAGAGAAAAGGAAGGACATTCTGGATGTAGGAGACATCTTGAGCAAAGTAGTAGGGATGTGGAGGTTCATATCTAGGAATGACTTCTGAGCAGTGTGGCAGGAATGATTGGTATTGAGTGGGCAGTAGTAGTAGGAAGTGACATGGGAAATGTGGTTGAGGTCAGGGTGTCAAGGTCCTTGAATATCATGGTAGAGTAGCCGCCAAGGGCTTTCATCTTGGGCTTTTGGGAGACCCTTGTGAAACTAATTGTATCATGCATGTCATTGGAAGAATAGCATTTACAGTTTGATTCTACAGACAACTTTCCAAAAAAGCAAACAAGGAAAACTTCACTAATTTGAAATTAATTAGAGAAAATGTCTGATGACTTAGTGAAAACTCAAGATTGTAGGTTTTTTAAAGAAATTCTGTTTTATAACTCTCAATTACTATAAATACTATAAAGTAACATATACATCTATTAATTAGAAAAATGAGGTCGATAAGCTAAGACTTACAATTCACAATAGGCATATATGAGGTAAAAATAAGCATGTAATTCATCAGATGTGCTTTTTGTTTTGACTGTTTTGTGGAATCATCATAATAACTAGAGCATCTATATCACTCCAATTATTGGAGGCAAACTATTGAGAGTCTTTTTTAAGTGAGGGATACTGATGGAATAAAACTCCAACTGATCAGCCAATAACAGAAGTTTAGGAATTTAGAATTCTAAAAGAATTTAGAAAAATCCTTTTTTAGTTTTAATTTTTAATTATGGATACATAATAGTTGTATATATTTGTGGGGTACATGTGATATTTTGATACAAGCAGACAATGTGTAATGATAAAATCAGGGTAACTAGGGTATCCATCACTTCAAGCATTTATCATTTCTTCATGTTAGGAACATCCCAATTCTACTCTTTTAGCGATTTTGAAATATACAATAAATTATAATTAACTGTAGTCACCCTATAGTGCCACCTAACACTGGGTCTTATGCATTCTATCTAATTGTATTTTTGTACCCATTAAGCATCCCCTCTTTATCCCCCACTCCCCACTACCCTTCCCAGCCTCTGGTAACCATCATTCGACTCTCCATCTCCATGAGTTCAATTTTTTTAGATCCTACGCGTGAGTGAGAACATGCAATATTTACCTTTCTGTGCCTGGCTTATTTCACTGAACGTAATACCGTCCAGTTCCAACCGTGTTGCTGCAAATGACAAGATTTCATTCTTTTTATGGCTGAATAATATGTATATATGTATATCTACCACATTTTCTTTATCCGTTCACCTGTTGATGGACACTTAGATTGATGCCACATCTTGCCTATTGTGAATAGTGCTGCAATGAACATGGCAGTGCAGATATCTCTTCATATACTGATAGAAATCAAAATTCTTGAGCCAAACTTCCAGAAAAGAGACCTATTGCCCTTTGCTACTGACCAAACTAGCAGGCGCAAGGCCGCAGCTTCTCTCTTCCCACCAGTTCCTTTGAAGCTGCAGTACAGGGGGAGAGCTTCATGGAGGGAAGGGTCAGGTTGATGGGTGTCTCTTCCTGTGAGTATAAAAACTGATGAGGCTGTGCTCAGGAAAGTGTGTGCACATGCGCGTGAATGACCAGCGAGAGGACGATGCCAGTATCATTGGGTACGAAATGCATTCTTTCAACGAGAATTCTCAGCTACCATTCTAGTTCAGGTTTAGCCTCTATCACAGGGAAAACAGAACAAGGGAGAGAAGACAAACCTTGTGGAGAGAAGAACTGAGATAGTCTAGAATCACACCAAAATAGCTGTTTGTGGGGTCAAAGAAAGCGAAAGCTGGTATGGTTCTCTGTTTCCCCATAGTCTGTGCCTGCAGAGGAGCGGGAGGTGTACCTCCCGATGTCCTCCAGTGCTGTCATGGGGCCCTGTGCTGGCTCAAATCCCAGCTGTACCATTTTGCTGTTGGGGTGACTTGGGCCAGTCTCTTAACCTCACCGAGATTCAGGCTGCTCATTCGTCAACTAGAGAGAGAATAACAGTGTCTCCCTCACGCCCTTATTGTGAGGCCTGGTAAGGTGACTCATGAATGGGGCTTAGCTCAGGAGATGCTGTCCACCCCTCCCAGGCCCAGGCAACCTTGTCCAGGGTTCCCATCTCTCCTGGGATGCAGCTGTGGAGCTTCACCTGGAGAAGACAGGTCCATCACCATGTTTTATTCACTGACTCAGGAAGGACTCCAGGCAGCAGACTATGGGATGGCAGGATTCTGTCCTGGACAGCTCTGCTAGAGAAGCAGACCGGGGGCAGGGAGAGGCTCCAATGACTTTCCCGACCTGGCTTTGCCAAGGCCCTCTGCTCCCGCTCTTTCCTTTTCCATTGGGTGAGCTGCTTCCTTCAGCTTCTTCTCAAAGCTGATACACACAAGGAGACAACTATCCCATGCTCCCCTGCATCCTTCCTGACATGGGACTACTCCAGTCCCTTTCCCAGGCCAGCATGGGTGTGCTGTCTGCTATGCTGCCAGAACTCCCTTTGTCTCAACTTCCATCCAGCCCACTTTCCTGGAAGGCCAAACTGCAGTCCTTTCAGCCACATCAAGACGGATCTGGCTGACAACTGGCCTGCTGCTTGGCTGACCAACTGCTGCTGTTCTGTTCACCTTGGGTGCAAGTTCTCTGAGCTCCACTTCACCCGTTCCCTCAGCTCTTGCCCCCATTTCACCATCCTGGGGAAAGTTTCCATGATGTTTCACTGGTGCTGCCCTCTGCTTCCAGGGTCCAGTGAAGCTGGAGGCCCAAGTCCCCTACTAACCAGCCCGCAGGCAAGCTGCCTAACCTCTCTGACAGGGTTTCACCTACAAAAAAAAAAAAAAAGGAAGAATACCTATTTCTACCTCACCTGAGTTTTGTGGGGATCACATGATAAGGTTTTATGGAGGTGTTTTAAGCACTATAAAGCAAGACACAAGGGTGAGTTACGGTGATTATTCCCCACTGGGAATGTCTGCTCTCTGCATGTTCTTATTAGGCTTTCCATGTGTGTGACCAAAAGAGTTTCCATAGTTGCTCTGGCTACTCACAGAGACACAGCAAACACAGCTCATGTCCAGTAGGTTGTTTGGGCTCCACCTCCCTCTGCTGGCCATCAGTTTCCAGACAATCTGTGCAGGACTTTGCTTCCCATGCAAAGGATTTCCTTGGCCGTATCAATTAGAGCTCACTCGTGTTGCTTTTCAAATGGCACACTGGGCTGTGCCCTCTGAATTTGCCACTTAAGAGCTCCTTTATCACCCAAACAACTGGGGACACAGCTTATAAAAATATACACTGCACAGTAAGATCACTCAAGGCAAGGCAGATAACATTCTGACCTAGGACTCCTGGAGTCTGAGCTCTAATCCTGATGGTCTCGGTCAATCCAAAGGCTCTTTAATCTCCACAGTGTAGGTACTGGCCTGGAATACAGGCTCAGGAACAGTCCTGCCATGTTTGCTTGCATAGTTTCCCCTTCATTTGTCTCTCCCTACCCCCACTGCGTTTTACTGAAATCTGTTTATTTGTGTGCTCGCTCATCCACATATATTGTCTCTAAGAGTTTACTTTGAAAAACAGCTTCAGCTGACAAGAGAGGGTCTTCAGGGCTCAATGCACATGAACAGCTGACTACCTCTTGTCCTTTGCCACAGACCAGAAAAGGGTCTCTCTCAGTGGCAGGTAGGGGTGAGAGCAGAGGGCTCACCCTGTGTGCATGGCTGGCTGCCGCTGCTCTTACAACTTGATAGAGATGTAATTCACATACCATAGAATTCAACCCATTTAAAGTCATCCAGTTAGTCACAGAGCTTTGCAACCACAGTCAATTTTAGAACATTTTCATCATCTCCCCAAAAAAGAAGAACCATACCTATTAGTCACTCCCATTTCCCACCACTACCCCTTCAGCCATAAGTAACCACCAGTGTGCTTTCTATCCCTGTGGATTTTCATATTCTGGCCCACATGCTTTTTGATATTGTTGTTCCCTACCCCTGAAGCCCCAAGCTCTCCTGAGCAGGGTTTGCAGGGATGCCATGGCCAAGCCCATCAGGAATCTGGGTAGCAGCCCTGGGCTGGCTCTTGAGAACTTCAGGATGTGTCTTGCCTTACCAGTGCACCCCCATCTGACCCAGAGGCATTGGAGCAGCAAAGGGGCTGAGGGCCGCCTGGACGTTTCTCTTCTAAATCCAGGCAAGACACCCCTTGCGTGACTCGGACGTCACAGACTTACCTGTGTGAGAACACTTGGCCCTGCATGCTACTGAGGGGTTGCAGTTTTCAGCATCTACATCAGCCTTTAGGGTGAAGATGCTGCATCTCCAGCAGGCCCTTATGACAATGCCAAGCTGTCCTTAGATGTCAAGGCAGTTTCATGGTGTCCTGGACATCTCAGCCTTTCCCCTTTACTGCTCTCTAGTCCACTTTCTCTGCGATGATGTTAGGACAACATATTCTAGGGCAGCTATTTCGAGGGAGAAAATACTTGTCTAGAGTCTAAGGACTCACAGAGAGCAAGCCACATATGAGTGGATAAGCTGCCAGCACACAGCTCAAGCCCAGCTCTGTGGCCACTGATAGATGTGTGATCTTGACCAAGTCCTTCACCTTCTTTGAGCTTAGTGTCCCCAGCTGCAAAATGGAATACGATGGCTTCTCTCACCTCACAAAATGGTACTAAGAATTAGTAAGACAATATATTTGCTCTGGTTTGAATGTGTCCCCCAAATTTCATGTGTTGGAAACATAATCCCCAAATTCATAATATTGATGGTATTTGCAGGTGCATATCCACGGAGCTGGGCCAGAGCTTGTGTCTTCAAGAGTCCAGGCTCATTTAAGAAGCTGTATCATAAGTTCATTTGGCTTTATTAATGCCTCCCAGGCCAATATATGTATGCCCACATATTCCCAGACAAATTCTTGGCAGACTTTTGCATAATCCAATCAGCACTTTATATGTTCTAAAGTCCTTTGTATCATTAAGTCAGGAAAATGGATATAAGTTAGTATACAAATGCTTGAGTGACAACTGATCCTAAGATGTTACTATATACTATGTTTTAGAAAGTGTGTTCTAAGACAGGGCTTCTTAAACTCTAGGTAGTGAAGGACTAGCTTGTTGGTTTGTTTCTAACTTCCATCTGTCCTGAATGAATAATTTTGATAATACAATAAAAAATATATTACTAGAGAAATAATCACACATTTGAATGTTGCAGCAATGTCAAACTGCCATAAACATTTCTAATTGCTTATTCTCAATATTTTTTACTGACCTCGTTGCAGGTCAGTAGTGGTTCACAGACCAGCACAGGTCTGCCAACCACACTCTGAGAAACTGTTCTAAGGATCACCATTCCTAAGAGAAATTCCCTGAATAAAGAGTTCTTTGATCAAATAAGTTTGGGAGAGCCTGTAAGCTAGAAAGTGTTGATGCTCAGTAACATATTAAAGCTCTGAAAAGTCCTGCATTAAAGAAATTTGGTTAATCATTAATTAATTCAGCATTTCCCAAACCAACTTGACCTCACAACTCATTGTTCACAAAATACCTTTCAACCTCCTGCAAAGTTACATTTCTTGAAACCCACTTGGCTCTGCCTTGCCCACTATAGGCAAAGCAGTCCCCAGGCATGCCTGAACTAGAAGTCTCTGTCCTTTGCCCACACCCTCATGCTCTGTTTTTTTTTTCTTCATAATCTTTTATTCCCGTGGCACACAAAGTCATGCTCTGACTTTTACCATCTTTCATGCCTACTTCTACCTCCTCCATGGTACTCACTTTGGGTGACCTCACCCATAAACATCAAAGTCATTTGTCTGATATACTTTGCCAGTGAATCCTATAGAGCTGTCTGCTTGCCCACCCTCATGGAGGTGACTCCTAACAGATCTTCATCATTAGTACTACCTTTCACCAACAATGGCCATCTCCTTCCACTTAATCCAGTTAACTGACAAGTATTTCTCTATTTTTAATGGAAACTGTACCCCTACATAAAAATATTACATTCACATAAAACATGTGTGTTGCTCTTCCCTAAGCAGCACTACTTCTTGTCATACTCCTTTTTCATTCTCTCTCTCTCTCTCTCTGTCTATCTTGCACATTCCTGTCGACTCTCATAACCTCCAATTGGGGGTTTCCTACCTTACAATGGGTAATCTCTACTCTGAAATCAATTCCGTGGAAATTTCAGCTCTCACAGCTATAGTCTGGTGAAAGCTTCTAGAAGTATGACTTGTTTCTGTGGGTTGCTCCACTTAGCCTCCCCTGGTCATCGGTGACTCTCAGTAAGCTTTAGTCTACTCTCCATTTTACTGATATCTCTGCTTTCTTTTTCAGCACCTCCAGCTTTGGCAGCATTTCCTCCAGATCTAATCACATCTACTTATTCGCAGACATACCCCTGCCCCATACCCACGTGGATACTGATCTGCCCTTACAACCAGGCCCTAGGCCAGGGCGTCCTGGAGATACAGAGCAAGTCAGCCAGGGTCCCTGCTCCAAGAGAATCTCACTTCCCCAGGTTCTGGTATTGTAACGTCTACAGTGCTTGAGGTCCCAGGGCAGGAACTTCCAAACTGCATTTCCCCAACATTAATATTGTATAAGACATTAATCGACAGTCTCCACCAAAAAGGGTTCTGGGGTCAAACAAATTTGAGAAACAGAATTAGCTGTGCTTACATATGTTATGAATCTTGAGGAAGAGGCAATATATAATAGATTTTTTTAAATGTCCTTAATCTGCAAACCATCTTTTCAAGGAACCCCTGTTTGAGAGAGTATCATTCTTCTGATGCCATTTGGGAAATGCTGGCTCAGGGGTAGCTTCAGCAGACAGTCCTGCCAAATGCCAAGGACCAGACTGAAGTCATTCAAACATACAATCTGGCTAGATGGAAGATGAATATCTCTTTCTGATTTCCCTTAGCTCTGCCTTTTGAATGATAAATAAGTCAAGTCTGTACCCAATGCTCAGTTATTTACTTTCCCATGAGTGAGTGTTCTGTGTAATTTACCATCTAGAGACCTAATGACTTCCAAGTCTATATTTCTAGCCCAGATCTCTCCCCTGAACTCCAGATCCCATACATCCTGCTGTCTGCTGTACAACCACCTAATGGAGACCTTTAACAGAATGTCCAGCAAACACATCCAATGCAATTTGTTCCATAGAGAAGTGGTTACTATCCTCATAAAACTCATTTCTCCATCTGCATTTCCTAATGGCCCCATTACTATCATCCAACCAGAAACCTGGCAGATGTTCCAGACTATACCTTCTTAGCCAAGTAGTCAAGAAGTCTTCTTGATTTGACCGCCCAAGAAGTTCTTCTCCGATTCTGCCATTGTCTAATTTTGGGTCCTCATTACAGTGGTTTTCTTTTCTTTTTCTGAAATGGAATCTTGCTCTCTTGCCCAGGCTGTGGTATAGTGTTGCAATATCAGCTGACTACAACTTCTGCATCCTGGGTTCAAGCAATTCTCCTGCCTCAGCCTCCCAAGTAGCTGGGATTACAGGCACCTGCCACCATGCCCTGCTAATTTTTGTATGTTTAGTAGAGACAGGGTTTCACCATGTTGGCCAGGTTGGTCTCGAACTCCTGACCTCAAGTAATCTGCCTGCTTCGCCCTCCCAAACTGCTGGGATTACAGGCGTGAGAAACTGTGCCTGGCCCTACGGTGGTTTTCTGACTTGTATTTTAGGTACAGTTCTCTGCAAAGCAGATTATGAGTTTCTGAGATGTGCATTCAGAAAGGTTTTCGGAGCATGTTATGGCAAATAATCCCCCTGGGGGTGGTGAAGGAAGTAAGACTGGACAGAAGGAGGAGTTGAACAACAATGTAGGTGCAAAAATAGCCTCATCCAATTATATGGAGTGCTCTTGAACCAGATGACTCTTTAGAGTTGTCTCACTTGATGCAAGGGATTGGGGTGAGGGTCCTTAAACCAACACATTTCCACTCTCCTAGACCACCACCTTTCATACCCCCATCTCCTACAGCCCCCCACCCACCCCCACTAGATATGGGCAAACCCCCACCCCACCCCAGAGTGGCATAACCTTTGGCCAAGGGCAATTCGAGAGCCACCTGTCACCAACCCTTCCAGCAGCTGGAGGAACAAGTGCACAGTCCTGAAGGGGGATCTGGGTAGTAGACCACAGCACCCACTGTAGCATTCTTGTCCCTAATCTTGCTGCTTTCCAGTTCTCCCTCCACAACTCCACCAGAGGGGTTTTTCTAAGCCCAAATGTAATCACACTACACCCTTACTCATGCCTCCCCCTACCTCCTCCTTACCTATGAGATGATTCATATCTGAACTCTGTCTATGCACGAAGCCATCTCCCACAGCCTTTCCTTCTTGTGTGCCCTCTTGCCTCACAAATACCAATCTACTAATACTTATCAATCCTTCACAATGCTGCTCCCTCTGCAGGGAATGAGCTTTCCCACTCCTCTCACTAGAAAGCCTCCATTTATCCTTTAGGGCCCATCTGAGTGCCTTCTCTGTAATTCCTTCCTGAATATCTTCAAGCAGTAGACTCTGTACACTCTTTTTATACTCTTGTAGTTAATTGCTTATGTGCAGTTATTTACTTAAATCTGGCATCCTTAAGAGCAAAACCTGTGTTGTATTCATTTTTAAGTCAATGAATCAGCCATCTGCATCAGTATTGTATGAGGCTGTGTCCACACGGGCTGACTCAAACCAACTGGAGTTGACTTTAGTCATTTTTTTCTGGGACTTAATCTAGGTGCCCGGTGAGGGCTGTAGGCCTCTGGGAGGAAGAACTCTATTTGGAGACTCTCACCTGGCTCAGGATGTCTATAACTCGAGGCTCTGAGGGAGTTGGACATTTAATAATACTGCCCGTTAGGTTGATGCCGCCCCTCATGGTGGGCAAGAGGCATAGCAAGTGACCTACAGGACATGTTACAAAAGGCCATAAGGCCTGCCTTGCCTACAAATCTCTCTTTCATGACTGAGCCCTCCCTTCATGTCCATTCTGAAATTATCACTCTTATATTTACTAATGGTTGGACCAGTGGCCCCGTAAGTAGGGTGAATACACTCCAGAGCCTGGCAAGCAGATGCATCTCTAGAAGAGAATTCCATGTCTATTTATTTTTATTGTATCCCTTTAAAAATTTTAGTATTGTGGGCTGGGGGCAGTGGCTCACACCTCTAATGGGAGGCCAAGGTGGGCAGACTGCTTGAGCCCAGGAGCTCAAGACCAGCCTAGGAAACATGGTGAGACCCCATCTCTATAAAAAAAAAAAATTCAAAAAAATTAGCCAGGTTGTGGCAGCACGCACCTGTAGTGCCAGCTACTCCAGAGGCTGAGGTGAGAGGATCGCTTGAGCCCACGGAGGCAGAGGTTGCAGTGTGCCAAGATTGCACCACTGTATCCAGCCTGGGCAACAGGGTGAGATCCTGTCTCAAAAAAATGTCTTTGTATTGTGTATGTTTTATAATGTGCACAATATAGTAGTATACTAACACATGTATATGATTTATAAATAAATAATATAAGGGAATATACACTCAGAACTTTTTTTACTAAGTAGCACATTGTTTTAAAAAATTGGAGCCTTCTGGATTGGACTCTAAAGCCTTGAGGCCTCTCCAGCTTTCATCCTATGAGCTCTGCAGCTGATCTGTTGCTGAGCTAATTTGTACCAATGGCACCTGAAGTTTTACAGGAACTCTGAAGTCCAGGATCTACCCAGCTGGAAATGAAAGGGAGGGGCAGGCTGAGGAGAGCACAGAGGCTGAATCTAGCCAGAGCTGGTGAACCATCAGGTAAGGAATTGAGAACCTGGAATACACAGAGGCATACAGTGAAGCGGAAGGCAGCAACAGGTAGGACAGCAATGGGAGGGATGTGCTATGGAAGAATGGCAATCCCTCCCTCCATCACGAAGCATGCCCCGTCCATCTTCCACTATGGTCATGATGAGAGTACAGCCAGCCAGATATAAAGGTGGCAGTGGCTGCTCTAGAACGCCTACATAGGGGGCTAAGAGGCAGCAATCTGATTGCAGTGAGGGCATAGGAGCCTTTTCTTAAGGCTGCATTCACATATCAGAGCACTATTTTTACTTGGGTTGTATGGTTATTTGTGGATGGTTGTGAGGATTGATTGATGGTGGAGATTGGGTGGAGGGGCAGTGTGCATTGTTACCAATGCAGCCTTGATAGTCCTCTAGCAGGTGGAAACTAGTGAGCCTCATTAGGGTGGAAAGAGACTTATGGCATCTAAAATCAGGAGAGACCCTGATCTGGCGCCAAACCCTGGGGTCTGAGGGCTCCATTGGGATGATACATTAGAATAACTCCATCAGCCAAAAAGCAGCTTCATAATACAGGACCAGACATGCAAGCGCAGGGAATGGGCCCCTTAGTGGGAGACCAAGTAAGTGATGAGGGGGACTCCAAGAGCATGGCTTGCAAAAAGGAGGCACAGAGAGACCCCAGAGATGAACATGGCTAACTTGGCAGGTTTAGTCTCAATGTCGAAGAAGAGCGGTTCACACCTCCACAGTTCCCGGTTCCACTAGAAAATCAGTGGAAGACTGTTTGATGGCCATGATAAAAAAAACTATATACTTAACTTTCTTATATACAGATTTTCCTGGAAAATAAAAAAGATCAGAAGGGAAACAAATGCAATTCCTTTCTACTATGTTTTTAGACTCTGATTAGGCTCTTAATATTCTACTGGCAGCAGACTATAAACCCTTTGAGGGCTACAACCACTTCTTGCTGACAAGGTGTTGCATTTGTAAAGTTAGCATAAACTTTTGCATACACTATTTCATACCACAACACGGCAAGGTAGGTATTCTTATATGCATTTTGAGGATGAAGAAATAAAGGTTCAAACTGATTAAGTTCATTTAGCCAGAAACTTACATTCTACAGGTGAGGAATCTGAAGCCCAGATGGAGTTAACTGACTTACCCAGGACAAAGAGCAAATACTCATCAAAGCCACAACCCATGCCCAGGCCTCACAGAACTTCACCTGTATCCCAATTCTCCATTCTGCTATTACACTTTCCTCCCAGCCTCCAATGGTGCTTAAAGCAGAGGTCAGCAAACAGAAAGCAGGCCATGAGGAATGGCTAACAAATTTTATGAGCTCTGTCTTTCTACTCATGATTCTCCCCTAGACCATTTGTTCTAACATCTTCTGTGTTTCTTCACAGCATGCAAAAGGAAAGAACAAGAACATGGGAAGGATAGAGGCAACACACCCAAAAAGCCCAGGTTGGTCTTCACAGATGTCCAGCGTCGAACTCTACATGCAATATTCAAGGAAAATAAGCGTCCATCCAAAGAATTGCAAATCACCATTTCCCAGCAGCTGGGGTTGGAGCTGAGCACTGTCAGCAACTTCTTCATGAACGCAAGAAGGAGGAGTCTGGACAAGTGGCAGGACGAGGGCAGCTCCAATTCAGGCAACTCATCTTCTTCATCAAGCACTTGTACCAAAGCATGAAGGAAGAACCACAAACTAAAACCTCGGTGGAAAAGCTTTAAATTAAAAAAAATTTTTAAAAGACCAGGACCTCAAGATAGCAGGTTTATACTTAGAAATATTTGAAGAAAAAAAAGCGTTATTTATAGTCCAAAGAAACCAAAGACTTAGCTCACCTGCATTCTGACTTTGTTTGGAGACACACACTTCAGCAGGGCGGCGACTTGGCAAGACAAATGATGAGCAGGAAAACACCACTGGATCTCACACCTTCAATCCATGACCATCCTCGCTGTGCTTGGCTGTTTAGTGGTTTGGAGCATAGTGATTTTGAGCCATTGAGCGGACATCTTTTAAGATCGAACTTTCTCATCTGTTCTACCATGCCACGAAGGTGTATGGTGTCTCAGTACTACCACCACCAGTGGTTACAGACTTAGGCAGAGCTGGTCTTCAGAAATGGTTGTTCTATAGGAGTGCAACCAACATGGTATGGGGTTGTCTGAGTTCATTGGATTAGGAGTGTGATTTTGCTCGTCTAGCCTAACGTTTGAACCTGCCAGGCCCGCAACCTAAATGCAGATTCAAACCCAGCAAAGAAAATTTGAATGACACCTAAACCAGTGCATTCTCTTTGTTTGTTAAGGAATGTTCAGATATTTTTTAAGAAATGAAACATGAGTCCATCCATTAAAAAAATCACCTAGGTACCAAAGAACACACTTAATATTATAGTGCAGGTATTTTATTGCAATGATTTTAATAACCAAAGCTATTTTTACACAAGATACTATGAAAAGTTATACGTATGAACTGATCTAGCTGTAATACACATGCCACATAGAATCATGACTATTATTTATGACTCTTGAAGCATTTGAAATATGAGTTTTCAGAACTGGCAAGAAAGAATGTAGCTTCAGGGAAGCAATTAATATCATGGCAGAGAGGTCGATGCAGTACACGTGTACATCCAGATGGCACACTCCTTTTCAGGATCCATAAATGTCACTTAAGTAGAGAGATAGACATGGTTCCATAATCTGTTCCTAGCTGAGAAAACCTGAGGATCTTTCCAAAGTAGTACCCCATTTTTACACTAGAAAACTAAATTTAACAGGGAGGGTAACTAAATTAGAAAATTTGTTCAAAGTAATGCTTTTTAGTAAAAGGTCACTAAATAAAGAACTATCCTTAGATTAATTGACTTATATTTGCTTTATGCATCTGGCACCAAAAACCTCTTTTAAATACTTTACAAATACAAATAAAGTTTAAAAAAACAACATTATTATTCAAATGAGCTATTCAGTACTTATAACTATCCTAAAAAGTTATCAAATTAACTTATTGCCAATCCCAGAAATTTTATGACTTGGACGTCAACAAAACAGCAGGTGCAACTGAGAAATGGTGGAATTGGTGGAACTGTATAGAAAAAAGCCAGTGTTCTGGTGGACGACAAGACTTTTGATCTATTGGTATTAATCAATTTATGGAACTAAGAATAGCCTCCAAAGCATTCTGCCTTCTTTCTTGCTACTGCATTTAGCTGGAAATTTTATAATATAGATTTTGCTCTCTAACAGGGACAGATTAAAAACTAGACCTGAGCTTACAAATACAAAATTTTAAATTTCTATTTGTCCAAATCACTTAACCAGAGCTGTAGAAGTCAAAGTCAAAAAAAAAATGAAGTCGTATTAGTGGTACCCCAGTGAATCACTTGATTCCCAGAAAAATTCTCTCTGAATTCAGTTGGACTGTAACTTATCTAAGTGGATGCCCCTTATGCCATTAGGTAAAGAATTGGATACTGTAAGTTAATTACCACCCCTACTTAGAACTATGAAATTAAATGTTATCCTAATGATAAGTTGTTTTATTGAGATTCATTAAAAATGCCAAAGAACAAAACTGAACCATCTTGACACAAAACATAACTCCTTAGCATCAAATCTCAGCACCTTGTCTAGGTCTGTAACAGGCAGGCAACTAGAGAGGTAAAGCAAAACCAACAAGCCATCTATCTGTGTCTCCTTCATGTCTGCTGTCGAATGAGAAGAGGAAACCAACATATACTTCTCTTTTGATGAAATACTTCATTTGCCTTGACATGTTTTGTTTTTTGTTTTTAATTTCACCCACAACTCCAGCTTAAAAATTTCCCTTCTAAATATGGCACAATTATAGTTCAGCTATTGAAAGAGACCATTTAAATGGCCACCCTTCAAGATTTACTAAAAAATAGAATCTTGTCAATGACATAAACAAAAAGGAAAAAACTGATTAACATTTTCTCTCTCTCCAGGGATGGAGGGAGCCGGGGATACAGCTACATAATGTATTTATAATTTAGGAGGGAGGAAAGCCTTATTTATTTAAAACGTGATAATTCTAAATGCAGGGAAATTCAAGCTGTGTCTACACACAATCTTACCAAATTCAATACCCCAAGAAAAGAATAGCAGAATTCAGACAACCATGTTTTTTATTTGTTGCTAGTATATATTACCCCCAAAATCAATCCAACTACATGTTACCCTTTTTTTTTTTTTTTTTTTTTTTTTGAGAGAGTCTCACTCTGTCACCCAGGCTGGAGTGCAGTGGTGCAATCTCAGCTCACTGCAACCTGCACTTCCTGGGTTCAAGTGATTCTCCTGCCTCAGCCTCCCAAGTAGTTGGGATTACAGGCGCCACCACGCCCAGCTAATTTTTGTATTTTTAGTAGAGACAGGGTTTCACCATGTTGGCCAGGCTGGTCTTGAACTCCTGACCTCAGGTAATCCACCCGCCTCGGCCTCCGAAAGTGCTGGGATTACAGGCATGAGCCACTGCGCCTGGCTCATGTTACATTTTTGACCAATTATTTTGGTACTGTGTAGGCACAGTCTCACAGAATATTGCTTCATTTTCAGTATCCTACCATAATGGTTTTTTAAGAAACTACCCAGTTATCCTATTTGCTAACACCAAAGATAATTTTCATACCAGCATTGAATTTGCACCCATTATGCAATTTCAGGGCTTAGAGATATATTTTCTCATAAACAGATGCACAAATCAGAGCCTGAAAAGCAATTTTTTTACTCGACTGTTTGAGCATACTCACACCCTTTGCTTTTTAGAAATCGTGATGGACAAACTCAGCTTCTCACAAGCAATACACTTATTACATCATGTATGACTGATTCTTTACTTGCTCCTGAACTGGCATGTAGAAAAAAAACACAATGCTTCCATTCCTATTTAGTGTAACATTAATTTCTGGCTTGAGTTTTTTAATCTACATTCCACAGAGCAGGTCATGTGCCATTTGTTCACCCATCATTTCTCAATTCTTTTGCAAAATTCACCAGAAAAAGGTATCTATCTTACTCTTTTATTTGTACATGTGTTTATTCCAAAACTGCACTTAAAGTAATCCTTTTTTTTTTTTTTTTTTTTTTTTTTTTTTTTTTTTTTTTTTTTGGTAGAATGGAAGTTAGTCTGTTTCTGGCCATAAGACATTCAGGTCCTCTCATCACTGGAAGCTTTCCTGTAGAGGGCAGGGAGTTGTGACGTCTGGACACCCCAAAACCCCAGACTTCAGTAAATGTTCAGGTAAAAGAGCTCTGGATGTCAGGAATTGAGTATTCCAGTCCCTGGATGCAGCTGGAATAGACTCCAAAGACCAAAGAAAATGTGTGGGAAATCCAGAAGTCCTAAATGAACATGTCACTCACTGTGCCCCCTCAAAAAAGCGAAATTATTTTTCCAGGAAAATATAAAAGCACTACGCTACTTTTGGATTCATTCCACTCCCATTGCTACCCCAGGTGAATGACCGTGGTTGCAGGTTAAATGCAAACTTTGCTATACCAAAGAGTCCTAGGACATTTTCACATGAGCTATAAAGGCATATTCCCTAAGAAAGGTCCTCCCTTCTTTGTACATAAAGGATGAAAACTATGCATTTAGCAAACAAAGAGAAAGCACTTCTTTTTCTATCTAGTTGTTTAGGGTGCATTCAAACACCAGAGGCTGTTTTGAGACATGTTTGGCCTTCTGGGTTATTACTGTGGTGTGGTTAGCTTTACAGTACATTTGGTAACTATTTCCTAAATAGTAAGGACAAAGAAGCAGAAGGTAAGAAATAGCGACTTCCACGTGTAAAAAAAAAAAAGAAAAAGAAAAAAAGAAAAAAAAGTGTAAAGATCTACTATTTATAGTGTGAACCAAAGACGCTACCTCACTCAATTTCCATTGGTGATTTTAATCACATTGATGATACCAAAGAATACCAAAGATATTTTCATGCACGGTCTCAGTCTGCAGAGGGAACTCCGCCCCTTCCCTTCCCCCACCCCTCCCCCTTCCTAACTCTTCACTCAGTGTGTAAACTTGTCTTCATTCTTAATAATGATACAATAATGACAACAACAACATTAGGAAATACTACTCTTATTACTGCTAGTTCTACTTGTAAATCTCTAGGCAAACATGTTGCAAACTTTGTAAACTCCTAGGACGAGTGCCTTGCTTGAACCAAAGTGTTAAACCGCTGTTGACCTCTTTCACCTTATACTCTTTGAATACCTCAGCCTCTTAGAAAGGCCACTAATGAAAAAAAAAGGAATAATTATTCACCGTGGTGCTTTTTCCGTGCAACCATGCAATGAAACTTTCTTTGATACCAAAGGATGACTTTTTTTTTTCCCAATTTCTTGCTGATAAACCAAAGCTCCTCCTCCTTGTTCCCTCTCAAGTTCCCCCCACCTGACTTCACCTGTCCCTCCACCAGGCAGGCCGTGCATAACTTTTACCAATTCCTCCAAATACCTCATAGTAATAAAGTTTTAGGGTTATGTTGTATAGAGAGTCTATGTGATAAGGCAGAACTTACTAGTTTGATAATTGTTAAGGTTACTTTAAAAAAAACTTTATAATTCTTATTTATTTTGTAGTTTGTATGTTTGGGATGTCCCCCCCCCCTCTTTGATTTGGGGTTTATTTTCTTGGCAGAACTGCTCTATTGCTCAAGGAAGACTTAGTTTCTGGAAATATTCCCCGGGTGAGTTAAGGGTTGTGTAAAAATGCAAGAATGGAATACGAAATGATTTTCATTTTGATGGTTACTTATGAAGTTTTTGTGTTCCGTAGAAAATTTGTTTCCACAGGGTAAAAAAATATATATATATAAAATCTCTTTTCTGTGAAGCTGGTTCCTATTTTTCTCTATAATGTGCTGTGATTTTTTTTAATTTAATTACATTTTATATGAGCTTATTTAATCACTGCTTTAATTTATGACTGTGTAGTTTTTAAAATGTATATAGTAGAATCAAAATGGCCAAAGCTTTATGTTACAATCTTTTTGTTCTCGATGCTAAGATAAGCTGAAGGCAAGAGCTTCTCTTAACTGCAGGGTGTATCTTTAGCTTTTTCTTAGTAGGTACTTCAATGTGTGCTGTAAACACTGCCAGGTCCCCCTCAGAAACTTGTACATGCCAAAGTGAGTGTTTCAAGATAGTCCTTTTTGTCATTTAGACAGAAGAAAGGCATTGTTCGTGTTCTTCCTTTAATTTATTAATTTTTTTTTAGAAAAGATTACTTTGCAGGTAAGACCTGAAATTCCAAAGAATTTGAGACTTTTTTAATATTTCAAAGCACCGGCATTTGTGAGATACTTTGCTACTTCTTTTTTTTTTTTTTTTTTTTAACCATTCGCACGGGTATGAAAAGTAGAGTGTAAAAACTCAGAGAGACAAGCTAACTTGAATTTGGAAATCCTCTAGGTTTTCCCAAGTTTCTGAATTGCTTCAAGGCAGGGGGCAGGGCATGGAGACACAGTTCCTTTTGCAAAGCTGAGAGGAGAGTGTAATGGCCTCATGCCCTTAAGCAGAAAGTCAAGGCTGGGGAGCAGCTGACCCAGCCCCTACCCCTCTGGCCAGTCCACAGTAGACACAAAATACAATTGCTTGGCCTCAATTATCAATAGAATTTAAGAGAAAAATCAAAGTTACACATCCCTCTCCACATCAGTTTCTTGGAATCTGCTACTCATGACTGCCCCTCCTCTCCCCACGCGCCCCTACCAAAGTCACAGGAGTCATCCTCAAATGTCAGGGTACTGGGGTGAATGTACTCCACGCCTCTCTGAGTTTGTCTCTGCTCACTCTTCATCTTCCCACTGGTTTCTTTTCTGCACTAGAGATGATCCCTGCCCTCAGCTCCCTTCATGGAGGCAGTTCAGATACTTGGCCCTACCTGTGATGAGCACACACACAGAATTCTCAACTGACAGTGGCATCCTCAGAAGAGTCGGTGCCCACTATTTTGTTTTATTTTGCTGAAAGAAGTTGCCCTCACTACACATCATAAACCCATAGATGTAAATACTTTCCCTCTCAACATACAAATTTTACCTTTCTCTTTCCCTCCCACAGGGGTGACTGTGGTGGGGAAGGAAAGAGAGGGCTTAGACTTCAGGTCAAATGTTACATTTTCTTAGGAACATTTTTATACTCATTATGTATTTTAATAGGGCAATAAATCTGCTTTGGGTTGCAGGATCACTCAGTGTTCTGTTGGAAAGCATTGACCAATGATTTGTTTTTAATACAAATGCTGTGCGATGAGTTATAGAAACCTAGGACAATGGTTGAGGGAGTCGACTCCTACATCAGCAGTGAAGCGCTGAGCGGCGTTGTATTCACAAAGTCACATCTTCTGTTTCTGTGTTAGTCTCGATTTGTTGTGGTACGTTCTGCATTTATTACATAATCATTGTGGGCTCATTTTAGATTTGCCATCTGAACCAAGTGACAAGTATTTTTCAATACAATAAAGTTGAAAACCTTGTCTTCCACTTGCTTTGGTAGTTGTCTTCATATCTCCCTGTGCTTATTGCCCTGTCTGAATCAGCCCATCTGTCACTCACTTAGACCTATCCCTTCCCCACTTTTTCTACTTTCACTACACTTTTGACCTTAGCTATTGTTTGAGTGTGACTCAGTTTCCCTGTTCAAGTTAGCTTGATGGTTTATTATGTAAGGAGGGTGCCTAAGACAATCATCAGGTAAAAATAAAATAAAATAAAATAAGATCAGTAGAGTAGAAAATCTTCCAAGAGCAGAGGGAGTTCTTCCTTAGCAATGAAAAAAAGACAAAAAAAAAGGGTAAATACATAATTAAATAGTTAATTAAAACCCTAACCATGAGGGGCTTAGAAGATTTTTTGATAAAAGACAAATGTTGCTGTCATTTTCTTTGTCAATTAGAAAACAGTGGTAGTTTCTACGTTGCATCTACATTTCAGACTAAATGATTATTGTACCCAGTTATGGTTGTTTGCTAATATTTTGTCTCTCTCTCTTTCTCTCTGTCCGATGCTTCTTCTGTATTTTTGTGTGTAGCAACAAAAACGTGTAATGCATTAGGCATTATTCTGGTTTGTTTCTGAGTATCTCCTGTACTGCATTAAGGTTTCTTTCATTTATTTTAAGCTTCGCTACTGTTCTCACTTTATGCCGTGCAATATCATCTGCTGTGTTTGCTAAGCAAAAAAGAAAAAAAAAAAAAAAAAAAAGCAAGTGATGATGCCATCATGCTTTTCAGTGTTAAAATGTTTCAGCATTTATGTAGTCACCAAAATGTAGTAAATAAAATGTTGGATTTTCCAGCACTTTAAATTTAGACAATCCTTGCCTTCTTTTGTTTTTATTCTACCTGAAATCCTAAGCAAGTAGCTCATCGAGTTTCTTTGGAGGAAGGGTGAAACGGAGAGGACAACACGCTTGAAAACAAAAGCCAGTGCCATGGTCAAAGAAAGATTAATGCAGGGAAATAAAGAGATGTTCTCTAGTGGAGCAAAATAATGCTTTTAAATGAAAGTGGAACATTCTATTTCTAGAGATTAGCCATTTATATTAACCTGATTGACTCTCAGAAGAAGTAAAAATTATTATTAGAGAGGATGGTCCTTAAAAGCCCTCTCCAGTAAAATAACTTGTGTAGGCAGTTGTGTGTGTCAGAAGCTGGGGGGCAGGGAAATTAAGGTCCTCTTTAATACAATGTAGTAACCGATCAAGAGGCCTGGCTCGGGAAACACAGTTTGGCTTTCCTGCTGTGCTGATTACTAATTGTGAGACCTTAGGCAAATTACTTAACTTCCCTCAGTCTGTTTCCTCATCTGTAAAATAGGCATAAGTATCTACATTATAGCGTGGTTGTGAGGATTAGACACTAGAAGTAGGTAAAGCTTAGCCCAGTGTCCGGCATATAAATCCTCCATAAATCTTAGCTATATTTATTATCAGCAAATTAGATAGATGATAGATAGACAGATTGATTGATTGATTTAGAGACAGGGTCTTGCCACGTTACCCAGGCTAGCGTCAAACTCCTAGGCTCAAGCGATCCTCCTGGGCTTCAGCCTTCCTAGTAGCTGGGATTACAGGCTCAGCAAATATCTTAAAATGCAGATTTTTTCCAGTTAAAAAAACTATTTTTGTCCGGGCGCGGTGGCTCACACCTGTAATCCCAGCACTTTGGGAGGCCAAGGTGGGCGGATCATGAGGTCAAGAGATCAAGACCATCCCAGCCAACATGGTGAAACCACATCTCTACTAAAAATAGAAAAAACATTAGCTGGGCGTGGTGATGCATGCCTGTAGTCCCAGCTACTCAGGAGGCTGAGGCAGCAGAACCACTTGAACCCGGGAGGTGGAGGTTGCAATGAGCCAAGATCGTGTCACTGCACTCCAGCCTGGCGACAGAGTGAGACTCCGTCTCAAAACAAAGAAGTAGACAAACAAAAAAACTATTTTCTAAGGTTTTTCATTTTTTAAATATAGGGGTAAGACTGATCTCCCTTTTTAAATTTTTATTTATTTATTTATTTATTTTGAGATAGGGTCTCCTTGTGTCACCCAGGCTGGAGTGCAGCGGCATAATCACCGCTCACTGCAACCTGGACCTCCTGGGCTAACGTGATCCTCCTGCCTCAGCCTTCCAAGTAGCTGCAAATACAGGCACATGCCACCATACCCCACTAATTTTTGTGTGTGGGGTTTTTTTGTTGGTTTGTTTGTTTTGTTTTGTTTTTGTAGAGACAGGTTCTTGCCACGTTGCCCAGGCTGTTCCTGAACTCCTGGCCTCCCAAAGAGCTGGCGTTATAAGCATGAGCCGCTGTACCCAGCCTTGGCTATTTTTAATGAAGGTGATATTAATGTTCTTCTACAAAGCTTTTTGTGGACATTTTCTAAAAAGTTTTATTCTGAAATAATTTCAAACTCACAGAAAAGTTGCAAGGATGCATAAGGAATTCTTATGTACCTATTAGCCAGATTTAACAATGCTTTATATTTTGTCACATTTGCTTTATCATTCTCTGTGTATATGTTTACATAATTATTTTCCTGGAACCTTGGGAGAATAGGTTGCATATATCATGCCCATTTATCTCTCAATACTTTCACATGTATAGTCATGAGTGGGCTTTGGGGCATACCAGTGGGATGGTGGGAGGTATGCTGAGCTCTGCCCCAAGGATGATTAATATCAATTTCAATACTATATAAACATTTTGTTCCTATATAGCTCTGTTCTCTCTTGTGATGATCAGTTTTATGTGTCAACTTGACTAGTCTCTGGTCCCCAGTTACTCATTCAAACACTAGGTGTTGCCATGAAGGTATTTTGTGGATGTGATTGCTGTTCATAATCAGCTCACTTTAAATAAAGGAGAATATCTCACACGGGTGTGCAGAGCAGTCCAGATTCTCAGGAATATATTGAAACTTTTCAAAGCCCTCAATGGGGTAAAGCAAAAAGTATCTGAGACAGGTCTTGATCAATTTAGACATTTATTTGGCCAAGTTTAAGGACTTCCCTGGAAGAAAAAAACACAGAATCACAGAAACAGTCTGTGGTCTGTGCCTTTCTCCAAAGATGAATTTGAGCACTTCAATATTTAAAGGGGCAGAGTGGACTGGAGGGGAAAGAGGGAAGGCATGGTCATCCACATGTTGCAAGGGAAAACGAGCAGTAGGGGAAGAGTCAATTATATATTCCTCTCACTCTCAGTAAATCAGCACATTATATAAGATAACGTGAACATAGAGTAGCTACCTGTGAAGATATTTGACCTTTTATCTGTAGCTATCTGCTTAGGAACAAAAGAAAAGGCAGCTTCTTGCATGACTCAGCTTTCAGATTAATTTTTTCCTTTTGGCAGAGTAAAGTAGGGTCCCAAGTTTTTACTTTCCTTTCACATTTCATATCTCATTCCCCAAATTTTCCTTTAAGATTTTTGGTCAGCTTTTGAGTTGGTCTCAACTGTTGTCACTGGCTCAGGCAACTGCAATATTAAACAATCATCCCTGATTGTTTTTGTTGTTCAGTTTTTTGGTGGGGACAGAGTCTTGCCATATTGCCCAGGCTGGTCTCAAACTCCTGGGCTCAAGCAATCCTCCCACCTCGGCTTCCCAAAGTGTTGGGATTACAGGTGTGAGCCACCACACCCAGCCCCCTGATTGTTTTTGACAAATGCCTCAGGAATTGATGGAAACTGAGTTGAGACAGGAATAACACAGGGTGGTCACAAGAGAACAGAAAATTCCAGGCAGTAGTTTCGCATGGCTAAGCAAAAGGTAACTGTCAGAATAGCTGCAGGGTTGTGAACCAAGCTGGCTAAGACTAACTGGACCCAACATGGCACTGGATTTGACCTAGGTTTCTCCTAGGAATTCATTGTATGCTCATTAACATACTCAATCACATGCCCATCAGTACCATAACAGTTACGGGAATACCTGTATTTGGTGTAAAAATGAGTGGCACCAGAGTTCCAAGAAATCTCTACTTTTTTCCAGGAATCTTCATGAATATTCCACCCCTTTGGTGAAAGAAACGCATGAAGATAGAAACCACAAACCCCATTGTAAGACTCTCTCTTGAGTATGCACACTCCCCTTTTTTTGAGTTTTCCCTTTATAATAAATCTCCACGCTTTCCCTGTTTTCTGACTCATCCTTGAATTCCTTCTCATGATGATGTCAACATTCTGGACACTGCTGGGGTCAAGGTCCCACCTGCTTTTGTGGGCCTCCCTCAGCCCACTGGCATCAGAGCCAGGTAAAATGTTTAAAAGCCCTGTGAATGGAGGTTCCCAGAGAACTTCCTGATAAGTCAAAGAATGACCATGATCTGAGAACGGTGTTTTGAGAGAGCACCAAACCCCTTGTGCCGTCCCCCTCCCCCTCCAGAGGCTGCCAGGCTGTTAGTTTTTAAGGAGACTGCAAAGCTGCGGAGGAGGGTGTATGAGTCCATTCTCACACTGTTATAAAGATACTACCCGAGACTGAGTAATTTATAAAGGAAGGAGGTTTAATTAACTCACAGTTCCACATGGCTAGGGAGGCCTCAGGAAACCCAATCATGGCAGAAGGGGAAGCAAGGAAGCAGGCACCTTCTTCACATGGTGGCAGGCAAGAGACAGAGTGAGGAGTGAAGGAGGAAGAGCCCCTTATGAAACCATCAGATTTTGTGAGAACTCACTCACTATCATGAGAACAGCATGGGAGACCATCCCCCATGATCCAGTCACCTCCCACCAGCTCTCTCCCTACACACGTGGGGATTATGGTGATTACAATTCAAGATGATATTTGGGTGGGGACACAGCGAAACCGTTGAAACAGCTCCATTGTCTGGAGTAAATACCTGGGGTTCATTGTCTCACACCAAGAAAAGTAAGGACACAGTCACACACAAGGAGTGGGTTTAGCACTGCAAAGTCTAATAGACAAAGAAGAGGAAAGGGAGAGAAAGATTTCTCATTTGGAGAAAGCAGGTCACCCAAGAGAGGGTTTCCAGGTTTGGGGTGGAACGTGATTGATTTTGTAGAGAGGCTTGAGGAGGCAGTGATCGAGTTACATAGGGCCCAGGGGATTGGTTTGACTAGGTGTGTCATTTACATAGCCTACGGAGAAACTGGCCCTCCCACCCTAATCGTTTATTATGCAAATGTGACTTCTACCTGGCTGTCGCCGTGACACCTGCACACGTGGCTTTACCTGGCTGATGCCATGAAACCCGCACATATGGTGACAAAGAAAAGGGAGCGGGAATCACCATATTGAATGTACCTGGCTTCCAGATACACCTGCTGGCATTTACATATGCAAGCACCTAGCTTGCATATCTATGCCTGAAGCTTGATTTTTCAGGCTGCTTTCTGTTAGTGAAGAAGTGGTTTGGGGGCTGCTTTTTATTAAAGGAAAATTCCACTGAGAACTCTTTTACCTGCTCTAACTGACTAGAATAATTTCTTAGTAACTCCTGTATTACCATATCAGAGGGGATAGGAATAGCCCAAGTTAAAATTTTCACTCACGTCCGTGTGAAGAGACCACCAAACAGGCTTCGTGTGAGCAATATGGCTGTTTATTTCACCTGGGTGCAGGCGGGCTGAGTCCAAAGAGAGAGTCAGCGAAGGGAGATAGGGGTGGGGCCGTTTTATAGGATTTGGGTAGGTAAAGGAAAATTACAGTCAAAGGGGGGTTGTTCTCTGGTGGGCAGAGTGGGGGTCACAAGGTACTCAGTGGGGGAGCTTTTGAGCCAGGATGAGCCAGGAGAAGGAATTTCACAAGACAATGTCATCAGTTAAGGCAGGAACAGGCCATTTTCACTTCTTTTGTGGAGGAATGTCATCAGTTAAGGCAGGAACTGGCGATCTGGATGTGTACGTGCAGCTACGTGCAGGTCACAGGGGATATGATGGCTTAGCTTGGGCTCAGAGGCCTGACATTCCTGTCTTCTTTATTAATAAGAAAAATAAAACGAAATAGTGGTAAAGTGTTGGGACGGTGAAAATTTTTGGGGGTGGTATGGAGAGATAATGGGCGATGTTTCTCAGGGCTGCTTCGAGCGGGATTAGGGGCGGCGTGGGAACCTAGAGTGGGAGAGATTAAGCTGAAGGAAGATTTTGTGGTGAGGGGTGACATTGTGGGGTTGTTAGAAGGAACATTTGTCATTTAGAATTATTGGTGATGGCCTGGATACAGTTTTCTATGAATTGAAAAACTAAATGGAATAAGAGAAGGAGAAAAACAGGTATAAAAGGTCTAAGAATTGGGATGACTCAGGACATCTGATTAGAGAATGCCTAAGGAGATTCAGCATAGTCCTGCCAGCAAAGATTATTTATTTACTTCAAGAGTTAAGAGTGGCAGTGTGGGGATAGCATGAGGAGATATCAGCTGTGATGGCTTGGAGAAACAGTGTAAACCGGCAGTGTAAACAAGAGCAGAGCATGTATGAGTAGTTGAGAACGGTGAATAGGAGTATGACTAGACAGAAGATAGTAGGGATGACAAGTTTTTTTGGGGCACAGTCTAAGTTGGTCTGGTGTCTGGAATGAGACTGGGGCCTAATAAAAACGAGCATCTATGCAGGAGCTCAAATGGGCTGTACCTCGTAGCATTCTGAGGACAGGCCTGAATTCTGAGAAGCGAAAGTGGTAAAAGTATTGTCCAGTCCTTTTCAAGTTGGTGGCTGAGCTTGGTGAGGTGTGTTTTTAAAAGACCTTTAGTCCGTTCTACTTTTCCTGAAGACTGAGGACTGTGAGGGATATAAAGGTTTCACTGAATACCAAGAGCCTGAAAAACTGCTTGGCTGATTTGACTAATAAAGGCTGGTCTGTTATCAGACTGTATAGAGATGGAAAGGCTAAACTGAGGAATTATGTCTGACAGAAGGGAAGAAATGACTGTGGTGGCCTTCTCAGACCCTATAAGAAAGGCCTCTACCTATCCAGTGAAAGTGTCTACCTAGACTAAGAGGTATTTTAGTTTCCTGACTTGGGGCATGTTGAGTAAAGCTAATTTGCCAGTCCTGGGTGGGGGCAAATCCTCGAGCTTGATGTGTAGGGAAGCGAGGGGGCCTGAATAATCCCTGAGGAGTAGTAGAATAGCAGATGGAACACTGAGAAGTTATTTCCTTGAGGATAGATTTCCATGATGGAAAGGAAATGAGAGGTTCCAAGAGACGGGCTAGCAGCTTGTAACCTACATGGAAGAGGTTATGAAATGACGACAGAATAGAATGGGCCTGTGAGGCTGGAAGGAGGTATTTTCCTCAGTCTAAGAACCATTTGCCTCATGTGGGAAGCGGGAGTAGATGGGAGTTACCGACATGAAGGAGAAAAACTGGCCGTGAGGGACAGAAGTTTGAGAGCTAGCTGCTTGTCTAGCCACCTTATCAGCATAAGCATTGCCTAAAGCAACGGGATCTGATGCCTTTTGATGCCCCTTGCAGTGAATGACCCCAGCTTCCTTTGGAAGTAAAGCGGCCTTGGGTAGAGTTTTTATTAAAGAGGCATTAATGATGGAGGACGCTTGTGTAGTGAGAAAACCTCTTTCAGCCCATATGACCGCATGGTGGTGCAGAATATGAAAGGCATATTTAGAATCAGTATAGATATTGACGCTTAGTCCTTTTGCAAGAGTGAGGGCTTGAGTTAAGGCAACTAGTTCGGCTTGCTGAGAAGTAGTGGAGGGGGGCAGAGCGGTAGCCTCAATGATAGATGTGGAAGATACTATAGCATAGCCTGCCTTTGCTGGTGAGTGGCGATTAAGCCTGGTGGAACTGCCATCAATAAACCAAATGTGATCAGGTTGAGACACAGGGAAGAAGGAAATGTGGGGAAATGGGGTGAATGTCAGGTGGATCAGAGAGATGCAGTCATGAGAGTCAGGTGTGGTATCCGGAATACTGTGGGAGGCCGGATTGAAGTCCGGGCCAGGAACAATGGTAATTGTGGGAGACTCAACAAAGAGTGAGAATAGCTGAAGGAGCCGGGGAGCAGAAAGTATATGTGTCAGGTGTGAGGAAGAAAATAGATTTTGGAAATTATGAGAGCTGTAGAGAGTGAGTTGATCATAGTTTGTGATTTTGAGGGCCTCTAAAATATTAGGGTGGCAGCAGCAGCTGCACGGAGACATCCAGCCTAAAACAGTAAGGTCAAGTTGTTTGAACAAAAAGGCTACAGGACGCGATCCTGGTCCTTGTGTAAGAATTCTGACTACACAGCCCTGCACTTCGGCTGTGTGTAATGAAAAGGGTTGGGATGAGTCAGGGAGAGCTAGAGTGGGGGCAGTCTCTAAAGCTGTCTTCAAGGAACGGAAAGAGGAGTCGGGAAAGGATTTAGGATCTATGCGGTCAGCTAGGTTTCCTTTTGTGAGTTTATATAATGGTTTTGTTAGGATGGCGAAACCACGTATCCAAAGGCGAAAGTATCTAACCATGCCCAGGAAGGAAAGGAGTTGTTGTTTTGTAGAAGGGGTTGGGGTTTGAGAGATCAGTCAGACACGATCAGCAGGGAGAACAAGTGTGTTTTTATGAAGAATTATGCCGAGGTAGGTAACGGATGGAGAAGAAATTTGAGCTTTGGAGGGGGATACCTGATATCCTTTGGAGAATAAATGCTGAAGGAGCAGAAGTGTGTCTTGTTGAGAAGATTCAAAGGAGGGGCTACAAAGAAGAAGGTCATCAATATATTGAATAAGGTGAGAAGCGGAGGGGTGGAAAGAAAGTAAATCATGAGAAAGAGCTTGGCTGAAGTAATGAGGGCTGTCCCTGAAACCTTGCGGCAGCACAGCCCAGGTAAGCTGCTGGGACTGATGGGTGTCAGGGTCAGTCCAGGTGAAAGCAAAGAGAGGCTGGGACAAGGGGTGCAGGGGAATAGTGAAAAAAGCATCTTTAAGATCAAGAACAGAATAGTGAGTTGTGGAGGAAGGTATTGAGGACGAAAGAGTGTACGGGTTGGGCACCACAGGGTGGATAGGCAAAACAATTTGGTTGATAAGGCGCAGATCCTGAACTAATCTGTAAGACTTGTCTGGTTTTTGGACAGGTAAAATGGGGGAATTGTAAGGAGAGTTTATAAGTTTTAGAAGCCCATGCTGTAGCAGGCAAGTGATAACAGGCTTTAATCCTTTTAAAGCATGCTGTGGGATGGGATATTGGCGTTGAGCGGGGTAAGGGTGATTAGGTTTTAATGGGGTGGTAATGGGCATGTGATTGGTTGCCAGGGAAGGAGTAGAGATGTCCTATACTTGTGGGTTAGGGTAGGGGGATACCAGAGGAAGACACGAAGGAGGCTTTGGGTTGGGGAGAAGGGCAGCAATGAGATGTGGCTGTAGTCCAGGAATAGTCAGGGAAGCAGATAATTTGGTTAAAATATCTCGGCCTAATAAGGGAACTCGGCAGGTGGGGATAACTAAAAAAGAGTGCATAAAAGAGTATTGTCTAAGTTGGCACCAGAGTTGGGGAGTTTTAAGAGGTTTAGAAGCCTGGCTGTCAATACCCAGAACAGTTATGGAGACAAGGGAAACAGGCCCTTGAAAAGAAGGTAATGTGGAGTGGGTAGCCTCTGTATTGATCAAGAAGGGGATGGACTTACCCTCCACTGTGAGAGTTACTTAAAGTTCGGTGTCCGTGATGGTCTACAGGGCTTCTGAGGCGATCGGGCAGTGTCAGTCTTCAGGCGCTAAGCCGAGAAGGAGTCAGTCAGAGAGCCCTGGGCCAGAGTTCCAGGGGCTCTGGGAGTGGCCACCAGGTGAGTTGAACAGTCTGATTTCCAGTGGGGTCCCGCACAGACGGGACACGGCTTAGGAGGAATCCTGGGCTGCAGGCATTCCTTGGCCTGGTGGTCAGATTTCTGGCACTTGTAGCAAGCTCCTGGGGGAGGAGGTTCTGGAGGAACACCTGGCCACTGCGGTTCAGGTGTTTGGAAGTTCTTGTGTGCTGGAGATGTGTCTGGGGTTTGTCTCACAGTGGAGGCAAGGAATTGCAACTTTTTTCTATTATTGTACACCTTGAAGGCGAGTGAATTAAATCCTGTTGTGGGGTTTGAGGGCCAGAAGGAGTTTTATTTAATGTCGGGAGCAGATTGGGTAATAAAATGTATATTGAGAATAAGACGGCCTTTTGACCTTTTAGGGTGTAGGGCTGTAAAGCGTCTCAGGGTTGCTGACGAATGAGCCATGAACTGGGCTGGGTTTTTTATATTTGATGAAAAAGAGTCTAAACGCTAACTGATTTGGGAGAGGTCGGATAAAGAAAAAGGAGTATTAACCTTGACTATGCCTTTAGCTTCAGCCACCTTTTTAAGAAGAAATTGCTGGGCAGGTGGGGGAGGACTACTCATGGAATGAAACTGTAAACCGGACCAGGTGTGAGGAGGGGAGGTGATAAAAGGATTATAGGGTGGAGGAGTGGAGGCTGAGGAAGAATTGGGACCTAGCTCCGCCTGGCGAGGAGCAGCCTGGGGAGGTGGGGAGAGGTCAGATGGGTCTGTAGAAAAGGAAGATTAGAAAGACTCAGCGACGCTTGGGGTTGGGACTGAGGGGATAGGCGGGAGGGAAAGAAGGAAGATTTGGGATGAGTTGCATTGGGCACAGAGACTAGGAAGGGACCGATGTGTAAAAGAATGCCTGGACGTCAGGCACCTCAGACCATTTGCCAATTTTATGACAAGAATTATTTAGATCTTGCAGGATGGAAAAATTGAAAGTGCCGTTTTCTGGCTATTTGGAACTACTGTCAAGTTTGTATTGGGGTCAAGCGGCAATGCAGAAGAAAAGACGCTTAGATTTTAGGTCAGGTGAGAGTTGAAGAGGTTTTAAGTTCTTAAGAACACAGGCTAAGAGAGAAGAAGGAGGAATGGAGGGTGGAAGGTTGCCCATAGTGAAAGAAGCAAGCCCAGAGAAAAGAGAGAGTAGAGACATGGAGGGAAGGGGTTCGGGGGTTCTTACCCTCCAGAAAAGTGGGAAAGTGGTCGGGGCACAGAGATACGAGACCGGGGTGTGGAAATAAGGGATCGGGGCACAGAGATATAAGAGGTTGGGGCGCGGAAATAAGGGATCGGGGTGCAGAGATATAAGAGGTCGGGGTGTGGAAATAAGCAATCGAGGGGCAGAGATACAAGGTTGGCATACTTGCCCCTCCCCCAGAAAAATGGGACTTGCCGCTAAAGGTGAAGGAGAAGGGGTTGGGGGTTTCTTGCCCCCCAGAAAGGCAGAGAAGGGGTAGAGACACGGAGAGAAGGTTGGGGTACTTGCCCCTCCCCTTGAAAAGCGGGACTTGCCGCTAAGGGTGAAAGACCAAGGCAGGCGTCCCTGCATGGTCTGACACCTCTGAAACCTGGATTAATAATCAGAGAGGCGTCCCTGCAATGATTAAACACCAAGGGAAGGCTGCCTTGCCTGGTCTGTGACCGGTGCCAGAGTTTTGGGTCCACGGATAAAACCTGTCTCCTTTGTCTCTACCAGAAAATGAAAGGAATTGAAATTAAGAGAAGGGAGAGATTGAAGTGTGGCACCAAGATTGAAAGGAGAAAGAGGTTGAGGGATAGTGAGGGAGGTTGGAGAAGAGAGTAAAAAGAGGCCGCTTACCGGATTTGAAATTGGTGAGATGTTTCTTGGGCTGGTCGATCTGAGGACCTGAGGTTGTAGGTGGATCTTTCTCACGGAGCAAAGAGCAGGAGGACAGGGGATTGATCTCCCAAGGGAGGTCCCCTGATCCGAGTCATGGCACCAAATTTCACTTGCGTCAGCATGAAGAGACCACCAAACAGGTTTTGTGTGAGCAACATGGCTGTTTATTTCACCTGGGTGCAGGCGGGCTGAGTCCGAAGAGAGAGTCAGCGAAGGGAGATGGGGTGGGGCCATTTTATAGGATTTGGGTAGGTAAAGGAAAATTACAGTCAAAGGGGGGTTGTTCTCTGGTGGGCAGAGTGGGGGTCACAAGGTACTCAGTTGGGGAGCTTTTGAGCCAGGATGAGCCAGGAGAAGGAATTTCACAAGACAATGTCATCAGTTAAGGCAGGAACAGGCCATTTTCACTTCTTTTGTGGAGGAATGTCATCAGTTAAGGCAGGAACTGGCGATCTGGATGTGTACATGCAGGTACGTGCAGGTACGTGCAGGTCACAGGGGATATGATGGCTTAGCTTGGGCTCAGAGGCCTGACAAAAATGTCACAAACCTGCTGTTCTTACTGAGATTCAGGCTGTTTTTCTTAAACATTCCTTCAATTGTTGCAAGCCTTTGGATAATTTCCAGAGTTCTGAAAAAGTTGACTTTGACCATTTTTGCCATTGTTCTCATCGCCTTTGTAGAGGAGATGCTTTTCAGAGCTTCTTCTCTGCCATTCCTCCCTGCCCAAGGATGAAAGCACCAAGCTGATGTTCACATGCCCTCTCAGCAAGGAAGCCAGCAGCCATACATGTTAGTGGTTCAGAAAGCTTCAGAACTCAAAATCATTTTTTTTGAAACAGAGCCTTGTTCTGTCACCCCAGGCTGGAGTGCAGTGGCGTAATCTCAGCTCACTGCAAGCTCTGCCTCCTGGGTTCAACCAATTCTCCTGCCTCAGCCTTCTGAGTAGCTGGGATTACAGGCGTGCACCACCACACTCAGCTAATTTGTATATTTTTAGTAGAGACGGGGGTTCACTATATTGGCCAGGCTGGCCTCAAACTCCTAACCACAAGTGATCCGCCCACCTTGGCCTCCCAGAGTGCTGGGATTACAGGCATAAGCCACCGCACCCACTCTCAAAGTTTTTTTTTAAACCTTTGTAACTTCTTCATAATTGTTACTTTTGTCATGCCAAGTCTATTTCTCCACAGGGTAAAATGCCAAGGTCCTGAGGTCCTGGGTTGGGTACTTGTGATAATTGGGTAGTAACTGAGTCACTGTGCTCAGGGAAGATGATTTCATGTGCCCTTTTCTGAGTTCACACACTGAGAATAACATGGTGTGCTCTGTGAGGTTCCTGAGAAAGCTGATATATATATATCAAGTTATACAGTGTAAATTAGCACAATTTGTATTTGTCAATTATACCTCCAGAAAGCTGTTTTTTAAAAATTATGGGGCATGTCAAAGGGCACAGAAGCTAGCTTGAAAGAGCTCCCAAAGCCTAAGCTTGGATAATTTGAACAACAAAATAAATAATGATAGTACTGGATTATAGTCCACAGAATAAAATATGCATGAGTCCATACTGAGCTAATTATATAATTGAATAGATACATAAATGGGGGAAAGGGACAGTTCTTCCTTATAGTAGAATTCCTATTTTAAAATGTAGGAGAGATGAAAAGATGAAAATAGGTAATCACAACTATGCAAACGAATACCGCATTAATAATTGCTGCAGGCAAGAACCATCTAGAAATTCTAAAGTCAATAGGTAAAGTATGGTAAGATATAGGATATTTGCATAATCTCAAAGCATTTTCCTGCAATACTTATTAATTGTGAAGGAAAAATAGCAATTTAACCAGGAGGAACTTGACAGTTCCCCCCTTCTTAACCAAGAGATGAAAGTTAGCATCACTACTAATAAATAAGACGTATCAACATCATGCATCCCCTCATATGATGCACTAAGAACATGGCAGTATTCTCGACAAAGACAGATTACCTCAACCTAATCATGAGAAAATAGCGGACAAACTGAGGGACATTTTACAAGATAATTGACCATTACTCTTCAAAAATGTGAAGGTCGTCGGGTGCAGTGGCTCACACCTGTAATCCTGTAATCCCAGCACTTTGGGAGGCCGAGACAGGCAGATGGCTTGAACCCAGGAGTTCAAAACCAGCCTGGGCAACATAAAAAAAAAAAACCTATATATGTAGTGGGGATAGGGTTTTATATATATTGTATATATATACACTATGTATATACTATATATATATACACACTATATATACTATATATAGTGGGGACAGGGTTTTATATGTAATATATATATGTATATATATATATATATATATATATATATATTAGCCAGGTGTGTTAGTCCATTCTCACACTGCTGTAAAGATAGTACCCGAGACTGAGTAATTTATAAACAAAGGAGGTTTAATTGACTCACAGTTCCCCAATGCTAGGGAGGCCTCAGGAAACTTACAATCATGGCAGAACGGGAAGCAAACACATCTTACATGGTGGCAGGCAGGGGAGAGCCAGCAAGGGAAAACTGCCTTATAAAACCATCAGATCTTGTAAGAACTCACTCACTATCCCGAGAACAGCATGGGGGAAACCATCCCCGTGATCCAATCACCTCCCACCCGGTCCCTCTCTCAACACTTGGGGATTATGGGGATTACAATTTGAGATGAGATTTGGGTGGGGACACAGAACCAAACCATATCACTAGGTGTGGTGGCACGCACCTGTGGTCCCAGCTACTCACGAGGCTGAGGTGGGAGGAGTTCCTGACCCCAGGAGGTCGAGGCTGCAGTGAGCCCTGATGGTCGCGCCACTGCACTCCAGCCTGGGTGACCCTGTCTCAAAAATAAAAATAAAAAATAAAAAAAATAAAGTGTGAAGGTCAAGAAAGATGGAGGAGCTATCACAGATTAGAGGAGTCCAGGAGACAAGACAAATAAATATAATAGAAGATAATGAATCATTGGATCCTGGACAAGAAAAAGAGCATTAGTGAGAAAGCTGGCAAACTTCAAATTATATCTGTGGAGTAATTAACGGTATTGTACAAATGTCCATTTCCTGGTTTCAATTATTGTCCTGCAGTTACTCTTAGGAATGTTAATATTAGGGAACCCTGAGTAAAGGCCAAGCAGAACTTCTTGTACCATTTGTACAACTTTTCTGTAAATCTAAAACTATTTCAACATAAAAAGTTTTAACACTCATTAAACAACTATGTCAAAATTCGTTTTTCCCTGAAAGCACAGTTGTGAACTCTTTCTTTGCTGATAGGTTGCTAACAAAATTATGTGAAAAGCCGCAATCCAGTCATTTGTAACACAGGCACCTTGGGCCTTAACCTTTTCCAGACCACAGCTCTTTAGTAATATACATTTTGGCCAGTAGGTGGCAGCACTTGACCAGTTTACCATCAGCAAAACCCAGGGGAAAAGGGAGCATAAAGAGAGGGAGGTAAAACAATGAGATATCCAGAACACAGGAGCAGAAGGTGACAAAGTCATTATTTGATGGACAGTCACTATAGGGAGATGCCATTTTTATGGGGATTTACATGATGAGGCAGGGAGGAATGAACTTGTAAACAGTGATGTAAGGCTTGGAGGCAAAATTACCTGCCCCTACCCCATCCCCACCCTATCCCCTACGCTTTCCCCTAGCCTGGGGCATCAGGAAGGAGCCCTAAGCATTACTTCTGGGTAATCACTGGGTGATTAATACCACACTGGTGAAAGAAGAATAAAGGGTGACTTGCAAATGTTTCACACTTTCAAAAAAATGAATTACAAAGAAATTATAAATTATATGCTAGTATAGGAAGTTCCATCATTTAAAACATATTTTAAAAATAAAACTATAGCCAAATTATGTATTTGTGTACATATCTATGTATGTATTTGGAGACGATCTTGCTCTGTCACCCAGGCTGGAATGCAGTGGTGTGATCACAGCTCTCTGCAACCTCAAACTACTGAGCACAAGCAATCCTCCTGCCTAAGCCTCCCAGGTAGCTAGGAATACAGGTGTGTGCCACCATGCCCAGCCTCCAAATTTATAATTTTTTGTTGCGGGCCTGGGAGGAGCTCCACTCAATTCTCTTCTGTCTTCTCTCACAAACCCAAAATCTGCTCACCATGTGCAGTTGCCCGAGCCTATACCTGACCACAGTTATCTCAGTTATCTGTTAGTTGCTGAGCCCCGGGGAGGTCAAGAAACTTGTTTTTGTTGTTTTTTTCTGTTTGTTTGTTTGTTTGGTCACCCAGGCTGGAGTGCAGTGGTGTGATCATAGCTCACTGCAACCTTGACCTTCTGGACTCAAGCTATCCTCTCGAGTTAGCTGGGACTACAGGTGTGCACCACCACGCCCAACTGATTTTAAAGTTTTTTGTAGAAATGGTCTCACTAAGTTGCCCAGGCTAGTCTCCAACTCCCAGGCTCAAGGGATCTCCCACCTTGGCCTCCTAAAGTGCTGGATTACAAGCATAAGCCACCGTGCCTGCCAAGAGACTTATTTAAAATACCAAGATTAACAAGTACCAGAGCTAGGACTTAAAGCCAAGACGTTGAGTAAGTCTATTCCCCCTTCCACAGTGCAGAAACCCATTCCAAACTCATGTCTTTTATCTGTGAAGGACAGGCTCAAAGGTGACAAGGATCTGAGTTGCATTTCAGCAGCAGATACCAAGGATTCCCTGATAAAGCTGAGTTTGCCAATTAGGCTGAACCCTCCCAGCCATGACTAAGACATATGAAATATTAATATGTATTTCAATAATGTTTCATATTCTGATTTTCCTAGGCGGGGAACTTCTGGTCCTCATTTCTCTACCCCACCTAACTAACCTTTTCTTTTCCCCAGTGGAAGGATAATTGTTGTGAAATGTAAAACCCAAAGTTTCTGACCAGAGCTTCCTGAAGCTTTTCCCAGAGTGACCTCAATCACTAGGCCTCAAACCAAACAAACAAACAAAGAAATCTATTTAAAGATATCCTTTCTACCACTCCTAATCCATAGCCTACTGCTAATGGACAGATGGGCATGGTGGTGCCTGCTCAGAGAGCTCCCCAGTGCTATCAAAATACTCAGTCAACGCTCACTGCCCAGCAGGCTGCACCTCCTCCCAGCCCACTCAGCAGAGCAGCCACTTGGAAGGATGTGTAGGACATGGCCTTCTGAATCAGCCAGAATCCAGCAGGGCTCCCTGGGACCTAGGCTTGAGGGATATTAGGACAGACAGGAATGAGCTTAAAGAGGCAGTTCCAATGGGAGCTGTTCCTGACTCTCAGGTCCAGGCCCAGGTTGGGGGCCACTAAGGGCAGCTGTCTCTATAGGAACCTCAAGGTCTAGTCCAAATCTTCCAGCCCAGGAAGCTGGAGCGCACCGATAATAGTTGGTTCTTCTCACTGGTTCCTCCTGAGAAAGGACTTCTTAGAAAAGAGAGACTCAGGCATGATTGAGGTTTCTATGCTTGGAGGGCCCTGAAGCCTCAAGTGACTTCCCTCTGCCTTCCCACCCAACAGGGAGTCTTTATTGTTCACTTTCATTCATAATATACTGAGACCCAGAGGGCAGGTTGTAGTCCTGGGACATGCTTTTTTTTTTTTTTTTTTTCCTGCTTTGGAACTTCTTGCTACATCTGCAGCTGAATGTGATAGGATCTGGGTAAGAGGGCTTGAATACTGTGATGCAAGAACCCTGGCTTTACATAACACATGTCCTGCTCTGCTGATGGTGCAAAACTTAATACAAGAACTCAACACCCACAAAGAGGTAACTCAAGAATCACAGCCATGTATGGCTGCAAACATTTTGATTTGCTGTAATTTCCTCTCCACACACCCCATCCCAGTTGTCAGTAATGACACTTGCTTCTGAGCAACCAGCACAAAAATGAAAATGTAGCATAGCCATGTTTATCCTGGTCTGGTAACCTTCAAGAACTCAAAGTTCAAGGAGAGGAAAAACACTGTTTTTTTAACTTCAGGGTACATCTTTTGCAAATAAAACTTTTTTTAGAGTCAAAATAACATTTTTACATGTAGCCAAATGGTATGGTTATATTCCTTTCTGCGTAAGGATTTTCTGGGGAAAAAATTAAATAAAATAATTATATTCTTTAATATATAATTCCTAATTAAAACTCAAATTTCCCAAATTGTCCTAAAAATGTCCTTTATACTTGGTTTCTCTAAACTAAGATCCAATACAAGACGATACATTGCACCTGTTTTTTAATGTCCCTATAGTCTCTCAATCTCTAACAGTCTCTTTCTGTCATGCTACTGACTGTTGACATGGCATCAGCTGACCTGCCAAATGCCAGGCCTCCTGGATGTGTCTAATGGCTTCTTAGTGATGTTATACAGCTTTTTCTCTATTCTTTGAATTTTTTGTAACCTGGAAGTTAGATCTAAAATTTGAGATTCAGGTAAACGTTTCTAAACTGACAGAATGCTAAGTGTATCTTATAAATGGAGAAAGTGTCACACGGAAAAGCTGAGTGACATAAATGATCATTATACAAGTTATATAAAGTATCAAACATGTATGAAACTGGTACTTCTCAGTTAGACCACATTTATCTTAATCTCATGAAACACAAAACCTACTTATTTATTCATTATATGAATGGAGTCTACTTAACTCTAACCTTAGAATCAAGTAAGTCACAAACATGAAATGTTTTGTATAGAAATCAGAATGTTACAGGCTTCTACAGGAAACTCCCTTGTGTTCTCTTGGGAAATGGATTTGTCTGTTTTTATTTTTGACTTACAACGCTATCCTGATCTCACTCCTCATTCTGGGCAAGGCCCAACCCCTTCTACTTTCACAACTGCTCTGCCTGGTCTCTACCTGCACCCTAAACCCATAAGGGACAAAAGCAAGAGTAGCAGCAACAAATTCAGGTAGAAGAAGCCTGGATATGTGAAGGTCTACCTTGCTCTCAAAGTTTATAAGCACTTCTCTTGGCAAAACTTAACTTACTCCTAAAATATTTTGCCAGGTTTTATTGAATAAATACTGTTTTATGAGCTTATCTCTTACTAAAGCAAGCCACCTTAAGGTGGCCTTGGCATTTTTTGTTTGTTTGTTGAAGGAAATATTGAGCCTCTCAATCATCCTTAAGCCAGGCCAGCTTCTACCCTCTGTTGTGGTGACCATGGAACACAGGGCAGCTGCTGGGAAGGATGAAATCCCTCTCCAAGTGCTAAGTTACCCTTGGAGCAAAAGCAAGGAGGCAAAAAGAGGGAGGGCTATAAAGGGGTATATATTATACATATGCCTGAATATGTACAGAATATTTCGGGAAGCCCAGATAAGGCTGCTAAGTGTGATTGCTGGGGGATGGGGGTTGGCGAGATGGGGAATAACTGGGGTACTGAGGATACTGGGGAAGAAGAAGACCAATTTTAATGTATACTCTTTTTTTTTTTTTTTCTTTAGAGACAGGGTCTCACTCCACGGTACAGGCTGGAGTACAGTGGTGGAGTCATAGCTCACTTCAGCCTCCTGAGTCGCTGGGACCATAGGCACATGCCACCATGCTGAGCTAATTTTTTTTTTTTTGTAGAGTCAGGGGCCTTGTTTTTTGCCCTGGTCTTGAACTCCTAGCTTCAAGTGATCCTCCTGCCTCAGCCTCCCCAACTGCTGGGATTACAGGCATGAGTCACTGTGCCCAGCTATATACCCTTTTGTACTATTTGAATTTTGTTTTACCGTGTGCACATATGACTTTTTCAATAAGCACAGGTTGTTTTGTTTAATGCATTGATGTATAATGTTACCATTCTTGGGAGGATTACATTTGAACATGACTTCAGCTAAAGGAATCTGTCACTGATAGAATTTCAGGTGGCTGGCCAAGTAGGGTGGCTCACATCTGTAATCCCAGGACTTTGGAAGGACTAGGCGGGAAGATCACTTGAAAGCAGGAGTTCGAGACCACCCTGGGCAATATAGCAAGAGTCTGTCTTTTTTTTTTTTTTTTAAAGGAAAAAAGGAAAAGAATTTCAGGTGGCTGACTCTCTAGCTATTAAGGTAGAGGAGGTAGTTTTTGCTAGAAGAAAGCCCTTCCCAACTCTTCTGAAGTTATGATGACAGCTCAAGACGGAGCCGACCATGTTTCTGGGAGAAATTCTATGGTGGGCTATACTTGTATTTAGGCAGGTCTCCAGCAAGAGAATGTCCTAGTCAAGAAAGTGCGGCTATGGCCTTCACTGTCCCTCGACAAGGTGAAACCTGCTCTCTCCCCCAGCCAGAGGAGAGAGAGGTATTTTTAACCTTGGTGTTGGCTAACGCAGGGTTTCAGGTATTCTCCGGGGTGTACTATGAGACAAGAAAGCCACGATATAACACTTAGACTCATTTGCCCTATCTCAATGTGCTGGTTTTATGCACCTTGGAGAATTGGACCATAAAAGCTGTAATAAGTGAAAACTATTTATTATGCTTCTCCAGTAACCCTTTGGCTATTGTCTTTCTTTTGCTTCTGAAGCAGAAGTGCAGTGCAGCAGTGGGTCGCTAACCTTACCCTCACATCCTTTGGCAAGGGGATAGAAAAATTACCTCCATAGCATTTGCCTTAAGTAGACCAGGAAGAGAAACCAGATTTGGGTCTATTACAAAAGAACTAGAATTACAGGAAGGTTATTTAGGTTCTCTTCAGAAGGTGGCATGCGTTAGTCATTAGATCTAATGGCACGTGCGTGAGACAAACCAAGTCAACAGGAAATGGATCATGCCATCTGTGAGAAGAGGACAAAAGTTGAAGCATGTGTGCTATGCAGAGTCTTTGCAGATTTGGGGAGGGTGGATTTTTCTCTCACCAAAAGAAGGAGTGGAGAGATGTTGATTTCCAGAATTGATTAACAGAAGAGGATGCAGACACTTCACTTAAATAAATATATCCCCACAAGCTACCAGCTGAGCAACTGCTGGGCTAGAAAGTAACTTGAGTTTAGACCCATTTGGAGATAACTGTCCCTTCCATAAAGAGAAAAGAAGGCTAAATTTAAGCAGGTGGTGAGTTTGGTTAAAAAAGAAAGGCAACAGCTTCGGAAACCACCAGCATTCTGATTACAAGGCTATGTGATCCTTTCAGAAACTGGAGCCTATTCAAGAATCTAAATCAAATTCAGTTTAGGTTTTTGGGGTTCAAACTGGTCTAAGAACAATCCTGACCTCCTAGCAGTCTCTCAGTCAATGAAGAATGGGCTTCTCTTGTATCATGGATATAGAATACACCTAGTTGCAAGGCAGGGACAGGGTAATATACAGTTTATAGCTGTCCAGACTCCAAATGCTTGTTGGAACCCCTCAAGAAGCCCTTTGGGGCTGGAAGGGAGGAGGGCTACTTCCAGATTTCTGAGTCACCTCAAAAAAGGTAGCCTTGGAAGCCAACTCCTCTCTGCTGCGGTCTCTGCATTTTACATCTCCATTCTCCTCTTTCTACCCCTTCAGCTTCCTAACTATTCATCGTCCCTCTTCTTCCTGACTGGGATTCATGTATTAGCTTTTTAAAAATGAAACCCCAAGAATCACTTGAACCCGGGAGGCAGAGGTTGCAGTGAGCTGAGATCACGCCACTGCACTCCAGCCTGGCAACAGAGTGAGACTCCACCTCAAAAAAAAAAAAAAGAGAGAAGAGAGAGAGAAAAGAAAGAAATCCTAATATAATAAAATTATTATGACCATGTGGCTATATGACCATTAAATATTTGTTTTGCACTTCATTCCTTTTTATTTCTTCAGCAAAATGAAATGACCCAATTAATTGCAGAACCCTGAAATCTCACTAATTTTTAAAATCAGAATTCATTTACAGACTCTGATCCCTTATTGTAAGTGACTTTATGTAGTTACGGTCTAAAACCTATTACCAAACAGACTTAACTAAACAATCTTGGTTCTTCTGGCCTGCTTTTTAATTGGAAGAGGAATCTGGAAACCATTACAAAATAGACTGCAAATGAGTCACAACAGGTGACTGTATTTTCCTTTCCGGTTTGAGGCAGTGCAAGATAAATTTAGTTTCTATTATTTTTTTTGTTTCTCAGGAAGATCAGAACTTGCTAAATAAATTAGGATTACTGATCTGATCCCTTCAATTTTCATTTCCTTTCAGGGGTGTTTCTGATCAATAATGAAAGGTCTTTTCATTACTCCAGGGCTCCCTGGAATCAGGCCTGAGATGTGATCTTTTTGTTGTTAAAACATGTTTGGACCACTTAATATCCACAGTCAACTCTATGGTTCATGCAGTCTTTTTAATGTAATACTGACAGCGAACAGGTTTCTGGCTCTTGGTTTTTTATTTTATATTCCCTCATTCCAGAAACATGAAATCGGCACACATTGTGTCTAGGATTGTCCTATGAGCTGCATGAGGGAAGAGGTGTACGGTCTGACCTCTGTTTTCAAGGAAATAGTTGGTAACTCTTTTTTTTTTTTTTTTTTTTTTTTGAGACAGAATCTTGCTCTGTCGCCCAGGCTAGAGCGCAATGGTGTGATCTCAATTCACTGCAACCTCCACCTCCCGGGTTCAAGCGATTCTCCCGCCTCAGCTTCCCCAGTAGCTGGGATTACAGGCACCCATCACCAGGGGTAATTTTTTATTTTTGTAGAGATGGTGTTTCACCATGTTGGCCAGGCTGGTCTAGAACTCCTGACCTTAGGTGATCCACCCACCTCGACTTCCCAAAGTGCTGGGATTACAGGCGTGAGCCACAGTGCCCAGCCAGTGACTAATTCTAAGGAAGCCTAAGTGACAATAAATAATGCATAAATAAGTGCTAAGAGTTTAAGGAGGGAAGTATTCCTGTGGGAGATGATTTCTCAGGAAGATATCACAGAAGAAAGCCGTGAAATCAGCATTTAAGGAAGCAGTGGACTCTGAGGCACTTCAGGCAGTGTGGCAGACCAGACACTCTGAATAGATACCCCAACAGAACAACTAGACCTGCATGGAAACATGCTTTTATTTGCATCAGTGAGCTTGTAGGAAGTAAGGGAAATTCCCCGGGGGCAGGGATGAAAATATGAGCTGAATCCAAATGATGAATAGCAGGTGCACAGGAAAGCTGCAGTTACCCTAAAGGCAAACCCTAACAAACTGCCCTATGGAGGCTGTATTAGTCTGCTTGGGTTGCCATAACAAAGTACCATAGACTGGGTGGCTTACACAATAGAAATTTATTTTCTCACGGTTCTGGAGGCTAGCAGTGCAAAATCAAGGAGCTGATAGTGTTGGGTTCTTCTGAGGCTGCCCTCCTGGGTCTACAGATGGTGGCCCTCTTGCTGCCTCTTCCCAGGGTCAACCCTGTGGGCACACCTCATTGGTGTCTCTTCCTCTATAAAGACACTAGTCATATTGAATTACAGTCCCACCCCAAGGGCCTCATTTTAAGTTAATCGCTTTTTAAAAATCTTAACTGAAAATGGTTGCATTCTTAGGTAATGGTGGTTGCGACTTTAATATATGAATTTGAGAAGGACATGATTCAGGCCATAACAGAGCCTAAGACTTGGGTCAGCAGCAAAGTGAAGGTGCTGAACCCTAGACCTCAGAGTAAGCCAAGGACCCTGGAAGACGTCAAATGTTCCCATGTGGGCAGTGCCTCCTGCGTGCAGATACAAATGAAAATTTCCTCTGAAAGAAAGCAATCTCAGTTTACGCCCTAAGGTTTCCTACAGATTAAGATCAAACAAATGTACAAACACTACCAAAGATCAACATGGGTAAGAGGAGCCTGGACACAGTGGCTCACACCTGTAATCCCAACACTTTGAGAGGCCGAGGTGGGAGGATAGCTTGAGCCAAGCCTGGGCAACATAGGGTGATCTGGTCTCCACAAAAAATAAAAAATTAGCCAGGCATGGTGGCACACACCTATAGTCCCAGCTACTCAGGAGGCTGAGGCAAGAGGATGGCTTGAGCCCAGGAGGTTGAGGCCGCAGTGAGCTGTGATCGAGCCACTGCACTCCAGCCTGGGCAACAGAGCAAGACCCTGTCTCAAAATAAAACAAAAATAGGGGCAAGAGAAACCATGAGTGAGCATCAGCAAAAACAACAGAGTTAGAACCCTCCTAAAACTTTAAGTACTAGAATTATCAGATAAAGAGTATAAAATAAAACTGTATGAAATGTCTAAAGAAATAGAAGTTAGAATCACACACAAAGAAAAAAGAGACAATCAAAAATGATGGAGGTGGCCGGGCATGTTGGCTCACACATGTAATTCCAGCACTTTGGGAGGCCAAGGCAGAAGGATCGCCTGAACCCAGGAATTTAGGACCAGCCTGGGCAACATAGTAAGACCCCATCTCTACAAAATAAAAAAAAATTAAAAAATGATAGAGCTGATTGAAAAAAGATTCACATAGAAATTTAAAAATAAAAACATGAATATAGAAGCCACTGAATTAATATACTCTGAAGATGTCTACTATTTATATATATATGAATTTTTAAAAAGCTCAATGGAAGGATTAAATAGATTAGAAACAGTTGAAGCAAAAATTGGCTAACTGGTAGTGAGATCTTAAAATGTTTAGATGTTAGAAAATGTTCAGCATATGTCTAACTAGAGTCTCAGAAGGAAAGATCAGAGAGACTGCAAGAGAGGCAATATTTGAAGAGATCATTGCTGAGAACTTTCCAGAATGATGAAAGATAAGAATCCACAGATCCAGTAAGAGCAATCCCCACAAAGAAAAATAAATTTCTTAAAAATCGAAACCTAGGTATATCATAGTAAAATTTGCAGAACACCAGAGATAAAGGGAAGATCTTTTCTCAGAGAAAAAAGACAGATCACCTATAAAGGTGCGTGGCAATAGACAGCAGAATTATACTTTCAAAGTTTGACAAAAAAACTCCTGACAATTTGGGACTGTACATCTATCAAAACTATTTTCCAAGAACAATAATGAAATGAAAATGTTTCCAGATAAACAAAAATTGAATTTACCACCAATGGGACCTGCACTAAGGGAACTTATAAAGAATCTTGTTTTCATTTGAGTTTCCTCCAAAATATGAGTGCCAGTATTTTACTTGCAAGGTGATCTCAGGAAATAGTTGTAGGCAAGTAGGAAAGTGAGAGAGGAAAAAGGAAAGGAAGCCAAAAAAATTTCATTATCAAGCAAGTCACCACCATTGGCAACCGGAGCTTAATCCTACTGAGGAACCCTGGGGCCAGGAGAGAGAATTCTCAGTTTTCCATCCTAAGGGGCAAGAGAGCTGGGGTATTCAACAACTCCCTGCAGACTCTTGGGAACAGGCCCCCCAAAATCTGGCCATAAACTGGCCCCAAAACTGGCCATAAACAAAATCTCTGCAGCACTGTGACATGTTCATGATGGCCATAACTCCCGGGCTGGAAGGTTGTGGGTTTATCGGAATGAGGGCAAGGAACATCTGGCCCACCCAGGGCGGAAAACCACTTAAAGGCGTTCCTAAGCCACAAACAATAGGATGAGGGATCTGTGCCTTAAGGACATGTTCCTGCTGCAGATAACTAGCCAGACCCATCCCTTTGTTTCAGCCCATCCCTTTGTTTCCTATAAGGAATACTTTTAGTTAATCTATAATCTATAGAAACAATGCTTATCACTGGCTTGCTGTTAATAAATATGTGGGTAAATCTCTGTTCGAGGCTCTCAACTCTGAAGGCTGTGAGACCCCTGATTTCCCACTTCACACCTCTGTATTTCTGTGTGTGTGTCTTTAATTCCTCTAGCGCTGCTGGGTTAGGGTCTACCTGACTGAGCTGGTCTCCGCACAGACCTTATTTGAGGGCTGTTCCCAGGAGACATTACTTCCCCCTCATTTTTTGCCTGCTTCCAGCAGAAGCAGAGGGGCTGCAGCAGCCAGAGAGAGCCCTTGGGCACAATCACAGGTGTTGAGAGTGCGAGGGCCAGTTGAGCTTGCAAATTGTGCTGAGAGGATGTGGAAGGGCTACTGGCATTGTCTACTACTAATGGACTGCCTGAAATGGAAAATGATGGCAAAGGGAAGATCTGGCATGCTATAGGAAATAATGAGTCAATATATTGGCAAACATGCAGGTAAATCTAAACACTTTAGGTATAAAATTATAATATTAGGATCTAATTTGTAGTTCAACAATAAAACAAAACAGAACTAAAATATCAGACACTAGCATATTTTAAACTAGTGTCTGTATCACTGTTATGGGCAAGAAATTAAAACTTTGGGACTATAAGGTTTTTTAAAAATTGTATTAGTCCGTTTTCACACTGCTAATAAAGACATACCTGAAACTGGGTAATTTATAAAGAAATGAGGTTTAATGGACTCACAGTTCCACACGGCTGGGAGGCCTCGCAATCATGGCAGAAGGCAAATGAGGACCAAAGGCATAGCTTACATGCTAGCAGGCAAGAGAGTGTGTGCAGGGGAACTGCCCTTTATAAAACCATCAGATCTCATGAGACTTATTCACTATCACGAGAACAGCATAGGAAAGACCCACCCCCATGATTCAATTACCTCTCACCAGGTCCCTCCCACAACATGTGGGAATTATGGGAGCTACAATTCAAGGTGAGATTTGGGTGGGGACACGACCAAACCATATCAAAAATAAAATAAAATTTGATCATCTGGATTGGTAGAAGGAGAAAGGAATGTCAACTGAGTTCACCTGATGAAGGAGAAGCTGAGAGGGGAGCTTGTAGTAGCATCAGCTTCCAGAAATGGAGAGCTTGAATGGAGCGGAGAAGTTGGGATGGAAAATGGCCAGAGAGGCAAGGTAAGAGGAGGCTAGCTAGAGAAAAACTTTGAAAACCTAACATTTTATCCCATAGGCCTTGGCCCCACCTTTTTTCTGTCACATACTTCATCATTTAAAATGCTTTGAACTTGTACCACTTTATAAAATATTCACACTATTTTACTAATATATGCATTGTAAAACATATGCTCACAAAGAATTTTTTAAAATGAGAGATTAGAAAGTATAAGCATTTCAAATAATATTTAATATAATTATTCCTTAAAATAATAATTTAGGGGTGAATAAATAAGATGGGCTAAGATTGATTATTTTGAAAATCTTGACTTACAGAAGACTGTTATATGCTGACACTGGGTTTTAGGGCTGTCACGGCTGATAAAAGACACTTTACCAAAGTAAAGCCGACCCAAAAGAAGAAGCATGCTTATAAATTAAAATTACTTTTTCAATCCCACATACCATTACGCAAGCATTTTTGTTGAAATTCAGCTAGGAAATGTTCATATTCTTTTATTTCAATCAGTGATAATAGCACATCCATCAAAAAGAGCCGATTTACTTTTTTGTAACAAGTGAGTCCAAAGCTCATTGAAATTCTTCATCAGAATGATTTTTAAACAATTTAGAAAATTATGTTTCTGATGTTTTTAAAGCAGCCCCTGCTAGGAGGCCACCGCAGGCACCTGGGTGGGAGGATTAAGGACCACAGGTAGTGTGGAAAGGAGGGAGAAGGGGTCTGAGGACAAATTTGGCAAGGATTTGGTAATGGCATATAGGAGGAGGAGGAACAAAAAGAAGGCAAAGGCTAGGACTGTAATTACCTAGGTTAGGTTCTTTCAGGTTGCAAGATGCAAAAAAAAAAAAAAAAAAAAAAAAGAAGTCAAACTACTTCCGTAATGGGAGATTAATATAAGAATGTATGGAAACCTAAAGAGGACAAGAAACCATCTCCAGAACTGCACCGCTGGCTTCACAGAAAGTGTCACTCATGAAATTTCAAGATGTCACATAGCTCTGGTCACCCAGTGTCAACCCAGGGCTCACCGCATTCTCCATCAGCAACTGAATTTGTGACTCCATTCCTCACAGCCTGCTTTTGGCTCATGTTTTCCTCCTACCCACAGCTGACTGACTCCCGCCCTCTCCCTGTCTACCTCATGCCCCCTCTTGTTCATGGCTTCTACTGCCTCATGACATCTCTCCAGTGCTTTCTCTGGGTCTCTCTCCAATTCAACACCAGTTCACTCATTCAGCATCTGCTCTATGGCCTCATGTGAAAAGTCTCCAAGAGACAGAGTATGACGGGTCCCATTACCACCATGTTGGTCGAAGGGCTTAGGTGAGGCTGGTCACAGGTCACTGCCCAATCTTCAGATGGCTGCCTTTGGAGCAGGTGTCCATGCCTGGCCTGGTGGGTCGTGCCTCCATGGCACAAGTTATGGCAACCTGCCTATAGGGAATGGGCTGCGGGCCTGCAAACAATTTCCGGCTCCACCTAAGTGAGCTAGATAATGATCAGGACACTTGCACAGTGCCCATTATAGTCTGGATATGTGAAGATGGGGTATTCTGGATATGGCTTGTTATACAACAATGGTCAGTTACATGCATGTATGCATTTCATGTAATACCTGAAGGTTGACTTCAGGTATTGACATAGGAGATAATAACAAAAGAGTTATTATTACTACCACCAGTACTAGACATATGAGATGCTATGTGGTTAAGATCTCAGACTTTGGAATTAGACTCCCTGGGGTCATATCCCCAACACTGTCGCTTACTGGGTGTGTGACCTTGGGAAAATTACTTAACTGATCTGTGCCACAGTTTCCTCATCTATAAAATGATTATCATAAGACCTATCTCATCAGGTTATTATGAGAGTTAAGTCAGTTAGCATATTTAAATCACTTAGGATAGTGCCTGGCATAGAATCAGCACTACATGAGTACTTGCTTGTTTTACTTTAATTCATGAGTTAAACAACTAGATACCAGCCCATGCATTATATCTGCCATTGTGGTCACTCTGATTTATGGTTTATCACTCAGTGTTATCTTGCACTGTTTTAAAATTCTTTCTTGCTGCTAGTGTTGGCTCTGTAATAAGATTTTATACTTTTATATGGTTTATACTTTAATATGTATAAAATTAGTATTTTCTTACTCAGAATTTTTAAACTACTTCCTTTGTTTTCATCTCACAGCCAATTCTAGGACTTCCCAGTGTGATAAGCCCAAAGATAAGAATTCTGGAAAAGGAAATAATTCTTATCATAATAAATATTCTGTTTACTTCCCTTGCTCTTACATTTGTCTCAGGATGTTTGTTACATTGTCAGAGTTTGATTGATTTCCCTCTGGAAAAGGTCAACTTCTCTGGAACATTTGATGTCATTATTTAGAAAAGAAGTAGGTGTTACATGTTTATTAAAAGTGATCCACAAGAGTGATTCAGAAACTGAGAGGCATACATTGATATTTTTTGCCTCGATAATCTTGCTGGCTTGCCTACACATACTTGAGTTTGAACGCTGGTTCCAATTAATCTTTTACACAGTAATCAATAGTTGATAGGGTTTTCTGTAAGTATTGAAACTATAATGTTAATTAATGTATAAGCAAACCGTCATGATGTCTTCATATTTTGAGACCGCATACCCTAATTGTGGGACATAAAATCTACACAGCAACAAGCCAGTAGATACAGCAAGCAGTGGCTCCGTCACTCCTGGGACACGCGGTCAGCCCATCCCTGAGCTGAACCCCGGATTGTCCTTACCCTGTTACCTCAATTATCTTCAGTAGCTTTACCCTCAAGGAGTTGGGTTTGGAGCCTGAGCAGAGCTCCACTCCTCTCCTTCAGGGGTCAACCATGGAGCCAGGGGAGTGATCCATAGACCATCCTTCCTTCCCAAAGCCCCAGGAGAGAGAGGACCATCTCATGCCTCCCCAGTTTCCCTTTCAGATGGCCAAAGGCACCAGCAGGATGGCCAACCTTCCAGCACATTCTCTCTATGAGCGTTATTGTCATGCCGTAGAATCAAGTGTTTTCCCTCTTCCCCACTGAACCAGGTACAGGCTAAAATGCCACGACTGATAAGAGAGAGGGAGGCAGGGAATTTCACATCAGATGGCTCAAAAGGTCAGGGCACATACTTCCAAATTAAAATTAGTATTGTAGGGGCTATGGAGGTGACACTTTAAGATATTTTATTCCTCCCCATCTGTATACCCATGATGAAGTTCTTTTAGATTAGGAATGGTAGCATTGTCGACTATATCAGTAGTACATCGTTGTCTACTGACGATGTACTACTGATGTAGTCGACAATGCTACCATTCCTAATCTAAAAGAACTTCATCGCAGAGAGCTACTCCTCAGTCTACACATGTCCCATCATCTCCAGATGCCCCACGATCTCCAACACTTGAAATAGGGTCAAATGGAATTATGCTGCCTTGGTGCCTCCCAGCAAACTCAAATATTCATGCTCATACAATGTGCAGGAACATAAACCTGTGACCATCAACATCATCATTAAAGCATTTTAAAAGCCCCCGTTGTGGACTCAGTGTAATCCTGAGTGCTAGAGAAATACCAAAAAACACAAGAGATTTTTCCTGCCCTGAAGAAAAGTATAAATCTTATTAGAAAGCCAAGACTAGCAATATGAAATAATTTGAAATCAGTGTAAAATAACATTTAATCAGAAACTGTACCTTAAATCAGACCCAAATGGCAGATGCAATGCATCCTGGAGCATATGGCCCTGGAAAAAGTAGAAAAGTATTTACTCTTTATGGACCTGTTTCCTTGCTGATTTTTTCTTTTTTTTCTTTTTTTTTTTTTTTTTAGACAGAGTCTCACTCTGTTGCCCAAGCTAGAATGTAGTGGCATAATCATAGCTTACTGTAATCTTGAACTCCTAGGCTTAAGCAATCCTCCTGCCTCAGCCTCCTAAAGTACTGGGATTACAGGCATGAGTCACTGTGCCCGGCCTCCTTGTTGAATTTTTTATTTTGTTTTTAGGCAGAAATAATATTAATCTCTTACCATCCTTTGCATCATCCTGTGACGCATAAGTGTAATGAAGTATGTGGCAGCACTTTGAAAAATTCTTAGTACCTATTCAAATGTAAGGCATTATCATTACTGCTGTGATCATTGCCATTATGATTATTAATACAATACCTGGAGTTCAGAGAAGGGAAGGATCCTGGTACTCAGGGAAGCCTGCCCAGAAAAGGAAGTACCTGAGTACTTGGGCCAGCTTCAAAGGAGGTGCAGAATTCAGAAGGGGCGTGAAGAGCCCTGTCTTGGAAGCTGGAGGGGAGGACAGCAGGAGCAGAGGCAAGGAGAGATGTGTGAAAGGTATGAGGTATCAACTGGGTACCAGCTTGGCTGAGCAGAAGGATTGCCTAGGGGAGGAACTGAATGCATATTTGGATGGATCAAAGGACTAGCCAGAGCACATCATCTAGGCGGTGAATGGCATGAGTTCTACGGCCAGAAAGGAAGGGGTTGGCATTTCCTTCGTTCAAGGCTAGGGATTTGCTTAGAAAAAGGGAAGTCTACTCACCAGTTCAAACATCCAGACTATTGAAATGTCTACTCACCAGTTCAAACGTCCAGACTATTAAAATACTTCTTTCTACTCCTTCTTCCGAGCACTGTCCCATTCTTCCAGGTGAGTGTATTCTTTTACTCAAGCTTTGGTTGTGTCCAGCCCAGAGCTTGGCAGATAGTACCCCATTGTTAGTACTAGTTGGATTGAACCATACTACAGGCATTATCTTCCATAAGCACTAGTGCTCCCCAATTCCTTTAAGTGACCAATGACCTCATTCTATGCCAATCAATGCTCATTTCTGTGTCTTCAACCTCCTTGACCTCTGCTGAATCTGTGCCTGGTCCTTACTCATTCTACGTTTCATAGAAGGCTGTATTGTCTCCATGGTGCTGGGAACAACTCTATCTATCTCTGATTCCCAGACAAATAGCTTCAGAATTCTGCCTAAAATGTAAACCAATGAGGTATTTATTCCTGTAGACTCACTGTTCTTTTAAAATACAAATGCATCTGGCAGGGCGCAGTGGCTCACGCCTATAATCCCAGCACTCTGGGAGGCCGAGGCAGGCGGATCACGAGGTCAGGAGATCCAGACCATCTTGGCTAACACGGTGAAACCGTGTCTCTTCTAAAAATACAAAAAATTAGCCAGGCATGGTGGCGGGTGGCTGTAGTCCCAGCTACTTGGGAGGCCGAGGCAGGAGAATGGCATGAACCCAGGCACAGAGCTTGCAGTGAGCCAAGATTGTGCCATTGCACCCCAGCCTGGGTGACAGAGCAAGACTCCATCTCACAAAAAAAAAAAAAAAAAACAAACAAAACAAAACAGAAATGCATCTGAGGTAGCTAAAGAGATCTAAGACTCACAATTCATTGTTAATTATTTCAATTAATTTATTTTTCTTCTACCATCTACCTATGAGCCACACTTGAAGGAATGAAGGAATGCCTGTTTTGACGAGTTTAGGTGGAAGCAAAGGTCATCTTGAAGATAAGGGAGGGTTTTGCTTAAATGAAGAGCAGAATGAGGACACCATTAAAACTCAACCTTGCCCTCAAACACATAGCCAGATACGCCCACTCCTCACCAAGGCTTTTCTCCTCCTGACTGACAGCCTCAGGAGGGAGACACCTTTTATTCTCAAGGACAGTTTCAAATAAAAATAAATATAAGTTACTTTCCTTTCTCCACATATGTCCTGTGCGGTTCTCAGGAGGGAATCCCTGGCTCCTTTCCGGGATTGATTTCAAGATTTCCAGTCGCAAGTGCTCAAACCACATTTTACATCTGCCTCCCCCAGCTCATCCACCAGTGAGCTGCAGGGAGTGGATATCAGCCAGAGCTACCCTGACTACAACTTGAGCTCATTTTGAAATCTAACTTCCAGAACCCACCTATTCTGGAATGTTCTGAGAGGATAACACTGAGCCACATGACAGCCGAGGGAATATTTCTCCCTTTCTTCTTGTGTTACATCATTAGGCCCTAAAATAGTGCCTTTTGTCCACACTTTGTCCTCTCAGAGAAGCAAGAAGGCAGCTTCCAGTTCTGCCCTGTAGGGAGTTGGGGGAGTGACCGATACAGTCAGTCAGATGCGAGTAAAGGTCAAGCTGCCTGCTCTCTCTCCCTAGCTGAGACCTGCCCGCATGCAGTCCTCTCTAATTTTGTTCCCTTGCATCCAGCAGAGCAGGATGAGGGCTCAGGGCCTACCTTCTGGAGGCTGATGTCCCGCGGCTCTCTTCTCTGTGTTTAACAGGGAATGAGAGCAGAGACTCCCTTCCCAGCATAGGCAGGTCAAGTGTGCTCTGAAGAGAACTCTCTCTATGCATAGGTAGAAATGATGGACCAAACTCGGTTGGTAGTAGCCCCTATCCAGGCCACGGTGGTAGCTGTGTTCCCTGGTCCAGCTTTACCATGAGTAAAGACGCATTTTGATTTCCATTACATTTGTATGCCTATTTTTCAACTGATTCAGAACCAGAAAAGAGGAAGCATATGATTGCCTGGTGTTCCTAAGATGTCAACAAAGATTGAGGGGAATGACTTAGCAAGGAATTCTACTCCCTTGCTTCTCCATGTCCTCTGAAGAAAGAGGAAGAATCTACTCTAATACGTTTTCTTTCTTTTTTTTTTTTTTTGAGACGGAGTCTCACTATACTCCCAGGCTGGAGTCCAGTCACACGACCCCAGCTCACTGCAACCTCCACCTCCTGCCTCAGCCTCCCAAGTACCTGGGATTACAGGCACCCGCCGCCACGCCTGTCTAATTTCTGTTTTTAGTAGAGATGGGGTTTTACCATGTTGGCCAGGCTGGTCTTGAACTCCTAACCTCAAGTGATCCACCCGCCTTGGCCTCCCAAAGTCCTGGAATTACAGGCGTGAGCCACTGTGCCTGGCCATACATTTCCTTAGTAGCCATATTGGGCCCACCTCTACCCCTAGCTTTTACCACCCCTGTTTGAGACCTTGGGTTTACCAAATGCATTCTGTGAACTGCAAAGCACATAAAGTTGGAGATGAAGATCTTGTCACCCATGGTTATGTCCTGCTTCAGTCCTTTTCAATGTCTCTTGGACTCTGATTTGGGATACATTGTGGATACCTGAGACATCTGGAATGCTCTAAGGGCCTTTAACCCAAGATGCACTTAATTCTGTGTGGTTTACCTGGCGTAGTTATCAATATTAAGAGAAAGAGTGAAACATTTTAAAAATCTCTACTAAGGAAAAACCATCTTGGGAATTCTGCAATTTATTATTTATTAATGGAAACTTTCATAAGACTAAATAAATGTTTTTATCTTTCAAGTAAGCATTTAATGGATTACTTTAAAAGAAAGACATGTTTTTATTTCTCATAAGTGAGTTTAGAACAATAACTCTAGATTTCAATTACATTCTCAGAGTTATCTGGCACAAACTGATGTCTCACAAAAGCAATGAAACAAACAAACAACAAAACCATGTTTTTCTGACTGGATTGTTGGCTAGCTGTCACGGCTATGTTCCAACCACAATAATTATAGTCCATCTACATATTTCTTTCCTATGATCCAGCTGGATTAGCCTGTAATAAAAAAAAAGCCATATCTTATACTTTTGAGGGCTCAGGCTTAGTAAAATCTCACCCCGTTATACTCTAAAAGTGGACTTTAAAAATTAGTGATTGACCAGGCACAGTGGCTCACGCCTATAATCCCTGCACTTTGGTAGGCTGAGGCAGGTGGATCCCTTGGGGTCAGGAGTTTGAGACCAGCCTGGCCAACATGGGGAAACCCCAACTCTACTAAAAATACAAAAGTTAGGTGGACATGGTGGTGTGCCCCTGTAATCCCAGCTGCTCAGGAGGCTGAGGCATGAGACTCGCTTAAACCTGGGAGGTGGAGGTTACGGTGAGCTGAGATCATGCCACTGCACTCCAGCCTGGGCGACAGAGTGAGACTGTTTCAAAAAATAATATAAAATGAAAAATAAAAATTAGTGATGAAGCAGTTTCAATAGCCCTATTTTGCAGCTGACTGAATTCTTAGCCATAAAGGCTACAGAATCAAGTTCATTTGTATGGCTTAAGGTGACAACATATTTAAATAGAAATCACACATTTTCCTAAAGTATGTTGCTGTATGATATTGCTGTAAATAAACATTTCCTTCTCTTTTATTTTTATTTATTTATTTTAGAAATGGAGTCTCATTATGTTGCTCAGGCTGGTCTCGAACTCCTGGCCTCAAAATATCCTCTGGCCTCAGCCTCCTAAAAAGCTGGGATTACAGGTGTGAGCCATGACACCTGGCCTGAATAAGCATTTCTAAGCAAAAATGTACTTATATTTCATGCATGAAGAAAATGCTTAAACATATGCACTATTGTGAAAACACATGAATGGGTAACAATTCTGTTTAAAACTATTTGGAAAAGAGTGTTGCTCAGTCAGGGAAATATCGTAATGCTAACAGAAACCTTAGAAGATTTTCCTGTTAGAGGATTTCCCCCAGCCCCACCGACAACCCAGGATTGAAAGTTTGGTGTCTTCTGTTACCTCCTTCCTTTTTTGTTCTCCCATGGCTTGGTAGTTTCTAAGTACCATGAAGTCCCTATGTGACCTTCCCTATTGCTGACCCCTTTTCCTTCTTTCGTCACAGCCCTGTCACCATTCACTGGGACTTTTGCAGGAGGCCGTCCCCTTCTTAGACCCAGGCAAGAGGAGCCCCTGTCCTGGCCATCCTCTGGCATTGCCTCTCTTGGCAAAGCGAGGATACTGCAGAGCTAAGGGACATGCCACTTCTAGTCTAAGCACCCATTTCTGGACCATGACTGGAACATCATTGTTTGGACTCTGTAATTCCTTGTCCAAACAGTCCTGAGCCTGCTTCCAGAGGCTATGCAGGCTCTTTCCTGGGGTCCAGCCTTCTGGCAATGAATGTTGCAAGTCCTTAGGTCTAAAGGGTAGCCTGGGGTGGCTGTTTGAAGGGGATGTGGTTATGCAGTTTGGATGTAGGAGTTCACCTCCCACATACGAGAGAGGCCTTCATGGTGCTACATGGTGTCCAGGGAAGAAGAGGAAGTGGGCTATGGGCACGGTGCCAGGGTCTTGGAGCCAGGGTCAGCTCTCTCTGTGATGCTACATTTTGTGTAGGAGTCTAAGAATTTTTCATTCAAACGCAGAAAGCTGGGCTCTGCATGCACCTGTAGTCCCTGATAGCTGGCAACCACTCCCAATGTATGAAATATAAGAACACTTTTGCTTAGAAATGCTTATTCAGCCCAGGTGAAGTGGCTCACACCTGTAATCCCAGCACTTTGGGAAGCCAAGGTAGGTGGATCACTTGAGGTCAGGAGTTCGAGACCAGCCTGGCCAACATGGTGAAACCCCCATCTCTACAAAAAAAAATAAAAATAAAAATTAGCTAGGTGTGGTGGTGCACGCCTGTAATCCCAGGTACTTGGGAGGCTGAGGCAGGAGAATCATTTTAACCTGGGAGGCCGAGGTTGCAGTGAGCAGAGATCATACCACTATACTCCAGCCTAGGCGACAGAGCAAGTCTCTATCACCAAAAAAAAAAAAGAATAGAACATATATTTTTTAACACTTGGTAAGCCCTATTTACAACTTTTAAATATGTAGACATAGGGTGTGTGAGCCTCAGTATTCTTGCCCTGAGCCCTATATATCATAGTCATCAGCCTGCCTAATAGGTCTCCCAATACCCAGAATTTTTTAAGACAAACATTAGATTTTCCAACTCCTAAGTGCAATGAGAGGGCATCTGTCATCATATCTTAGGTTTTTTTTTGTTTTGTTTTTGGGTTCGTTTTGTTTTTTGTTTTTTGTTTTTTTTTTGAGACGGAGTCTTGCTCTGTTGCCCAGGCTGGAGTACAGTGGTGTGATCTCGGTTCACTGCAAGCTCCACTTCCTGGGTTCATGCCATTCTCCTGCCTCAGCCTCCTGAGTAGCTGGGACTACAGGCACCCACCACCACATTCAGCTAATTTTTTGTATTTTTTTTTTTTTTTTTTTTTAGTACAGACGGGATTTCACCGTGTTAGCCAGGATGGTCTTGATCTCCTGACCTCGTGATCCGCCCACCTCGGCCTCCCAAAGTGATGGGATTACAGGTGTGAGCCACCACACCCAGCTGTATCTTAGGTTTTATCTTTAAAAATCTTTGGAAATGTGCTTTGAGGTTTTGTCCTCAATGATTCATTTTGATAAAACAGGTAAAAAGGAGAGGTAAAAAAGACAGTGGCTGGTTTAAATGACTAATTACACTGGGGAGTCCATCAACATCTCAAGCCAATCAAATTACTAAGGAGCCCAGAGTCACGATTCTATGGGCTGAGAGGGCTGCATATTAGCGGAGAGCAATCAATTGCCTATATTTGCATAATGCTCCACACAAAGTTCCTTCAAAGTGCTTCCAAAAACATTACCTCATTTGACCCTCACAACTATGCCATAAAGCAGCGAGGGTACAATATCACTCTCATTTTATATATGAGAAAGCAGAGGCTTGGAGGAGGTGAGTGGGTTAGTAAGTTGCCTAAAAATACACAGCTAATAAATGGAAAAGAGTCTCATAAGGCCTGATTCCAAATTCTTGTTCCTAAGGGACACAGGATCCAGACTTATTCTAAGATATACAAATGCACTTCTTAATATTTGGAAAAGCTACCTTAGGAAAGTACATGTGGCTTCCAGTTCTGATTTGGCGTTGACCAGTGCTTCTTGGGGAACTCGTCCAACAGAGATTAAGCCTCAGTTTCCATCTTTAAGATAAAGGAGTTAAAGTAGATAATCTCTAAGGTTTCCTTCAGCTCTGTGGTTCTTTTACAGTCTATACCCCAGATTGATTTTCACATTTGTGAAAGCAGCCTTGAAACCCAGGCAACACAGTCATGTTATATTAATGAGCTTTTATCAAATGGCCCCAGGTGTCCTCCATCCCAAGTTAATCAGATTAACTGGCACCAGTTTAATCAGAAGTTAAAAATGAATGCTGGGGACAAAATGGCGACCCAATGGTGTTTTGTTGTTGTTTTCATTGCTATTTCCAAACATGTTTTAAGGACAAGACCACAGGGCAGTATTTTCCACAGTATACTAGTTCCAAGAGATATTAATAGGATCTCCTTGAAAAAGGAGTTTTTTGGTCACTAGGTTAACAATGTCAAACAAGTTTCTTTTGTGGAGATCCTTTAATATTCATATGAATTGATAATTATTAATTTCTGGGAGGATAATGTCCCATCTCCAGGAACTAGTGCTTCTCAGAACACAGTTTTAGGAAACACCATTATAAAGCATTTTAGCTCCACTGATCGTTGCTAGTATCTCAGAGTTTATCCCAAAAGAAAAGTGTAGCTTGTGAAGATGGCTGTGTGTACTAAATGTGATATAAGGATGATGAGGTTATTTGTTCGTCTTCAATAAAAATTCAAGAAGGTACCTGTCTACATGGAAGTTCTTCTTCAAATTCTTCCCTGGAAGATGATATACGTTATACAACGCCCTCTCAAATCAACCATGGTGATTGGTAGAATGATGCAGGTTGTTTGAAAAGTTCTAGAAGTGCTCTTTCAAAAATACATTCTGGACTGAATGTGATCCACAGAAGAAAATGCTCTTATTATTTAATGGTCATACTCCTCAATTTTTAATCAAAACAGCTTCACTCACATTATTCATCAAGCTTAACTCCTAATGACTTTTAGCTATTTTTGAAAGTCAAATCTATTACTGTGGCAAATTGTATTTTCCAAGTGCCTTAAATAATTCCATCCCACATTCTCTTCTTACCATGAGAACTTGAGCCAGATCATAAAAATGCCACGCACTTCTGCCTTGCTGTCTTGAAATACTTGCTCTTGGAACCCAGATATCATGCTATAAGGAAGCCCAAACTAGCCTGTGCATCTCCCACACTGAGACACCATGTGAAGGTGTGCCTAGGCCAGTAGTCCACATAAACTACCAGACATCTGAGTGAGGATGTCTCCATCTGATTCTAACCTTCAGCCACTGAGTCACCCCTGCCTTCTTCCCAGTTGAGGACCCAGACATCACAGAGCAGACTCAAGCTGTACCCTCTCTAACCTGTCAGAATTCCTAACCCACAGAACCTTTGAACAGAGTAAAATGATTATTTTATGCCCTTAAGTTTTGGAGTGGTTTGTTAGGCAGCAATAATAACTAAACAACCAGCAAAGGGTAAAATTTGCCCTTTTGGTTGCAGTGAGCTGAGTTCGCACCACTGTACTCTAGCCTAGGTGACAGAGTGAGACCTGTCTTTAAAAAAAAAAAAAATTGCTCCTGTTGAGGAAATTCAAAAGAATGTTCCCCAAAAGTTTTATTTTATGAATCTTTAGGATTTGAGAGTGATAATACTAGAATCTTAGACCTCTGTGTATTAAAGTTTTCTGGGTTGGTACCCTAGTTACCAGCATTTTAACATCTGAATTTTTCCAGGAGATACAGGACCTGAATAATACTTCATTATTTTAGCGAAAAATTTCCAGGTATTTCAGAATCCTAAAACTCTCAGGATGTCAAAAACAATGTCTAAAAGCAAGGTCCACAAAATCAAATGCCTTCAGGGGCCAGGCAGGTAATAAAAATGAGTCAAGTAGAGATTTGGGGTCCTGGAGGAAACTGGAGGATTCCAACAAGATTATTGAAGTGAATTCTCCCAGAGGGAAATGACCTGGTCTCAATTCTCCTCTGAATCATTAAAAGAAGCCCCATTGGCCTATTACATGCCTAGCCTCATGGCAGATCTCTTTTACAAGCTCCAAAAAACTCTGAGAGCCCTAGGACATCCCTAGAATTTGTATTCTTTGAACGTTGAAAAGAGGATTCAAAGGTTATTCTCCAGTGAAACACAATGGGCCTGATAAATATGCTGGTGCTACAGGGCAGTCTTGATTATACCCCTCTGCAGAAAGTGAGTCTGAGAGCTATGAATGGGGACTTTGCTTCATGGGATCCCATCATGTTTCCAGGAATAAAATCCCTTCATCAATTCATAGGCGTGGCTCAGATTCCTAAGAATTCTAGGCTCTATGACTGGGTGCTCACCCCCTACTAACACTTCTGGTATATGCATTCATTTCAATCTGTGAACAAACATGTGGTTTCTTCTTTGTTTATTTCTTTTAAAACATAATTTCAATTGATTATTAATGTAATGGTCCTCTTCCCTTTAGATGAGAAGCCTCCTTGGGGGAGCTCTTGCTTGTCTTGTTGTATCTCCAGGACTCAGTCAGTGCCTGGCACACACCAAGTATGCAATAACATTTAGTCAGTGAATGAATGGTGTCCATTCATTTAGTCACTACACACACAGGAAACACCTACTATGTTTCAGGTACTGATTCTAGAAGTGTGGATAATGTCATGAGCAATACAGACCCAACTCATGGCACTTACAATTTAGTGGAGAGAGGGTAATGGAGACCAAGTAAATAAAAACACTCAATAATTTCAGGTAGTGTTAATAGCTATGAAGAAAACCAAACTGTGTACTGTGATAGAGGGGAGAGTCAGGGGAAACCTTAGAAGGACTGTGACCCTGTGAGCTGAATGAGAAGGAGCCAGATATTTAAGTAAAGAAGCAGGGAGGGAAGTGAGACAAATGTTCCAGTAGCAGGAATAGCCAGTGCAAAGGCCCTGAGGCAGATCTCATTTGGCTTATTTAAGCTATATGACACATCAAGAAGACAGTGTGCCAGGAGCATAATGAAAGAGGGTCACATGGTAGGGGAGGAAGCTGAGAGGTTGGCAGAGACAGAGCAGGGAGGGCCTTGTAGCGAGGAAAGAGACTGGATTCCAGGAGGTGCACAGCAGCAGACTGTAGTAAGAGTCCAAGGAGCTGGTAGGCCCCAGCCTATGTTTCAGGGACCTAAAATCACATAAATACACAAACAACAGGAACAGAAACTTGACTGCTTACAGCTGCCTTCTTCCAGGTGCTAACTCTCACACCCACCCACCAGGCCTTAAAACTTTGGGACACCTGACCTTCCTCTGCCTTCCTTTGGGATCAGCTGCCAGCAATACAGCCCAGCAGGGACTGGTCAGCATCTCACTTGCTCTAGACATTTGTGGTTCTGAGTTCTTGCAGGTCAGAGATCAACTCATCAACACAAATGTCAGGGTATTAGGTTCAACATAATTATAACCATAAAAAAGCATACTGAGAGGAATCAGCCTGCAGTATTGGGAACTAGGCCTTAACAGCAAGATGACTTTGAGTTAGCCAGGCTCCAACAGTCTAAGGCCTGCCTCCTTCAACAAGCCTGGGCTCCCTGATGGGCAAGTCTCTCTAATTAGCTTGCCTCAGGGCTCCTCCCTCCCCCAGACTCCGCCCTCTACCTTGCTCTATTTACAGTAGGCACAGCGAACAGAGTCTACTGCTGCTGCCGCTGCCTGTAGACTTTCAGATCATCTCCCTCTTCTGTGTCAGGGAATGCTCCTGGCTGGTGCGGACACAACCCAATAGGTATGTGTCCAGAGAAAAGGGGGAGTGGGAAGGGGTGATGGCACTAAGGAGATAAGAGATGGGAAGTGATGTGTGGTGACGAGTGAGGAGGGCAAAGGGGCTAGCAAGTGCAGGGGGTGGGAGAGCGATCTGGAGTATTCAAGGGGCATGAAGTGGAAGCTGCGTGCAGTCTTGGGAACATACAAGTGAAAGGGACTTGTATGCATTTTACGTTAAAAGGTCAGTGTGAAAAATACTCTGCACCTTGTAGTTTTTAAACCAGTAGTGTGGTCCTTTAAGAGAGATGGTAGAATTAGAGCTTTGGGGTAAAGTTCAGCAGATATGAGAAACATTTATGTAAACTTCTCATTCAGCAGTAAGCACTCTACTACATTAAAGCCAATGATTTTGCAATGATAGGTGACAGCAAAAGCCAATGATTTTGCAATGATAGGTGACATGCAGGTTAATAAACATTAGGAAAGAGGCTCTGGGCCAGTTTCCACGACAAATGTAAAACTTCAAAATGATCAATCGTGGGTTTTGGGAGGTGAAAAGGAATGTACCCATCTTCTAATAAAGAGGGGGCAAAACTGACCCACTTGCCTGGATGTGCTTTGTTTGGTCTGCCTAGGTTCATCTTTCTTTTTTGTTTTCTTTCTTTTTTCTGTTTTTTAACACGAAGACTTGCAGACAGGGAGTACTCTCCCATACTCTCCATGGGTCCAGTCCTTACCACCCCTTCATCATTCACCTCTACATCAGCCAGCTTCTCTGAATTGTGTTACCTGACTGGGCTCTGGAGGCATTTGGGTTTGTGATTTCCGGTTAAGTCAGAAACTTCATCCTACCAGTGAGGAAGAGAGATGATTCCCACAGTGTGCTAGTAAAGCAACTAGCAATAAACCTTATCCTACCAGGGAGGAAGGGAGGTAGCCTCCACAATATGTTAGTAAAACAATTAGCTATCTGTAAACAACTGGATAATATTATGAGTGACTTAAGCGTTTTGGTAAGAAGCTCTGAGGAGAATTTGTTTTTGACCAACTGGAACAGAAAAAAAAAAAGTACCCAATTTTAAAGGGATGCTGGGTTATTTATTTTCCCAGTGTGGTTTAGCAGAAACTATTTCTTCAGTCCCAACAGTTTTGCAAGGTAGATTTTACAAATGCAGCTATTCTCACTTTTCAGATTGAAAAACAAGGCAATAGAGAGTGCCTTAATTCAGTAATCATACCTTGATTCAAAAACCACCCCCCACACCTTGAACTCCATTATAAAGTCAGTCTGATAAGCAAATGCATCTTCATAAATCACACAAGCAGGAGAGTTTGTGTCCTGCAGTTTAATCACGATGATCCCATCAAGCATTTAGGTGCCCTAGGAATCCTAGGGTTGGGAGTGGGAATCCAGAAGCAGCCTTGACACTGGGGCTAGATCCAAAAGTGCTTTTGGAACCTGAAGGAAAGTCCCTCTCCTCTTCTGCCTCCGTTTTCTGCTGTGAGAGAGGAGAGTGGCTCTGGAAGGAGTAAGCTGTCTGGTTGTGGAATCAGTCTCCCAAGATGCTGAAAGTGTGGTTGAACCCAGCCTTGCCCAACCTCCTTCCCTTCATTTTGTTCATTTTTCATTTTGTCCTATTTACTACAGTTCTAATTTAATATTCAGTGCAGTTTTCCCCGGGTAACTTTACTCTCCTTTCCTGAAGTCCCGGAAAACCATCTCCAAGCCTCCTGAGGTTTCAGCCTCTGGTAATAAGGTTTCTATGACAGGAATGGTGTGGATTTGAGACTGGGATTTTCCTGGCTATCCAAAGCAAAATGGCATTCAGGGGCTCACGTAGGAAAGGCAAATGAATTTAACAATACCATTTTGTATCTTTGAGCATTTCTCATTCTTACAAACATACTTTTATTAAACTTTTGCTTTATCATACTCTCTCCCTCTCTCTTCTTCCTTCTCTCCCCTTTTCCACGATTTGACTTTTTTTCTGAATCATTCGGGAGTATGTGGCAAATATCATGTTCCTTCAGTGTATATTTTCTAAGACCAAGGATATTCTTTCATGTAACCACAAAATAGTAAATTTCAGAAATTTAATATTGATCTATTATTTTTATCTAACCTACTGTCTATATTTCAATTTCACTTGTCCGAACAGTAATACTTTTCTCCCACCAACATAGGATTGAATCATGCCTCTTTCACTTCCTTTAATCTGGAATAATTCCTCAGTCTGTCTTTGTCTTTTATGGCAATGACATTTTTGAAGAATGTAGGCCGATCATTTTATGTTCTTGACGGGTTTATCTGCTGTGCATCCCCAGCTGGATTTTTTCATAGGTGATTTTGTGCCCTTCTCAGAATATCATTTCTGGAGACGTGTGATATCTGTCTCTATTGAGTGGTGTTAATTTTAATTATCTATTTGCTGCCTATTTTTTCCACTGTGTATTTACTACTTGTTCCTTTGCAATCAATAAACAATTTGCGGAAAGACAATGAGACCGTGTAAATACCCTGCTCCGCATCAAACATTTCCCCCTAGATTTAGCATCCATTCTTGGTTCAAACCAATGTTTACCATGATGGTTGTAAAATGGTAACTTTCCAATTATATCACCGCTGCCTCTACATTGATCAAATGACATTCTGTTATAAGGAAGTCTTTACCGCCATTTGTTTACAGTTTTATTAATATATTTCACACACCATACAACTCCCCCTTTCAAAATGTGCAACTCAGTGGTTTTTAGTATAGTCAGAGTTGTATAGCCATCACCACAATCAATTTTAGGACATTTCAGCACCCCAGAAAGAAACCCCATACCTGCTAGCAGTCATCCCCCATTTCCCCCAGCCCTAGGGAAACACTAGTCTACTTTCTCTCTCTACAGATTTGCGTATTCTGAATATCTTATATCAGTGGAATCAAACAATGTGTGATCTGGCTTCTTGTACTTGGCATGATGTTTTCGATTTCATCCATTTTGTGGCATGCATCAATACATCGCTCCCTTTTATTGCTAAATTATTCTCTGTATAGACTTATGAATTCCTATTTTTAGTCAGTGAGTTATAATCATTATTGTCCTTATTTATTTGGATGCTCAACTTTCCCGGATTTGGGTCTTTCAAGCTGGTTTTTGTTTCCTTTTGACATGTCCCTATCACTTTTTTGGAACATTTTCTTTTTGTTGTTTGTTCTTATAAGACAGCCTGTCTGATGAACATTTTTGTCTCCCTCCTTTCTAGTGAAAACCTTAGTTCCCAACAACATCATTGCATTCATTTGCCCAGTCCTGCAATACATATTAAATAATTTCTGAATTGCTAAAGCCATGCCACTATGGAAAGCTCATCTACTAACCAGAGTAAAAGATTTGTTTGTAGTTCTTTTCTCCATAGACTGAGGCTAGTCAAGATCCTGTGTTCACAAATTGGTTGGATTAGTTCTTTCTCCCCCTTCATTGTGGTTTTATTACTCATTTGAGAGAACATTGCGTTCACTGGTTCATTTGTTTGTATTGTTATAGTTCTCACTCCATCTTGCCTTAGTTTTATTTTTTAATATGTAGAACATTAATATCCTTCCAAAAGTGAAAACTAATAAGGTATGTATACTCACAGAAGTGTAATTCCCTGACCTATCTCCCCTAACCCATTCCTTTTGCATGCCTTGAAAGTAACCAATTTCTTTTTTGTTTGTTTGTTTCACAGCAGTTTAATATGTAATATTGAAAAACTGGAAATGACCCAAATGTACATCAGAGAGTAGGTAAATAAATTATGGTATATTAATACAATGGAATACCACACAGAAACAAAAACTTCTACTGTACATAACTGATCTTATAAATCATAAATAATATAGAGTAAAAAGAATCATATAACAATTATATTTTACTCAACTTATACAAAATTCAGAAACAGACAAAACTAATCTATGGTGATGGAAATGAGAATAGTGATTACTTGGGAGTGAGATGGTGGGGCTGGGGGTGTTGGTGCTATTGACATTAAAGATAAGAGAGCCCTGTTCTGGTGCTGGGAATCTATGTATTGATCTGAGTGGTGATTACTTGTGTATATACTTAAGAATTCACTGAACTGTATGCTTATTTATCTTTTGCAGTGTACCTGTTATACCTCATTTACAAATTAAATTGATGTAATGCTGCAATATGTACTTTCAACCACAAAGTTTTTTTTTTCTCTTCTTTCTGGGAAATTTCTTTTTATATTATTATGCTTTAAGTTCTAGGGTACATGTGCACAACGTGCAGGTTTGTTACATAGGTATACATGTGCCATGTTGGTTTGCTGCACCCATCAACTCGTCATTTACATTAGGTATTTCTCCTAAAGCTATCCCTCCCCCAGCCCCCCACTCCCCAACAGGCCCCAGTGTGTGATGTTCCCCTGCCTGTGTCCATGTGTTCTCATTGTTCAACTCCCACTTATGAGTGAGAACATGCGGTGTTTGGTTTTCTGTCCTCGTGATAGTTTGCTGAGAATGATGGTTTCCAGCTTCATCCATGTCCCTGCAAAAGGACATGAACTCATCCTTTTTTATGGCTGCATAGTATTCCATGGTGTATATGTGCCATATTTTCTTTATCCAGTCTATTATTGATGGACATTTGGGTTGGTTCCAAGTCTTTGCTATTGTGAATAGTGCCGCAATAAACATATGTGTGCATGTGTCTTTAAAGTAGCATGACTTACAATCCTTTGGGTATATACCCAGTAATGGGATTGCTGGGTCAAATGGTATTTCTAGTTCTAGATCCTTGAGGAATTGCCACACTGTCTTCCACAATGGTTGAATTAATTTACACTCCCACCAACAGTGTAAAAGTGTTCCTATTTCTCCACATCCTCTCCAGGGTCTGTTGTTTCCTGACTTTTTAATGATCGCCATTCTAACTGGCGTGAGATGGCATCTCACTGTGGTTTTGATTTGCATTTCTCTGAGGACCAGTGATGACCATTTTTTCATATGTCTGTTGGCTGCATAAATGTCTTCTTTTGAGAACTGTCTGTTCATATCTTTTGCCCACTTTTTGATGGGGTTTTTTGTTTTTTTCTTGTAAATTTGTTTAAGTTCTTTGTAGATTCTGGATATTAGCCCTTTGTCAGATGGATAGATTGCCAAAATTTTCTCTCATTCTGTAGGTTGTCTGCTTACTCTGATGATAGTTTCTTTTGCTGTGCAGAAGCTCGTTAGTTTAATTAGATCCCATTTGTCTATTTTGGGTTTTGTTGCCATTGCTTTTGGTGTTTTAGTCGTTAAGCCTTTGCCCATGCCTATGTCCTGAATGGTATTGCCTAGGTTTTCTTCTAGGGTTTTTATGGTTTTAGGTCTTACATTTAAGTCTTTAATCCATCTTGAGTTAATTTTTGTATAAGGTGTAAGGAAGTGATCCAGTTTCAGCTTTCTACATATGGCTAGCTAGTTTTCCCAGTGCCATTTATTAAATAAGGAATCCTCTCCCCAATGCTTGTTTTTCTCAGGTTTGTCAAAGATCAGATAGTTGTAGATGTGTGGTATTATTTCAGAGCCTCTGTTCTGTTCCATTGGTCTATATCTCTGTTTTGGTACCAGTACCATGCTGTTTTGGTTAAAGGTAACCAATTTCTTTATTTTCTGATATGTCCTTCCTATTTTTCTTTTTGTGCAAAGTAATGAATCTATGTATGTTTTCTTTCTTCCTTATTTCCTATAAAAAGGTAGTATATACTATAGATATTCTTTTGCTTTTTGCCTTTTTTCTCTTAATAGTATATCCTGGAAGTCACACCAAACTAGTTCAGAGACATTCCCGCCCCCAATTTTTACACAGCGATATAGTACTCTATTGTGTGTATGTGCCACATTTAATTTTTTTCTTTCTTGTTTTAAAAAATTATACTTTAAGTTCTAGGGTACATGTACACAACGTGAAGGTTTGTTACATAGTTATACATGTGCCATGTTGGTTTGCTGCACCCATCAACTCGTCATTTACATTAGGTATTTCTCCTAATGCTATCCCTCCCCTAGCCCCCCACCCCCTAACAGGCCCCGGTGTGTGTACCACATTTTATTAAACTAATCTCCTATACTGCAATGAATAACCTTGTGCATATGTATTTTCAGATGTTTGGAGGTATATCTTTACTAGATTTCTAGGAGTAAAATTGCTGGTTGATGGTTAAGCAACCATCAGGTAGTTTTGTTAGGTATAGCAAATTCCCTTCATATGGGTTGGGTTTCTCCACAGCCTTGCTAACAGAATGCACCATTTTGTCAAACTGATGGGCAAGAAATAGTATCTTAGGGTAATTTAATTTGTAATTTGCTTATTATGAATGAAATTGATCTTTTAAAGACCATTTTTGTGAGCTTTATTGAAGTATAGTTGAAATCCTATAAACTATATAAAATTTAATCAGTATAAAACATTTCTATCACCCCTAAAATTTTCCTGTGTCTCTTTTAAATAAATTCCTCCCTCTACCCCTGTGCCCAAGGAAACACTGATTTGCTTTTTGTTATTTTGGATTAGTTTGCAGTTTCTAAATTTGCATATAAAAATCGAACCATGTGTACTCTTTTATCTGGTTTCTTTCAGCATAGTGATTCTGAGATTCACCCACATTGTTATGTGTATCAGACCCTGTTTGTTTTTATCGCTGAATAGTATTCTATTGTGTGGATATACTACATTTTGTTTATCTGTTTACCTGATAATTGACATTTAGGCTGTTTCTAGTTTGAGACTATTGCAAATAAAGTTACTATGAAAATTTGTGTACAAGTCGTTGTGTGGACATGTGTTTTTGTTTCCCTTGGGTAAGTATCTGACAGAATGGCTTATTATGGGTGAAACTGAGCATTTTAAATGCTCATTCAGTGTCATTTTTATATCTTTTGTGATTATCCATTCACGTATTTTGCCCATTTTCCTTTTTTTTTTTTTTTTTTGGAAACACTTTTTTTTTCAACTTTTAGACTCAGGGGATACATGTACAGGTTTGTTACCTGGGTATACTGCATGATACTGAGGTGTGGGGTACAGTTGATCCTGTCATCCAGGTACTGAGCATAGTATCCAAATAGTTACTTTTTCAACTCTTGTCCTCCTCCCTCCCTGCCCCCAGTAGTTCCCAGTTTCTACTGCTGTCATCTCTATGTCCATGAGTACCCAATCTTTGGCTCCCACTTATAAGTGAGAACATGTTGTATTTGGTTTTCTGTTCCTGCAATTATTTACTTAGGATAATGGCCTCCAGCTGCATCCATGTTGCTGCAAAGGACGTGATTTTGTTTTCTTTTTATGGTTGTGTGGTATTCCATGGTGTATATGTACCACATTTTCTTTATCCAGCTCACTTGTTGGGCACCTAGGTTAAGTCTGTATCTTTGCTATTGTGAATAGTGCCATGATGAACATGTGAGTGCATGTGTCTTTTTGGTAGGAAGATTTTTCATCTGGATATATACCTGATAAGGGGATTTCTGGGTTGAATGGTAGTTCTAAGTTCTTTGATAAATCTCCAAAGTGCTTTCCACAGTGGCTGAACTAATTTGCATTCCCACCAACAGTGTGTAAGTGTTCCTTTTTCTCTGCAGCCTTGCCAGCATCTGTTGTTTTTTGACTTTTTTATAGCCATTCGGACTGGTATGAAATGGTATCCCATACAAAATCTTGTGATTTTGACTTGCATTTCTCTGATTAGTGATGTGGAGCATTTTTTCATGTGTTTGTTATTTGCCCATTTTTCTGTAAGATTTTTTGTCTTCTCTTTTTTAAAATTTATTTTTTTAGTTGAGATGGGGTCTTGCTATGTTGCCCAGACTACTCTTAAACTCCTGGCCTCAAGTGATCCTCCCACCTTGGCCCTGGTCTTCTCTATTTTCAAAGCTCTTTCTGTATTAGGAACATTATATCTTTATCTTAAAATGTTACAGATATTTTCCCCCAATTTCTCATTTGTATGTTAATTTTACTTAAAGTGTTTTAATGCACAATTTTAGATTCTTATGATGGCAAATGTATTGTTCTTAATAGTATCTGAATTTTGAATCGTAGTTAGGAATCCTTATGCCCACATTATGGAGAAATTTGCCTGTTTTCTTCTATTAGTATAATTTTGCTTTTCACATTTAGATTTCTGATCATTTGAAGTTTACTGTGTGTGTTGTGAAGAAAGGATCTAATTTATCCTTTCTAAATGGCTAACCAGTTGTACTGAAATCTCAAAAGTTTATTTTTGTACTAGTGATTGAAGAAATCACCTCTATGATTTACATATATATATACTGGAGACAGGGTCTCATTCTGTTGCCCATGCTGGAGTGCAGTGGCACCATTATGGCTCATTGCAACCTCAAACTCCTGGGCTCAAGTGATTCTCCAGCCTCAGCTTCCCAAGTAGCTGGGATTACAGGCTCAGACCACCATGCCTGGTTAATGTTATACTTTGTAGAGACAGGGCTCAAGCTATCCTCCCACCTTGGCCTCCTGAAGTGCTTGGATTACAAGGCATGAGCCACCAGGCCTGGCCATATGCCATATTTCTATATGTTCTTTTTCTATTCTATTTCATTTGTTGGTCTACTTCATGTTTTAGTACAACCTTGTTTTAAGTATAGAGGCTTTGTTGTATATTTTAATTATGTGATAGGAATAGTCTCTCTCCCCTTCCCCTCAACTAATCTTCCTTTTCACATTTTCCAGCTATTCTTGTATGTTTGTTTCTCTACATTAACTTTATCAACCTGTCTAGCTCCAGAAAAAACAGCTTGTTAGTATTTTTATTGAGATCATGTTAAATTTATAAGTTAACTTAGGGGGAACTGACATTTTGATGACTAGGTATTCTAACCAAGAACAAGGGATATCTTTCCATTTGTTAAAGTCTTCTTTTGTTAAATATATGTTGAGGTAAATATATTCAAAAACTGAATCAGAAATTACTTCCACGAGAGAGGTAAAAAACAAGGAGTTTATTTTGCTTGCTTTCCAATAAAGGAAAGCAACAACTTAAAAACAATAATAACATACTGCTTAATTATCTTTAATTGTGCTGAGGAATTACAGACATCTTGGTCTGCAGCATTCAAGTTTGCTAGATAGCACTTCCTTAAGTGTTCTCTAGATAAATATGAAGGGTAGTTGCTTCTAGGTATAAAAAGCCTCGTCACAATAAGGCTTTTTTTGAAGTGGTCTTGGATCCTGTTGAGAACCTGAAAGCTATGTTTTGAAGTGGTCTTGGATCCTGTTGAGAACCTGAAAGCTATGGACTCTTTCCCTCAAAATACATAAGCTTACAACATTTTTCACAGGGGAGGAGAGGGGGCAGAGACCCCCCTGAAGCCAATACTTAGATACTAGTTTTGAACTCCTACACTGTGGGTTATATATTACAGTCTTACAAACCTAGAGAGGGGTAGGCAATAAGTGGGTTTAGGAACTTTACACGTGGACAATAATACATATTATTCATGCCTCCCTATTTCTTTTGAGGGGTTTATAATCTAAATTTATTGACAAGCAAATTTTAATTTGGTATGTAAAGTCTCACCAAGAAGATCATAGAGTTGTTCCTGTAAAGAAAAGAAATGTAGTAGAAAAGAGAATAAGCATCTACCTTCTTCCTCCACTGATGGTCAATCTTTTCAGTTAATTTCATGTTAACAATCTAAACTTTAGATTCGAAAAATTTATACATTGAAAATAAAGTAGTTCATGGCATACCCACACATATTCTGAGCATTAAGGAAAAACAAGCTGTGTTTTAGGATGCCCCATGTCTAGTGATTAATCTTCAGGTTTGGAAATCTCACTTTAGAGCTGAAAATTCTAAGAAACAAAGGCAAGAAGGCAGAAGACTGAATTGCTGCTGATGCCACTAGTATCCTTCAGATTTCCTCAAACACTAAATCCGAATGCTACAGTAAGGCATGGTGATCCTCTGCAGGTTAACCTGGGCACACTCCCACTTGATATCATATTCTGAGTACTTGCACAGGATGCCCGCTGGGGAGATAAGGCTGGAGGGGGCAATACTGTGGACAGATTATAAAAGGCCCTGTTTACCACCACAGAGTTTAGATTCTCTGAGACAAAAGGAACCACTCAAGTGGAATGGCATGATAAGATCTGTTTTTTTTTAATGAGTTACTCTGTTGGAGAGTGAAACGGGAGGGTGAAGAGGCCTTACTGAGGCAAGAAGACTTACTCTGTACCAGAACAAAAATAAAGGCCTTAAAAATCTCCAAATCCTTTTAATCCTATCTTGTGCACAAGATAGGATTAAAAGGATTTGGAGATTGGACCAGGAGGAGGACCCATCAAGGATGACCATATATACTTTACAAGGATGTGGGAATGTTGGAACTTGGAGCCCTTTCTTTCTAGCCAAATATTCTCCCTCAAGGACATTTTTCCATCTCCTGCCTGACTGAAACAGGAATAAAATGTTCTTCGGTCCCAACTGCCACCACTGTGAAGGCACAGACAAGAAAGCAGAGAGTAAGTAGACAGTAAACAAAACAGGTACTGATGGTTAGGAGGCTAACCTTGTCATGGTGCTAGGTGATTTCTGAGCCATTAGTGGCTTAACCTAGGTTTTTACTTGTCCGAGGCTGGGGCAAGCTGATGCTAGTACTGTGCATTTATGCAGTGCTTTTATTTCCAGTATCTGTACTTCTATTTTCATTCTCCATTTTATTCGTCCAGTAATAACTTTCTTTTTTTCACTGAGTCAACTGGCAGTATATTCTGGACTATATTAAAACCATTTTCCAAAGTTTTGCCATGGCTCGAGTTTCCAAAATCACCACCACTTCAGCAGATTTGGCCAAGTTTATTTATTTGTTTAGTGAGTAACAACATACAAATACTAAAATGAAGACAGTACAGTAATCTTCAGTGTGTAGCTTGAATTTTTACTTATGTATACATCTGTATAACCACACTCTAGATAAAATTATACAACATTTTCTGTACCGCATGCAATTCTCTTGTGTACTTTTCAGTCTGTGCCTTGAAAGGTTAATCACTATTCTGACTTCTATAAACATCTTTTAGTTGTGCTTGTTCTTAAACTTTGTATAAATGAGTCACATACTAGAATTTGTTTGTGTCTGACTTCTTTCAGTCAACATAGTATCTCTATGTGATTTCTCCAACTTGTTGGAGCTGATTATTTTTTAATGTGCAATATTCCATTATGTAAATCTATTACAATTTATTTGAGCATTTGGATTGTTTCATCTTTTGGATATTATGAACAAAGCTGCTATGAATATAATGTACAAATGAGAGAACATAGCACTAATTTCTTTTAAGTATAAAGAATGGAATTGCTGGATCATAAAGCAGATGCAGGTTATCTCTAGCAGAAACTCAGTGGTTTTTCAAAACAATTGTATCATTGTGCATGTTCCCCCAGCCACAAATAAGAATTCTACATCCTTGGAACAGGCGTGGTGGCTCATGCCTGTAATCCCAGCACTTTGGGAGGCCGAGGCGGGCAGATCATGAGGTCAGGAGATCAAGACCATCCTGGCTCACACAGTGAAGCCCCATCTCTACTAAAAATAGAAAAGAAAATTAGCCAGGCATGGTGGCACGCGCCTGTAGTCCCAGCTACTCGGGAGGCTGAGGCAGGAGAATCACTTGAATCCGGGAGGTGGAGGTTGCAGTAAGCCGAGACCTTGCCACAGCACTTCAGCCTGGGTGACACAGCCAGACTCTGTCTCACAAAAAAAAAAAAAAAAAAAAAAAAAAAAAAAAAAATTCTACATCCCTGAAAATACTTAGGATTGTCAGTCTTTTAAATTGGAGCCTTTCTGGGGTGGTAGTAGTGGTTTCTTGTGATTTTTAATTTGTGTTCCCCTGACGAGTCATATAAAGCCCCCGTGAGCTTTATTTCATAATTTTGACCACTTGGATATCTATCTTTTCAAGTTTCTGTTCAAGTCTTTGCCCAATTTTTTATTGGGCTGGTTGTCTTTTTCTTAATAACTTGAAGAAATCTTTTTTTTTTAATGGTAGTTCCAAATTGTTTGTTAGATATATGTATTGCAAGTATCTTCTAGTCTGGTTTGCAAACATTTATTTATGAGCAAATGTAACATTATGTTCTTAACCTAAAGGTTATAAGAAAACTGGGGAAAAAATTCTAAGGTAAATTTTGTCATATTCTTACGCATTAAAGAAGTGAGTCATGTTTCAGATAAATTATTTTTAAAAGTATTTAGTTCATTTCAACTAGCCATTTATGAAGCATCTGTTCACATCTTCTAAGGATTCCAAGATATGTAAGATAGGTTCTTCCATGAGGTGTTACTGTGGAGAAAGAGAGGCAAGCGGGCAACCAAGACTGCTGTAAGATGTGAAAAGCAGTGTATAACATGCTACAGAAGCAAGGATGAGGGAGAAACTCATTTGGCCTGAGAAGGCAGTATTGGAAGAAGGGAAGTCTTTGAAGATGAAGCAAGAGTTTCCATGGTTGTGCAGGCTTTGCAGGAAAAGGGAACATAAGAAACAAATGCCCAGAGGAATGAAAGGGCCATAAGCCGAGGAGCAGCAGGGGTCTGTGGTGGTCAGAACATAGGATAGGAGAAAGAAGGAATGACTTGTAATAAAGCAGAAAAAGTTAGCCAAGTGAAGATGGGAGAACCTTGTCAGCATTGTTAGAACTTCAGATTTTTATCCTGTATGCTAGCCAGACACCTCAGGATTTTCAAATTATGGAAGTAATAAGATCAGGTCTGAATAGATTAAATATGATTAGAACATGGGTTTTTAATCTTTTCTGGCCTTGAACCCCTTTGGCTATCTGATAAAGCCCATGAATCCCCCAGAATATAATTTATATTAGGTTAAATATTATATATTTAATCTTTATATAAATTAAAATACATAGGAATTAAAAGGAATCCAATAATGTTGAAATACAAAATAGTTCTTAATTGTGATATTTGCTCCATTATTAGCACATTTAAAAAAATCTAGTGGTAGGTCTAATATAATTTCAAAGTGGTAATGCATATAAATGATACCTTGAGACATGTGTCAACTTTAATTATGCTATGAAAATATCTAATTTCTGTTGGTGACAGTCACTGGTACTGCAGCTTGTTGCTTATGTTTATAAGCATAAAGGAAATGCTAAATTTCAGTTAGATGTAAATGAAAATCAAAGCAAACTTTTCCAGAATTCACTAGGTCACAGACCCAGTGAATTCTATGCGTATATCCCAAGCTAGGACCCTCTGTAATGAGAAGGGTACCCCAGCTGATAGGATAGACTGGAAGAAGGGGTAAGTGAAAGGCAGGGAGGCCAATTAGGAGGCTGTTTCAATGATCCAGATAAGCCTGAATGGAGGCTGTTGTGGTTGGGTAGAGGGCAGTGGCTGGTATTTGGAAATAGAATCCAGGTGTGTATATTGCAGGGTGTGTAGGGGAATGGGTGGGGAAGTGGGAGAGAGGAATGGCTAGAGGAGTTCACTGAGGTTTCTAGCTTCGGTAAGACAGAGGATGGCAGACCAAGCCACACTAGCTCTTACCTGGGTTGCAGGAATAGCCTACCATTAGTTAGTTTCCATGTGTCTCCCCTTGCCCCACTATCACCTAATTTCAACAGAGCAGTCAGAGTGAACGTTTTAAACATAAATAAGACCACGTAATGTCTCTGCTCAAAGCCCTGCAATGACCAGTCCTTATGATAGTCCCTAAAACCCCATGTAATCTAGGCCTCTATCCCCTCTCCAGCCTCATTTTCTACTGTCTCCCGACCCACATTCATTGAGTTGCAGCTGCAACTGCTCTTCACAAGCATATAAGGGAATGCTCCTGCCTTGAGCCTTTGTGCTGACTGTCCCTTGGCCTGGAACAGTCTTCCTCTAGGTAGCCACATGCTAACTCCCTTAACTCCTTCATGTCTTTGTTCTCAAACCTCTTCAAGTCTTTTCTCCCTTAACCTCCTTCCAATGACGCCTACCCTGACAACCTTATCTGGAAATGCCTCTCCCCAAATCCCACTTATTCTGCTCAATTTTTTCCTACCTCTTATATCTCATACCATTTATTCATTTATTGTCCCTGTCAGTCCACATGGCAAATATGAGTCCCTGCACACTCATAGGTGCACGAGGACAAGATTCTTTTTGTTCACTGTTCCAAACGTCGACAACAGTGACTGGTGCAAAGTAGATGCTCAATAGATATTGTAAGAATGAATAGGGAGGATCTTAATCACAAAGGAAGAAAAGGCGGGAGAGAAGTAGAAGCTCTCAAGGAAGAAAGAGAATGTTGTTGATTTAATATTGATTTGGAAGGATCTGTGAGTCATCCTGTAGATGTAGACAGCTGGGTAGCCTGCAGGGCAGGAAAGGATGGTTTATGCTAGAAATGTAGATTTGGAAGCTGATTGGCACAAGGGAGACAGATAAAGCGCAGACTTGTTCAGAGAGTACTTTAGCCTGAGCAATTTGGTGGCAAAACTAATGTTTAAAAAGTAGTCAGGGCCAGGCATGGTGGCTCACATCTGTAATCCCAGCACTTTAGGAGACCAAGGTAGGCAGATTGCTTGAGACCAGGAGTTCAAGACCAGCCTGGCCAATGCTGTGAAACCCCAACTCTACTAAAAACACAAAAATTAGCCAGGCATGGTGATGCACGCCTGTAATCCCAGCTTCTTGGGAGGCCGAGGCATGATAATTGCCTGAACCCAGGAGGTGGAGGTTGCAGTGAGCCGGGATCACACCACTACACTCCAGCCTGGGCAACAGGATAAGACCCTGTCTCAAAAAAACAAAACAAAAAAAAACAGAAAAAAAAAAAAAGAATAATGGGGGAAAGTATGGTGATTGTCCCTGGAAATCAGTAAGACAAAACATATTTTAAATTTAAATTTTAAAAGGTATAATAGATTTTTTTAGTACTCTGGCAGCAGTGCTGTTGTAAAACAGTGGGATTCTATGTATATCACAAACATTGTATTTTGGCATTGTGTGTATTTTGTATTTTCTAGCTTATCTGATAATAGGGCGTGAGGTCAAATTTTCATGAGTATTTTTTTTTAATTAAAAAAATAGAGGCGGGGTCTTGCTATATTCGGACTCCTGGGCTCAAGCAATTCTCTCACCTCAGCCTCCCAAAGTGGCGGGATTATAGTTGTGAGCCACCACACCCAGCAAATTTTCAGGAATTCTTGAGTCTCAAAGTAGAAATGGTAATTATTTGCTTTAATTCTGAGCAATCATATATTAAAATATACTCAGCAGGCCGGGTGCGGTGGCTCATGCCTGTAATCCCAGCACTTTGGAGGCCAAGGAAAGCGGATCACCTGAGGTCAGGAGTTCGAGACCAGCCTGTTCAACATGGAGAAACCCTGTCTCTACTAAAAATGCAGAATTAGCCAGATGTGGTAGTGCATGCCTGTAATCCCAGCTACTTGGGAGGCTGAGGCAGGAGAATCATTTGAACCCATGAGGAGGAGGTTGCGGTGAGCTGAGATCGTGCCATTGCACTCCAGTCTGGGCAACAAGAGCAAAACTTCATCTCAAAAAAAAAAAAAAATATATATATATCTATATATACACACACACACGCACACACACACATACTCAGCTGAGGGATTAAGTGGGTCATATAAAAAGATTCACATGAAAAGTTACAAAATTCTATTTTGTATATTTGGAGGATATGTATAAAAATGCAAAGTAGTCATACCATATGGTGCACTTAACCCATTAATTTAGAGAACTTGAACAAAAGAGAAGAGAGAGTGAGGTATGAGAGAGAACAATTTAAGTAGTGCAGACACGCATATCTGCCATTCCACTCAACTATTGTCTTCTACATAAGTATGAGAGGCAAGGCTAGAAGAGGTTTTTCTATTAAGTTGGTATTAGTTTTTATGTGTCTCTCTTAGAGTAAGCATTTCACTGTGCCAAGTGTAATTCTAGTATTCCACATAAACTTTTGGAATTAATTTGTTAAACTCCATTAGAAAATATTTTGGAAATCTTGACTGAGATTGCATTGACTTTATGGATTGAGGAAGGACCGACAATATCTGTCTTCCAATTTATTTAGATCTTCTTTTATGTCATTTTTCACAGGTCTTTAATTTTTTTAATTAGATTTATTTCTAAGTGATAGTATGGTTTTGTTTTTGTGAATGGACCTCTATCCCTTAACATTTTCTACCCAGTGTTGATATACTAGAAGCTATTAATTTTTAAAATGTTGATCATATATCCAACCACAGTACTAAATTCTATTAGTTCTGCTAACTTAACTATATTCTCTGAAATCATTTTTTTGAGATGGAGTCTCGCTCTCTCACCCAGGCTGGAGTGAAGGAGCGTGATCTTGGCTCACTGCAACCTCTGCCTCCTGGGTTCAACTGGTTCTCCTACCTTAGCCTCCCAAGTAGCTGAGATTACAGGTATGCACCACCATGCCTAGCTAATTTTTGTACTTTTAGTAGAGACAGGGTTTCTCCATGTTGGCCAGGCTGGTCTCAAACTCCTGACCTCAAGTGATCCACCCGCCTTGGCCTCCCAAAATGCTGAGATTACAGGCATGAGCCACCGCACCTGGCCCGAAATAGTTTTGTTTCAATCTTTCCGTTTGTATGTCTCTTTTCCTGTTTTAGCATATTGACTAAAACTTAAAGTGGCAAAAGATATTCTTGTTCTTGACTTTCAAGGAATGCTTGCTTTGAAGCTTTCAACTGTTAGGTGTGATGCTTACTATAAGGTTTGGTAAATGCTCTGTAAGAGAGTTTTGTGCCAGGCGTGGTGGCTCATGTTTGTAATCCCAAGGTTTTGGGAGGCCAAGGCATAAGGATCACTTCAGGCCAGGAGTTTGAGGCCAGCCTGGTCAACAGAGTAAGACTCCATCTCAAAAAAAAAAGGCCCTGTGCTATAGCTGACGCCTGTAGTCCCACCTACTCAGGAGGCAGAGACAGGAGGATTGCTTGAGTCCAGGGGTTCCAGACTGCAGTGAGCCTGATTAAGCCACTGCACTCCAGCCTAGTCAACAGAGTGAGACCCCATCTCTAAGAAGAAAAAGAGGTAGTTTTCAGGCTGGGTGCAGTGGCTCATGCCTGTAATCCCAGCACTTTGGGAGGCCAAAGCAGGACGATGGCTTGAGCTCAGGAGTTTGAGATCAGCCTGGGCAATATGGTGAAACCCTGTCTCTACAAAAAATACAATTAGCTGGGTGTAGTTGTGCATACCTAAAATCTCAGTTACTCAGGAGGCTGAGGTGTGAGGGTTGCCTGAGCCTGGGAAGCAGAGGTTGCAGTAAGCAGGGATCACGCCACTGCACTCCAGCCTGGGTGATGGAGCAAAACCCTGTGTCAAAAGTTTTCCTCTTTTCTTAGCTCTCAAAGACATTTTACTAGGAATGAATATTAAATTTTGTCAAGTGTAGATTTTGGCATAAAACAATCATTTGCTTTCTATTTTCTTTATTCAGATAGTATGGCAATTTGTGTTAATACATTTTATAATGTTGAAGCAGTCCTATATTCCTAGGATAAAGTCTTGGTCATGATGTAATATTCCTTTAACACACTTCTGGATTCTGCGCTAATATTTGGAATTTTTGTTTCTCTGTTTATAGCTGAGATTTATTTCTTATGTTTTTGGGGGGATGGAGGACTACTTTTCATTTTGGTTTATTAGGATTATGTTGATCTAAAATGAAATGGGAAACTTTGTGTCCTTTTCCTTTGCTCTGGTCAGCTTATTTAAGGAAAAAAAAAGGCATGATCTGTTCTTTGATGGTTTAGTAGAACTTTCTCAAACTCTTCTGGGCCTGGTATCTCTTTTTGGAGTGGATCTTTGACTCGTTTTTCAATTTCTTTTTCTTTTTCTTATTTATTTATTTATTTATTTTTGACACAGGTCTTGCTCTGTCTCCCAGGCTGGAATACAGTGGTGTGATTAAGTCTCACTGCAGCCTTGACCCCCCGGGCTCAAGTGATCCTCCCACCTCAGCCTCCTGAGTAGCTGGGACTACAGGTATGCACCACCATGCCTGGCTAATTTTTGAACTTTCTGTAGAGATGGAGTCTCACTATGTTGTCCAGGCTGGTCTTGAAACCCTGGGCTCAAGCTACTCTCCCACCTCAGCCTCCCAAATCTTTTCAGTTTCTTAGATGATGATCAATCTATTTGGGTTCTCTACCTATTCTTGGTTCTGTTTAATAGTTTATAGTTTCCTTAAGGCCATCTATTCATTCTAGTTTTCAAATTTGAATGTATAAAATTACATATAAACCTGATAATTAAAAGTTACCTGCTGTAGCCACAGTTATATTATCTTTCTAATTTCTAATGTTGTTTGTGTTCCCAGAGAGTTGCAGATATTTAAACTGCAACCTATTTAGTTGAAGACAAGAAGAGAATTTCCACAGCAGTACTATAGCAACCAATGAGACTAAGTCTTGTAAAGCAATTAGAAGTTCAGGTGTTTAGGGATTTGAGTATCTTGGAAAGAAAGCCTGTAAAAGTTTGAATGATAAAATATAAGAGCATTTTTAGTCTCTTAATGCTCCACTAAAATAATAACTAAAGAGTCCTAGATGGATAAGCAGAGATTGACTAGGAAAAAAAAAAATCCCTAGAAACTCTAAAGCACTTAACAGGGTTCCCTCAACTCTCCACTCCCCCTGGGCCATCTTATCTCTACTGGGAAAGACATTCATTCTTAATTTTAGTTGGTCTAAGAAATATAACATTAAAATCCTTTGCCTGACTATTGAGTTACCAGCAGGATCATCACAGAATGCATCAATGTCAATTCCTTGACATTTCAATTTCACCAAGCATCAGATTCTATCTTCTCCATTTTTCTTCATCTAGTTTAATGAATCACCTGTATCTTTATTTTCAGTCTGTTATCTTGAGCAATCCATGCCATTAATTTTCAGTTTATCTTTTACTCAGGATGAGGAAAAATGGCCAGCCTTTTTATTTCCAGGATTCACTTCATTTACAGGTGGCACATTACCACTGTTGCAAAATGCTAGCATATAAATGTCATCATTTTATTCTCTTCTTCTGTTGGATTCTGCAAGTGTCATCTTGTTACAGTACTATACTTCTGGCTCTACTTAGGGGCCATGTTCTACTTAACAGTTTATGGTTTTGTTAACCTTCTTTCTGTTGTTCACTTTGTTTCAGATGTACTAAAATTTAGAAAGCTCTGAACTAAGCTGTACTTTGATATAAATATCCTTAGATTAAAATGTTAACACATGGGTTTTAATGTTACATCCTTATTCATGTAATATATTCGGAAACCATGAATATTTAAAACGAAAGCAAACAAATGTAGATCACATGCTTCTGACATACATTCAGGTTTCTCCGTATGTATTAAGACCCAAGGAGTCTAAATACTCCAGGCTAGACCATAGCACAATCTAGGCTGGAGTCATGTCAATCTTGTTCACTACTAAATTCCTAATGCTAGTACATGTCTGGCACATAGTAGGTTATCAGTACATATTATTGATTGAATAAGTAACTGACATATGTATAGGGAATCTAATTCAATAACACATTAACTTCTTCACTCATGATTTGAAAGTGATGTAAAATTGTATTAGATATTTTCAAGTTTCAAGTATCAGAAATGTTCAGGTTGCCTTTGTTACAAACTTGTTTATTGGAAAGATTCATTCATGGAGCCTTAAAAAGAACACAAAAAAATCTTAACAGGTATACAGTCAAGTTTCACAGAAAAATGGACCATCATTGCCATCATTTAGGACTGGCAGTACCTCCAGCAGCCTAACTATAGCTTTTGGCTTAGGAGCACTTGGTATTCTTTCAGAACTGTCTGTTGTTCCTTTCTCCATTGCCCATTGTTAGGGAGGCTTCTGTGTCTGCTCCAGCTGCTACTAACTCTGCATGTCTGATGCACATCACTACCTTCCCATCAGCACCATCACAAAGAATACGATTGGCCAATCACTAAACATTAGAATGTACTTCTGTTGGGCTCAGTTCTCTAGCACTGAGCAACTTTGTAGGCCACTTGCCAGCCTATAGAGGGTTGCCTTCAGGTCAGGTATTGATTGCTGGTTCAGCCACTTGTGACCAGGGGAGTTAGGGTCACATGGCCAAAAGGGAGCCACAAATGAGGCAGGTACACTGAAGCACCTTTCATGGCCTAGTGCTACCTTACTATTAAAGGCAATTACCAGGGACTGTCTTGTGTCGATAGCTAATCATCCAAATAGCTATACTGATTTTATTTCATATTCATGTTTCCATGTCTTCATAACATCTTTGCTATGTGGATTTCATTGGCTAGACAAGACATCAATACCCAGTCATGTTGCCAAGAATCATGGTACATCCTGATGAAGAGACAGAAATGAGCCATAATTTACTGAGAGGAAAATGTCATGTATATAGCACACTGCAAAGAAATTCAATACATGTATATTTATGAATAAGAGCTAGGAACATTTTTTAGTTTTTCATATGTGGCTGCCTATAAATCAAACATTTCTGAAGTATATTACTCTCAGAAAAACAATTTCTGCAAAATCTCTGCATGTTGGATTTTGCTGGCACACACCGAGATCATGGATAATGTTTTTTGGGGGGAATATAGTACAAACGATGTTGAATTCCCAAAATATGTGCCTGGGATAAAGCTACTAACTATTCTCAGAATTATACCATACTGACCTGGTATGAAGTAAGGATTTGATTCAAAGCAATGGCACTGTGAATTTCCCAACTGTGGGTTATTTTCTGAATACACAGTGAGTTCAGTTGGGCCCAGGCTACCTTCCTCCATCTGTAAAAATAGTTTCAAAGTTATTCCTTCTCTTTTGGGTGACATGATTGCCAGATCAAAAAGATATTTCTCAGTCCTTGTCTTATTCGACTTTTCCACAACAGCCAACATAGCTAAACACCCTGTCCTTCCTGATAGCCCATGACACCAATATCTTCATCTACTCCCATGGAGCAGCCACCATTTACAGGCTGATGGCTTCTCAGTACTATACCTTCAGATAAAACCTCATCCTGAAGTCCCAGAGCAGAATCTTTTTCTGTCTTCAGAATGTCTGTCTAGATGCTATGGTTTTTCAAATGTAATATGTCTGAAACTAAGTACTTTTTCTCCTTTTCTCCCCAACCCCCATCCCTCAGTGGCCAATCTGATCTTTCTCTTGTATTTCCTATCTTAAAGTACACGGTGACCTGCCAACTATTCTGAGGAGGATGGATGATTGACCTCTTTCCCTACAGCCAGTCACCACCAGAGTTCTATCACTTCTACCTCCTAAAACTCTCTCCAGTCCATCTTCTCTGCTCCATCCTGATGCCATTGCTTTAGTTCACATTTGCATGATCTTGAGGTTGGATCATTGGAATAGCTTCTTTGCTACCACATCCCCCACCATTCTCTTCCCATCTCCATCTTCTGTTGTTGAAGCAATCTTTCTGAAACAATCTATTTATTATAACCTTTTGTCATTTTCTGTCATCTACAAGAAATTCCAAATTCACTACTATAGCTACTTTGGTTTGCCATTGCTAGAACAATGATGCATAACAAACCATTCCAGAAATTAGCAGCTTTAAACAATAACTTAATCTTATGAATCTACGGGTCAGCTGTGATGGTTCTGCTAATCAAAATTGGGTTGATGTGTGAATCAGTTCCAGTCCCTTCCACATGTCTCTCATCCTCCTGGGAACAGCAGGTTAGCCTAGGCATCTGCTTTTCATGGTAATGGCAGAGACAACAACAGAGGAAATAGGCAAGATTTCTTAAGATTTAGCTCAGAGCTAGCATGCTGTCCCTTCAGCCTCATTCTCTTCATTAGGGCAATTCATGTAGCAAAACAAAAAGCTGGGACATATACTCTGACCTATTAATGGGAGGGACTGCAGTTACCTGCCAAAGGCATGGATGTGGGGAGGAATGAAGACTGGGGCTAACGGCAAAAAACAAAAACAAACAAAAAAAAACCTCTCTCTAATGCTGTACCTATTGCTTATGTTTAACCTCCTTGAAACTGACCTTCCAAAATGGCATCTTGATATGTTCTAACATGCCTCAGTGACATGCTGTTTCATCTGTGAAGAATAGCTTCCACCATCCTACCCCACTTTGCCTGTCTAACCTCAGTCTTTATTCTCCAAAATATAGCTAATATGTTCTTTTCTTTCCTTAGCAGGCCCCTCTCCTAGAGAGAATTAACTTTTCCTTCTTTGTGCCACGTGTTTTCCTTATGCACGAATATTTTTGCTGTTATCAAACCAAATTGCAATTTATTTATTTATTTATTTTTTGAGACGGAGTCTCGCTCTGTCGCCCAGGCTGGAGTGCAGTGGCTGGATCTCGGCTCGCTGCATGCTCCGCCTCCCGGGCTCACGCCATTTTCCTGCCTCAGCCTCCGGAGTAGGTGGGACTACACGCGCCCGCCAACACGACCGGAGAATTTTTTGTATTTGTAGTGGAGATGGGGTTTCACCATGTTAGCCAGGATGGTCTCGATCTCCTGACCTCGTGACCCACCCACCTCAGCCTCCCAAGGTGCTGGGATTACAGGCGTGAGCCACCGCGCCCGGCCGCAATTATTTATTAACATGACTGTCTCCCTTCTAGATTGATAGAGCTTTTTGGGGTAAACATTTGCTTTTCTAGTCTCTGTATCTCTAGGGCCCAGCAAAGTATTTGGCATACAAAGTTCAATGAATGCAGAATTGAATTAAACTTATATTATACAGAAATGACATTTTAGAAATAAAGACCAATTATTTTGAGTTGCAGGTAAAGAATTTGCCTGTGCAAGTTGAAATAAGAAGGCTAATGTTCTCTTTTCTCTGAAGCATGGCAGCATGAAATTATTCAGAGCCAGGCACAGTAGAGCATGCCTTTAACCATGGCTACTAGGGAGGCTGAGGTAGGAGGACCGCTTGAGCTCCCAGGAGTTAGAGACCAGTCTGGAAAACATTGCAAGACCCCATCTGAAAATGCAAAAGGAAAACTGAGATATATACAGTCAGCAAATAAAGGAATAGCTCCTAGAATTCTCTATGCCTAATTGAGCTTTGGGGTTCTGATAGAAGCAGCAGAAACTGGATTTATCAAAAAGGTACTACAAGTTGTTTTATCATGCTCTATCTACTACATGTGAAGAATTTAGTCTCAATTATGAGTTTTCCCATTTGTGAAAAGGGGTTAGGGAATTTCTGTAGTTTTTATGCATTCTTACAAACCTTTTTCTTTCTTAAATTGAGACAGTAACCTTAGAAAAGATTTCTCTTACAAATCTTTTTGAAGGGTAGAACTCTGTTCAAAAATGCTTTTCTGAAATACCCGATCAGTTTATATTGCACATTTTGAAATGGAGATCACTGCTGCTGTTTATATCTACTTTTCAAGTCCAATGTATGAAATCTTTTTAACCATGAAAAGTATTATTGTGGAATTCTCATTAGGATGCAATGAACTGATATACTCTGATGAAAAGATGTAAAGGATCAGTAACTTCATTTATAATAAACAGTATCTCTACCAGCTCATGAAGAGTGAAGCTGCTTAGAGTGAAGTCTACCCATCACTGCTTCTAAAAATAGCTCACACTGTTTGGGTAGGTAGTTCTGTGTGTGACCCTCTAATAAGTATGAAGAGAAAATTAATTTATATGAAAACTCTACTGAACCTAAAGTGGGTGCTGTGGCTCACTTGTGTAATCCCAGGGGGAGGCTGAGGTGGGAAGATCACTTGAGTGAGTCCAGGAGTTTGAGACCAGCCTGGACAACATAGCGAGAACTCCTCTGCCCTACCCTGGCAAATAAGTTAAAAAATTAGCGGGGCATGGTGGTGATGGTGATGGGCGGCTGTAGGCCTACCTACTCCAGAGGCTGAGGCAGAAGGATAATTTGCCCACAGGAGTCCAAGGTTACAATGAGCTAAGATACTCCACTACACTCCAGCCTGGGTGACAGAGTGAGACCCTGTCTCTAAAAAACAAATGCCTGTAATCCCAGCACTTTGCGAGGCCGAGGCCAGGCAGATCACTTGAGCCCAGCAGTTCAAGACCAGCCTGGGCAACATGGCAAAACTCCTTCTCAACAAAATACATAAAAATTAGCTGGGTGTGGTGGCATGTACTTTCAGTCCCAGCTACTCAGGAGGCTGAAGCAGGAGGATCATTTAAGCCTGGAAGGCAGAGGTTGCAGCAAGCCAAGATCACACCACTGCACTCCAGCCTAGGCAACAGAGCAAGACCCTGTTTTAGAAAAACAAAACAAAACAAAACAAAAAAAAAAAACTCTACTGAATCTAGCCTGTTTTCAGAAGGGTTGTTCACCATTGTTCCTACTATATCTAGGCTGTGCCCTTACCATTTTGTGATGCATTCAAGTCTCATTAGGGTGCACTGAACCCTTGATAAGATGAGGACAATTAAATGCCACATGACACATTTTAAAACAAAAAAAGAAAAGATTAGGGCAAGCAGCAAGTTTCCTAAGCACAGAATTTGCACCGCTAAAAGGCATCACTTGGTTGAGGAACATGACTGATTTTCAAATGTCTTCTGAAGTGCTGGGTAAGCCACTGAATCCTACAGCAAATAGAAATATTATGTAAGCTACATATATAACTTTAAATTTTCTATTAGCCACATTTTGAAAAATTAAAAATAAACCCAACATATCTAAAGTACTACCATTTCAACATGTGATCAATATTTTTAAAGTATCAATAGAGATATTGTACATTTTTTCCCACTGTCTTTGAAATCTGCTGTATATTTTATACTTACATTTCAATTTGTAGGTTCAATTCTCATTAGAAATACCTGATGTGGAGCTAGGCATGGTGGCTCATGCCTGTAATCCCAACACTTTGGGGGGCCAAGGCAGGAGGGTTGCTTGAGTTAGGATCACACCACTGTACTCCAGCCTGAGAAACAGAACAAGACTCTGTCTCTTTAAAGAACTTTAAAAATTTGAAAAAAAGAAAGAAAGAAAGAAAACCTGATCTGTATTTAGATTTCCTAAAATCGGCAGTTAAAAAATTAGATTCACTTCTTGGCCTTTTGGCTAAGATCAAGTGTAAAAAAAATTAGATTCATATAGTCAGTTGTTCCAAACATACTTAGTTTTAAAAATGAGTTCAGTTATCAAAAATTTATTTGTTTGTCTTTAGTAACAGGATCTTGCAGTGTTGCCTAGGTTGGAGTACAGTGGCACAATCATAGCTCACTGCATTCTTGAACTCCTGGGCTCAAGTGATCCTCCTGCTTCAGCCTCCTAAGTAACTAGGACTACAGGTTCATGCCATCGTGCCTGGCTAACTTTTTAACTTTTTTATAGAGACAGTGGTCTCCCTATGTTGCCCGGGATGGTCTCGAATTCCTGACCTCAAGCAAGCCTCCCACCTGGGCCTCCTAAAGTGCCAGAATTAGAGCCATGAGCTACCATGCCCAGCTGAAAATTTATATTTAAATTGATTAAAATTAACAATTCAGTTTCTCAGTTTCACTAGTCACATTTCAAGCACTCAATAACCACAGATGACTATAGCTACTGTATTGGCCAGAGCAGTTCTAGAGAATAGTGACAGCCTTGGATCTTCAATAATCACTTGAATCTTTGTGCCTAGGATAGTGCTATTCAATAAGGAAAGACAAAAGAATTGGAAGTCAGTCCATCTGCCCTTAAAAGATAAAAGGAATATGTGGTTTTAAGATCATAAATATGTGTTCAGAAAAAAGACAGAGATGGTGTGTATGAGTGTATGGGTTCTAAAAGACATTTTGAGGTGAAACTTTGGGCTTTCAAAGTCCAGAAGGGTTTCCATAGTAGTTGGGGAGGGATCTCATGTAGGGCAGAAGCCCAGTGTCAGGAAGATACAGGGTTTGGGTGGAAAATGAAACTAAGAGACCAGTAACAGATAGTGGGTAAGAACGTATGCTCTCAAGTCATGCTCACTAGGTGTGAATCCTGACTCTGCTACTGCCTAACTGCTTAAACTTGGGCAAATTATTTAACTTCCCCTTTTCTGTGTATTTGGTAGGGATAATACTATTTCATAGGGATGTTGTATTAAATGGACTAATAAATATATAAATCATTCAGAATAGTGCTTATGACTTAAGTGCTGAAGAAATTTCAGCTGCTATTATCTGAGCATGACCATTTGCTCTTTGGGGTGTGCATATAACACATCAACCAGAGCTGTTTGATTTAGAGCTTATATCTTAAAGCACTAAGCCTAAGTGTATATCAACCAATTTAAATTCTAAATGCAGAACCACTTCTCAACATTTCTGAGCCATAGTTTCCCCACTTGAAAATTTTGAAATTATTTAACTTATTTCAGAATATTGTAGTGGAAATTAAATGAGTCCATTCAGGAAGCGGCTGCCTTCTACTTATTAAATATAGCTTTGGGAAAGTTACTTGTTTCTCTGAGCCTCAATTTCCTAATCTGAGAAATAGTTATCACCCTCTTTGGATCAAATATATATGTAAAATGCTGAGCACAGTTACTGTCACAAAAAACGGCCATTATTATTCTTTAAAAAGACATTAAGTCTTGGTGGGTCGGAGACCTCCAGCAGCTCAGCAAAATTGTCAGGTTAATTAAAGGTTTATCCACCTTGAAGTTTAGAGGCCCTTGTATTTCTAAGCCCTAAGACACTTACGCAGACTGGGACCAGAAAGAATACATTTTTACTTCCTTATACCTGTGGTTTTAGAGGGTAGACAAACAGGAACCTCAAAAAAGAATAAACCAGACAACCAACTTATGTGAAGGTAGAAGGTTGTTTACAGAAGCCAATGCCTTAGCAATGACTCCATGATCTTTCTCTCTTAGAAATTAACTGTACTGAATTTAAGTGGATAATCAGAAACAATTTAGATATGGAAAAGATAGCTTGCATTTCATCTTGTTTCAACAAGTACTAAAAGTACATTTTTCTTTTTAACTTTGCAAGAACAGATTTATTTATACATTTTAATTCTACTCATCTTTATTTCTACAATATTTCATGGCAAATAAGATGTACTGATTACCATCTTTAAAATAATGTATCTTCATTTGACTCTCAACCACTTATTCATGATTATCCTCTAGCTATGGGTCATAGAGTTGTTCTTTTAAGATACTAGAGATATCTTAACATTTTTCACTCATTTACTGTTAACTTCTACAGAATTAAAGATCTTCATGTTTGAGTAACCATTCAGAACCTCCATTCTTTTTCTTAGTCACATGGCCATCTTCCCTGTGTGTCTTCTACCTTCAAACCTCTCCTTCTTATCAGGACATTAGTCACTGGATTTGGAATCTACCCTAATAATCCACCTCATCTTAACTTCATTACTGTACATATCTAAGTTCACATTCACAGATGGGGGATGGGAGTAGGACTGCAACACAATTTTTTTTTTTTTGAGGGGAGAACACATTTCAACCCACAATGGGTTCCTACTATTATGAGACAACATATAATATATACATTGCCCCAAAAGTATAATGAAAATGTGTCATTTACAAATGAAATTTGTGCTACCCACCAATTTCTCAACTCTACCTTTATCCCACTAGGGAGAAAATGCCAGCCAGTATTAGACATGCAGACTACAGGCATGCACAAGAAAAGCATATTAGAGAATACATAGGTTAATATTTATTGAGCTCCTACTTTATATCCAGTTCTTTACTAAGTGCTAGGGATACAAGAAAGAAGAAGGTACCAATCCCTGCTCTGGTGGAGCTCATCCTGGTAGCCTGGACTGGTTCCATGACTTTGGTCATCGTAACAGCCTTGTATTCATAAAGTGAGCAAACCAGTTATCCTCATCACCTTAATAAGTAAAAGAACTTAGAGACAGTCATTACAGATTGATCATACACCACCCATTTCAACAAAATCTGTAAAAGTTGAGGGGATGAAGATGAGTTGCTGAAGATGAGTTAACTTTTTTTTGAAGTTAATTACTCATATACGGCTTTGAAACCCTAGGGGAAAGCAAAATGGAAAGCAAATCAGATGAAAAGAGGGTAAGGTTCCTGCCAGCTATCTTGATTCCCTTGCTTACCCTTACCCTTCACCAACTAGGAACTAGAAACATTTGTTCTGTTTATGTGCTCTGAGGTGTGAACAGAGCACCTTAGAGTGAATTGCCATTTCAAGTCATTATTTCCAAACGCTCTGAACATGTGTTACATAATCATAGGATAAAAGAAAGCGATAACTATTGTCAGAGTCTAAACACCTCACTTTTATAGGTGAAACAAAGGTGTTAGAATGTGACTTGATTAGGGCCATGTAACTGTAATAGTACTATAAGCTCCTTGAAAGTAGTGACCCTATCTGGTTTTGGTGACCTTTACATTCTCAGAGACTTGTATGAGCCTAGCAGGTAGTATTCAGTAAATGCATATTATGGAATGAAACAATTTGAATAATGAGTCAGAAATACACCTTTTAAATACTTTTTCTGCTGCCATAATGATTTCAAATTTTTGAACAGGTTTAAGATTCTAAATTTAAAAAAACTTCAGGTTAGTCTAACAAATGTTGACATCATCATTTACCCAAGTGCTGTTAAAAATTATTTAAAAGAGAATAGTTTGTGCTACACACTAATAGTCTTGGCTTCTGCTCTCAACATTTCCTGGTCTTTTTACCTCTTTTGCATTAGATAGAGGAAGAAAGAAGCTAAACCAGATTTTGCTGCCTGTTCACCCAGTAAGCCTTTTACAATAGCTGTTATTTGGTCCCAGCTGTTGTGCTAAATTTAGGTTTTTGGCTTATCTGTAACTGTTCTGTCTCCCATTACCAAGTGCTTGTAGAACAAGTAAAACTTCAGTTCATTTTTTAAAAACTACATAATACAGTATTCAATAATATCAAAGTCAAATCCACTGGGATTTAACATTTGTAGCATTTTATAGATTAAAGAACTGTTTCCATTTGTCAGTTTCATCGTCATGATGCCAGAACATTTCAGAGAAAATGAAATGTTACCCTCCTGAATGTTCTCTCCGCTCTGATTAGATACAATCGTGGAGTTAAGGTTAACAATTTCAGTTGTACATGTTATTTTACTGTACATATCTAAGCACTAGAAAATGTTACTTTTTAAATATTTCATGCCTTTTTCATAAGAACTTTACCTGAGGCCAAAAAAATGGAACTGCCAATCTTGCAGTTTATAAAACTCTTCTGATGTGAAAATAATAGACTCATTGTAAAAAAAATTTTAAAACAGAAGGGCACAAATAAAAAAAATCCCCTTAGACTTGTCCTAATACTTTCCTGTGATCCTTTTATGCAAAATTATATCTAAAAAAAAAACTTTTTCTAATGAAACCAAAGAGCCTTGCAAATTTTTACTTGTCTCCATTTGGGCTCATGCCCCATATGTACTTTGTCTATAGACTGAGTAGCTAATAGCTGCAGCGCTTGTTAGGATTGGGTTTTTTTTTAAGTACAGCAGATTCCTGTCATCTGTTTGTGTTTAAATGACGACAACATCACAACATGAAATGCCATCATGTCACATTGCTATAGCACAACAACAAAATTACAGCTCCCCAACAATAACATGCTGTCAAAGTGTCCTCCTGCCCATGAGTCAGTGTTTTAGAAGTTATGAAGATTATTTTTAGCACAGCGAGTGTCTTGGAAGCTTGGGTTCTGAATCCTACTAAAATCCTTAGTGATTTGGGAAAATCTAGGGTGGGGGTGGGCTTCCTGTTCTTAAATTCTCCCACTCCCTGACCCGCATAGCTGCCCACCCCCCGTCCCGGTCACATTAAACCCGGGTTCCATTATGCGCTGCAATCCACTTGGGGCTCGATCACAACTCTGTGCCAGCATCCCGGGAGGAGGAGGAGGAGGAGGAGGAGGGGGGGAAGGAGGGGGAGGGGGGAGGAGGAGGAGGAGGAGGAGGAGGAGGAGGAGGAGGAGACGACGACTATAATTATCCTCCACGTCTGGGGCAGGCCTTTGGATGACATCTCCCCAGTTACCCTGCGCTCTAATAGCGCAGCTCCGATTCCTGGTCTCAGAATCCAGGCGCGCCTCTGCCGGCTGGGAGCGCAACCGAAGTGCCTGGGACGTCTCGGGCTTCCGGGACTCTGCTGGTGTCTCCCAGCCGCCATCTCCAGCGCCCTCGCACCCGCCGGGCACCTGCACCGAAAACCCGGCCCCAAACTAGCGCCCCGGGGCGAGCGGCGGCATTGCCATAGTAACCGGGCGCCAGGGCCGCGGAGGCCGCCGGGGAGGAAGTGACGACCGGGGTGGGTTGGCTGTTGTTGGGACACGTGACCTAGGCAGTGTTTTGACAGGGCAAACAGCAGAGAAAGAACTGGCCGAGCGAGGGGGACGGGGAGCCGGGGCGCCAGAGCTAGAGACAGCGGGCGGGCAAGGAGCTGGCAGAGGCGCTGGGCAAGAGGGCCGGCCGGGGCTACGGGCGGGGGAAGCCCGGGGGTCGCGGGGCTCGGGTGCCAGTCAGGCAGGGCGGAGGGGCTGAGCGCAGGGAGCGGAGCGAGGCGGTGGCTGAGGCGCGGGTGGATGGCCACAGGGGCGCCGGGGAGCCGCTTCGGGCTGGTCGTCTCGGGTCCCCACGGTCACCTGAGGCAGCCGCGGGGGCCGCTGCGCTCCATACTCCGCTCCCGCTGGCCCTGCGCCTCTCGGAGCCTGGGGTCTGAGGTGGGAGTGTGATGTGAGCTGCTGGGCGAGCGGTGGAGAGAAGTGCCAAGAGGAGGCGGGATTGGGACGGGAGAGGAGAGCGAGTTAGTCAGCAGAGGTCGGCCGAGGGAGCGGAGGAGCCGGCCAGCTCGAGAGCGCCATGAAAACAACTCTCCAGCGGGGAGAGGGGCAGACGCGGCGCTCGGTGCGGCGGGGCTGAAGGAAATCCGGGGCCGCGGCGGGACGGAAGGGGTTGTGCAGAGCAGGGGGCGAGCACAGGCTGTAAACACCTCCCCCGGAGCCGGCCGCGGAGGACTGGTTGGGAGTTGGTAGGGTCGCCCCGGGACAGCCCGGAAGAGTTCGTTTGGGGCTGGGGGCTGGGCGGGAGGAGGTGACTCGGGTTTCTGTGTAAACTTGGCCGCGGTTGCCGCAGGAAGGCTAGCCAGAGGGTAATTACACAGGTGAGGCCCGGCGGGGCGGGCGGAGGGCTCGGGAGGCGCAGGGGACTGGAAGAGTTGGCTGCGCCCAGGCACCAGGTGGAAGAATTTCCATACCAGCCCTGCGGAGGTGCCTCTGTTTCCAGAGGCGTTTTTGTACGAAGGGGTTAGTTTGTGTTGCTCAAATCTTTTTCTTCTTCTTGCCTGTACCTCCAGGTTATAAATAGATCCTGTTTTGGTTCAGAGACTGTGTCAGAAGGACACATTGGCCTGGAGAGCACAGAGGCAGGGAAGGGGGTGCTCGATCCGGAGGAGATGGGGGAGGCGGTGCAGAGAGTTTTGCTTTTTTCAGACCAGCCGAGGGTGCTGTCACCGCAGTTGGTGCCAGGAAGAGGCCTAACTTAACAGTAGTTTACTTGCAAGGTCCGGGTATTAGAATAGGGCCAGATTAATTTTATTTTTGTCTCTTTCAGCATTTTGAAAGCGAAGCAGAAGCCGTAGAATCAGCGGCGAGCCTGTTGAAAGAACCCACAGGTGCATTTCACAGCACTCTGGGCGAAAATTGGATGTGAAAATGAAGCCAGACCGAGGTAAATGATTTGTTTAAGTAGGGCTTGTTCCCCCACCCCCTTCTTTTCTATGCCTCAATTTAGAAGTGTTAACCTAATTCTGCAGTAGGATCAACTATTTCTGTATCATATGTGATTATCTGTTTTTGTGACAGATTCCAGCTGGTGAGGTAGAGAAAGGCATATGGAAGAGAAGGTTAAGCGTTTTTACAAAAGTGCTTCTGAAGCACTAGCTTCAAGAGAGATTCTAGTGTATCTCAAAATGAAAGTAAAGAATGGTATTTGTATCTGTTGCCACAATACAGGTATCATTTTAGAGTTGTACTTGCTCGTTTTTAGGTAGTCAATCTAACTTCAACTTTCAAGAAGTTCATAAGCTTTTTAAACTTGAATGTGAACTTGATAAAATGAAGAGAAAACTTAAGCTTGAGTTGACAACTGTTATTTTATTACTACTTTGATTAGTTGATTTTTGTGCTTTAAGCAAACTCCAAAAGTTTGCAGAGTACTCCAGTATTCAATATACCAGCATATGGACAGTTTGGGCCACTGAAATCCCTGGTGATAAGTAAATGTCACTTCTTTTCTAAACCTGTATTTTCAGGATTTATAAGAATAATATATACACTGCTTTTCAAGGACTTCAAGGTAATTCTTTATCAGTCTTCTGATTAATGGCAAGAACCAATTTTAGAAGATGTTAATATAGTAGTGGTTAGTAGTGAGAGCTTTTCAGTCAGATATGAGTTTGATTCCAAGGAACATTGTGAAGTGGGGATTATTTTATTTGGTAGGGGGCTGGACTAGATGACAGATTTCCTTCCAAATCCAAGTCTTTAGGATTGGAAATGTTAATTTATCCTACGAATTAGATGCTTATTTTAAAATTTATATATATTAAACTGGTTGTTTTTCCATATATTTTTTCAAAGTGATTAGACAAATTTTCTGGGTAAAATAGGTCTATTGAAATGCACCAGAAGGAATTGGAGAAAACCATACTTAATTTAGTGATTTAAATTAGTTTTAGGTGTTGGCTATTACATACAATCAGGCAGCAGCTATGTATGTATCAAGTATTAGTAAGTGTATTGCTCCTGAGCAGGTTCCTTGTGTAGAATGCCAAGTTTAGATTTTTAGATTACATCAATCACTTTGGAAAAATGGCACCAAGGTTAGTAATTGATTCTCAGAATAAACAAGCAAATAAAATCAAAGTCACTATTTATTTTGAATTGTTGTGAAAAGTTGCTTTACAGTCATAAGCAGTTTTAAAAATAGTATTTGCAGCCAAAACTAGTGTTAAACACAATAAAATGTTTAGTTACGTACTGATATAGATTTTTAGGGGAAACAAATTTATTCATCAAGATTTCCAAAGAAGTTTTCACCTTAAAAATTGTAGCTTTCTTTAGCATTCTCAGGTAAAGATGATGGGATTGTGAGTTTAGTATTGTGATTATATTCCATAATAATAACATAAACCTTTAGACCCATGGCTTTTTTTTTCTTTTACTAAAACCAGTGTAAGTAATCTTTTACTTAGCAAACTAGTACAGAAATATTGAAATAAGCTTTTCACAAACGTACTTACCCTTACTGTGCGCAATGTAATGTTGTATTTTCTATTCTATTTCACGTTTTGAAAAATTGCTGTCACCACCCATTGAATTGATTTCTTCACCAATTAATGGGTCATGATGACCTGCAATTTGAAAGGCAGAGTTATGGACAACTCTTAACGAGAAAACAGTTACACTTCATTTTTTTTTTTAAACTACATTGGTGTCCAAAGAACTATCCTATATAAATGAATTTTCTGGATAATTGAAACTTTTTAAACGTCAAAATATTTTTAGTTGTAATCATGATATGTGGAGACATTTAAAAAATGTTCACGCTTCTGGTTTGAGATTTTTTTGTCTCTAGTTTAAACCATCTCAGCCTATCTTTTTTTATTCTGATTTTTATGTTCCCTGGCTGTCAACAGTTTTTGTTGTTAATATATTTATCCTTGTCACCTTTTAATTTTCCTGCTTTTAGTCTCTGAGCTAGATAATTAGATAACCGTACTTAACACTAAGTTTTCTCTCTTTTTTTTTCTTTTTCTTTTTTTTTTTTGAGACGGAGTCTCGCTCTGTCGCCCAGGCTGGAGTGCAGTGGCGCAATCTCCGCTCACTGCAAGCTCCGCCTCCCGGGTTCACGCCATTCTCCTGCCTCAGCCTTCGGTAGCTGGGATTACAGGCGCCCGCCTCCACGCCCGGCTAATTTTTTGTATTTTTAGTAGAGACAGGGTTTCACCGTGTAAGCCAGGATAGTCTCGATCTCCTGAGCTCGTGATCCGCCCGCCTCGGCCTCCCAGTGTGCTGGGATTACAGGCGTGAGCCACCGCGCCCGGCCTAACACTAAGTTTTCTATAAGATGAACATAAATAGGAGAACTTCTCAGATGCTCATTCAGAGTGTGAGTAAAGTGTGGATTTTAATGTAGAGACTCAGATTATAGTTTTGTGAAAGACAGCTGTGCTTCAAAGAGTTAAAGTTTCTAAATAAATACAATAGCCTCTTATCGTACATGATTGGGTGTGGTAGTTGGTTGGCTAACTGTAAAAGTTTAAGGTGGGGGTCAGGAAAAATGCCTTAATTCTTTTTCTATTGGCTGTTTTTATGGAAGGTGTGGGGAGCATTGGTCAATTCTGCTCCCTACAGCCTCCATAAAAACAAACTGATAGCCAATAGAAAAAAATTATCTGAAGGTCAGGAGTTTCTACTGTACTTTGAAATAAGATGTTATGGTATAGCATGATAGATTTCACAATAGTCGATAGTATTTTACTGTACGATAGTATTTTACTGTACTGTAAAAAAAATTAATTTTAAGCAATAATATAACATTACTTGGGTAACACTGCCAAAGATGAGTCTTAGATGTTGTCATTAGCAGACCTGTGTTTTTATACTTGTTCCATTACTTGCTTGCTCTCTAATCTTCATCACATAATCTCTGAGAGTCTCAGTTTCCTTGTCTGTAAAATGGGAATAATTCCAACTTCTCACAGTTAGAATGAAATATGACCGTGCTTGGCACATAGCAGATATTAAATAAATAATATCGTTTATTATGTTAAATAAACATTACAAATGCTTATATATTGGTTATATAAGCTTATATATAAGCATTACAAATGCTTATATACTGGTTATATAAGCTTATATATAAGCATTACAAATGCTTATATATTGGTCAATTACAAGATATACTCAACAAAGGTAAATAAATAATGAAATGTTTAATAACCTAATGCTATTTTGTTCTGTTTTGCATTGATAGTGTTCAAACTGCTAAGGCTCGAGCAGATTAATAATTTTTTAATATATAGTTATCTGAGAAAATATAAAAGCTACAGAAGGATACTTGCAGTATATGTATAATGTATTTATATTGTCATTTGCTATTACAATTATGGCTTCTATATGTAGAGGATGACATGGGTGGACTAAGCTTTCTGGAATAATTAGATTTTTAAGTGATGTTAACAGCTGACTAGAGCTGGGCAGCTGGAAAATTTAATGTTATTCCACCTTTGACTCAAGGATGTACAAGTTTGGACCTGGTTCTAGACCTGTGTGTATATTGAATACCTGGTGTTTCAAGAGAAGTCTAAGGTGTGGTCCACGGCCTGTTGCGGTGGCTCATGCCTGTGATCCCAGCACTTTGGGAGCCCGAGGAGGGTTGATTGCTTAGAGCTTAGAAGTTCGAGACCACCCTGGGCAACATAACAAGACCCTATCTCTATTTAAAAATAAATAAAATGTGGTCTTAGTGTAGAGGTAATTAAAAACATATTAGGTTATGTTCTAAATGTATTTCTAATTTTGTATTTTTAATATCTGAGCTTAATCAAAACTGCTATGAAAGATTAAGACCTATAAAATAAATCATAAATTAGTAATTTAAATCTACTGTTTTAATTCATATTTAAAAACATTGTAGGCTGTTGATCTTTAAGTTAAAACTAGTAGTGCAAAATCTGTTCCACAAACAAAACACCACACTATTTTGTGGTTTTTGTTTTTGAGGTTAAAATAGAGAAGTGCTTAGTTTTTTCCTCCATTTGGCTATATTACAAATTTAGACATTAGCCTTAGAATTTCAGTGGCTTATGAACTTAACTATAGCATAATGCAACCCTGTTAACCTCAAACAATTCACTCCTGGGCAGGTGAAATAGGAAAGAAGTGTTAAGGACTAGAAAAATGTAGCAAAGCAATTAGGTGCATTGCTTGCTAAGAATAGTTCATTGTTAGTTGATGTAAATCAAACAAAAGAAATGGCAGATGTTGGAGAAGAAATACTGACTAGATTAAATAAAGCGGCCTTTTGCTAAATTCCCAGGTAGAGGTGGTCATGATAGTATGAGTAGCAACAGCTAATACTTGTTCATACTATGTGCCAGGCACTGTCTTAAGTACTTCACATATATAACTCATTTAATCCTCACAGATACTCAAGGAAATAGATGCTATTGTCATCTCTGTTTTATGGATAAACGAAACTGAGTCATAGAGAAGTTTGGTAACTTACCCAAGGTTACACAGCTAATAAAAGGGCAAGCTCAAATGTGAAGTGAACTTGAGCATATGCTCTTAAGCTCCCTGACTGGTAGCAGTAAGTAATGTTAAAATACCATAAGATTTTGGGACCAAAGTGGTTTAAAAATACTTGAGGAAAACTCCAAACAGGTATTTGGTAAGTATTGTGATCTTGGAAAGCTGCTTGTCCTCTCTGCCTCAGCTTTATCTTTACAATAGGGAAAGTAATAGTACCTCAGCTCATGGTTATTTTGAGGATTAAATAAGTTAATGTGTGTAATATGCTTAAAACAGTGGCTGGCACTTAGCATTCAAATGTAAACTGCTATTATTTTTGGACATTTTCTAAAGAAGAAACCAGTCAGTTAGTGAAAGCTGAGGAAGACAAAAGGGGGCTAATTCAGCTGCATGTTTTGTATATTCAGTGTGATCACAAGTTAAAAGCTGGCTACTGTTGTTCTTTCATCCATTTATGTTGATGAGTCTTGGCATCAGTAGCTGTCAAATAATCAATGGCTTGATACAACTTCTGAGATTCAGATACTAAAGGGGTTGACGTAGAGATACCCCATCTATGTTTTTGCCTGTCATCCAGTAAGAAGGAAATGATTCAGTGGACTAAACCCTGTCATTTCTTTGAAGAATGAGAAAAAAAAGATAATTGGAAGGCAGAACTGAAAGGCAAATGTGTATATAAGGAGAGTGACTTAAAAATTGATTTTCTCTTCAAGAACTGAAGAAACCCATGGGGTCTGAGCCTTCTGCATTGTGAACAAATATAGAAAAAAATTAGTTGTTAAAGAATATTTATATTCTTTTGCCTTTCTCGCCTTTGGATCTAATTATGAAAATGTTTTCACCCTTTTTGAGGCTGGGGATTTTAAAAACTGGAAATATTAAACTCAGACTAACAATACTGGTTTTTTTTTTTTTGGATAATGAAAAGGCAAAATTGTAGTACTTGGAAACAGTACTTCTTAGTAGGTAAACCAAAGTCAATTTGTTAATAGTTAATTCTATCTTTGCTCAAATAGGTGAAAAATCAGAAGAGTTCCTCATGTTAGACTTTTTCTTTTTCTTTTTCATGGGATGGGGTCTTACTGTGTCACTCAGACTGGAGTACAGTGATGCAATCATAATTCACTGTAGCCTCCAACTCCTGGGATCAAGAGATCATCCTGCTTAAGCTTCCAGAGTAGCTGGGACTACAGGTGCACGCCACTATGCCTGGCTAATTGTCTTTTTTTTTTTTTTTTTTTTTTGAGAAATGGGGTCTCACTATGTTGCCCAGACTGTTCTCATTCTCCTGGGCTCAAGCAGCCCTCCTGGCTCAGCCTCTCAAAGTGCTGGGATTACAGGTGTGAGGAATTGCACCTGGCCCAGACTCTTATTAAAGTAAAACAGGATGGAATAGGTAAAAAATGCCAGCAGATAATCAAAATATTAGCCTAAGAGCCCATGTGTAATACCACAATTCCTAGCAATAATTTGAGTTGAGCTTTCTCATATTTTCCTTTCCATGTAAAAGATACTCATCTCTTCCCCTTGTTTACCATATCCAGCCCCACTAGCTGCCTTTTAGGTTTTTGATTACCACTTAGGATCTGGTATGCGAAATTCCTTCTGCCTAAAAAGCCTTTCTCCCCAGTCATCACATTGGTGTCTCCTTGTTGTTCTTTTGTTATAGAACTTAACCGTCATTTTTTCAGAGAGGTTTTCTCTCACTACCCTATCCAAAGTGCTCAGTGAATGTTAATTGCTGTCATTTATTAAATGAGATGTCCCTTGTTATTCTTTGTCTGAGCAGCCTGTATTTCCTTCATAGCATTGACCACATTTTGTAATTTCTTTTGTTTATTGTCTGTCTCTACAGCTAGATTTTAAGTTTTGTGAGTCCGGAAACCTTGTCTCTTATTCACACCTGTATTCCCATCATTTAGTAGGCAGTCTTGTACATGGTAGGTGCATAGGTGTTTAATACATATTTGTTAAATGAAAGAATGACTTGTATGTCTCAGTATTTGTGGAGCAGATAGGAATAGGAGCAGCTGGGTAGCAATATTTGATTGTTTTACTGATACCAGCTGAACTTCTGCCAATTTAGGGATTGGTTTGAATTAATGACTGTTAGGCTGTTATCACAATTTTATACTTAATTTTTTGAAAATACAGTTAAGGATACTATCCATAACTTAAATAAAGGTTATATTTCTTAATTAATCATATCTTATTGAATTAAAACACTATAAAATATCTTAAAAGTAGGCAAAAGCCATTTAGTGACAATGGTTTCCAGTTTATATACGTCTAACAAATGATTCATACACAGACATTTGCTAGAAGCTCTCTGATGTCCACCCCCTGTGCTGAATTTGCTCCTATTGCTGTTTCTGAGAGAGAGGGAGAATGTCTGTATGTTCAAATTGGTAAACCTCAGGTTTATGAATATAAGAAAGTACAAGTCGGATAGACTAATGGAAAAAAAACTCAAAGGATTTAGAGTTTAGATTTGGGACCCATTCTTGGATTAAGTCCCAAACCTGTTTACTTATCTGTAAGATGTAGCTGGCTAAGGGTGTTGCTTCTGAGCTTCAACTAAGATAATATGTCAAAGAACATAGTAAGCCATGAGATGCTATATAAATGTGGACTAATTTACTCTGTGGGCAGGATTATTTGTATAGATGTGCAAAGGGCCAGGTCTTCCCAAATACAGCCAGCTGCATCTTAGTTGGTGCTATTCACACAGTATGAGGATTTTATTACTTTTAGTTTCCTCTTGCTATCCTGACAGAAATTATACCAACTAGAGATTCACTTGGATTAATAAATGTATACTTAGTTATACATTTTTCGAGGACTGTTGAAATGATGGTCATATTTTAGTTTAAATGGTTTCCTTTTAGCAGCGTACTATAATGCAAGAAAAGTTAAGACACTAAGCTTTTAGGATCAAATTTGGATTGAAATTCTAACTTCGGAACTTACCAGCCAAATTACCTTGAAAAAATTACATAGCCTTTCTGAACAACGGTTTTGTTTTTTGCTCTAATACCGTCAACCTTAAGCCTTGTGGGAAAGGTAAACTGAGAACATATGGTTTGGCACTTAACATACGCCTAGCACTGGGTAGGGATTGCTAAATGGTTTCCTCTGCTAACAAGAATACACAGCTTGGAACAGCTGCACTGAGGAAATGAGTGTTTCAGAACTCCGTTTTGAAAACTGGTTGGAACAAGCATGAAAGATCAATGGACACTTATGTCACTGTCAACCTTGTCTTCTGAAATATACAATAACATAGAAAAAAGTCAAAACCAGCATTGAACTACCCAATCTTTAATGCAAATGCAATGGAGAGGGAAAGTAGGCAAATTGGAACACAGCCCACTATTTCTGGGTGATAGTAGACCCTAATGAACAGTTTAGAGCAGCATCAGGGCAGAGAGTGAGGCAGAGGTGGGAACTAGAAAGAGGCTGATGGAAAATAGAGTGGTGAGATGTTGCCCAAAACTGCTTTTTTCTTTGTTTCAGAGTATTACCTAGGATTGATTCAGTGCTTGGAGCATGGCCCTTCTGCTTCCATGACCCAGAATTTAGATTTGTTCCATGATGCTGCAAGATGGCCATTATAGGTTAAGAAACCTTTGGTAGACTCTTCTGGGAATCTAATCATAACTCATATTGCTTGTCAGTAATATTTAAGCCTAAATAATGGTCAGACTTAAACATATCCCCTTTGGGAACATGACCAATCTGTATTTGGGAATAAACAATATTTAAAGTTTTCATATTTTGGTTTCCCACTTAACCAAATGTATATTCCTGAATGGAATTAATTTAGCGTCAGTATCTGAAATTAGGCTATTTGTAAAACTTTATCCTAACATCTAGAAAGTGCATTTACATTTTTCATCAAATTAGCAATTTTCTTTTGTGAAGAGAGATCATGGTTTGTGAGAGAGATCATTGGCCATTTCTACTTAAATTTATAACAGTAAGAGAATGTATAATTTTAGCCCTTGATATTGGCAAACTTCTTTTTGTTTATTTTGGTCTTAAAATAACTTTAAAGGTCTATATCATATTTGGTGTGTTTGACAGAAGGATGCTGATATACAAAAAATTATTCATTTTATGAAAGAACTAACCATAGGATTTCTCTAAGTTACCCTACTTTGCTTGCTCTACAATTATTATAATTAAAAATTTCAGGCCAGGCGCGGTGGCTCACGCCTGTAATCCCAGCACTTTGGAAGGCTGAGGTGGGCGGATCACAAGATCAGGAGATCGAGACCATCCTGGCTAACAATGGTGAAACCCCATCTCTACTAAAAAAATACAAAAAAATTAGCTGGGTGTGGTGGCAGGCGCCTGTAATCTCAGCTACTCTAGGACTGAGGCAGGACAGTGAGGCAGGAGAATGGCGTGAACCGGGGAGGCGGAGCTTGCAGTGAGCCGAGATTGCACCACTGCACTCAAGCCTGGGTGACAGAGTGAGTCTCCGTCTCAAAAAAAAAAAAAAAATTTCAAACCCACAGAAAAGTTGAAATACTACAATTAACATCCATTTACCTTTTCATAGATTAATTGTGACCATTTTACAACTTTTGTTTTATCTCCATATAAGTAGGTGGGATGGGTGGGTGGGCTAGATAGACATGGAGTTTTGTTGTCTGTTTTTTTCTATTTTTAATGCAAAGCCTTTTTGTTTATTTCAAACTGGTACTTTTTTCAGTTGACACATTGCAATTGTATATATTTATGAAGTCCAGTATGATGTTCCAATACATATATATGTTGTGTAAATAATTAAATCAGGGTATTTAGCATATCTTTCACCTCATGCACTTATGATTTCCTTGTGGGTGGGAACATTCAAAAGCCTCTTCTAGCTATTTTATAATATATAATACTTTAGGGTTATCCTTAGTCATCCTACTATGCAGTAGAACACCAGAATTTATTCCTCCTATCTAACTGTAATTTTGTATCTGTTGATCAACCTCTTCCTATTCTCTCCTTCCCCTTACCCAGTTTCTGGAAACCACTGTTCTACTCGCTACTTCTATGATAACAGCTTTTTTTTAAGATTCCACATAAGTGAGATCATGCAGTATGTGTCTTTCTGTGTCTGGCTGATTTTACTGAACACGATGTCCTCCAGGTTCATTTATGTTGTTGCAAATGACAGTATTTTATTCCTTTTGTGGCTCTATAGTATTCCATTATGTGTGTGCGCACGTGTGTGTACCACATTTTCTTTATGGACACAGATTGATTCCATATCTTGGCTATTGTGAATAATACTGCAATAAATATGGGAGTACAGATATCTCTTCAACATGCTGATTTCATTTCCTTTGGGTATATATGCCCAGTAGCGGAACTGCTGGATGATATGGTAGTTCTGTCTCTGATATTTTGAGGAATGTCTATACTGTTTTCCGTAATGGCTGTAATAACTTACAGTCTCAACCATGTGTAACTGTTCCCTTTTCTCCACATCCTTGCCAACACTTGTTTTCTTTTGTCTTTCTTTTGTCTCCAGCCATTCTAACCGGAGTAAGGTTTTATCTCATTGTGGTTTTGATTTGCATTTCTCTGGTTATTAGTAATGTTGAACATGTTTTCATATACCTGTTGGCCACTTGTGTAAGTTGCAGATGTCTTGACACTTCAGCCCCAGATACAACATGTATCCAGCAGTATGCTACAGCTGGCAGGTACTGGCTTGCAAAAGCCGATTGTGTATATTTCATTTCAACTCTTCACCTAGTTGGTTACTTGAAATCAGCCATGGTAATGGTATTTATACCATGGAAATTGGCAGTGCTACAAACCAAGGCCTTTTTTCCTCTCTGAGCCAGCCGTTAAACATTTACGGCCATACCACTGCATGTGTCTTCTAAAAATAAAAGTATTCTTCTGTATACCTGCAATACAGTTACTGCATTCAATCTAATACTTACATAGTACTAATATCTAATATACAGTTTATACTCATATTTTCCTAGTTGTTCCAATAACATCTTTAGTCACATTGCCTTTTAAAGTTGTACATTGCTTCCTTTTACAGAAATGGAGTTAGACCCTGATGTTAGACAACATTTACAAAAGTTTTGGAGTATGCCATAAGAATATGATAAAAAATTAGATCATGTAAATAGAACAGCTAATTAATATTTTAGTAGATTTTTCCTCTAGCTTTTAAGTATTTAGGCAAAATGGATTAAAGAGAAAAGTGAATATTGTTGAAATCCCAGATTTTATTCCATTGATAACACATTAAACAATTATATTTTTAAACCTAAAGTCTCAGGCTGACTGACCTCATTTCCTGGTGATTTCCAAGGTTCCCTGCAGTCTAGCCATATTAGTCCTGTTATTCTTCAGTCACTACAAGCACATTTGACACTTTGGGGCCTTTATATTTGATATCTTCGCTCAGAATATAAGTCTCCTGGCTCTTTTTTTTTTTTAACTTGGCTTTCTGCCATCAAAGAAGCCTTCTCGGACCATCCTTCAAAGAGTACAGCTAATTCATTCTCCCTTTACTCTGCGTTACTCTCTTCATAGTCCTTACATTGTTTAATCTGGTATTCTGTGTTTATTTCTTTTCCCCTCTCCCCAACAGGAATATAAGCTTCATGAGGGCAGGGAAGGGATTTAGTGGCATTTGTTCACTGCTGCATTTCCCCATACACAGACAGGTACCTGGCATTTAGTGGCTCTTCAATAAATGTTTAGTGTTGAATGAACACTTGGCATGCATTTTAATATCTTTGTGGTGTAGCATAAAACTTATTACTTGACAACGTTATGCATTCTCTTTTCTGAGATTTGTTAGTTTAGTAACCCTAAGATCTAATTCTCCAGTGTCAAGTTTTTTGCTTCTAAATGGAAATGTTTATGCCCACTTCACAAGGTTATTGGGGGATCAAATGAGATGTTATACATGAACTCCCTATATACAAGATAGAGTGCTATGTAAATATAAGTAGTTGTTCATTCTCTAAGCATTTATGTTTACTTATCAGGTATTGTGCGAGGTTCTGGAAACATACAGATGAATAAGTCAGCAGGGTACTGTGTGTGAGTCTGGGGGGCAACTAGAAAAATTCTTGACTCCTTTGGAAATGTCTCTTGCTAATGTAGTGTTTGTAGTTTGAGGAATCATGGCCTCAGATATATTGGTTCCCTAAACTAAGACATTAACATCCTTCAAAGTCTTATGAAATAGTAGGGAATTTTTCTTCTATCCTCTTAAAAATTACACTAGTAATATGAGTCTGTCAAAGAAGTACAAAATTTAGATAAGCTAAAAGAAAAGGAGAAAATACCCAATAGTAATGCTCCTATTCTGTGATTAGACAGTTCATGTTTTGGGTGCCAGGGCGGGGTGTGTGTTTTTCCTTCTAGTCTGTAAATGTACGTACATATTAATAGTATATTTTTTAATTAAACCATATATACTGTTTAGGAAACTTTTTTTACCTAATGTAATTTGTATATTTTCATGTCATTAAATATTCTTCCCTTATGGTATATTTAATGGTCGTATAGCTAACTTTTGCATGCCTGTGTCATTTGGCCAATTTATACTTCTTAATGTTTTAATTTTTAACTGTGGTAAAATGTGGATAACATAAAATTTATCTTCCTAACCATTTTCATGTGTACAAGCTTTTTGTTGGATACTTAAGCTTCAAGTTTTGGCTAGTATAAACAGCACTGTAATGAACATTCCTTTAACTTAAATCCTGGTGTATTTCCTTATCTTTTCCAGACGAAGTTCTAAAAGTAGAATTACTTGATCAAAGTATATACAAACATTTTTTGATTATTGTAAAAATCACATTTTTTGATTATGGTAAAAAAAAAAGTGCCAATTTTTGGTCACCAACAGTATATGAGAAGAAAAATTGTATTTCCCCTACTTGACACTCTTGTTAGCTTTAATGTATGAGCAAAACTCACACAAATGATTCCAAATTTGATTTCGCTTTCTTATAGATATTCTTGAAAGAAAATGACTAATTACTATCTGATTTGTATCTTGTTTTCCTTCACGTACAAATAGTAGACATCTTTTCATTCTCCAACATTATATGCCCAAGCTAAATTCTAACTAAAATCTTCAGTCTCCCCTCACCCCCGTAATTTCAACTTTTATTTTAGATTCAGGGGGTACACATGCAGATTCATTACATCAGCGTATTTTGTGATGCTTGGGTTTTGGGATACAGATGATCCCATCACCCAGGTGGTGAGCATAGTACCCATAGGTATTTTTTCAGTCTGTACCTGCCTCCCTCCATTCCCCTCGTAGTCCCCAGTGTCTATTGTTCCCACTTCTATGTCCATGTATACTCAGTGTTTACTCCCATTTACAAGTGAGAACGTGCAATATTTGGTTTTCTGAACAATAGTTTTTTTCTTTTGGACAATTTCTAGCTGGTATTCCTTCCCCTGCACCCCCCCACCCCCAACACCCAGAGATAGGGTTTCCTCTGTTGCCCAAGCTGGAGTGCAGTGGCATGATCATAGGTCACTACACCCTTGAACTCCTGGGCTCAAGTAATCCCTCCACCTCAGCCTCCCAAGCAACTAAAACTATAGGCGCACACCACCCTGCCCAGGTAACTTTTAAATTTTTTGTAGAGACTGGTCTTGCTATGTTGCCGAGGTCTGGAACTCCTGTCCTTGAGCAGTCCTCCTGCCTCAGCTTCCCCAAGTGCTGAGATTACAGGCGTAAGCCACCATGCGCACACTCTAGATGGTATTCTTGATTTGACTTTCAGGAATTGTTGTGTGGCAATTAGGGCAGTGGAAAGAACATGGGTTTGGAGCTGGACAACTCATTGTTCAGACATCAACATTATTACTAGCTGGGTGAGTTTAGTAAAGTTAAACTCTCCATGTCTTAATTGCCCGGAAATCTGTAAAAATGGGAATAGCAATTCTTTTCTCAAGGTTTCTGCGAGGATTGAAAGAAATAGTACATGTTAGCATACAGCTCAATGCCTGGGCACAAAGTGGGCACCAGCTTTCTACGAAAACAAGTTGTCACGCTGAGGATACAGGGCCAGTATTCCCTAAATCTCCTTTTTCCAACTAGGATTCTAGAACTGTAACTATAATAAAGTTTACTAACAGTAGTACTTAGATCTAGAAAATCTATGGGGTATAATGTCTAAAGTCTTTAGTGCTGTGTAAAGAGCAAATGAGAATTTGCTGTCATGACAGTTGTGCTCAACTGCAGATGCTGTCAGTCCATGGTTTCCTACTTTAGTAAGGACTGAGCACAAGGCAGAGTGGCCTTCTGTGAAGTTAAACTCTGGCATCGATTTCCTTTGTTGATTCAACAGTGTTTCAGCTTACTCTAATTTTGGATAAAAAGAAACTTATGCCTGCTCTGGATGGATAGAATTCAAATTTGCTCTGCAATGAATTTGAATTTTTGTGGCATTCATTTTATGTAGATACGTATATCTATTTCAACTACAATATTTCCCAACTTTTTTGATATCTCACTAAGGAAAGTTTTGATTACCGAGGTGGGAAGATTGCTTGAGCCCAGGAGTTCAAGATGAGCCTGGGTGACATAGGGAGACCCCATCTCTACAAAAAAACTTAAAAAAAAAATTAGCTGGGCTTGTTGAGGCATGCCTATAGTCCCAGCTCTTGGGATGCTGAGATGGGAGGATCACTTGAGCTGAGGATTTAAGGCTGTAGTGAGCTATGATAAAGCCATTGCACTCTAGCCTGGGCAACAGAGTGTAACCTTGTCTCAGAAAAAACAGTTTTGATTAAATAGTTAAATTAATGTAATATGTGTCATCTTAACAATATGTACAACTCTTAGTTTATCTTGCAACAATTAGGTAATCTGAAAAAAGTGATGGTTTTGTGCACATGATCATTGGGCTAAATTTTTTTCTTTTCATTCAGTAGTATTTATTGATGAACTATTCTGTGGTATGACCTCTGAGATATGTATTGTATTCTCTGCCTTATAGAAAATATAATCCAAGAAAGAAGATAAGTATAATGCAGGACATTTGAGAACTGAATGAATGGTAAAAGTAATGTTTACTATCAAAGGTCATAGGGAATGATTAATTCCACTGGAGAAGTTAATTTAGGTCTGGGACTGTCTTAGCAGAGACAGCAGCTGAGTTGATCCTTCAAAAACTGTTATGATTTGGATAGATAAAAATTTAGAGATTGGGGCAGGGAAGGGAATGGAAGGAAGGACATTCTGATCAGAGGGAATGAGTTAAGGTGTGAAGATAGGATTCCATTGTTTAACGGTCGGCAGATAGACTAATGTGAATGGGAAGGGTTGCTTTGGAATAGGGAGAGATTAGAGTTTTAAATGTTAAGCTAAAAGGAGTTTGAGCCTCATTCATTTGCTAGTATCAGACAGTCTTAAAATCAGTTTTTAGCTCTCAAAATTACATTATCGCCCGCTGTTATAAAAATTACCCAACATGCATCTACTGTTAGCTAATTCTTTTTCTTCTCCATTTATTTTTCCCTTTGCCACCATTCTTTGTTTATAATATATGAAGGATTTGTGTTTTATTTTACAAAAATTCTTGGGAATATTAACATGGTACACAATACTAATAATACTATGTCTTTTTTTTTTTTTTTTTTGAGACGGAGTCTTGCTCTGTCGCTCAGGCTGGAGTGCAGTGGCTCGATCTCAGCTCACTGCAAGCTCCGCCTCCCGGGTTCACGCCATTCTCCTGCCTCAGCCTCCCGAGCAGCTGGGACTACAGGCACCCGCCACCGTGCCCTGCTAATTTTTTGTATTTTTAGTAGAGACGGGGTTTCACTGTGTTAGCCAGGATGGTCTCGATCTCCTGACCTTGTGATCCGCCCTCCTTGGCCTCCCAAAGTGCTGGGATTACAGGCTTGAGCCACCGTGCCCGGCCCTATGTCTGTTGTTTTATAATACTCTTTTTGTCAGAGTAGTAAGCTGCACTATTTATTTTGAAATAGCTGTGTGTTAAAACAAATGGAAGAAAAATACAGAGTAAAACTGGAGATTCCATTTTTCATTCCAGATAATTGCTGGCAGAAGTTTGAATTCTATGGGATTAGAGGCTTTCATACCCTTCAGTTTCATGTAAGGTCTGAGAATGCAGGGAGTCCCCATGATACTAATAAGCTTTCCTAGCTGTGTTAAGAGTAGAGATGTATCTTCTTCTCTCTCCAACCAGATAAACACTTTCACACTAAAGCTTTAAAAAAAAATGGTGGTCATAAGAGTGAGGTTTGTTCAGTATATTGTGGTAGAGCACTAAGAAGCAATCTCAGTTTCCTAGTCTTGGTTTGCCACTATCTGTGTGAATAATCACCAACCTCTTTGACTACCAGTTGCCTCATCTGTTAAGAGATTAGATTCGATAATTTTGGAGGTTCCTTCTGGGTCTAAGATTTGATCATTCATTACTCCTTTTTTTTGCTGTTTTTTTTTTTTTTTTTTTTTGGCCTGGCTTGTAAGATTTCTGCTGGCATAACTCCTTTCTTAAATATTGTTTATCTAAGCATGTGTGTCCTTCTTAAGTTGGCATACTAACTATTCAGAAATTGAAGTAAAGAACATACCTATGCCTTTGAATAATTATTGTGTTGATTGAATGCTGGTTCTGCAGGCACACTTCTGTGGTCCAGGAGGTCGTAGCCTAACCATGGCCTGTACCTTTTGTTGTAGCTTATGGTGCAGAATTGAGGTATTTACCAGGGTACTCTAAGTTGCTAACAACAACAAAACAACAACATTCAGGTTACACAGTGGTACATATTAAATCCACTTTAAAAAGCTGAGGGCGTGAAAATAATTTTGTTATTCTGAAATTACAAAATCACTCTGTCACTAGAAACCACAGTTGGAAAGATCTTTAGAGTGTGTGAGTTTCTTTCATTTTTACAGTTGAGAAAATGTAAGACCCAGAGAAAAGCAACCTGTCCAACTAAAAAAGTAAAACTCAAATTCCCTGCTAGTTGCTGGAATATTTTCTGTATTTTGTATTACTTCATGCCTCTAGCAGAGCACAATTGCCTCTAGGTTCTGGCACCAGAAATGAAATAATGATCATCTGGCTTTTATCAGGAAACTGGAAAGAAACAGGCTAGGTGATTATATTTTGACATTGTTCTCAAAGTAATACATAGATACTCTTAGAAGTAAGTCGAATGGTAATAAGTAGACTCAAAGTAAATAAGACATTTCATCCTTGAAACTAGGAAGCTGAGAAAGAGATGGATATAAAGAAATAAGAAATTAGAGATAATTGTCAAATTAAATCAGGAAATGGTATAAACTAATTATTTAGAAATATAGAGGACAATTTTTTTCTTTAGTTTCAATGTGTAAAAAATGAGGCTAGTGATAATACCTACTTAAAGGGCTACTGTAATGAGGAAATGAGATAATCCATATAAGGTGCTTAGAAAATAGTATTTAGGCCAGGCACAGTGGCTCACGCCTGTAATCCCGGTACTTTGGGAGACCAAGGCGGGTGGATCACCTGAGGTTGGGAGTTTGAGACCAGCCTTACCAACAAGAAGAAACCCCATCTCTACTAAAAATATAAAAAAATTAGCTGGGATTGGTGGCCCATGCTTGTAATCCCAGCTCCTCAGGAGGCTGAGGCAGGAGAATTGCTTGAACCCGGGAGGCGGATGTTGCAGTGAGCCAACATCGAGCCATTGCACTCCAGCCTAGGCAAAAAAAGCGAAACTCTGTCTCAAAAAAGAAAAGAAAATAGTATTTGATTCTGAATAAATACTCAATAAATTTGCCTGTTGTTATTGTTAATAAATTAGCATTTCTTCAGTGCGTAAGATAAACACATTCCAAGTGCGCTGAAGGAAATATACGAAGGCTAAGAGAGTGACTAAGTGAGAGCAAGGAGAAGTCCTCTTTGGTTAGGTAAGGCCCCTGAGAAAATGAGCAGAGGATGAGAAGGCACCAGCTGTGTAAGGGGAAAGAACATCCCAGGCCAAAGGTATATGTGCAAAGGTTCTGAATTTAGAAAGAGTCTGGCATGCTTTAGGAACTGAAAGAAGGCCAGGTACTATATGATAGTTTGTGCTTCCCTCATTTCTTCATATTATACTGTCTCCTTCACTAGAATAATTGTTCTTCAAGGGTGGTGATGACATCTGACTTCTTCCCAGCTGTTTTCCTCATACCTGTCACAGGTTGGCACAGAATTAGTATTTATTAGATGCTTGATAAAAAATTAAGCGCCTGTTGCTTGCTCAACAACTACTATGTAAGTTCTAAGATATCATAATTTTATTTTTGGGCTTATATCAGTGAGTTTCATGAAATACAAAATTCACGCTTAAAAAATTTAACATATTTAACTGTTTTATATCTCTAACTGTACCATTAAGTTCAAACTACTTTGATGGGCTGGGTTAAATGCTACATAGGATGATCCTGGTTTATGCCTGTTGTCCTGTGTCCAATCCTATTTCACAATGGTCTCCTTTCACTCTAAGTGTGTTACCACTGTTTGGATCATGAATTTTACTTTTTTATTTTTTTAATATATATTTTTTTCTTTTTAGAGACAGGTCTTGCTATGTTGGCCAAGATGGTCTTGAACTCCTGGCCTCAAGCAAACCTCCCACCTCAGTGGGCAATGAATTTTATGATAACCCTAATAGTCATTTTACTGTTCTGCTAGTGCACTCAAGTCTTGTCTTTCATTAACTGGTATTTCATTCTGTACTTAGATAGCTTAAATATAGATTAAAATAGCTCATTTGCCCCAGCTGTGTTTTGTAGGATATTGCATCTAATATTTTGTAATTTACATGGGTCCTTGTATGAAATCAAGGGATTGACAACATGGGATGCTTGTTTTGATTTAGTACAAAACACTTGGATTTTGTTTTAGAAATGCTCTATTTCTAAAATGTTTCTACCAAACACCCATATTTTGACAAAATGTTCTTTTTCAAAGTGATAGGAATTCTTATGAATATTTCCTTCTGCAATAAACAGTTGTGATTATATAGTCATATTGGTTAAATATGACAACATTTTAGAATTTAACTGTTAGAAATAGTAAAACCTTAGACATCTGGACCATTCTCCCTCTCTTGTTCACTGAAACAAGTATAACCAAGCACTTTCAATGTGCCTGGCACATATGTGCTAGAAGTACTGTGATGAGCAAGAACTAACATGGCCTCTGCCCTCAGAAACTTGTGGTTTGAAAAAAACAAGAAACAAAAAACAAAGTCCTTTCTTCCTGGGGCAACAGGTGAATCAGAAGCTGAGGTTACCCTATGATGTTTTAGAAGAGCTGGGGGTTGGGGGTAGGGGAGCTGGCCCAGAGGAGTAAGAGAGTATCAGATGGCCCGTACAAACTTACAGAAATTGTACACTCTACTATCCCTTTCTTTTTTTGTTTTTTGAGACAGGTTCTTGCCCTGTTGCCCAGGCTGGAGTACAGTGGCTTAATCGTGGCTCACTGCAACCTCCAGTTCCTAGGCTCAAGCAATCCTTCTGCCTCAGTCCCTGAGAAGCTGGTACTACAGGTGTGCATCACCATGCCCAGCTGATTTTTAACTTTTTTTTTTTTTTTTTTTTTTTTTTTGTAGAAACGAGGTCTCACTCTGTTGCTCAGCCTGGTCTTAAACTCATGTCCTCAAGCAATCTTCCTGTATCAGCCTCCTAAAGTCTGGAATTACAAGCATGAGCCACCATGCCTGGCCTCCACTATCCCTTTCTGTTTGTGGTGGTCTCCTATATTTTGAGTTTGAATGGGAAGGGAGCATGCATGTTTGATGGTTTGTTTTGTTTTTGTGAATGAAGAATGAAAATTTATTCCCATTAAGTGCGAGCTTCAATTGAGGCACTCAGTTTATGAGGTCTTACTGATGTTTCCTCTCTTAGGTGCTGTAGTTAAAATCTTGCTGGTCTAAAATGGTGAAAACTATTGAGGTATTCAAATGATAAGTACTTTATAAACTGAAATTGCATTGAAAACGGAGAGCTCTTGACAGAAAGGTTGACTCTAGCATTTATATAAGGAAAAAGACAACTATTATCTCCCTCTACACAGAAAGCTATATTCAGTAGTTATAGGATTTGTACATTGTGAATCCTTAGGGATCTCTAAACATCTGTGTCTTTAGAAGTAGTGTCACCTCTAGTAAAAGAGGGCCAGTAGAATTGAGTGGTGGCAGCCTGTGATGTATATGAATTTTGGCTGTACGTCTCTAGCGACTATTTTCTCCAACTCTATTTAGTAAAATTCTACCTAATTTCAGCTATTGTGCTTCCAAAGTCCATGTTTGTTGAATATGATATGGTAAAAACCAATATCTATTTGGAGACAGTGGAGGGGATGGTAGTAATTGAGAGACAGTGTCAGATGGAGCAGTGACTTTACAATTTTTTTGACTGCAATCCACAATTAGACATTTCACATTGCTCCCCCATGACAACATCCCTATCGACCCCTGCCCAAAAACAAGTTATTTACCAATCTTGCTATAAGCAATGATGACTGATTTTTTCTTTTTTCTACTTTATTTAAAAAGAAAATTATAGTCTCAACTCTTTATATTAATTTTACACACATTAATTCTACAGATTGTTTTAGCACTTAGAACTAAAAGTGTTCAAGATTTGATTTTGTTACCTTCTCTGTGTAAGCTAAAGTTGCTGACTTTTCTGAGTTTCCATTTTATTGATTAAAACTGGGATAGTAATAGTATTTTACACCATTTTATAACTTTATTAGAATGACATAATCTGAGTGAAGTGGTTGTGCCAGGCACTTACTAAACACACAGTCAATGAGTATGTTCTCTCCGAAGTTTGTTAGCTTAGGGAATTGGGAGGATGCCACTGATAATAATGGTGACTCTTATTCAGAGGAAAACTAATTCAGTTTTAGACATGCTAGAGTTTGAGGTAGCCAAAAGAGTTTAGTCATATCACTTGGAAGCAAACCAATGTGAAATAGTTTCAAATAAGCAAATTTTAAAAAATGTTAAATGCAAAGCAAACAGTATTAAAGCTTTGGGGACTTAATGATTGAGTCTCCTTACACCTACACAAGATTGGCTAAATACACATACAACTGTGTCACTCTACCAGATTTCTGTTAACATTCTCCAGAATTTAAACTGCAGAATCAGTCATTTGTATGACTGTTTGTCTCTATTAGCAGAGGTAATGACATGTATCAGTGATAGGTAATTGTGGAAAAAAAAACAGCACTTGGAATTAAACCTAGAGTTGGTGATTCTTACAGGGTAACCCAACGGCTACCTTAATTTCTATGATTCAGTTTCTTCATCTACAAAATATTATTTCACAAAGTTGCAGTTGTCAAAGGGACAAGTAAATATGGGATCCATTGTCTTCATGGAAAAACTTTTCATAAAATGTTATTTTATTATAATAAAAAATGTGTGATTGGTTTTCAATTTCAGATTGAATCAAACATAGCATTCTTTGTAATAGCAGGAGATTAACAACATCCCAGAATATATCTTTAAAAGAAGTATGGATAAAGAAAAACCCGTATGCACCTCTGCACACATTTTATGTAATAGTGGTGATACTAATTTACAAAGACAAAGTATATAGGATATTAAAAGTGAATTCTTAATACCTGATCTTGATTCTTATTAAATCTGACTTATGTGTATACAAGATATTATTAGATGAAGTGTTTGTCCAGTAGCTTAGCTTATAAATAACCCCCATTCTAGCTCATTTTAAACAATGTAGTATGAATGATGCCAAAAACAGGCTAGAACATTTTCTTCTTTCCAAGATCTTAGATTTGGTAAACAAGCTACTGCTCCTGGAACTAATCTAGGTCATCATAACCCAAAATCTTTTGAAATATGAGAGTCCCAATTAAGTCTCTTAGGTACTTTTTAGCATTTTAATTTTAAGAATGTGTTTAACTCTTAAAACAGTATATTTTGGTTGCTGTTTGGCCATTTGGTTTATTTGTACCTTGTTATAATGAATGCAAGTCAGTGGGTAATCATTGCAGCAAATATGATTGCTAGGAATCTCATGTAAGTGGAAGTCAATATAATGTATGGCTTAATTTATCCCTGAACTGACCTAACATCACATTTTGTTTTTTAATAAAAACTGGTTTAATGATATGATAAATTTCTGTATTTTCCACAACTGTTAATAATGTTATATTTTAACTATTGCTTAGTCTTCATTACAAATTATTCAGCTGTTAAATGTGTTGTTCAATGTGACATTATTTAAAAACTTAAAAAAAAATCAGCTTCACAGAAATCTTTCTTTGATCAAGAGTTGTCTCATTCCCATTGTTATTAATACAGTATACAACTAATGTATGCTAATGTATTGCTGTTATTTGTGTGTGTGTGTGTGTATGTATGCAGACATATGGTCACATCATGTAGACCTGATGTCTGCAAAGGGAAAGAGGAAACTTCAAATTAAGAGCGGAGTACTGACCTAGGTGGTTTGTAGCACTTAGAGAAATGATTATTCCCACTTTTCAAATAAAGAAATAGATTCAGACAGGTTAAATAATTTGGTAACACATCCTATAAGTGGAAAGAGCTTGAATTTGTGGCTTTCCTCCTTTATGTCTTGCTGCTTTAAGGGGTCTTTCCAATCATGAGGTTGAATTTTGTACAAGCGTGTTTACACTACCATATCTGAACATTATCCCCTATCCCTCAAAGACTATTAGGAATAGAAATATCCTATATGTGTAGCACATTGCTACTTTGAAAATAATTTTATCCTGTCCTATTTTATCCTTACAACATACCAACATTGCAGACAAAGAATGAGGAATTTCAAAGAAGTGCTTAAGATCAAAAAGCTGATCAGAGCTAGGATTTGGGCCAGAACCCACATCGATGGTCCCTAGTTCAGTGTCCTTTTCGACCTCCTTTCACTTTCTCTGGATTAGGTGATCTGTGATCATGAAGTAGTGAAGTTTTACAGATTGAACCTTTTATCGTTGTCTTTGTGATCACACTACAGCTACAAAACAGCTATCTGTTTGCAGTCAAATCCTATTTTTCCATGTTACAAGCAGTGTATTAATGGTAATTTTGAGGTATAATGAGGCTGTCGTTGTGGTTATTGAATGACTAATACATGGGAAATGCTTATATGAGATTTCTGTATTTAAACTTTATTTTTGTGTAATGCCATATTTGCCTTACGGCAAATAGTAAGTAACATATGTAAGAAATTGTTAGGGAAAGGATACTAGTGGTTAAGGGCACATATATTAGATTTAGGAAGACATTATGTTTGAATCCTGGCTTTACCCACTTGGTTCTAGTTACTTGGGCAAGTAACAAGCCAGTTTTAATCTGTGGGGATAACAACTACCTGAGGATCAGAGAAGAGTACGTAAAGAGATTAGCATCATGCCTGGCCCATGGGCCAGTAGGTAGTGGCTATTTAATATATATATATGATACATATATTTAGTAATTATTTAATATGCGTATATGTGTAGTAGCCATTTGAACATTACCTTTGAGGGGTTCTTTTTTTCTATCTGCAATACTTTTTTTGTTTAGAAAGTCTCAAAGATAGCATGTTATCTCTTAAAGTATCTTACTATCGGTAGATCTCAATTATTTCTGCTAACAGAAAACATAGATGATCTGAAATAGTTATTTGAAATTTTCCCATTTTATATTTGGAAAACATAGTTTTGTTTTTAAAACTTTTGTAAAAGATCTACTATCCTATTTGTTTCCCTACAGGAGCATGGTATGTTTCCTGAACTGTCCATTTAGAGAACATACTTAACGACCATGCTAAGTGTGTTCCGGAGGAGCAGGGGAAGGAGGTTTGTTGTGATTGGGGATTGAGAACTGAGAATCTGGGACTAACACTTGTGTATAATTTCATGTTATTCAGATTCTTAGTTTGTAGTCTTGAGATTTACAAAGTAGATAATGCGCCATCATTTTATAGCATACTCATTATTTAGTTTTGTGTACCAAGATGAGCAAACTGGGGAAAAGCAAACTTTTTTCAAAAATGTATGAAGTGCTGTTCTGAAATTTATTGGAAAACTAGCAGCATAGAGGGGAGCATTTCACTAAATAAAATTCTGTCTCAGTTGGATTTAAGTTTTTAAGGTGGCACATCTATTTGGAGTGTCTTTTATCATTTATAATTACATGTTGTGACTAAATACATTTAATGTTTTTTCTGTAAATTCTCTTTTTATATGACATCAATAGATTTATATTATAGATATATCACTACCCTTTAATTTTAAAGTTTAAGGATTATAACTGAAAGGAACTATTCCAAAACAACCCTGGGATTATATATTATAGGAGATAGGAAAAGGTTAATTTTGAAATATAAATTTATTAATCCAAAAAATTTTTAAATTTGATTTCCTTTAACTTCTAGTTGTGACTTGTAAATTTTAGATCTAACTTCCTTATTTAAACAATGAAGATGGTCAAATAAGATGTTCTACTTGCACTAGTCACCTCCCATGATTGTGAAATCAAATCAAATATTGTATAAAAATATAAATGGGGCATGGTGCTAGGTAAACAATTAAGTAGACATAGTACCTACGTTTTAAGCACTTACAGTGTGTTGGAGGAGACTGTCATTAAACCAGTCATTTTGTAAACAGTCTTTCTACATTCTGTGCAGTAAGTGTTAACGAAAAAGTACAGTGGGCCTGTGACTAGTCTTGGATTAGGAAGTTGTACAGATGAGGAAACTGAAGCTCATAATGGTATAATAATCTTATATGTGGTCTCGCTGTTAGTAAATGGCAGATTCATGTTTTGAACACAGCTTGGCCTACCTCCAAATTCCTTACTGTCTCTACCATGCCATTCTTTCTCTGAGTCACCTACCTCAGGCTTATTGTGTTTCCAAGCACGTCTTGTTATTTCTCAGGGGGCTTAGCAGCTCTCCCTCTGGCTAAGTATGGAACCGGTGATCAGATTCTTTAATGAGATTTCTTTAAAGCAATAAGCCTCTTCCGGGTTGTATTTCTTCTGTACTATAGAACTCCAGGAATCCTAGAAGCTTCTTCAGGGGTAGAAATCTTGTGGATTCTGGGTCTGATATGAAATTGCATGCTATTTGTGGCTTCTCACTTAAAAATAGCCTCATAGTGCTCATGGGGCACTTTAGTAACTCCAACACTTCCATCAGACTCCACTCCCTAACCCCAAGACACTCAAGATAAACAAAGATCTGAGTAATAAACGGCATGCTTCTGCTGCGGCCTCAGCCTACTCCCACAAACCTTTCCTGTATGGAAATCCTAGAGCCACCACTGATAATGCATTTTATAGGAAGAATGCAAATAAAGAGTTCCATTGCTTTAAACGTTTGAACCACCATCCTAGTTGATGCGACGTTCAGGGGAAATATTTCTAAAATGAGAAATTTTTATAATTCATCACATCTGTTCATCCCCTACTACCTTCATTGATTCTCCCAAACAGCTTTGTAAGCTGGGGAGGGATTTTTGCTGTTAAAGTTTGTGGAGACAGTATGAACTGGTAAACTGAAGCCCAGTACTTGAAACCTGAAAAAAAGTCTATACTTCTATATCTCTGGGTAATTTTATGATAGCAAAAAGTAAATGAATTTAAGCTAAACGTCATTGTTCTATGTATCCAGAGACATTTTACCACAAATACCTAGTTAAATCTTGTATTGTCAGAGATTACTAAGTAACTGATAATTTTTCCTTTCTGAATCTTTTTCTAGTCAGTCTGGTAACCTGTTTCTTTAGTCCTCTTAAAAGGTACTGCATGCATTTGAGGAGAGACCATTTCAGGACCTATCCCATTTTAAATATGTAACAGGTTGTGCTTTTCTAGGAATTTGTGAAGTTTGTTGTAAAATACTTTATATAAAGTTCCAGGTATATGAAGGTTGACAATGCTTTATTCTGATTGTTGTAAATTTTTGTATTTATACATTTTCAGAGGGTTTCACTTGGTAGAACCTGATTTAATTTAGATGTGAAGTAACTGATTCCTTCCACAACCCTTCTTTGTCTTCAGTTTATGTGCATCACTAACTGAAATAAATTTTTGTCTTACGAATTTCTCTGTTTTAAAAGCAACTGAAGAAACACATTTCAGGGGCAAACGCTAGAATACTTTGCCATTATCAGTCTACTGTTCTTTCCTTTCAAGTTGCCTAAACACAGCTGAGTTTGTAAGACGAGCAAAGAAAACATGACAGTGCTGCCAAGTAGACAGGAAGCTGTAGTGGACCTAGCGAGCAGGGGAGGTTGAGCACACCCTCTGTCCAATCAGCTGTGAGTGCTGTTGCTATGTGCGCTCTTACTCTGCTGCCTTTGTGAAAAACCTTACACGGAGGGAAGCGGGATCAGCACCCAACGCTGAACATTTGTTTTAACCGCTGCAGACATCTGGATCCCTCAGTTACTGATAGTATAGCTATTGATAGCCAGAAGGCAACTTCCTTTATACAAGGATTCCAGTATGGTTTTCAGTGGAAACAAAGGGCTTCACAG